>NC_000006.12:141320790-142570790 GCF_000001405.40 Homo sapiens
AGCTTTATGTCTCATTCTCTTTATCTCTCTTCTCTTTCTGAAAATTTTATGGTATATAAATTGGTCTGCTTGATAATGTCTCATAAATCACTTAGACATTCTTCACTCTTTTTCATTCTTTTCTCTTTTGACCAGTTTTTAAAATTCATTTCTTCTTCTGTTTGTTCAAGTTTGCTGTTTAACTCTAGTATTTTTTTCAATCCAGTTATTATATTTTTCAGCACTAAAATTTCTGTTTTTAAAAAATATTTTTTCTACCTCTCCGTTGATATTCTAATTTTTTCCATGCATTTTTTTTCATGAGGTCATTGAGCATCTTGATGACAGTTATATTGAGTGTTTTTTCAAGTGATTTATATACAGCTTTTCTTTAGGGTTGATTTCTGGAAATTTCTTTGATAGGGCGAGGTTTTCCTCTTTCTTCATGTGACTTGTGACTTTTTGTTGGAAGCTGTGCCTTTGAAAACAAACAAACAAATAAACCTCCCTTAATAGTTATGAACTGGCTTTATACAAGGAAAGAACTTTATTGGCTAGCCCATCTAGAGATTCTGGGTGCTTCTCAACCCTTTTCGGTGGATGCATCTTCTCTTGAACTATGCATGCACATATTCAGTTGGAGGAATTTACTGGCTTTATTACTCCAATAGTATTCTGTTTGGTGCTGTCTATAGTATTTCAGGCTTTCTCAAATTGTCACAATCTGCCTACATCTCTTTTGTTCTCAGCAGTCTCCAGGATTCTAGAGTATGCCTGCGATAAGTGCTCTGAGTCAGACAAAGCAGAAGCAAATACCTTGGAGAGCCCCTTGAAAAGCTGAACTGCAGCCCACACAACAAGCTGGAACATTGGACACATGCTTTAAGTCTATGCCTCCCCAAAAGAAAATTAACAGTTGGAAGTTTTCTCCCACTTTTGCACTGAACTGGTGAATGGACTATAGTGAGTGCATGCTAATCCAAAACATTGCTTTTTCTTTCATCATCCTGAACTCTGGCACTTTTTCTTATCAACACTTAGATTCAGGCAAAACATCAACGAGTCCCTGGAGTAGGTCCCTAAAATCTAAGTGTTAGCCATATCTTTCAGTCTTTTCTTTCCTTCCCCAGGGAGAAGCTGGAATCTGGAGTCTTCTCTAAACTGTGCTACTCTCAGATAGGGGAAGGGACTATGGTGAATGATTACGTGTTAGCTCAAGTTGTCATCTTTATTCTCAGCAGCTTCCTACTTGACACACTTTCCTTTCAGCACTTAGAATCAGGCAACATAGAAGCCAGCTCCTCAGCCAGCACCCCACTCAGACAAAAGTCAGAACGTTGAAAGTATGGTCTAGTATTCTCTTTTCCTCCCCAGGGAAAAGACAAGAGCTCAGAGATCTCTCTCTCTCAATCATATCACGCTGTGCCTTGAGGAAGAATTATGATTAGTGCCAGGAATTTCTCTAGCAGTGTCAATGGGGCTGGTTTCACCTTCATTTGGTGGGCACTCTCAACTGGCTTTGAAATTCTCAAAGAAAGCATTAGTTCATGTGCTACTGTTGAGTTGGTGTTTACTTGGGAAGAAGGAGGGCTTGTGGTTTTTTTTATTCTACCACGTTTTAAATTCATTTTAAGTGGCTAATTTTATCATTCATTTTTCAAACTAACATTTAGAGAGTATTCCACCCACTGTTTATTAAATCAAACTAGTGAAGTTTTTAGAAATGAGTCATGACTGGAAATCATTGCATTCTGCCCTATAGTTAATGGCATCCTCTAAAGTCTATCAATACTTCAAATAATTACATATGAACTGTAAAACACACTTCTAGATAATTCTCTTAAGGTTGAAAAATGCTAAAATGAGTAGTCTACCTAAAACATGCTGGTTATATTACATGATAATTTTTATATAGGTCTTTATTCGGCTCTTTATTGGTAATTCATATGAAAGGAAATTAAATATTAAGAGAAATATTATTTTTTCTGAAAATAAATTCAGGGAAAGAAATAAGGCAATAAATTCTCTAATTGTTTTTGTAGCTAGAGTCCTAAATAATACAAAAACTGGAGTAATACAATTTTTAGTGCTATGAAAATGCATAGTTTAAGAAACAATTTTTCTATTAAAATGTTTCCAACAGCTTTTAAAATGTTTTCATTAAAAGTTAGTATTATTTTAGGCCAATCGTAAAACCATTATGCCCTATATTTATAATCATGTATAATATAAAGTAGAAAGTAAAACTTGATCATTTAGGAGATCTAGCTTGGTCCTGGAATTTAAATCAGCCAAGTAAAGTCTTCTAAACATGTGTATGAGTTGTAGAAAATGACCATAAGAAACTTACATGGCAAGATACTAGAAGGGTTAGGGGAAATTACAGCAATACTAAAGGAATAATATTTTAGCCAAAATAAAGGAGCAAAGTCAAAAAGTGGCTTAAAAAGTATAAATTATTCATGATGTAGGTGGAATATAAAAGATAAATAGATATAAATATAGGACACAAAATATGTAATAATAACAATTAAAATTAAACAAAAGAATGTAATGTTGGCATTTTAACTATGTTAACCTAAGACTATTCACCAATCAGAAAATAAATTTAAGTGTATTCTGATTTAATGATTCCATATGTTTATGATTTCTTAGTGGTTTCTTTTTAATATTCCCATCCAAGGGTCTGCCAGTGAACACCAAATTGTCCTTCTGGCTATCAATTGACAAGGCCCTCAGCCAATGAAACATCATTAGATTGCACTGTTATATCTATGGAATAATGTTACTGATCCTTAGGGCACAACATTGTTTTTTGCAGCTTGCAAACTCTGCTATTTTTTTCCCAAATGGAAGCTTTCATGGGGTCATGTATATGAGAAAAATTTTTTTTTACATGTTCTTGTTTTCAGCCCAAAGGGTTTGTTCTTTGTTTAGAAGCTTTCAAAGGTTTTTACTCCTCTAGGGAGATCCTCTTTCATATTTCTATATGAGTCTTTTAGAATTTTCAGGAATGGGCCTGGAGAGAAGAGAGATAGAAGGAAGGAGAAAAGAAAAAACTCATTTATTTAAATAAAATATTTCGAAAATGTGATTCTAAACATTCAGTTCACAATATATTCCACAAACTCACCTTTTTTTCTTTTTTTTTTCAGTTTTGGTAAGAAAATAAACTGACAAACCCAGCTTCTTAACTGCTTAGTGGTCTACTGAGGTTTGGATGAAACAGAGAGAGAATAACATGAAGAAGTACCAGCTGCATTCAAATATATTTGTTGTCAGGGTAGTTACAAAATTTATTTTCATGGAGCTTCTGAAATATAACTCTAGTATATAAGGGGTATACTAATGTAAAATGCCAAATTTAAAATGACATTTGCAGATAATAATTAAAAAGAAAATTGATGTGTATTTCTATTTTGGATTTATTTATTAAATTTTAATTAACTGAAATCAGAAATAACCAATAACATTAAATCATTTACAGCTCGGTAATACTGGATAAACACAGTTTAGATCTCTGTAATACTGGGTGGCCATGGACCACCCCACACCCAGCTGCCAACTCAACCCTCAAAATAGGAGAAAATTTCCAACTATTGCACTGTGGCAGAGCATAGTATCTTGTGGGAGAACAATATAAATTTTAAAATATTTTTAAAACTCTCATACTAAAACCAAACAAGGACAGAAAATGAAAAGAAATCTCATTTATAAACTCAATATAAATAAATCCTAGATGAAGGAAGCATAAGTCAGCTGCATATCAAAGAATAATGTGTGATATACAAATGCAGTGCCTTCCTATTCATTGCTAGTGCTATTGCACATTACTTTTTAGTGGCCAAAAGTAACAGAGAGAGTAGTTCAGTTGTAGTCCCTGCCTGGTGGAATCACAACATTCTCAATTCACATGACAAGCCATCCAGGGAATGAAATCCCCTATCTCCCAATATATGTGCTAGTCTTGGCAATAAAACACACAGGTAGAGAACAAAACAAATGGGGATCTAGTAAAAGTGTTTTGTCTATTTAAAGTTTCTTTACAGAGTTACTAAGAAAAATGACAGGTCAAAAGAACCACATATGCTTGTTTGAATTGACAGTTATTCAAAACCACAACTTCCATATTCTTTTTTTTCCTCTTTTGAAGTCAACTCAATTTCAAACCAGTACCTACTACAGGTAAACCAGTACCTACTACAGGTAAACCAGTACCTACTACAGGTAAACCAGTATAACACCCAGCATATTTCCCAAATGCTGTCCACCATCATGCCCATGTCATTACAATAGAGTCTCCTTTGGCATTTCAACTCAGGCTATTTACTATGAGCTTCTTTTCTTTTAACCTCTATTCATTAAGCACATCTTACTCTTGCTGAAACAGTAATTATTACCATTCACATGAAGAACAAGACAATGTCATCAAATCTGGCATTACTATTTAGTTTGTACTTTCAGAAATAATCAATGCTTTAAAGATAACATAAGAAGAATAAAATTTGGAAAAGAAGAGATGAACATTCATGGTAGAAATCTTGAAAAACAAAAGTGAATCAAGTGAATGGGAAATAGAAATAAGTCAAGAGTTCATCAGGTTACCACGTACAAGATCAATAAACTAAAGTTAATTGATTTTTGTATAATATTTACTGGGAGTAGAGTTACCATAAAATGCAAAATGCTCCATTACATTTGAATTTAGCATAACCAATGAATAAATTACTGCTATAAATGTAACCTACATATTGCATGGGACATAATTATATAAAAAATTATCCTTTGTTGCTAAATATGTCAATCTTAATTGTGAAAAATATCATATATACTTATGAATATATGAACATATTTTGAAATATACATGTTTGTATAAAAATAAATACCTGTGTCCGCGCCCCACACACAGCTTAAAAAATAGGACACTGACAAACATTTTAAATTTCATTCTTTGCTTTTATAAATATTATAACCTCATCTCTCCACCTTTAGATGACCAATATACCAAAATAATTATTTTCATGCTTTTTAATATCAGCTTACCAGACTCAAATGTATTTCTACATAATGTATTATTCACATTTACCTGTTTATAAAAATATTATAATAATGTTTTGTACTGGTTATATTATTGATTAATTTTTGGTGAAATCATTCATACATACTGAAGCATGCTCCTGTATTTCATTATTCCATGCAATCCAACATATACTTTGAACATACCAAAAGTTATTAATGTACTATGCTGCTTATAAGAATATGCAATTTATGATTTATTTGGAATATATTATTTTACTAAGTTTTATGCAAGACTGTATATATTATATATTCATAATATACAATATATAAAATCCAAGGTATACATATACATACAAATTTATATCTATATCTATAATTTTATATACAGTATCTTCCCCCCTTATCCATGGGGAATACCTGCCAAGACCGCCAGTGGATGCCTGAACTGTAGATAGTATTAAATCCTATATATACTCTTTTTCCTGTAGATACATATCTATGATAAAGTTTAATTTATACATTAGGCACAATAAAAGATGAACAATAATAAAAATAGAATAATTATATACATGAATAAATGTTATGGGAACGGGGTCTCTTTCTCTTTTTCAAAATATCTTGTCGTACTGCACACTTAGATGTGTAGTATAATAAGATATTTCCTTGTTATGATGTGAGATGACACAATGCCTATGTGATGTGATGAAGTGAGGTGAATGAGGTAGGCATTGTAGCATTAGGTTACCAGTCACCTTCTTACAATAGTCACAAAGAGATCATTTGCTTTGAGTGATCCTGCATCATCGAGCTGTGATGATGTTGATGATGCGGATGACTAATAGGCAAGTAATGTACGCAGCATGGATACACTAAATGAAAGAATGACTCATGTCTCGGGTGGGACAAAACACCCACGACATGAATCATCACATGGTACAGTGTTTCTTCAGGGTATTCAGAATGACACACAATTTAAAACTTACAAATTGTTTATTTATTGAATTTTCTATTTAAAAATTTCAAACTGCAGTTGACTGTGGTAAACTTAAACTGGAGAAAGTGAAACTGGGTAAGAATACGTTTTGCATCTGTGTATCCTGACAATTTCAAGGAACACACATTAAAATTAGCTTATTAAGGTATGCACATGTTTAACTTTATTGGATATTATCTTAGTATGTTCAGGCTGCTGTTAAAAGAAAAACAAAAGCTGGGTAGCTTACAAATAACATACATTTATTTTTTACAGTTCTGGATGCTGGGAAGCCTAAGATCATGGGAAAGGTAAATTTAAAGTCTGGTTAGAGTTCACTTTCAGGTTTATAGATGGTGCCTTCTAGCTGTGTCCTCACATGATGAAAGGGGTTAGTGGTCTCTTTGGGGCCTTTTCAAAAGGCACTATGGAACCACACACACAAACACACACACACACACACACACACACACACACCCTGGAATAGCCAAGGCACTTGTGAGAAAAAGAACAAAGAGTTATTACATTACTAGATTTCAGACTATGCTATAAAGCCATAGTAATTAAAACAACCAACATGGTATTGGAAAAAAAAATACACACTGACCAGTGGAACAGAATAAAGAGCCCAGAAATGAACCCACCCATGTAGGATCAGCTGACTTTCAACAAAGGTGCCAAAAATACGCTATTGAAAAAGGACAGTCTCTTTAATAAATTGTCTTGAAAAAATATGACTTCCATAGGCAGAAGAAAGAAATTAGACCTTTACCTCACACTATATAAAAAATCAACTCAAGATGAATTAAAGACTTAAACATAAAACCAAAAACTCTAAAAGTACTAGAAAAAAAACAGGGGAAAAACTACACGACATTGGTCTGAGCAATATTTTGTATTTGACTCCAAAAATGTTGGTAACAAAAGCAAAAATAGACAAATGGGATTACATCAAACTAAGCAGCTTCTGCACAGCAAAGGAAACAACTATGTTGACGTAATTGTTAATCTAAACACTAGGAAAATGCAAATTAAAATTACAGTGAGATATAATCATACTTCTATCAGAATGGCTTTTATCATAATGACAAAAGGTAAGAAGTGTTAGTGAGGATGTGAAGAAAAGGGAACCCGTCTACACTGTTGGTGGGAATGTAAATTAGTACAGTTATTATGGAAAGCACTATGGAGTTTTCACACACAAAAAAAATAGAATTATTACATGATCCAGCAAACCCACTTCTGGTTTACCTAAAATATTTGAAATCAATTTGTCAAAGAGATGCCTACACTCTCAGGTTTACTGCAGCACTGCTTGCAACAGCCAAGGAAAGTAATCAACCTAAGAGTCCATTAATAGATAAATGGATAAAGGCCAGTAGCGGTGGCTCACACCTGTAATCCCAACACTTTGGGGGGCCAAGGCGGGTGGATCATGAGTTCATGAGATTGAGACCATCCTGACCAACATGGTGAAACCCCGTCTCTACTAAAAATACAAAAATTAGCTGGGCGTGGTGGTGTGTGCCTGTAGTTCCAGCTACTCAGGAGGCTGAGGCAGGAGAATTGCTTGAACTCAGGAGGCAGAGGTTGCAGTGAGCTGAGATCGCACCACTGCACTCTAGCCTGGTGACAGTGAGACTCCATCTCAAAAACAAAATAGATAAATGAATAAAGAGCATTTGGTATAGATTCGCTATGGAATACTATTCAGCCTTAAAAAAGAAGGAAGTTCTATCATTTACAATAACATGGATAAAATTGGAGAACATTGTTCTAAGCAAAATCAGTCAGGCACATAAAGACCACTATTGCATGTTCTCACTTATATGTGGTATCCAAAACAATCAAACTCATAGAGGCAGAGAATGGAATGGTGGTTATAGATGTTGGGGTGTGGGGATAATGGGTTTATGACTGTCAAAGGATATGAAATTTTGGTGAAGCAGGAGGAATATGTTTTCCATTTTTAGAGTTCTAGTGCACAGCACAATAAACATAGTCAATAACATCGCACATTTCAAAATTGTTAAGGGAGTAAATTTTAAATGTTCTACTCACAAAAAACTTAAGTATTTGAGGTGATAGATATGTTAACTAGCTTGATTTCATTATCCCACATTGTATCCATAAATTACAACATCACATTGTACCCCATAAATTTATACAATTATAAGTTGTCAATTTACAATAATAAAAATAAATATAAGGCATTAATATCATTCATGAGGGTTCTACCTCCATGGACCAATCACTGACCAAAATCCCAATTTTCTTTTGAAAAGACATAAAAATTGAGCCTGTAGCCCCAGAGCAAACTCTCACTCCTTCCACCACAAGAGGACACAGACACATCTAGAAGGTGAAATTATAAAGGCACTAATGTCACTAATGAATGTTCTACACTCATGACCTAATCGCTTCCCAAAGTTCCCCCAATTTCCAAATATCATCACCCTTGGGGTAGAATTTAAACATACAAGTATTTAGTTTATTGGAAATAATTAACTTTATTTTTCAAAACTTTTTGCATCAATTTACACTACTAATACATTTGTGTTAGTGAATGTTGTGCCACATCCTCAATATCACATTTCTTCATGCAACAATATTTATTGAATGCCTTTTATATACCAGGCATTGTTTTAATTACTAGTTTTCTTTAAATAAGCTTTTTATTTTAGGATAGTCCTAAATTTACAGAAAAGTGACAAAAATAATACAGACAACTCTAGTTTTTCCTTCTCCCTTGTTCTCCTCAGAGACACATATTTTAAGATCTGCCAATGTGGTAAACATAAAATGGTATTTTATTTTATTTAGATTTTCCCTAAATACTACTATGCTAAGATATCTTTTGTAAGATACCTTACACAAAAGATACCTTAGTATAGTAGCATTTAGTATTCAGTATATATATACACACACAAAAAAGATATCTTAGTATAGTAGTATTTAATATTTATGCATTTTATGACTTGAGACTTAGTTCTATTGGTTTGTCTTTTTATTCTTCATTTATGAAATTATATAAAGAATATAAATCTTTTTCAGTTAACTTTTTGCAACACCTTTTCCTGGTTTATCATCTTTTTTTTTAATTCTGTGTTTAAAAAGTTTTAAATATTTGTCTCTCCATATTATTATCATGAACACATTTTCTAATGCTGAATAAACCTTGCTTATCTGAAATAAACTAACCGACCATGATGTACCACGTTGTATATTTATGGAAATATTCAGTTTGTTAATATTTGTTAAGTATTTTCATCTATATTTATGAGTGTCCTTGTCTGATGTAGGTGCCGAGGATGTTAGCAACATGTAAGTTGGAGAGTGTTTACTTTGCTGTACGTAAGATTAAAAGTACTTGCTTCTTGAAAATTTAATAGAATTTGAATTTAAAATGATCTAGGCTTTTTTTGTGTGGGGGGGGAGATTTTAAACCCAATACTACAATTCAGATATCCTACCTTTTTTCATGAGCATATTTTGGTTATTTACATTTTCTCAAATCTTTAATATTTTACCCATTTTATAATATATTGAAATGTAGTTATTTATATTATATTGCTATCTTTTTTATGATAATATATTTTAAACTTTAAAAAGTATTTCCAGTATTTATCTTCTGCTTTGTACTTTGTCAGTTGGTCATATAAATGATAGGTTGCTCAGTGTTATTATTCTTTCCAGACAATAACATTTTAATATCATTGATGTTTTTAATGATAATTGTGTTTCACTTATTTGTGCTCTTATTTCTATCCTTCCATATTATGTGAATTATCTCTTTGTTTCATTTTAGTATGCCAACTCTTTAAGTTAGATACCAGCTTATTCATGTTTAACCTTTCTTTTTAATGAAGGTATTCAACAGTATGTATCTATTTATCTGTAAATATTTCTGTAGCTGCATTAACATGCATTTTTGTGTATAGTATTTTTATCACTCCATTCTAAGTGTATTTTTATATTCAAACCCATTATGACTTGACTTACAAATTATTTAGATGTGTGTTTTATTAAAATGTAAATTGTATAAGCTCTTATAATTTTTTTTCTATTCATTATATTTAAAGTTGTCATGGCCAGTAAACGTGATATGTATTCTACCAAGTCCTCAAAATATGCCTGCTTTATGATTTAGAATGTGATCAATATTCTAGAGTGCACCATGATACCAAAAGAAATATGTAATGACATGTGTTTTTGTGTTTGAAAGAGAGAGAGAGGGATAGAGAAAAACTATGTCTGTCTATTGTGTATGTTGCTATTGGTCTGCTTGACATTTGACTAACCAAGAGAAATAACATAAACACTCACCATTATTATGAATTTCTCAACTTATCTTTCTACTTTGGGCTCTATTGAAGCTATTTATTAAAGGAATGTTGGTGAATATATGTGGATTTCTTTTATTCTATTTTCACATTTTATTTCTCCCACATTTCTCTCACTTGCCCTCTTCATGCTTCATGTTTCTTTCTTTCTATCGGATTCATTCAGATTTTTTTAATGGTTTCCTCTTTTATCTTTCTCCTCATTATGAGATCGATTTCTGTTAACTTAGTGATTACGTTTAAAATTACCTTATTTATATTTAAGATTCCTATAGACATTCTTCCCCTTTCCCCAGCCAAATACTTTAGAATTATTTGAATCAGAATGCCACATTTAGTGTGTTGTTCATTAAAATAACTCCACAGTACAAAAACTATTTTATTATTATAAAATCAGTTTTGGTTATACACACACATATATATACACATATATATGCATATATATACACGTATATGCATATATATACACGTATATGCATATATATACACATATATGCATATATATACACATATATATGCATATATACACATATATATGCATATATATACACATATATATGCATATATATACGCATATATATATGCATATATACATCTCTCTCCACAAATTTACCATTTAAAAAATAACCATTTAGTATCTCAGGTTCTTTTACTATGATCATTTTTCTTCTTTCTGATGTACATTTTAGAACTATCTTTAATGATGATAATATTTTTGTTGGAAAAATGTCTGTAATTTGTTCCACATGGTAAATGATATGTAGCTGAGATTACACCTCTTAGCTGACAGTATTTTTTTCTCAGTATTTTCTGTATCTTGTTCCATTATCCTCTACACTTGCTGTAGACATTCTACTGTCAGTTTTTATTTCTTTGTAGAAAACATTTTTTCTTACTCCTTTTAATTTCTAAACATTTTATTTTCCACAGATATTGAGAAAATAATTTTTTATTAAAAATAATAAAATAACATATCTTCTTTATCTGTAGTGTTTTCCACTTTAAGTCTCATAAGTCTAAATATGTATTTCTCACTCACCCTTCTTGGGTAATTTTTGTTTAACCAAAAGATAATGATTCCCAGTTGAAGGAAATTCAAAGTCTGGAAATGAAGAAGATATTAATACAATATTTATACTTCTATATTATATAATTGGTTTAATGCTATTTAGCATTATTTTTAATATTTAAACAGAATCAATTTTAAAATTTTATTTTTAAATTTTAGAATAAAATTTAAATATTATTTTGAATGTTGTGAAGGTGAATATAGCAACTTTGCTCTGTAGAACAGGGTAATAGAAGGAACCTCATATAGATAGATTCATTAGACAGGATTTTCAGCATCTCTCCCTTGGAAATTAGAAACTGGACATGAGATGCCTCAATATCATTGACAAGATTAATACATTTTTGTATAAATCTAATTGCAGCCATGGGAATAGATTAGAGTTCCTAAAAACTTCTGCAGAGTAAAAAGATAGGGCCTCTAGGAAAGAAGTGAGGATTCATAGGACTACAGAGTGAAAAGGGAGTTAAAAGATCTGGCAAGAAATAAACTAAGAGAACATTATATCCATCAAAGAAAAGAGAAGAGAGATTTTTTATCAAGGCAGGGAATATTCAAAGGGAGGATATAAAGCAAATAAAGACTGGGAGGCTCTTTTTGACCTACTTCTCAGGAAAAATTCTTTTGATTTGAGTAGAAAATTCTAGGTGGATAATAAAAACAAAAATGTGGGTTTTTTAGATAAACAGAAATGTTGTACATCATGTACAAATCTTCAAATCTGTTCATTACTTTACAAAGATATATCTTCCCAAGTGTGACCTGTGGGCCAGCAACATGTGTAAACTTAGAAATAGAAACTTTTTGGCCCCATTCTAGAACAAAAAAAACGCATGAGAAAATCTAGGGTAGGGTCCATCCATTTGTATTTTAACAAGTTATTTAGGTGATTCTGATGCCCAGTGAAGGTAGTGAGCCCCTGCTTTAATAAAAAGCAATAACGTTTGCCTATTTTCTCAAGCAACTGTCTTGCTGTAAAATGACAAACATTACATTTTTCTCATGTTCCATGTTTAGTAAGCCATTGAAACTTTTCAAGTCTACATTTTAATATATTTTGAACTAATCTTTCACTTTCCATTTTCTATTTAATTGTCTCATTTTGGGAATGTAGCATCTTTGGCTGCCTACAATGATTATAAATTTGTGTGTTACATCTAAATTATTGTTTTAAAAATTCTTGCATTGACATTAATGTTTTATAAGTAATTTCTTAAATGAAGGTTGTATACATATCCCAAAAAAATTTAAGATGTGTATTTGTTATGCATCTTAAGAGACAGCACAGCATCAGTTCCTTTCAAATCATTCATGTGCTCATCGCTAAACATATTCTCCTGTAGCTAGAAATAATAATTATTTTAAATATTTTACTTATCATTACCTTATTCATTTTTTATTGTACTTCTATATGTATAGCTCTGTTACATATAGGCATACAAATAGAAACATAAATAGAAAAATAAAATATACTGGTATGTAGAACATTCAGTGTGTACCTGATGTGGAGGAAACATTCTATAATTTATAATCTGCAGAGCAGTTAGGTCAACCAGTAAGATTTAGATTCAAAATTTGTCTTTGCTACTTGGTAACTAGTTAATCTTAGGAATATCCCACAATCTTTTGAGCCTCAATGTCCTCATCAGTAAAATGAGTATAATATTACCTGGCTAAGAGTTCTGCATAGATAACTGAGTTAAGAAGCATATAACACTTGGATAATTTTCTAAGAGAATTACTGTGAATGGTATATGGGCTCAGTAACAAATCTTGATTGACAGATAGGTACAAAGAAGTGGGACTGACTGATTTCGGAGCATTCACTATTGCATCTCCTGCTCCTAGTAGAGTGCCTGAGTACTTAATAACTGTTGCTGAAAAATACATTTCACCACTCATGTCTTTTCCATTATTCTTCAATGACACATAACATTGTTTGGCATTGAATAAAATATATTTCTTCTCCTACCAGTGAGGCTGAGTACTTTTTCAATGCTTTCTTGTGTTGGAATGCATCTTTTTATCCTTCTACAGTTTTTTAAATAAAACTTTTGAAATTATTTATATTTTACAGAAATATGCACAGATCCTAAATGAACAACTTGATGACTTTTCACAGCATGTGAATTGTATAATCACCACCTAAATTAAGAAATCGAATACTGCCAGAACCTGGGGTATCATGTTGTCTCAACTTCCAGTAATTATTTCCCTTTTCTTCAAAGATAAACATTAATAATTGTTTATGTTTTCAAATTCATATACTATGTACTTTTTGTGTCTGTCTTCTTTCATTTGTTAGTTTATTTGAGATTAATTCACATTGTGGATTATAGAAAGAGCTATCTCTATAAAATATTATAAAAATAATATTCCATAATTTATCAATTCTGAAACAGTTTACAACTAATGTTCACTACAAAACTAAACCTGTTATGAACTTTCTTACACATATCTTTTGGGATTATGTGTGTAAACACATTTTTTTGAGTATGTAAATAGGAATGGAATTGCTGCACCTTTGGATTTGCTTATGTTTTGATTTATTATATATATTACCAGTTTTCTAAAGTGATTTTGAAAAATTTTATTTGTGTATAGGTGCATTTATTTTGCCTTTATCATTAAATACTAATTTAACCTTGAGTTCTTTGAATGTATTATTTCTGTGCCTTCTTTTTGCTATGGAGAAATCTGCTGTCAATCAATCTGTTTCTTTGTTGGCAATCTTTTTTTTTTCTATTTTTATAAATACAATTGACCCTGAAACAAAATGGGTTTGAACTCTGCGAGTCCACTTATGCACTTATATCTGATCTTTTATATTCCCAGGATGTGAAGCTCACAGATATAGAAGGCCAACTTTTTGTATGCACACGTTCAGCAGTGTTGAGTACTGGACTTGCTTGTGGTGGATTCTGGTATACACAAGGGTCCTAGAACAGTCCCCCACGTGTGACGACCAAGGGACAACTTACCATATTTTGTTGTTTTACTACAACATATCTAATGATTTTGTAAGAATCTTAAACCTGAGGGTGCATATCTTCCAATAGTTCTAGTAAAGACGCTAAGATTTCTATAAAAATAGCATCCATTTTAAGTATCTACATTCTTTCAGTTTGTAACTCCCATTATATAAAGCATATCTTATTCTTTTTCCAATATCTCTTACCCCTTCTCTTGTTTTACACCTATCTACATTTTGCTTGTTTATTTTTCTGTTTAAAGTATCCATTGAAGTTTCAATTTCAATGGCTTCTCCGTTTTTGCCATTTTTAATTTTTTAAGGTTATTTTCACATCTTCCTGGCTATTTGTTGTTTTTTCATTCAAAAATTTTAATTCCATCTTATATTTATTTTGTCATAGCAAATGTGCTTTTACATAATATTTATCTGAGATGGTCATCTGACTTTTTGTCATGAATAATTCTGCTACAAGCACTTGCACTCTCTGGTTAATGTTTAATTCATGTTGAGACTATGAATTCCTCAAAGCTTCATCTTGCAAATATAGTGAGCCCTGGCTTCCATCCCTCTAGAGATGTTTTTACATTTGTTTCCATTAGGTGTCCTGGAACATTAGTAAGAGAAACAATTTTCTTAGGGGATTTTCTCATTTTAAGGGCTCTGATATGAATGGGAAGCTAACACAAATAAGAGTATTTGCATATGCTTGAGAAATAACTTTAAAAAAACAAAATTAGCACTCAGACCAAAGCCAAGAAAGGCTTTTTTTTTTTCATCTCCCATTTCTAATGATACCTTTTTTTTCAGTCCAGCCCTTCTCTAAATATGACTTTATTCACATGACCTGGATTTATGTAAAGATCTCAATTACAACTTCCTTCTCGAAATTGCCCAAGGCCTTCTCCTGCATTGTATAACCCCCCGTTTCCACATTCCCTAGGTACAGTAATTGGCACGTATCCCCAAGGAAGGCAAACCTTAGCATTTACTAATAACTCTGATTGTTTGTTTTTCTCTTTCTCCAGCCTTGGAAATGTTCAGTACTTCCTTCTGAACTCAGTTATGAGGTGATTTTAAAAAGCTGCGTTTTTTTTGAAGCATTTTAGTTTTTTGTAATAGAGGCTTTTCTGGCTCTGTAGTCCATAAATATTTCCAGAAATATAATACTCTTAATAGCCTTAAGAGTCTCTAGAAATCAAATGATTTCTCACTTTTCTTGCTATTCTGGAGTAGACAAAGTGTCAAGTAAATAATAGCCAATAAATATATATCAAGTCCTTATTGAGAGTAAAGATAAAACGACCTGATTTATTTAGGGAACCACTTATAGGTCAGTAATAGTAGAGAATAACATGAAGGCTGGGATCATCAGAGGTAAATGTCAAGAAATAGGTAGCAATGTGATGAAAATAAGTCTTTTATGTAATTTAAGCAACTTGATTTAAATTCTGGAGGAACATCACTGAAGTCTTTATGATTGGCTTATATTATGGCAGGGAGCCCATGGGAGAAGGATTAGAGTTCTTCAGACAGACATAACCAGATAAATAAAGAGAGAGATTTTTAAGAAATTGCCTCATGCAATTGTGGGGGCTAGCAAGTTTGAAATTTGTAAGGTGGGCTGGCAGGTTTGAAATTCAAGGTAAGAGGTGATGTTGCAGACTTGTGTCTGAAATCTGTAAGGCAATTTAGTTAGGCTTTCTATGTTTCTGTCATAAGGCAGATTTGCTTCTTCTCATGGGAACCTTATCTTTGCTCTTAAGGCCTTCAACTGATTTGGATAAAGCTCACCCCTATTAGGGCACTAAATCTACTTAATCAAAATTTACTGATTAAAAATGTAAATCACACTGAAAAAAAATCTTTACAGCAATATCTAGACTGATGCTTGAACAAACACCTGTCCAATATAACTTAGCCAATTTTACATGTAAAATTAATCATCAGCACAGCTAAGCCTGGATGCAAAGTGAGACAAATCACAACAAACAAAATCACAAGTTAATTTTAATAGTTCAAGACAGAGATAAACATTTTATACTTAGTTACACGGCTTATGTGATATTTTTCATTTCCCTATAAATCTACTAGTTTCAAGTTTGCTTACAATAAGCCATTCTAAACAGACCAAATATAGCCCAGTAGGAACATTCCTTAAATAAGGACTGTTATGGACAGAATATGTTGTTCCCCCCAAATTTGTATGTTGAAATCATAATCCCAGCAAAGTTATCCTTCAAATATAAACGAGAGACAAACTCTTCCTCAGATAAGCAAAAGCTAAGAGAATTCACAACCAGATCCCTCTTATAAGATATGCTAAAGGGAGTTCTTCAATCTGAAAGGAATAAAAGCACTAACATGAAAAAAGAACATATTTAGTCTAATACCCACTGGCAAAATAAATACATGAAGAAAACCAGAATACTGTAATACTATAATTGTGGTGTGCAATCCACTCATACCATTAGTATAAAGCCCAAAAGATAAATCTATAAAAAGTAATAATTGTATTAGCAATCTGTTAAGAAGCATTAAATATTAAAAATATGTAAATTGAAACAACATAAAGTCAAAATGTTGGGGGGGATAAAGTTAAGATATAGAGAGGGTTTTTTAATTATGTATTTGTTTCTATTATTCTCTTTCTAATCAGATAAACTGCAATTGCTTAAAAATAACTTGCTATATCTATAAGATGTTTGTGTAAGCCTTATGGTAACCACAATGCAAAAGCCTCTAATAAATTCACTAAAAGTAACAAGCAACAAATTAAAACATACTACCAGAGAAAATCGCTTAAAAAAATGCAGACAGTAAGAAAGGAAGAGCTGAATTACAAAACAACCAGAAAATAAGCAACAAATGGCATTAATCAGTCCTTACTTATCAATAATAACTCTGAATGTAAATGGACTCAATTCCCCAATTAAAAGTTATAGAGTGGCTGAATGGATAAACTGTAAGACCCAACTATATGCTGCATACAAGGAATCCACTTCAACTATAAAGACACACATATACTGAAAATGAAAGGGTGGAAAAAGATATTTTATGCCAGTGGAAACCAAGAAAGAGCAGGAATAGCGATACTTATATCAGATAAAACAGACTGCAAATCAAAGAATGTAAAAAGAGAAAAAGGTCACTATATAATGATAAATGGGTCAATTCAGCAAGAGGATATAACAATTTTAAATATCTATGCATCCAACACTAGTGCTCTCAAGTATAGAAAGCAAACATTAATAAATTTAAAGAACAGATATACTGCAATACAATAATAGAGGATGATTTAAATAGCCCATTGTCTCCTCATTTTTTGTTTGAACAGATTATACAGGCAAAAAACCAACAAAGAAACAACAAATGAGAATAAATAGGTCTAAATGACATTTACAGAATGTCTCACTCAGCCACTGTAGAATAGATTCATTTTGTTAGTACATGGAACATTCTACAGAATAGATCATATCTTAGGCCATAAAACAAGCTTTCATAAGTTGAAGAGTAGAAGTTATATTGAGTATCTTTTTTTTTTGACAACAATGAAATAAGACAGGAAATCAATAACAAGATGAACTTTGGAAAATATACAAATGCATGCAAATGAAAGAAGATGCTCCTGAATGCACACAGAATTAATAAAGAAATTAAGCAGGAAAATTAAAACTGAAATGCAACATACCAAAATCTGTGAGATATAGCCAAAGTGGTACCATGAGGGAAGTTTAAAGCACTTTATGACAAGATAGTAGGAAGACTTCAAATAAACCTAGGAATGCACCTCAAGGAATTAGAAAAGCAAGAACAAACCAAGCCTAAAGTTAGTAGAAGGAAAGGAAAAAAAAAGATTAGAACAGAAATAAATGAAATTGAGACAAAAATAGAGAAGATCAATGAAATGAAAAGTTGGTTCTTTTGAAAATATAAAGAAAAGACAAATCTCTAGTTAGACTAAGAAAAAAAGGAGACGACCCAAATAAATAAAATCAGAAATGAAAAAAGGAGACATAATAACCGGGACCACAGAAATACAAAGAATCATTGGAGACTATGATGAACTACTATATAGCAACAAATCGGAAAACCTAGAAGAAATGTATAAATTCCTGGACACATGCACCCTACCGAGATTGAAACATGACGAAACATAAAATCTGAACAAAACAATAATAAAGAGATTAGAGCCTTAATAAAAATTATCTCATTAAAGGGAGCCCAGAACCTGCTGGCTTCATGGCTGAATTCTAACAAACACTTAAAGAACTAATACCAATTCTATTCAAACTCTTTAGATAAATTAAAAAGGAGGGAGAATACTCAAACTCGTTCTTTAAGGCCAGCATTATCCTTATACCAAAACCAAACAAGAACATAACGGCAACAGTAAAAGCCACAGGCCAATAATTTTGATGAACATAGAGACAGATATCTTCAACAAAATACTAGCAAACCAAATTCATAACACATTAAAAAGATTATTCATCATGGTAAATTGGGATTAATTCCTGGGTTTCAAGGATGACTCAACAAATTACTAAATATGATACATCACATTAAGAGAACCAAAGAGAGAAACCAAATAATCATTTCAATAGATGCTAAAACGCATTTGATAAAATTTAAAATTACTTTGCCTTAAAAACCCTCACCAATGTGGATATAGAAGAAACAGACTAAAAAGTAACAAAGGTCATATATGACAAACCCACTGCTAACATCATAATGAAAGTGGAAAAATTGGAAGTCTTTCCTCTCAGATCTAGACCAAGACAAGGAGGCTCACTTTCACCACTTTTATTTGACATAGTACTGGAAGGTCTAGCCAGAGCAGTTAGGCAAGAGAAAAATTAAAGGGCATCTAAATTGGGTAAGGAGAGAGTGAAATTGTCCCTGTTTACAGATGGCATAATCTTATATATAGAAAAACCAGAATACTTCACCAAAAATCTCTTAGAATTGATCAACAAAATCAGTAAAGTTGGAGTATATAAAATTAATATACAATAATTAGTAACATTTTTATACAGAAACAATGAAATTGCTGAAAAAAATCAAGAAGGCAATTCCCTTTTGGTAGCAAAAATAGCTACCTAAAAAAGCCCAATAAATAAATTTAACCAAGGAGGTAAAAGACCTCTACAAGGAAAACTACAAAACATTGATGAAAGAAAAGGAAGATGATGTAAACAAATGGAAAGACATCCCATGCTCATGAATTGAAATAATTAATATTGTTAAAATGACAATACTACCCAGTGCAATCTACAGGTTCATTAAAATTTCTATCAAAATTCCAGTGACATCCTTCATATACACAGAATAAAAATCCTAAAATTTGCTTGAAACCACAAAAGATCCCAAATAGACAAAGCAATCTTGAGCAAAAAGAACAAAACTGGAGGAATCATACCACCACACAAGTGCAAAGCTGTAGTTACCTAAACAGCATAGTATGGCCATAAAAACTGACACATAGTCCAATGGAGCAGAAGAAAGGACCTAGATTAATCCATATAATGCAGCTGAATGATTTTTGACAAATGTAACAAGAACACTCATTAACGAAAGGACAGTCTTTTTGATAAATGACTAGTTTTATTCTACTGATGTTCATATGCAGAAGAATAAAACTAGACTCCCATCTTTCACCTAATATAAACATCAACTCAAAGGGGATCAGACCTAAATGTAAGACCAAAAATGATAAAACTACTAGCATAAAACATAGGAGTAATTCTTCAAGACATTGGTCTGAGCAAAGAATTTTTTGTGTAAGACCTAAGAAGTACAGGCAACCAAGCAAAAACAGACCAATGAGATTATATCAAGCCAAAATGTCTCTAGACAGCAAAGGAAAAAATCAACAATATGCTGAGACAACCCATAGAATGGGAAAGAATGTTTGGAATGTTTGCAAACTATCCATCTGACAAGGGATTAATAACTAGAATATATAAAGAGCTCAAAGAACTCAATAGCAAACATACAAATGATTCCATTGAAAAATGGGCAAAAGATCTGAGTAGACATTTCTCAGAAGAAATCATACAAATGACCACCTGGTAAATGAAAAAATGCTCAGCATCACTAATTATCAAAGAAATGCAAATCAAAACCACAATGAGATATCATCTCACTGCAGTCAAATGGCTTTTATCAAAAAAGACAAGGAATAATGGGTCATGACAAGGATGTGGAGAAAGGAGAATCTCCATACATCGTGAGTGGGAATATTAATTAGCACAGTCATACAAAAATACCTATAGAGGTTTCTTAAAAAAGTAAAAATGGAACTACCATATGATCCAGCAATTCAACTGCTGGTATATCTTCAAGAGAAAATAAATCAATATGTTAAAGGTATATCTGTATGCTTATGTTTTTTGCAGCACTATTTATAATAGCCAAAATATGGAATCAACCTAAGTGTCCATTAATGGCGGAATGGATAATGAAAATGTGGTATACATAAAAAATGAAACATTATTCAGCCATAAGAAAAAAATAAAATCCTGTCATTTGTAGTAATATGGTTGGAACTAGAGGTTATTATGTAAATGAAATCAGCCAAGCACAGAAGGACAAATACCGTATGTTCTCACTCATATGTTGGAGATATAAAAGGGCATTTCATGAAGATAGAGAGAAAATTTGTTGTTATCGGAGGCTGAGAAGTGGTGGTAGGGGGACGAGGGAGAGATTAAGAGAAGTTTATTTATGGGTACAGTTTGATACAAGAAATACAACATGATGTTTAATAGATCAAGGTGACAATTGTTTATAATAATCTATTGTATATTTTAAAATAGCTAGAAGAGAATAGTTCAAGTGTTTTAGCATATTTAAAGTGATAGATTTCCTAATTGAACTGAGTTGATTTGTACAAATTATATGAGTGTATTAAATTATCACATATCTAAGTATGCAATTAATGGATCATATGGTAAGGCTATGTTTAGTCTGTAGAAAGATACCTTTCTAATGGGATGTACTATTTTGCATTCCTACCAGCAATGAATGAAAGATCCTGTTGCTCTCTGTCACCAGCATTTGGTATTGACAATGTTTAAAATCTTATTTTAATCGTTCTAAACAGAATGTAAAGAATAGAAGATTTTAAATGTTATAAAGTCTAACTTATCTATTTTTATCATGGATAGTGCTCACATTGTGTCTAAAAATTCATCACCAAACTAAGGTCATGTAGAATTTATCTTATGATATATTACAATAAAATTATAATTTAGAATTTTAGATTTAGGCCACATTCATTTTGAGTGAATTTTCATAAAATGTGTCTAGCAAAATATGTATAGTGAAAAATGTGCAATGTGTTTACTTTTATTTTTGCATATGAGTGTCTGAATGTTAGGCTACTATTTGCTGAAAAACATATCCTTTCTCCATTGAGTTGCCTTTGCTTCTTTGTCAAAGATCATTTGACTATAATTTAGTGAGTCTGTTTCTGACTGAGCTTTTTTTTCTATTTCTATTTCATTTGTCTATTTTTCTATTCTTTAACTTATACTATGCTTTCTTCATTGTTAGCCTTATAAGTCATCTTAAGGCTGGCTAGTGTGCATCCTCCAATGTCTTTCTCTTGGTTATTGTATTTGTTATTCTGAATGTTTTGCCTTTTAATATAGATTTAGCATCAGGTTGTTTATATCTACAAAATATGAGCTGGTATTTTGAATGGGATTATATTGAATACACAGATCAAGTACAGAAGAATTGACATTCTAAAAATACTGAGTCTTCCAATCCATGAGCATGGAGCATCTCTTCATTATTTAGATTTGATGATTTTTTAAAATCCAAGGTTTGTAGGTTTGTAATTTTCCACATAAAAATTGTACATGTTTTATTAGATTTATAAATAAATACTTCAATTTTTGGTGCTATTGTAAACAGTATTTTGTCTTAATTTTAAATGTCATTTGTTTGTTGCTGGTACTTTGCAAAGCATTTGACTTTTATATTAAGTTTGTATCCTACAACTTTGCTATAATTCTCTGTCAGTTCTAAGAGTTTGTTGGTGGTGGTTCTTTGAAATTTTCCAGACAATTATTTCATGTATAAAGGACACAATTTTGTTTCTTCCTTCCCAGTATGTATACTTGTTATTTCCTTATCTTACCTCACTGGCTATAACTCCAATATAATGTTGAATAGAAGTTTGATAAATGGGAATATATTTGCCTTATACCTGGTCTTAAGGGAAAAATGTACAGTTTGTTACTATTAAGTATATTAGATCTAGGTATTTTATAGATGCCCTTTATCAAAATGAGAAAGTTCCTCTCTATTCCTAGCATGTCAAGAGTTTTTATTTTGAGTGTATGTTGGGTTTTAGCAAATAGTTTTCCTATATGCAATCATATGATCATATAATGTTTCTTCCTGTTTAATTACATTAACTAAATTTCAAATGGTGAACCAGCTTGGAATCTCACTTGCTCATGGTGAATAATTTATACGTTGTTGAACTCAATTTGCTTATTTTTGAGGAGGATTTTTGCATCACTGTTTATGTAGTTTTTATTTCACATACTATCTTTATCTGGTTTAATATTAGGGTAATTCTAGTCTCACAGAGTGAGTTAAGAAGTGTTTCCTCTGCATCTATGTTTTGGAAAATTTCATAAGTGTAATTTCCTCCTTAAATGTTTGATATAATTTGTAATGAAATCATCTTGGCCTGGTTTTTTTTTTTTTGGTAGTTTTAATAATTGATTCAAATTTTTAAATTAACAAAACATCTATTCAGATGATTTATTTCTTCTAGTATGAGTCTTAGTAACTTTTGTTTTCCAATGATTGTGTTCCTTTCATCTAAATCTCCAAATTTGTGGGCATATAATCATGCACAGTTATCCTTTATTATTTATTTAATATTCTGGGGATCATTCATTCTAAACTCTGCCCTTTCGTTTCTGATGCTGCAGTTTGTGTGTTTTCTATTTTATTCTTGGATAGCTTGGCTAGAGCTTTATCAATATTATTGATCTTTTCAAAAAAGTTGTTTTTGCTTTTGGTCACTTTCTCCAGTGTTTTCTGTTCTCAACTTCTTCATTTCTGCTCCAAATTTTATTAACTTTGTTCTGCTTGCTTTAGTCATTAGTATCACCTCTTTCATTAATTTTAAAGAACAAAGCCCATATTACTAATCTTAAATATTTCTTTTTTTCTAAAATATGCATTTAATGGCATACATTTCCCACAGCACAGCTTTCACTGCATCCACAAATTCTGACAAGCTGTTTTTCTTTTTACTTTATTTTTGAATGTCTTTGGAGACTTCTTTTATCTGTGTATTATTTAAAGTGTGTTGTTAAATCTCCAAATATTTGAGGACATTACAGGTATCTTTCTATTAATGATTTCTGTTTTAATTTAAATATGGTATGATTGCACATGTTATTTATATTCTTTTTAGTTTTTAAGGTGATTTGTGTGGCCCAGAATGTAATCTATCTGGGGGAATGTTCCATCTGAGTTTAAGAAAAATGTGTATTCTGATGTAGTCGAATAGAGTATTTTCTAAATGTCATTTAGATAAAGTTAATTGACAGTGTTATTGGGACCAACTATGTCTTTAACTGATTTTCTTCTGCTTGATGTACCCATTACTAAAATAGGGGTGTGGAAGTTAATAGTGGGTTTCTCTATCTTTTCTTGCAGATAGTTTAGTTTTTACTTTATGTATTTTGAGGCATTCTTGTTTGGAGAGTATCTGTTGCAGGGTATTATGTTTCCTTGGAATTGTGTGATACCCTTCTTCATCCCTGGAAATTTGCTTTGTAACAAAGTCTGCTTTGTCTGAAATTAACATAGCCATTCAATTTGTCTTTTGATTAGTGTTATCATGGTATATCTTTCTCAATCCATTTAATTCATCCTGTTTCTTTATATTTAAAATAGGATTTTTGAGTCAGTATATATTTGAGTCTGTTTTTTTTTAATCTTCTCTGACAATCTCTGTCTTTTAATCGATGCATTCAACCCATTCACATTTTAAAGGATTATTCTATAGTTGGGTTAATATTTATTGCTTGCTATTTGTTTTACTTGTTCTTAATTCCTCCCCTCTACCATCTGCCTTCCTTATTTTTAATGGAACTTTTTGTATAATTTCCTTCTTGTCTTTACTTACCATTATCATTATAATTTTTTATTTTAATTTTTATTGGTTCCTTGTATCTTATACTATACATTTACAATGAATCTGAGCCTACTTTCAAGTATCACTATACTGCTTCATGCCTAGTGCATGTAAGGACAAAGAATGCTAAATTTTTCCTTCTATCTTTTATAATATTGTCATTCATTTCAGTTATCCATATGCTAGAGTTGTCAAATACACCATCACTATTATTACTTTAATCAAGCAGTTATCAAATAGATGATTTAAACTTTCTTTTAAAATTTATTTTACCTGAACATACTCCATCTCTGTTGCTCTTCCATTATTTATGTGAATCCCAGTTTTTGATCTGTATCATCTTCCTTATCTTTGAAGAACTTTTAACATGTCTTGCCTCTTAATTCTGCTGGCAATGAATTCCTTCAGTTTATTTATCTGAGAAAATATTTCTCCATAATTTTTGAAGGATAATTTTACTGGATATGGATGTTTAGATGGTGTTTTTCTTCTTCTTCTTCTTCTTGTTTCAATCCTTGAAGTACTTCATTTCACGCTGTTCTTGTTTTCATGGTTTATGATGAGAAGTCCTAGGCAATGTTTTATTCCTTTCCCTCTCTAGATAAGCTGCTTTGCTTTTCTGGCTTTTTTCAAGCTTTCTCTTGATCTCTGGTTTTCTGAAATTTGAATTTAATATGCTTAGGTAAAAATTATTTGGTTTTTATCATACATGGTGTTCTGTATACTTTCTGAATTGGTGGTTTGGTGTATACCATTAATTTTGGAAAAATTTTGGTTATTATTTCTTTAAATATTTCTTCCACTCTGTTCTCTCTTTCTTCTTTTGGTGTTCCAATTAAGCATATGGTATACCTTATACAATTTCAATTCTAATTAAGCATATGATATACCATATGTCTTAGAGTTCTTGGATATTCTGTTCCGTTTTCTTTTTCCTTTTTTTCCTCTTTGTATATCAGTTTGGGAAGTTTCTACTGACATTTTAAATCCACTGATTCTTTCCTTGGCCGTGTCCAGTCTACTGATGAGCTTATCAAAGGCATTCTTCAATTTTGAGTCAGTATTCTTTGCATTTGGCTATTTTCTTTTTATTCTTTTTGAGAGTTTCCATCTTTCTGCTTACATTACCCATCTGTTCTTGCATGTAGCCACTATTTTCACTACAGCCCCAACATATTAATCATAGTTACTTTTCTATATAAATTTCTATTGGATAATTCCAAATTATATGTCATATCTAAGTCTAGTTCTTTTTTAAAAATATACTTTAAGTTCTAGGGTACATGTGTACACTAATGCTTGCCCTGTCTCTTCAGACAGTATTTTTATTGTCTTTTAGCAGGCTTTGAAATTTCTGTTGAAAGCTGGACATGACATGATATATGAGGTAAAAAGTCAATATCTGCATTTTTATTTCAGTCTGGCTGGGGACTGGGCTGTGTTTAATGTTTGCTTTAGTTATCGGTTCCTCTGGAATCAATATCCACTAGTGACCTGTTTTTGTCTCCCCTTTTGTCTATGGGATCTCCCAAGTACTTCTTCCTAAACAGAGCCTGTATCTTGCAGCTCTTTCAGTTTCATCTGCCATTATTATACTGTTTATTTGTTGGAAAAAAACGTGTGAGAGGGGAAGTGTTATATAATCATAAGATTATATGTGTACCTGGACTGTAATTTTTACAAGTTGTTTTTTTAGTGTTTTCTTTTTCCTCTCTCTCTGTTATGAGACAGGAAGGCTAGAAGGGGCTGATGGTGGGTAATTGACCTTCCCTCTAGCTGAAATAAGGCTCTAGTAAAGACTTTTGCCCTGAAGAGTAATAATTTGTTATGGAGAATGTTCTAGGGATGTTTCAAAATAATTACTTTTTCACTTTCACTGCCAAAGGCATGAGGGTTTTTCCTTGGCTCTTCAACTTGAGAATCTGGTGAGATATCTTGTGAGTTAAACCCACAAAATGCTCTTAAGAATATGGCAATAAGGAGGAGTTCTCACTAGTTTCCAGCATTTCATCATACTAACTGCTTAAATCTTTCCATCAGTATTAGAAGAGTTCCAGAAACATTTATTCCAGGTCAGTTATATCCTCTGTGATTCTCCGTTTTGCCTGTCTTTTCAGACTTTAGGGTTCTGGTTTGCCTTGAGACTGCAATTTAGTGATGGGTCCAAAAAAGTCATTAATTTTTAGCTTATTTGCTGTTTTCTTCCTGTAGGAATGGGAGTGATGACTTTTAAGCTCTTCATGTGTTTAAATTGTAACTGGAAGTCTAAATCAAGAAAAGTCATAGTCAATTTCCTCAGCTTATCTGACCATGAATCTCTTCTTCTAGGAATAAACTATGAGATCTAGTGTTCAATGGAACACAACCAGTTAACAGCCATAGGCAGATTTGATTATAAGTTAGTATTATGGATGGCATCCATATTTATTAGCTAGTTCTCTAAATGGCTTTCACAACTCACTAAAATCTTCAGGATCACCAACTGCTAACTCTGGAAGGTGTAAACGATGCCTTCTTAGATTTGCAGTTCCAAAGTTTAACCCTAATATTTGGCATATAAATGGCTTTCATAACAACTTAATGAATAAATTCTGATTATCAAAAATATAGTTGTTTTATGTGACATTTTATAATTTTAGGTAAAAAAAAATCACCCTGGGAATGAACGACTAATAAGTAAAGTAATGTAAATATGAATACTCAGGAGGAAGAGTAGGTCAATGGAGGCTGAGAGATATCACTGAAACAAATGTGGGTGGAAAGTGTTACCAAATGTGTCAAACTGTAGATTTCCCGCACCATATGTATGCTTTACTCTGTGAACTAGCGTCTGAGACCAAATGAGGTAACTCAACTCCTTAAGAAGAGAATGGAATAAAATGAGAGAACTCACCAGCATTAAGGATGGGTTTTCATTAGTGGTTTCTTTATAAACTCCCAGTTCTACACTGGCTTATACTAATTAAGAGGCAAAATGATTACTTATTAAGCACAAACTCTTTGTTAAGTTTCAAATTGATTCAGTTATAACCATAAATTATTTGGTCAGCCTATGAGGAATCTGCTTTAATTTTTACTTTTCTTCAAAGAGTGACTTGCCTCTTATTAAGGAATTTCAAAAAGGAAGTAATTCTGACCTTGAAGTGCTGCTTAACAGACTGGTAAATGTCTACTTCTTTGATATGTACCCTGTAGATATTGAACATTGTCTAAACATTTGAAACCATACTTATATGTCAGATTTCATTTGTTTCACAAATACTAGTAGCATGTTATTGACAGGAGAACCATCAGATAAATTCGAATCTGCTTTCAGGGTTTTTCTAGTAGCCTACTAGAAACTAAATGAATGTCTCTCATGTAAGAATGAATGTCTCTCATGTAATCTCTGGGAACTTCCACTGCTACAACATCTGAATTGCCTGATTTGTAGGAATAATAAATATGCCTTTGGGGAATGGACTGGATAAAGTCTGAGAAATATTGATAGCAGAAACTGTGATGTAGTGGAGGGAGAGCATATATTTATAGAAAGAAGAAAGTTTCTTTTAGAAGGTCCAGCTCCAGCACAATGTAAAACAGGCACAATTTTCCACAGTCCACCTAGCATTTCTCCTCTTTTACCCAATTTACTTAGTGACATAGTCCCCAAGTATTAATTTACTAAAAAGTGAAATTTGACCTTCACAGGTATATGCCAGTTCAGTATATTATATTATTCTAAAAGCAATTCTCATTATATTCATACGTAAGCCATATGTTCCTCCACCTAAATAATGTCTGTTTGAAATTTTAAATCTAAAGAGGTTAAGATAGTATTATTGGTAAGTAGTATCTGGTATCATATAAAGTAAAAAATTGATTATGGCAACAATATTAATGATCAGAAAACTGTATCATGTTCTGTCTTATGTCAGTGAATTAATAAAATTAAGCTAATAGTTTAATTAAGCTATTTCTAAAAGTATATAAGCATTAGTTCTTACAATTCTAACATTGATAGAAAAAGTGAAGTAACAACATTTATATTCATATATTTTTAAATTCATTCCTATTTTCAACCACTTAAAAAATAGTAAAAATAATGATCAGTTTCTGAGTATTTGTTAGGTATTATGTGCCTGGATCTGTTCCAAGCACCTTACCTGTATTAACTCAGTTAATCCTAATAAAAATCATGTGATATTAGACTTATTTTTATCATCTCCATATTAAATACGAATCAAAAGGCACAAAGAGGTTTTGTAGATTGTTCAAAGTGGTAGGGGTTCATTTTTGGAGTCAAGAGTCAAGAACAAACAGTGTAGACACAAGGCCTGCTCTCTTTTTACCCATGCTACCACAAAATCTATAGCTTTGCACAGTACTTAATACATTAATAAAAAGCTTTATAATTAGAGTGAAAAAGATTTGCTCAAACATTTTATGTCCAGAATCACAGAGAGTGAAAGCTAACTTGGGTTAGCACCATTTTCTTTGAAGCACAGATATGCACTCAAAGTGTTCCCAGTTCATACTCCACCAGCCACTATCAATTGGTCACAGGCATGGTACAACATGAACACTATCAGCCAAGCTTGCTGTCTGGGGTTGACCTATCCTAAAAGGCTAGATAATATTTCAAGGCTAGACAATGAATGGCTTTCATACTTGGGGCTGAGGCTAAATATATTCAAGTGTGTGTGTGTGTCTGTGTGCATGCACAAACATGCACACGTGCATGTGTATAAAGACTGCAGTTCAATGTGGGTTCTTCATATCTCCCAATGTGACTTTTTAAAAATCTTTGCTGTTTTTTTTTAATCCATAATGATAAAAGAGCTTTAAAATGGTATTTCTCAGTAGAGAACCATCAAGTTAGAATACCTAAAATGATATTCATGCAGTAGAAAAAGCAATACACTGCTGGCTTCAGGTCTTTGAAATTGTCTTGAGATTTGAGGATTCTATACAACACCATTCACTCTCATGTGTCATTTTCTCTGCTCAGAGACCAGAAAGAATATTTCTTGCTTCTCAGTTATCATTAATCTAGTATTCTTCTTTCATAAGGGCTTAAACCAAAATCCTCCTTGAAAAAATGATCTGTCAAGACGTTTTTCATTTTCCCTCTTAGAATACTGACTACAAAACATGACTTCTTAGATTGAATCTGAGGAGTTAACAAGCATGGAACCAATTTAAGAAAAATAAATGCTTTTTATTTTAACAAAGAATGGCTGGAATATAGAAAGAAATGCCAAATCAACAGTTTATTTTGTATAAAGTTAGATGTTGATCCAAGTTGCAACTGAATACATTCTATTGGAAAGAATATAGACTGCTTTTAGCATATCTAGAAGGTGACAGGAAATAGATTCTGACTTAACTTCAAGTATCCCCATGCAATATGATAGAAAAGAGAGTCTAAATAGCAACTTTCTTAACTTTAATTCAATAAGTATTTCTATTACATTAGATTTTTATGTTGTTCTGAGGTAGAGGTCCTACATTCCACAATGATCTAAATTTAAAAAAAAATTAATGATTGCTGAATGCAAAAATCTCATGTTTAATATAGGATAATTTTATATCATTTGAGAATTGAGATAACATAAAATGATGAACCACCTTTCTTTTTTTTTTTTTTTTTTCTTGAGATGGAGTCTCGCTCTGTCGCCCAGGCTGGAGTGCAGTGGCGCAATCTTGGCTCACTGCAAGCTCCTCCTTCCGGGTTCACACTATTCTCCTGTCTCAGCCTCCTGAATAGCTGGGACTACAGGTGCCCGCCACCACACCTGGCTAATTTTGTGTATTTTTAGTAGAGACAGGGTTTCACCATGTTAGCCAGGATGGTCTCGATCTCCTGACCTCATGATCCGCCCGCCTCCACCTCCCAAAGTGCTGGGATTACAGGTGTGAGCCACCACACCCGGCTGAACCACTTTAAATTTCATCTGCACATCTTTAAACCTAGATTTTAAACATCATTTGCTTCACTAAAGACATTGGATTTTTCTTCCAGGGGAAAAGGAAATTATCATCCTCCTTAGAACTGCTTCCCAATCCTGAGACATTTGTAGCCACTCTGAGTCTCTGGAAAGGTCTTAATAACTTTTTGGCATTTGTTTTATATTAAAATATGTAATCAATTGCCACTTGAGAAGTTAATATTGAGGCTTTTTCAATTAGAGTAACTCATGCACCTACAATGTTCACTTTCTCAGAATTCTCCTACCCGCTGCCGCATATAACTGTCCCTTTTATGTTTGGCCGATGCCTTATCTACTGAAGCTATGGCTAAATCCATCTGCACTTGAGTCTAGCAAGTGGAGATACTGGGGAAGTGTTTTGGATTGTTGTAACTTTTAACACTGATTTATCTCAAAGCCTCTACCTCGACAAATTTGAATGGAATGAATACTTCTTTCAGTTACTATCATATTTGAAAATCCAGAATTTCCAATACTTGGAGATAATATATCCATTCTTCATGGGAATCCTTTCTCTTCATCTAGGCTGGTTTACCAGTGTTCTAATCAAATAACATAAATGTATTTTGTTGATACTTTCTAAGAAAGAGTGAAAGAAAAGAGAAAGAGTGAAAGCAAAAGAGTGAGAGACAGAGAGAGACAGAAAAAGTAAATAAGACAGAAAGAAAGAGAGAAAGAAAAGGGAAAGGAAGTGAGAGAAACATTATGTCTGGGCAGCTACTCTGCAGATTTAGAATATTTTCCTTAAGAGTTTGCACATATCCTATTGGAAGTATCTCGTGCAGTAGTGAATGTACTTTTCCTTTAATAAATCAAGGTGACTTCTATTTTATTTTATTTGTTTTTAGTTAATTTTGGATTTTATTTTATCTTATATTAGAAAGTGCTTTAATTAAATTATTCATGTCTGAAACTCCCTATGTTTTCCACTGAGCTTTTGTTGTTGTTTCTTTAAAGAATAAATCTTAAAAAGTAACATAAATTTCATTTTCATTTTACAGGCATACATTAGTTTGTTTTGTATGTTTGGGTGATGATACTCTCTGTATAGTGTTTGGATAATCAGGGTCAAGGTAAGGATGTTTTTAAATACATAGCAGATGAAATGCAGTGATAAAAATATGATGGTTTTGAATTTGCTTTCACAAAGAACATAAAGCTACAGGGAACAAAAACAATGAAGCTTGCATAGCTATCTTTGTCCAGCAGAGACCAGGTGCCTCTATAAACTATCCCTGCATGAAATAATAACTACTGAAGGTTTGGGTTGTTTTGAAATTGCTGATATTTGTAGAAATTTGAGCTAGGATTCTATCAAAACGTGTACATTCCAACAGTTTTTCAACATGATCTCTCATTCATCATTTAAATAAAATCTCTAAGTGGAATAAATCTATTAATCTTTCATGGAGACAGAAGACCAAGCTTGTTTTGGTTATTGTTCTTGCTTATAGTGTAATAAAGAACTTAGGGAACACAATGGGAGAAATGAAGATCGCATTATGGAGTAGGAAAAAAAAAGGTGTTTCCTTAAAAATGAACTGATAGAAGGATTCAGAGAATTGTTAAGGTTGGAAACCACTTTCTCTTACAAAAAAAAAAAAAAAAATTAAAGAAAATGGCCACCATGGGGCTTTGGGGCATGCAGCATGTATTTTCTTCCCTCTTTGCTAGCTAGCTAACTTCACTTGGGCAGAACGTCCTGGATCTGAAACTGAATGCTTTCTTGTAGAAGTTCAAGCTCATTGTATTTTAAGATACACTTCCGGGAGAATCAGTATACCACACACGCACACACGCGTGCACACACACACACACACACACAGCTTGGTTGCTTGAGTTTGAGCCCCTCGCTATGAACTTTTATTGCTTTACTAGACACCTGAGGGGAACTCAGAAATGATATATTTTATCTTATTTTTCACATTATTGTATATTTTCTTGTGTCATAACTTACTGTGTGTGATACTTACCTCACTTGGTGGATTGTGCTTCACTATATTTTTTTAGTATTCTTATTACTTCCTCGACTAACACCTTCTTTAATCAACTTTCTTTATAAAATTCCACTGGAATTCGCTGTGACTTGAGGGCTTTCTCAAAAGTAGTTTAGGATGAGGGACACAAACCCTTGGTACCCATGGTTCCCCTCTGTGGCCCGTTAGGAACAGGACCACACAACAGAAGGTGAGGAGCAGGTGAACAAGCATTAGTGCCTGAGCTCTGCCTCCTGTCAAATCATCTGAGGCATGAGGTTCTCATAGGAATGCAAACTCTATTGTGAGCTGTGCATGTAAAGGATCTAGCTTGTGTACTCCTCATGAGAATCTAACTCCTGATGATCTGTCACTGTTTCCCATCACCCACATTTGGGACCACCTAGTTGTAGGAAAAAAAAAGCTCAGGGCTCCCACTGATTCTAAAATATGTTCAGTTGTATCATTATTTCATTATATATCACAATGTAATAATAATAGAAATAAAGTGCACAATATATGTAATGTGCTTGGGTCATCCTGAAACCACCCCCTCCTCCAGTCCATGGAAAAACTGTCTTGCATGAAACCTGTCCCTGGTGCCAATAATGTTGGGAACTGCCGCTTTAAGACATCTATTCAATAAAAAAAAAGTTAAAAAGCAAACCAACTTCACTTTCCTCCCTGAGTGCAATGTAGAAAAGGACATATAATATGTGCTTCATCAACTCTTTTTTTTCTATTGAGTAGATGCCCTAAAGTACTTCTGAGAAAGCCCTCAAGTCACGGTGAATTACAGTGGAATTTTATAAAGAACGTTGAGTAAATAGAGTGTCAGTCAATGAAGTAATAAGTTAAAAATATTGAAAAATATACGGAACAATGAAAACAAAATGGGCATGATTGGAGATGACCAGGCCTTTAAGAGAGTAACCACAGAGAGTAGCCTGATAGGATTTCTCAGTTCTTGCTTAAGATCCACTTAATGAAGGATGCACAGGTCATTCTTGTATCATGTAGGTGTGATTGGCAGCTGAGGAACTGGGCTTCAGAAGTCAGCACAGACCACCGCAAGAAAACCTGCGCTCAGAGCAGGATTTAGGTGGAGCTAGATGGAACCTGGTCCATCTAGCTCCACCTATGGCTTGGAGCAGGTATTTGCCCAAACACTTGAATATTTTAAGGATTTTTCAGGTGAAGATCCTAGACGTTATGACAAAATATGGGGATGTAAGGGTGAATAGATATCCACTGTGAAGAGTAACCTATAAAGAGGTGATAAGGGATGAAGAGCTGCCTATTTATCATTAAAACTATCTTCAACCTAGATTAAATAATGAATCGATGGCCTAGAAAAAAAATCACCAACAAAGGCATAGTTCCCAATGAAAGGAGAAGAAAAAACTTGGATGAAAGAGATAAATTCTCCTACTTTCCAGCATGTGGTTAAAATTAAGCTTTTGGCTTCCTGCAGGCCTTATTTCATTCATTTATACAGCTGGGCACTTTGTTTTGGAGATGTAGAGAGGCTGCTTGAAAGACCAAGAAAGTGAGTACTTTAAAAAGCATTAAATTGGATCAGTTTAGAAAATTGTTAAATCCTAATGTGATGCCCAAATCAACTTAAATGACTCCAGGGGAGTGGTTAAAGATGTTTATTATACATTTCCAGCCCTTAGCATAAAATAAACCAGACACATCAAATGGAAGAATATCTGTGTTTCTCTATTCTTGGTTCTGTTCATATCCTATAATGAAAACTTGTGCATATGTCCAAAAAATATTCTCTTTTATAAACCATCTTCAGTTCTATTATCTTTGATTGAATGAGATTTGTGCAATGAGCTATTCTATATTTAGAAGAGCAATCTTTTCTTCATCATATGTGGCTTTTAATGTGTCCTTAATGATATTTTCTGAATGTCGATAGTTTTCTCATAACAAGAAAAATCTGTCTAGCCCACTGATCAAAAATATCAAAAATCTTTCTCAAACGGAGAACTGGCAGATTGAGCTGTTTGTCAACAGCTTGTATTCCCCTTAGGTAATTTGGATTCTTTCTTTTTCTTATTTTCAGTACCTCTTTTATCAAGCCTCTTAAATTCATGCCTAGCATGTCAAATGCACTTTAAAAACGGCTGTCTACTACTGGCTTTGGAGAACAGTAGAGGATTAGGAGAGGACAGAAAGAGTTAATTCTTTCAGTTTTCACAGTAGAATAAAGTTAATAGGCTGCCAATAACACCGGTTATAGTTGCAAAAGCTAAAGTTATAAGTAATCCTAAAGGGAAAGAGAAAAATTGTTCCTGACAAGCTGAAATTACTTTATAAAACCTCTTATGTGTTGAGAAGCCCTGAGTTGGTCAGGACATGGAGCTCGTTTCAATGTGTAACTAAGCCTGTTTATAAAGCAAATATCTTGCCCAATATTCATTTTCCTAAAGCATGCCGTTTTTTTCTCATAAGTTACTGGGGTACAGGTGGTATATGGTTACATGAATAAGTTCTTTAGTGGTGATTTGTGAGATTTTCATGCACCCATCACCTGAGCAGTATACACTGCATCATATTTGTAGTCTTTTATCTCTCACCTGCCTCCCACTCTTTCCCCTAAGTCTCCAAAGTCCACTGTATCATTCTTATGCCTTTGCATCCTCATAGCTTAGCTCTCACATATCAGTGAGAACATATGATATTTGGTTTTTCCATTCCTGAGTTATGTCACTTAGAATAGCAGTCTCCAATCTCATCCAGGTCACTGCAAATGCTGTTAATGCATTCCTTTTTCTGGCTGCATAGTATTCCATCATATATATATATACACACACACACATATATAAATACACATATATATGTGTGTATATTTATATGTGTGTGTGTATATATATACACACATGTGTGTGTGTGGAATACCTATATATATTCCACATATATATATGTGGAATACCTATATATATTGCACATATATATGGTGGAATACATATATATATTCCACCATATATATATTCCACCATATATATGTGGAATACATATATATATTCCACCATATATATGTGGAATACATATATGTATTCAACCATATATATGTGGAATACATATATGTATTCCACATATATATGGTGGAATACATATATATATATATATATTCAATCATATATATGTGGTGGAATACATATATATATATTCAATCATATATATGTGGTGGAATACATATATATATTCCATCATATATATGTGAAATATCTATATATATTCCATCATATATATGTGAAATACATATATATATTTCATCATATATATACATATATATAAATATATATATACCTCCCCATATACACACACACCCCACAGTTTCTTTATCTACTCTTTGATTGATAGACATTTGGGTTGGTTCCACAATTTTGCAATTGTGAATTGTGCTGCCACTAACATGCGTGTGCAAGTACCTTTGTCAGGTGTACAGATCGTGAAGATTTTCTCCCACTCTGTAGGTTGTCTGTTTACTCTGTTGACTGTTCCTTTTGCTGTGCAAAAGCTCTTTAGTTTAATTATGTCCCAGCTATTTATCTTTGTTTTTATTGCATTTGCTTTGGGGTTCTTGGTCATGAAATCCTTGCCTAAGCCAATGTCTAGAAGGATTTTTCCAATGTTATCTTCTAGAATTTTTGTAGTTTCAGATCTTAGGTTTAAGGTGTTAATCCATCTTGAGTTGATTTTTGTATAAGGTGAGAGATGAAGATCCAGTTTCATTCTCCTACATACAGCTAGCCAATTATCCCAGCACCATTTGTTGATAAGGGTGTCCTTTCCCCACTTTATGTTTTTGTTTGCTTTGTCGAAGATCAGTTGGTTGTAAGTATTTGGGTTTATTTCCGGGTTCTCTATTCTGTTCCATTGGTCTATGTGCCTATTTTTATACCGGTACCATGCTGTTTTGGTGACTATGGCCTTATAGTATAGTTTGAAATCAGGTAGTGTGATGCCTCCGGATTTGCTCTTTTTGATTAATCTTTCTTTGGCTATGTGGGCTCTTTTTTGGTTCCATATGAATGTTAGAATTGTTTTTTCTAATTCTGTGAAGAATGATCATGGTACTCTGTTGAGAATTGCTTTGAATTTGTATAATGCTTTTGCCAGTATGGTCATTTTCACAATATTGATTCTACCCATCCAGGAGCATGGGATGTGTTTCCATTTGTGTCATCTATGATTTCTTTCAGCAGTGATTTTTTAGTTTTTCTTGTAGTGGTCCTTTGACTCCTTTGTTAGGTATATTCGTAAGTTTTTTTTTTTTTTTTTTTGCAGCTATTGTAAAAGGGATTGAATTCTTGTTTTGATTCTCTGCTTGGTCGTTGTTGGTGTATAGAAGAGCTACTGATTTGTGTACATTAATCTTATATCTGGAGACTTCACTGAATTCTTTTATCAGTTCTAGGAGCTTTCTAGGGGAGTCCTTAGGGTTTTCAAGGTAAACCACTGTTTACTGAAAGCAACAGTGACAGTTTTACTTCCTCTTTGCTGATTTGGATGCCCTTTATTTATTTCTCTTGTCTGATTGCTCTGGCTAGGACTTCCAGTACTATGCTGAAGAGGAATGGTGAGAGTGGGCATCTTTGCCTTGTTCCAGTTCTCAGAGAGAATACTTTCAACTTTTCCCTGTTCAGTATTATGTTGGCTGTTGGTTTGTCACAAATGGATTTTATTATATTAAGGTATGTCTCTTTTATGCCTATTTTGCTGAGAGTTTTAATCATAAAGGGATGCTGGATTTTGTCAAATGCTTTTTCTGCATCTATAGAGGTGATCATGTGATTTTTGCTTTTAATTTTATGTGGTGTATCGCATTTATTGGCTTGCGTATGTTCAACCATCCCTACATCCCTTGTACGAAACCCAGTTGGTCATGGTGGATTATCTTTTTGATATGTTGTTGTCATTGGTTAGCTAGTATTTTGTTAAGGATTTTAGCATCTATGTTAATCAAAGATACAAGTCTTTAGTTTTATTTTTTGGTTGGGTCCTTTCCTGGTTTTGGTATTAGGGTGATGCTGGCTTCATAGAATGAATTAGCAAGGGTTTCTTCTTTCTCTATCTGTGGAATAGTGTCAAAAGGATGAGTACCAATTCTTCCCTGAATGTCTGGTAGAATTCTGCTGTGAATCTGCTTGGTCCTGGACTTTTTTTCATTGGTAATTTTTAAGTACAATTTCAATCTTGCTGCTTGTTATTGGTTTGTTCAGGGTATCTAATATTTCCTGATTTAAACTGGGAGGGTTGTATCTTTCCAGGAATTTGTCCATCTCTTCTAGGTTTTCTAGTTTATGTGCATAAAGGTGTTCACAGTAGCCTTGAATGATCTTTTGTATTTCAGTGGTGTCTGTTGTAATATCTCCTGTTTCATTTCTTAGTGAGGCTATTTGGATTTTTCTCTCCTATTTTTCTTGCTTAATCTTGCTAATGGTCTATCAATTTTATTTATCTTTTCAAAGAACCAGCTTTTTTTCATTTATCTTTTGTATTTTTTGTTTCAATTTCATTTTGTTCTGCTCTGATCTTGGTTATTTCCTTTTTTCTGCTGGGTTTGGGTTTGATTTGTTCTTGTTTCTCTAATTCCTTCAGGTGTGACCTTAGATTGTCTGTCTGTGCTCTTTCAGACTTTTTGATGTAGGCGCTTAGGGCTATGAACTTTCCTGTTAGCACTGCCTTTGCTGTATCCCAGAGGTTTTGATAGGTTGTCATTTAGTTTGGAGAATTTTTAAATTTCCATCTTGATTTCATTTTTGACTCAATGCTCATTCAGGAGCAGGTGTTTTAACTTCCATGTATTTGCATGGTTTCAAAGATTCCTTTTGGAGTTATTTCCAGTTTTATTCCACTGTGGTCTGAGAGAGTGCTTGATACAATTTCAATTTTCTTAAATTTATTGAGGCTCATTTTATGGCTATCATATTGTCTATCTTGGAGAAAGTTCCATGCGCTGTTGAATAGAATGTGTATTCTGTGGTTGTTGGATGAAATGTTCTGTATATATCTGTTAGGTCCATTTGTTCCAAGGTATAGTTTCAATCCATTGTTTCTTTGTTGACTTTCTGTCTTGATGACCTGTCTAGTGCTGTCAGTGGAGTATTGAAGTCCCCCACTATTATTGTGTTGCTGCCTATCTCATTTCTTAGGTCTATTAGTAATTGTTTAAAAATTTGGGAGCTCTAGTGTTAGGTGGATATATGTTTAGAATTGTGATATTTTCCTGTTGGACAAGACCTGTTAGCATTATATACTGTCCCTCTTTGTCTCTTTTAACCTCTATTGTTTTAAAGTTTGTTTTGTCTGATATAAGAATAGCTACCCCTGCTCACTTCTGGTGTCCATTTGCATGAAATGCCTTTATCCACCCCTTTACTTTAAGTTTATGTGAGTTCTTGTGTGTTAGGTGGGTCTCCTGAAGGCAGCAGATAGTTGATTGGTGAGTTGTTACCCATTCTGCGGTTCTGTATCTTTTAAGTGGAGCATTTAGGCCATTTACATTCAATGTTAGCATTGAAATGTGAGGTACCATTACTTTCATCGTGCTCTTTGTTGCTTGTGCACTTTTGTGGGGTTTTTTTGTTGTTGTTGTTGTTTCTTTTTTTTTTCTTTTTGCCTTGTATTTTTGTTTTATAGGTCCTGTGTGATTTATGCTTTAAAGAGGTTCTGTTTTAATGTGTTTCCAGGACTTGTTTCAAGATTCAGAGCTCCTTTTAGCAGTTATCGTAGTGCCCTTTAACCCAATATTTTTGTTTCTTTTTATTGTTGGCATGGAGACTAAGAAGCACTCTGCTAGACTGATAAATGCATGGTTACATCAACATAACATTTTCAGTCGAGTTCCCAGGAGCCTTCCTCCTGAATCTGTCATTTTGATTCAGATAACTAAATCAGGCTAAGCACAGCAATGATAACGGATGACTTGCCTCATTAGCGGGCTCCCACTGCTTTATGCTGCCAGGAAGCTCTACAGTGACTGCCTAGGATCTTGGGAGAGATCACTGCTTTTTGAAATTATTTTCGTGCATATTTCTTGTAATTCTCATCTTGCATTTTGACAGTAATTTTGTAGGATGATATATGTACCAAATCCATATGCCTAGATTGTCGTTCTCTAACTCTGTGATGTGTGATTGGTTTTATGAAGACTGAGACAATGACCAGCTTAATCTAGGAGACTATTAAAAAATGTTCTGCAAATTTTTCTCTTTCTAATGCTGCATTTCTGGTATCATTTTAATTAATGGTGTTAGAAATACTGAGATGATCTCCCTTCCTGTATGAAAGCAGATTCTATGGTAAATGCTGTTCCAGTTCCAAAATGATACTTTACTTGGATCTCAGGACTCATTGAGCTTTAATATGTAAAATAATATCTTTTTTTTTTTTTAAAAAAAGGAACTAATTATTTGTAGAAATTTTGACGTGGAAGAGAGACTAAGCAAGCAAAAAACAAAGGATCTCATTTAGTCATCACAATCTGAATTTGAGATTCATAAAATTAGACACAATTATGCATGTGCCTGAAAGCTGCCTGTATAAAGAAAAGAATGGGAATACACAATTGGAAGCAAAAGAAGCTGCAATTAGACCATGATCAATGCTCTAGGCTGAGAGAATATGAACAAATTAAAAGGGGCTGCTCCAAATCAAACATTATTTTAGCAATATTTTGACGTTTTAATATCAATCTAACTATAACTAAAAAGCTAATCTTTAAAATTAGGACGATTATAGCAACATTTACATTTCCAAGTATTTGGTGATATCTTTCTCTTGACTGACCTTCTCTACAAACATGCCCCAAATGATCTCTGATTTCGATTTTAAGCACCCCCACAACTATTAGACAGTTTTGCACATGTTTCATGAATATACATTCTCATTTCAATGGATGAAAGTCTACAATGGGGTTATATGAATACACCTGCCCAAATAATAGATCAAATTGTATTTAGTCACTCTTCTAAATAGAACGGATGGGAAATATTTGAATAATAAGTAATTTTGTCCCTCACATCCTAAAAAGTCAATTTGGTAAGCCTATGTCCTCATGTAAGGGATAAGATTGTCTGAAAGCATTTTATTTTTAAACATTTAAAAACTCAAATTCAATAAATCTGCCATATTCTCCTAAAACATCAATACACTCCACTGACTTTCTTGTACATATTGTAGTCGATGGTCCAATATTATAATCTCTTACAAATATCCCCACATTTTTATCAATGTTACAGGAGAAACTTATAAAAGTGGCTAGCTTCATTCTAAATAAATGGTGTCAAACTTCAAACAGATGTTAAACTACAGCCCTAAAATATCTCCCTGGAAGCTCACTTCCAGCCTCTCAAAACGCAATTTCATTTATTTATTCTCTCATCTGTGATCAACTTTTTATACACCCTTTGTCCCCACTACCAGCACAAGAGCCATTGGTGGATGACATTATGTCATATTGAAAGGAAAACAGAAAGCATTAGGTTTTCTAGAACTTCTCTCTACAACTATCTTAGATGGAATTGTGCACATCTTGCCCTTTACCTCTTGTTATTAGGAAGTAAATTTCTTCCTAAAAGCTGTACTCTCACTTATGCTTCAGACTGGGCATTTACTCTTTGATTATCCTCATTCCTTTAGTCATTTTCAACTTGGGTCCATTTTTACTATGTCATTACCTTAAAATCATATATGTTTTCAAAGATTTCTAATTGTTTCCTTCTCTTCTAGTCACTTCCTACTTCCCTTCACATCAAAATGGTCTGAATATGATTCTACTGTTATTTCAACTTATTTCTCTCTCATTATCTTCCCGAACTTTTGTCATCTGGTTCACATCTTCACAAGGGCACTGAGTCGAATGGTCGCTTTTTAGGTTTGATAGTATTTGAACTCTCAGCACCATGCTTCACAGTTGACATCTGTCTTCATCTCCTTCTCAAAATAATCTCTCTGACTTTAGCTCATGTCAAATCATCCTGGACTTATTTCCCCCTCACTCACCGTTCTTTATCCACTTTGCCAACTCTGCATCCTCTTTGCTGACTCTAATGCTTGCAGTTTCTCTGAGATTTACCCTTAAGCTCTCTTCACTTCTTTCTTTATTTTCTGTTCCCAGGTAATCTTATCCTTTCTCATAGCTTAATATATCTTTGTGCTGGCATCACCCACATTTATATATACAGTGGGAGACCTTCCTCTAGAGTTCCAGACATATCAAACTGCACCCAGGAAGTCACCACTGGGAAGCTTCTAAGGAACTTAAACTTTAGGTAGTAGAAACCTTTTAAATGATTTTCACTTAAGTGACATACTAAATTTCTTTAGTAATTATTAACATCATAAAACACACTAAAAGATACTCGAAACACTTCTTCCACCCTAGTTAATTGAAAACCTGTTAATGGTTAGTATCAGTGATATCTGCTCCCAAATAGGTTTGAGATTTAAGTACACACTATAAAAACATAAGAAAGAGTAATACCAAAAAGCTATCATTTAATGAAAATTAAAGTTTTGGAAATTTAAACATTTGGAAAATTTGATAAATGTGAGTTGCTAAAGTCAACTTATCTAATGACATGAATTATGAAGAAGAAAATGATTAAGAGAAAAAAACTACAAATATCTAGAAGGATTTAGAATTAAGTTGTATTTTCTAGGATTTTTATTTTTATTCGGATGTATGCTGCACTCTAGCCTGGGCAACAGCAAGAATCTGTCTCTAAAATACTCTCATTCTCTCTCTCTCTCTTTCTCTCTCTCGTCTCTCTCTCTCTGTCTCTGTGTGTGTGTGTGTGTATACTACATTATTTTTATTCAATTATATATTATTTATATACTTTATAATAGAAAATTTGTTATGGGTGTAGTTTATGGAAGAAAGAAAATAGAAATTTTATCGGGCTCTACTTTTAACAATGGACATATTTTTTGCATATTTCTATGTTTAAGTCAAAATATATGTTTAGGTGCATATTGCAATGACATTTTTAATGGAATGAATTTAATAAGTACAGACAGAAGAAATTTTATTTTTATCTAATTAAATGTGCTTTGGGAATTTCTTTTCTCAAGATCTTGCCAATATCAGGTGCAGATCCCATGGAATTTGTGTTCTAATAAGTCTAGTGTGGTCTAATTTTAAAACACCAATATTATATCCAATTTAAATATTCTTTTTTTTTTTTTTTTTTTTTTCAGAAAAATCCCGAACCTTAGTTGGAAACCTCGTTGGGAAAAGGGGGTATGGTCTATTCTTTCAATCTGTTTCACCTTTTTTTTTTCTCCTACAACTGGCCCCTCAATGATCACAATTGAGGGGAGGAACAGATAGGAGTAAAAGGAGTTTTCTTAGATTATATTTTTGTAATCTTGTTTATTGCCCTGTGTGTGGTAAGCCCTCACCTTTTAGTTCTCAGAAATTATAAGCCAGAATTACTATGGAAGACCTCTGCAAGGATGCTTCCCTCCAGCGTTATCTGCTGTTCGTGATGCAACACCTGACTAAACTAATTTATCTCATGATATACCCACTGCAACTTCTTGCTGGAATCCCCTTATTTCAACAAGATGGCACTTCTCTTTGTAGATAGATAGATAGACAGACAGATAGATAGATGATGGATAGATAGATGATAGATAGATGATAGATAGAAAATAGATAGACAGACAGACAGATAAATTTAGCACAAAAATTCTGGTCAGGTATTTTATAAAATGTTCCTCAGTTTTAGTTTGTCAGATGTTTTTCTTATGATTCAACTGGAAATATGGGTTTTGGAAAGGAGACCACAGAGGTGAAATGCAATTTATATCACATCATAACAATGATACACAATATCAACATGACTGATCATTGATGATGCCGAGGCAGTATTTGTTAAGTTTCTCCTTTGTAAAGTTACTCTTTTATTTTCCACTCTATTTCCATAATGTATTTTTTTGGAAGGAAGTCATTATGTGCAGCCTACATTTAAGGAGTAGGGATACAAATATAGAAATGTATGCAAAAATATGCAGCTCAATGATTTACTACAAAGGAAGTATTTTGTTACCACCACCCAGGTAAAAAAATGAAAATTGCCAGCATCCAAAAAGCCCACTTCATTTCATCCTCCAATTGCTATCTGTTCCTTTTTCACAAGGTAATTATTAACCTGACTTTAAGAAAAATCACTTTCTGCTTTGCTTTGTATTTTACCGTTCAAGCATGTATATCTAAACACTATAGTTTGGTTTTGACTGCTTTTTTTGAATCATAAATTATACATCTTAGTAAGCTTGTATTACAAAATAATTTTAGATTCACAGAAGAGTTGCAAATATAGTATCGATAGTTTCTGTATAACCTGCACCATTTCCCATGTTGTTTAGATCGTACATTGTGTGATATATTTATCACAACTAATGGACCAATTTTAATACATTATTATTAACTAAATTTCATACTTCAGTTGTATTTCTTTGGTTTTTACCTAACGCACTCCTTTTACTTTTCTATAACAGGATCCCTCTCAGGATAGCACATTCTGTTTAATAATCCTGTCTCCTTAGGCTTCAATAGACTGTCACCCTTTCTCAGACTTTCCTTATTTTTGATGACCTTGACAGATTTCAGGAGTACTAGTCGGGAATTTTATACATCGTTCCTCAGTTTTGGTTTGTCAGATATTTTTCTCATGATTAACCAGGGTTTGGGAAAGGAAGCCCACAGAGGAGAAGTGCTATTCCTATAACATTATATCAAGGGTACATACTATCAGTTGAAATTTTCACTGAAGATAGGCTTGGTCACCTAGCTGAAGTAGTTTCTTAGGTTTCTTGTCTGTAGAGTTACTCAGGTTTTTTTTTTGTTTCTGGTTTTTGTGTTTGTTTGTTTGTTTGTTTGTTTGTTTGTTTTTCTTTGAGACAGAGTCTCACTCTGTCGCCCAGGCTGGAGTGCAGTGGCACAATCTCGGCTCACTGCAACCTCTGCCTCCCGGGTTCAAGCGATTCTCATGCCTCAGACTCCCCAGTAGCTGGGACTACAGGCGCACGCCACCATGCCTGGCTAATTTTTGTATTTTTAGTAGAGATGGGGTTTCACCAGGTTTTTCTTTTTCTTTTTTTTTTTTCCACTCATTCCAAAAGTGTATTTTTTGGAAGGAAGTCATTAATGTGAAGCCTACTTTTAAAGAGCAGGAATTAGGCCACATCTCCCTGATGGCTAAGTATCTATATTATCATTAGGAATTCTGCATGAGAGATTTGACTCTTATACCTTATTTATCCATTTATTCAAACATTTCTTTGTACCACTATGAGCTCATGGATATTTATCTTACAATTTGGGTTATAATGCAATACATGCTATTTGTTTTTTCACTTAAACTTTTCCAGCTTTGGTCATTGGCTGCTCATTCAGTTGACTTCTGTGCCATTTTGATAAACCCTTCCATCATTGTTGTGACTTTGATGCTTTCTGGCACTGTAAAATGTTTCAGGCTCATTTTGTATATTCCCTTCTACAGACCGTTTCTCCAAGGATCCTGGTTTCTTTTATTAACATTATGAATTTATTTTATGTCTGGCTTCTTCTCTGTTCAGCATTATATTTGTGAGACTCATCGACTTTGTTGTGCTTAGCTGCAGTTTGTGTATTTTTGGCTCTGTAGTAGGGATCAGCAATCTACTTACTTTGGGCCACTTCTGGCTCATTCGTGTTTTATAAATAATGTCACACACATTTATTTATATTGTCTATGGTTGCTTTCACACTGCAAGAAGAGAGTTGAGTATTGCTATCACTCAACAATTGGGTTATATCCAGTTTGGGTTCTTATAAATTGCACTGCTTCAGATATTATTGGACATATTTTTTTGGTACATGCAAATTTGCATTTTACTTAGGTAAAGGCCTGTGGATGGAGATTCCTGGGACATAAAATACTCTGACTTTCAGCTTCAGTTGGTACTTCCAAAAAAATGACCAAATTTATTCACTTATTTATTTTTATTTTTTCTTCAACTTACATTTTAAGTTCTGGGGTACACGTGCAGGATGTGCAGGTTTGTTACATAGGTAAACATGTGCCATGTTGGTTTGCTGCACAGATCAACCCATCACCTATGTATTAAGTCCAGCATCCATTAGCTATTTTTCTCGAAGCTCTCCCTCCCCCATCCCATCCCCCTGACAGGCCCCAGTGTGTGTTGTTCCCCACCATGTGTCCATGTGTTCTCATCATTCGGTGCCCACATGCTGTGTTTAATTTTATGTTCCTGCATTAGTTTGCTGAAGATTACGGCTTCCAGATCCATCCATGTCCCTGCAAAGAACAGGATCTCATTCTGTTTTATGGCTGCATAGTCTTCCATGGTATTTATGTGCCACATTTTTGTTTTTCAGTCTATCATTGATGGGCATTTGGGTTGATTCCATGTCTTTGCTGTTGTGAATAGTGTTCCGATGAACATGTACATGCGTGTATCTTTATAAAAGAATAATTTATATTCTTTAGGGTATATATCCAGTAATAAGATTGCTGGATCAAATGGTATTTCTGCTTCTAGATATTTGAGGAATTGCCACACTGTCTTCCACACTTGAACTAATTTACACTCTCACCAACTGTGTAAAAGTGGTAATTTTTCTCCACAACCTTACCAGCATCTGTTGTTTCTTGACTTTTTTTAAATCTTTTTTATTTTATTTATTTATTTTTACTTTTTAATTTTTATTTATTTTTTTAATTTGATTTAATTATTATTAAAGTTTTAGGGTACATGTGCACAATGTGCAGGTTTGTTACATATGTATACATGTGCCATGTTGGTGTGTTGCACCCATTAACTCGTCATTTAGCATTAGGTATATCTCCTAATGCTATCCCTCCCCCCTCCCCCCACCCCACAACAGTCCCCAGTGCGTGATGTTCCCCTTCCTGTGTCCATCTGTTCTCATCGTTCAGTTCCCACCTATGAGCGAGAACATGCGGTGTTTGGTTTTTTGTCCTTGCGATGGTTTGCTGAGAATGATGGTTTCCAGTTTCATTCATGTCCCTACAAAGGACATGAACTCATCATTTTTTATGGCTGCATAGTATTCCATGGTGTATATGTGCCACATTTTCTTAGTCCAGTCTATTGTTGTTGGACATTCAAGTTGGTTCCAAGTCTTTGCTATTGTGAATAGTGCCGCTATAAACATATGTGTGCATGTGTCTTTATAGCAGCATGATTTATAATCCTTTGGGTATATACCCAGTAATGGGATGGCTGAGTCAAATGGGATTTCTAGTTCTAGATCCCTGAGGAATCGCCACACTGACTTCCACAATGGTTGAACTAGTTTACAGTCCCACCAACAGTGTAACAGTTCCTATTTCTCCACATCCTCTCCAGCACTTGTTGTTTCCTGACTTTTTAATGATCGCCATTCTAACTTGTGTGAGATGGTATCTCACTGTGGTTTTGATTTGCATTTCTCTGATGGCCAGTGATGATGAGCATTTTTTCATATGTTTTTTGGCTGCATAAATGTCTTCTTTTGAGAAGTGTCTGTTCATATCCTTCACCCACTTTTTGATGGGGTTTTTTTTTCTTGTAAATTTGTTTGAGTTCATTGTAGATTCTGGATATTAGCCCTTTGTCAGAAGAATAGGTTGCAAAAATTTTCTCCCATTCTGTAGGTTGCCTGTTCACTCTGATGGTAGTTTCTTTTGCTGTGCAGAAGCTCTTGAGTTTAATTAGATCCCATTTGTCAGTTTTGGCTTTTGTTGCCATTGCTTTTGGTGTTTTAGACATGACAAACTGTACTACAAGGCTACAGTAACCAAAACAGCATGGTACTGGTACCAAAACAGAGATATAGACCAATGGAAAAGAACAGAGCCCTCAGAAATAATGCCACTTATCTACAACTATCTGAACTTTGACAAACCTGACAAAAACAAGCAATGGGAAAGGATTCCCTATTTAATAAATGGTGCTGGGAAAACTGGCTAGACATATGTAGAAAGCTGAAACTGGATCCCTTCCTTACACCTTATACAAAAATTAATTCAATATGGATTAAAGACTTAAATGTTAGACCTAAAACCATAAAAACCCTAGAAGAAAACCTAGGTTTCTTGACTTTTTAATAATTACCACTCTGACTGGCATGAGATGGTGTCTCATTGTGGTTTTGATTTGAATTTATCTAATGATCAATGATGTTGAGCTTTTTTTCATATGTTTCTTGGCCATGTGAATGTCTTCATCAGAGAGGTGTCTCTTCATGTCCCTTGCTCACTTTTTAATGGGGTTGTTTTTTTCTTGTAATTTTTTTTTTTTGAGACAGAGTCTCTGTCATCCAGACTAGAGTGCAGTGGCATGATCTCGGCTCACTGCAACCTCCACCTCCTGGGTTCAAATGATTCTCCTGCCTCAGCCTTCCGAGTATCTGAGATTACAGGCACCCACCACCGCACCCAGGTAATTTTTGCATTTTTAGTAGAGGTGGGGTTTCACCAGTTGGCCAGGTTGCTCTCAAACTCCTGACCTCAGAGTCATCTGCCTGCCTTGGCCTCCCAAAGTGCTGGGATTACATGTATGAGCCACAGCATCTGGTCTTGTAAATTTGTGTAAGTTCCTTGCAGACTCTGAATATTAGACCTTTGTCAGGGGGACCAATTGCAAAAATTTTCTCCTATTCTGTAGGGTGTCTGTTCATTCTGATGATAGTTTCTTTTGCTGTGCAAAAGCTCTTTAGTTTAATTATATCCCATTTGTCAATTTTTTATTTTGTTGCAATTGCCTTTGGTATTTTCATCATGAAATCTTTGCCCATGCCTACGTCCTGAATGGTATTGCCTATATTTTCTTCTAAGGTTTTTATAATTTGGGGTTTTACATTTAAGTCCTCAATCCATCAGGTGTAAGAAAGAAGTCCAGTTTTAATTTTCTGCATATGGCTAGCCAGTTCTCCCAGCACCATTTATTAAATAGGGAATCATTTCCCCATTGCTTGTGTTTGTCAGGTTTGTTGAAGATCAGATAGTTTAGGTGTGCAGTCTTATTTCTGAGTTCTCTTTTCAGTTCCATTGGTCTATGTGTCTATTTTTGTACCATGCTGTTTTGGTTATGGTAGCCTTAGAGTATAGTTTAAAGTTGGGTAGCTTGATGCCTCCAGCTTTGTTGTTTGTGCTTAGGATTGTCTTGGCAATGTGGGCTTTTCATTTGGTTCCAGATGAATTTTAAAATCATTTTCTCTAATTCTGTGAAAAGTATAAATGTTACATTTAACAGGAATAGCATGTAATCTATATATTACTTTGGGCAGTATGGCCATTTTCACAATATTGATTCTCCCTATCCAAGAGCATGGAATATTTTTCTATTTATTTGTGTCCTCTCTGATTTCCTTGAGCAGTCATTTGTAGTTCTCCTTGAAGAGTTTCTTCACTTACCTTGTTAGTGTATTCCTAAGTATTTTATTCTGTTTGTAGCAATTGTGAATGGGAGTTAATATACCTAACTTAAGACATTTTCTTAATGGATTTTAAATAGCATCAAATGATTTTTCTGCAATTGAGGAGGTTGACTCCTTTCTTTTATATTGTGTCACTGTGGCAAATCATATTTTTTAAAATATTAAATAAATCTTGCTCTCCCAGAATAAGCCCAACTTTGTTTTGCTATATTTATACAGTTGTTAATAAAACATGTATACAGTTGTAACAAAGTGGTTTACAATGTTTTTACAGTACAATGTTATTTCAATAAGTGAGATTGGTTGGTACTTTTTCTTTCTTTTGTAGTGTCAAGTTTATTATGGCCTTTTTAAATGAATTGTTCTGCATTTTCTCTTTTTCTATTGTATGGGAGTGTTTGAATAAGATTGGCATATGTCACCTGGAATTTGAGAAATCCATAGTGAATGGTGTCATCTTCTTAATGGTGTCATCTTAATATTGTTTAATACATGTAGGTAGAATATGCTAATACAATTTTTGAGTTGGAGATTTATTTTTAAGAGCAGGTTTTCAATTATGAATTTATTTTAAAATTATATTTTGTTACGGTAGGAACAAAATATGAAATCTATACTTCTGAAAATATTAAGTGTACAATACATTACGACTGACTATAGTCTTTAATTGTTCACTCTTTAAGAAAGGATTCTTAAAGAAATCGTTTCTTTCTTAAAGACTTTTTTTAGATAAATTGTTCAATCTTTAAGAAAGATAATTTTTTGAGATGCGTGTTTATATCATTGATATTCAGCTATTTTCTTTACTATCATATATTTTAAAACTACAGCTTCTCTAGCCACAATTTTAAATAGATGAGAATTGTAAATTGGGAATCATCATATTTTAATGATGAATTGACAGATTTAAAATTATGAAATATCTATCTCTGTTTGACAACATGTATTATATCTGATGTTTATATAGATACAACAGTTGCATCCTTTCACCTTTAATCTTACTGTGTCTTAGAGTTTTTTTCTCTTGTCAATACTATATGATTAGATATTGTTCTTTCTATCAATAACATTGTTTGCACTTCACTGCTTATCTTTCCATTTTAAAAATCCTCCCCAGGTAAGAAGATGACACCACTCACTATGATTTCTCAAATTTCAGGTGACACATGCCAAACCTTGTGAACAGATTTCCTACTATAGTAACAATGTGGATGTTTGTGATTCTACAGTTCACTAAGCAGCCATCTGGAGAGTGAAATACTAGTCTACCATATGCCTATATAACACCATGTTCTACAGATGGCATTTATTTTGTCCCCTCTTTCTCTTTACTGGTGAGTTAGTACTGGGGAAGAAGAGACACCACAATTCACTAAAATAAGTTGAAAATCTATACTAGAAATTAGTTATCTCTCATAATGCCTAATCTGATGAAGTGGAGGGCTAAGTCAAAGGACTACCATGGTCACCAATTGCTAATCTCTGGATGGAGTATTTGGCAACTCTTTTGTATTGTCCTTAGAACCTGAGCCTTAGCATTAATTATCTATAGTTTTAGAACTACAGCCAAAATCCCAATACAATATGAATTACCTATGTAAATAATATTTTATGATTCATTAATTTTACTATTTTTAAAAAAAGTCATCAAATTATTTTCTAGTTCATATTTGTTGCAACGTCAATTTCTGGACTTATGAAGGTTTATTCTTTTATTTTTTCCTGCATTTTTCACTTTCTTATGTAATAGTTCTTCAATCTTTCTTAATATTGACATATAATACCAATATTCAACCATTAGCTGGGCCAGAAATCTATACTTCCTTCAGTTAGGCATCTCATTTCTCAAATCTCAAATTCAATGTATCAGTAGATTCTGTTGGATCAACCTCGCCAATATATGTTCTGCCTCTCTCCTTCTTTCTCTGTCCTCTTTTACCACCTGTATCCAAGCCCGTATCATTTCTGTTTGGGCTTACTTTAAAGACCCCCTAATTGCCTCACTAAATTTAGCCTCAGCAAACTGATGGTGTATTCATCACATAGGAGCAGAATACAAGAATACGTGTTATAAAACATGAATATTATCAACAACTAGTTTGCTTAATGTAATTAACCACTTCTCACTTCCTTTAGGACAGAACCTAAATGTCTGGCCATAGCTTATAAAACCAGGCATTATTTAGCATTGACATGGCTTCCTAACCTAATTTCATGCCATCTCTCTCCTCACTGTCTCTACTGTAGTTGCAACAACTCTCTTAGATGAATACAGGCTTATTTCTTTCTCTTGCTCTTTTCTCTACCTAGAGCATTATCCCTATGGCTCTTCACATAGAGCATTATCCCTATGTCTCTTCGCATAGTTGAGTCATTCTCATCTCATCAGGCACATAGTTAAAAGGCCCCTTTTAGAGAGCCTATCCCTAACTACTCTAGATCTCTCTCTCTCTCTCTCTCTGTCTCTCTCTCTGTGTCTATCTATAGATAGGTAGATTAGATAGATAGATACATTATATAATCTATTTATATCTATAAATACAAATATTTCTCTATATTTATATTATATAAATGTAATCTATCTATCTATCTATAGACAGAGATTATCTATCATAGATTATAACCAAAATCCTACCAACATTGGGCCAAAGCCATATTTTATGTGTGTGTATATATATATATATATACACATATATATATACACGTATATATATATACGTATATATATATACATGTATATATATGTGTATATATGTATATATGTGTATATATGTGTATATATGTATATATGTGTATATATGTATATATGTGTATATATGTATATGTGTATATATATGTATATATGTGTGTATATATGTATATATGTATATATGTATATATGTATATATGTGTATATGTGTATATATGTATATATGTATATATATGTATATATATGTATATATATGTGTATATGTGTATATATATGTATATATATGTATATATATGTGTATATATGTATATATATGTGTGTATATATGTATGTATATATATATGTGTATATATATATACATACATAGACTGGCCAACACCAGACTGGCCAAAATGGTGAAACCCCGTCTCTACTAAAAATACAAAAAAAAAAAAATACATATATATATAATAAAAAAATGTGAGTATGTATATCACTATTATCAGAAATTATGGTGCCTTCTTTATTTATTTGCTACCAATTTACATAATAGGCTTTCAATCTAATATGAAGCCACTGTTATAGTTTGACTATCTCCTCCAAAACTTATGCGGAAATTTAACCCACAAGGTAACATTATTGAAAGGTGGACCTTTAAGATGTTATTGAATCATGGATTAATCTATTCATGCATCAGTTATTTAACAGGTTAATGGATGAATGGGTTATCATGGAAGTGGGACATTGATGTCTTTATAAGAAGAGGGAGAGAGAACTGAGCTAGTACTTTAGCATGCTCAGCCCCCTCTCCATGTGATACTGTGTGCCGCCTCAGGATTTTGCTTGGAGTCCCCATCAGCAAGAGGGCTCTCATCAGATGCTACGCCTCAACCTTGTACTTTTCAGCCACTACAACAGTAAGAAATGCACTCCTTTACTATATGAATTACCCAGTTTCATGTATTTTGTTATAAGCAACAGAACATTGATTAAGATAGCCACACAAGTATAATTTTCTGCATTTGTTTAGCTATTTGAGTTACCAGTTTCCTGATTTACAAATCAAGAAGGTTAAGACTTACCTCTCATTCACACTGTGATGACAAAAACAGGTCATTATTGAGTAAATCCTTAGCCAATGATTAATGTATGAGAAAGCACAGTAAATATAACTTCCTTTCCTATCATGTATATGTTCCAAAAAGTATATATACTTTTTAAAAACATTAAAACAAAACCAAAAACAATAAACTGTTGGTGAGCATTATTTCTTGCCTTTACTTAAATGGAGAAATGATAATTCTGATTTTCACCAAGAAATTCTTGTTTGACTTGCTGTTCAGGTAGGCAGATTTTAATTGAATATGTTACAAGAAGCTCATATTAAGTAATATTTTAAAATCTATGCTGATTGAATTTTTATTATATAGCTCTTAAATATGAAAATACGTAATATCTTTATTTTTCAGAAAAGTGATGACATAAAGACTAGGTTTTGTAATGCTTCATTTCCTTTTCTGATTTTAACTATATATACTATGGCCCATGTAAATAAGCATTAGATGGTATTAATGGCTGTGTGTGTGTATGCATGTGTGTGTGTGTATGAATGTAGTATCATGAACTGAATATGAATTCCCAAATTTTAAATGTTGAAACCTGACACCTAATATGATGGCATTAAAAAGAGGAAGGGGAGCCTTTGGGAGATGTTTAGGTCATGATAATAGAGAATTTGTGAATGTGATTAGTGCCCTTATAAAGGAGACCCCAGAGACCTCCCTCACTCCTTCTACCATATAAGGACACAGCAAGAAGGCCCAGTTTGTAAGCCAGAAAGTGAGCCTTCATCAAACACGAAATCTGTCAGTGCCTTTATCTTGGACTTTGAAGTTCCAAAATGGTTAGAAATAAATTTTTGTTGTTTCTAAGCTATTTAGTTTATGACATATTTTTCTATCATACTTTTTTGGCTTAGAAAATGCTGCTGTGTCTGCCTAGAAGATATTTTTTAATTTTTAATTTTCGTGGGTACATAGTAGGTGTACAGGTTTAAGGGGTACCTGGGATATTATGATTTAGGGACACAATGTGCTATAATCACATCAGGGTAAGTGGGGTATCCATCACCTCAAACATTTATGATTTCTTTGTGTTAGAAACAATCCAATTATACTTTTTTGATTATTTATTTTATTTATATATTTATTTGAGATGAAATCTCACTCTTGCCACCCAGCCTGAAGTGCAGTGGTGCAATCCTGGCTCACTGCAACCTCCACCTCCCGGGTTCAAGAGATTCTCCGGCCTCAGCCTTCCGAGGAGCTGGGATTACAGTCACCTGCCACCATGCCCGGCTAATTTTTGTATTTTTAGTAGAGAGGGGGTTTCACCATTTTGACCAGTCTGGTCTCGAACTCCTGACCTCAAGTGATCCACCAGCCTCGGCTTCCCAAAATGCTGGAATTACAGGAGTGAACCACAGTGCCAGGCCCTTTTAATTACTTTTAAATGCACAACAAAATAGTGTTGACTGTAGTTACCCTGTTGTGCTACCACATACTAGATCTTATTCATTCTATGGAACTATATTTTTGTGCTCTTTAGCCATCCCCACCCCTATCACCACTACCCTTCTCTTTCTCTGGTAACCATCATTCTACTCTTATCTCCATGAGTTCAGTTGTTTAAATTTTTAAGCTCCCACAAACAAATAAGAACATGCAAAGTTTGTCTTTCTGTGCTTGGTTTATTTCACTTAACACAATGACCTCCAATTCCATTCATGTGGTTGCAAAAGACAGGATTTTATTCTTTTCTATGACTGAATAGTACTCCATTGTGTATATGTACCATATTCTCTTTATCCATTTATCTGCTGATGGACACTTAGGTTACTTCCAAATGTTGGCTGTCCTGAATAGTGTTGCAATACACATGGTCATGCGGGCATCTCTTCAGTATAGTGATTTCTTTTCTTTTGGGAATAGATCTAGTATTGGGATTGCTGGATCATATGGTGGTTTGTTATAGCAGCCCCAGCATACTAAGGTATATGTATACCATCACTATATATATAATATATATTTTATATATATATATATCTTTGAATATAATTATCTACTATCACTGAAATATATTGAATTATTACTCCTTTGATCTTTCAATCAAAGTTGATGACATAGTAGTCCAGACAGGGGGAGGGAATCACTTGAAGATATTGTCCTATAAGCAAATATATACGAAAACCACAAAATGAAACAATTTAAACTTAGTGATATTTTTCAGAGGAAAGATGTCATAAATTTTAGTGTATCTTTTACAAATTTGAATGCTGATTAAATCCTAATTTCTACCCAGTGGGACATTCTAATAAAGTCAGCACTCAGGAAAATTTATTAATAAGATAAGCCAACTGAGGGTTAAGTAAAATTATTTAAGTTGCTATATCGGGGAAAAGCTGTATACATTTTATATATCATTTGAGGTAAGGATTCTTTATCATTTTACTTTGTCCATGCTTTTATCATAAAAAATATATTTATTGTATTAAGATTATCTATGTACCATGATGGATGTTTGTCAGTTTACTTCTAAATAAGAAAATACTTTAAATCATATATAGTAATAAGAGAAAAATTATATTGACTAATTTTCAATATAAGAGGTTATATGGCTTGATAAAATTACTAAACATTTAAAAGTATATATTTCAGTGTCATTTTTAAATATGTTTTCTACCTACCTGTACACATCTATCTGCGAAAATCATAATTTCAGCACTACCTTCTGCATCCGAGGTGATAACATCTCTTGAGCCCAGGAGTTTGAGATTGCAGTGATCTAAGATTGCACCACTGCACTCCAGCCTGGGTGACAGAGAAAGATCCTGTCTCACAATAAAACCAAAACCTACAACAAAAATCTAAATATATCTATTTTCTAACACTTACTAACAATTATTGAAATTTAGCTAACACTGACTTGCCAAACATTGTTCTAAAAATTTCATAAGTAACTCATTTAATACTTACATAAATACAATGAAGTAAAAATTATTGAGGTCCGATTTTAGAGGTGAAGAAGTAAGTGGTAGAGTCAGAATTTAATCTGAAGGGATTGGCTTCAGGTTTCATGCTCCTAACAACTTCTTGTTAACTGCTACAAAGAAGTTCCTCAATATACATATATACATGTATATACACACTAATATGTATATTCAGTAACTTAGTAGTTATTCAATATGTTTATTTCATAAACATAATGTATACGTGCATGTATGAATGTATGTATGTGTATGCATGCGTGCTTTTTCTGTGTGCATACATATATTAATATTACATATATATGTGTGTGTGCATGTGTGCATTTCTCCAAGTGACATCCTCTGTATATTATATTTAAATTTCTGCCTGCCTTGTAATAAAATATAAATTAATCTATGTTAATATAAGTTGAATAAGCTACAATCAATTTACTATATTTCACTCCTCATGATCTTAAAAATGCCCAAATAATTCATTCCTAAGTATATGTAAAAGATTATACTATTGCTGTGCAGAAGCTCTTTAGCTTAATTAGATCCCATTTATCAATTTTAGCTTTTGTTGCAATTGCTTTTGGTGATTTCATCATAAAATCTTTGCCCATGCCTATGTCCTGAATGGTATTGCCTAGGTTTTCTCCTATGGATTTTATGGTTTTGGGTTTCCCATTTAAGTCATTAATCCATCTTGAGTGAATTTTTGTACAATTTGTAAGGAAGGGGTCAAGTTTCAGTTTTCTGCATATGGCTAGCCAGTTTTCCCAGCACCATTTATTAAATAGGGAATCCTTTCCCCATTGCTTGTTTTGGTCAGGTTTGTTGAAGATCAGATGGTTGTAGATGTGTGGTATTATTTCTGAGGTCTCTATTCTGTTGCATTGGTCTATATGTCTGTTTTGGTAACAGTACCATGCTGTTTTGGTTACTGTAGCCTTGTAGTATAGTTTGAAGTCAGGTAGTGTGATGTCTCCAGCTTTGTACTTTTTGCTTGGGATTGTCTTGGCTATGTGGGCTCTTTTTTAGTTCCATATGAATTTTAAAATAGATTTTTCTAATTCTGTAAAGAATGTCAATGGTAGTTTGATGGGAATAGTATTGAATACATAAATTACTTTGTGCAGTATGGTCATTTTCACAATATTTATTATTCCTTATGAGGATGGAATGTTTTTCCATTTGTGTCTTCTCTTATTGCTTTGAGCAGTGGTTTGTGGTTCTTTTTGAAGAGGTCCTTCACCTTCCTTGTTAGCTGTATTCCTAGGTATTTTATTCTCTTTGTAGCAATTGTGAATGGGAGCTCATTGATGATTTGGCTCACTGCTTGTCTACTGTTAGTGTATAGGAATGCTTGTGATTTTTGCATATTGATTTTGTATCCTGAGACTGCTGAAGTTGCTTATCAGCTATCAGTGTAAGCTGATAGCTTAAGTTTTGGGCTGAGACAATGGACAATGGGGTTTTTTTTCTTTTTTCTTTTTTTTGGAGTCTCGCTCTATTCTATTACCTAGGCTAGAGTGCAGTGACATGATCTTGGCTCACTGCAACCTCCTCCTCCCGGGTTCAAGAGATTCTCCTGCCTCAGCCTCCTGAGTAGCTGGAATTACAGCATGTGCCACCACAACAGCCTGCTTTTTTTGTTGTTGTTGTTTGTTTGTTTGTTTTTGGTATTTTTTGTAGAGATGGGGTTTCACTATATTGTCCAGGCTGGTTGCAAAAGGGTTTTCTAAATATTTAGAGTCATTTATTTAATTAATTAATTTATTTAGAAATATTTATACCTATGTAGGATCATGTCATCTGCAAACAGAAACAATTTGACTTCTTCTCTGCCTATTCAAATACCTTTTATTTCTTTCTACTATCATCAGAATGAACAGGCAACCTACAGAATGGGAGAAAACGTTTTCAACCTACCCATCTGACAAAGGTCTAATATCCAGAATTTACAAGGAACTTAAATAAATTTACAAGAAAAAAAAACAAGCCCATCAAAAATTGGACAAAGCATATGAATGGACACTTTTCAAAAGAAAACATTTATGTAGCCAAAAAACATATGAAAAAAAGGTCAACATCACTGATCATTAGAGAAATGCAAATCAAAACCACAATAAGATACCATCTCACACCAGTCAGAAAGGCTATTATTAAAAAGTCAAGACACAACAGATGCTGGCAAGGCTGTGGAGAAATAGGAACATTTTTACATTGTTGGTGTAATGTAAATGAGTTCAACCCTTGTGGAAGACAGTGTGGCAATTTCTCAAGGATCTAGAAGCAGAAATACTATTTGACCCAGCAATCCCATTACTGCATATATACTCAAAGGAATATAACTCATTCTGTTATAAACATACATGCACGTGTATGTTTATTTCAGCACTAGAAAATAGAAAAGACATGGAACCAACCCAAATGCCCATCAGTGATAGACTGGATAAAGAAAATGTGGTACATATACACCATGGAATAGTATGCAGCCACAAAAAGGAATGAGATCATGTCCCTTTCCGGGACATGGATGAAGATGGAAGACATCATCCTCAGCAGACTAACACAAGAACAGAAAACCAAATACTGCATGTTCTCACTCATCAGTGGGAGCTGAACAATGAGAACATATGGACACAGGGAAGGGAATAACACACACTGGGGCCTGCTTGCGGGTGGGGGTCAAGTGGAAGGAGAGCATCAGGACTAATAGCTAATGCACGTGGGGCTTAAAACCTAGGTGATGGGTTGATAGGTGCAGCAAACTACCACGGCAGATGAATACGTATGTAACAAACCTGCATGTTCTGCACATGTATCCTAGAACTTTAATCAACAACAATAATAATAATAGAATAAATAAATAAATTTAAAAAGATTATTCTATCTTCTGAGTTTTGCTCTGTTACTAACACTCAAGAAATATTTTATAGTAAAAAGATTATTTACATAATAATGTTTTTATTTGGGAAAAAGAATAGGGTATTTCAGTCAACAAATATCTTATTTTTACACTTAAATATCAAGATTTTTTACTCATTTAAGCCTATCTTTTCTGGACTCAGAATTCTATAGCTGTCCCTCTGTATCAACAGGTTCCACATTCAGAGATTCAACCAACTGTGAATTGAAAATATCTGGGGAAAAAACATGATAAAAAGAAATACAAATACAAAAGCAATACAGTAACAACTATTTACAGAGCATTCCCATTGTATTAGGTATTATAAATAACATAGAGTTCATTTAAAGTAGGTGGGAGGATATATATAGGTTATGTGCTAATACTGTATCATTTTATATGAGACTTGAGCATGCATTAAATTTGGCATCTGTAGGGGGGTTCTGGATGACTCTACTCTGTATTTCTATATAAAATAGTGAAGTTTGTATTATATGTTTTATTTCTACTGAATAAGTAACATATTATGTAAATCTGAACCAATGTTTTTTACTCAATTAAATAATAAAAACTCATATTTATTCTTCATTAGGAAAAAAAATAAATGAAAAATGATTCAACCCAAATTATATGAGCAGAATACTTCACTAATTTTTTACATATGAATTTTAAGAGTTCGACAAAGAAAGAGATGGAGGTAAAAAAGGGAACTAGAAATCCCAACACCAGGACAAACCCAGAGTGTAATAAAGGCAAAAAACAAAACAAAATGAAACACCACCATACTGTTTCTAACAAGGCAAACTTTCTCATTTTCAGTTATTATCCATTGTTAAATGCTAAATGAAACAATAGAATACACATACACTTTTCTTCTCTTCCTTTTCCTTTTTCATCTTTAAAAATGATTATAATAGGCCAGGCATGGCGGCTCACGCCTGTAATCCCAGCACTTTGGGAGGCCAAGGCTGGTGGATCACCCGAGGTCAGGTATTTGAGACCAGCCTGACCAACATGGTAAAATCTGTCTCTACCAAAGATGCAAAAATTAGCTGAGCAGAGTGGCAGGCAGCTGTAATCCCAGCTACTTGGGAGGCTGAGGCAGGAGGATCACTTGAACCCAGGAGGAGGAAGTTACAATGAGCCGAGATTACGCCATTGCACTTCAGCCTGGGCAACAAGGATGAAACTCTGTCTCAAAATAAATAAATAAATAAATAAATAAATAAATAAATAAATAAATAGAGGTTATAATGGTTTTTATCTTGCAGAATTATTGTGACATTAAGTTAAATAATATGCTAAGAAATCTCAATCCCTGTTGTAGGGTGAAAACAAAATAAATGTTAATTTTATTTCATTTTCCTTTATACAAATGAAGAGTTTGAAAGTCTGGATAACATTTCTGTTAGATGCTGTAACACTTGGGATTTGGAAAACACATTGCTCCAGATTATAGTTTAGGCCTCTTTGCCTTAGAAATAAGATGTTCTATAGTTTAACACAGAGGCAGAAAAAATTCGAATATATACATAAAAAAGAACTTGTGCTTAATATGTTTGGTGAATTATTTAACTGCCAAGATTGCAATATTGCTCCATTCAACAAGTAAAAAGAACAGAAAGTGGGCCAAGCGTGGTGGCTCACACCTGTAATTCCAGCACTTTGGGAGGCTGAGGTGGGCAAATCAAGAGGTCATGAGGTCGAGAACATCCTGGCTAACACGGTGAAACCCTGTATCTACTAAAAATACAAAAATCTAGCCGGGCTTGGTGGCAGGTGCCTGTAGTCCAAGCTACTCTGGAGGCTGAGGCAGGAGAATGGCATGAACCCGGGAGGCGGAGCTTGCAGTGAGCCGAGATCGCGCCACTGCACTCCAGCCTGGGCGACAGAGGGAGACTCCGTCTCAAAAAAAAAAAAAAAAAAAAAAAAAAAGCGGAACAGAAAGTGAAAATGAGTCATATTGAACACGGAGCAAAGTCTTTTTGGAATGAGATATAGAGTATCAGAGTGACTTATTAACTCTTAGCTAATACAAAGAAGCAAAGCCACACAAAGCAAAATAAATCCTGTGAAACATTCCCATGTTTAGATTTTTAGATGTTTTACAGATATTATGTACGCATTTTACAGATACTATGTATACATTTTACATAATACCTGTAAAAAGGATTAAGTAGAGTATATTTACTGGAATAATCAAGGAACAACTATTACAAATAATGTAAACTACTCGAAATGTCCTATAATATCTCAAAAAAGGAGACAGGATTGTATAATTTTCAAGTATTTTCCATAGATGCTACTATTGATAATAAATATACTAAACATATGAAAACATGGGCCATGCTTAATTTTTTTACTTCTTAAAATCATTGAATAATGATTTTTTATATGTGTCGGGAATTTAGAAGACTTCCATTAAAGTTAATTTCAATAATATTAGTTTATTATTTCCATATTTTAAGAGAAACTAATTATGTGACCTAAGGTAATAAAAAAGTTTCAAAATTAGATTTATTTTCCATCTGTATGATAGATGCTGAGTCTATTTAACAGTATTTAATGACTAACTGTGATTAAATTTGCAATTTTGATAGAAACTATGTAGAAACTAGCAAAAATAATGAACATGGAAGCATGTGATATGCATCTTAAATTTCTCAATGCAATTTATAGAAGTTGTATTGAAGTACATAGAAATAATTTTATAATGAAAACAAAAAATTGAATAAGAAACACAGAAATTTTCAGAGATTTTCTTTAGCTGTTTGATAGTTTGCATTTGCAGTCTGTGCTGTCATTTGTCAAAGCACCTAAATATACTGAGAAACGTTATAGACTTAATATTTTTAATTTATATAGGAAACTGAAGACCACGTAAAAATATTTTAATAGTAGTAAAGTATTACTAATCCTCAGTGTATATTAATTAAAATAAAGTTAAATTTTTATTAATAATTCTATCTTCTTTTATATTGCTACTCATAGTGTAATAATTACTATATAATAATGTTTACACTGAATAATTACTGTTATGTTTACAATATTTAGTTCAGATAATTTGAACTAAAATTAGAGTGATGATATTAAGACTGAATTTATATATTACATATGTATGTAAAGTGTGTGTGCAGTACATATGGATAGCTAATTAGAAAGATCAACAGTAATAGATATTCAGGTAAATAGAATTGATGGGGTGGTACAAAAGTAGGCAAATAAATGTATTGTAGATCCCAGTTAATGTTAGAGCTGAGGAATTCAAATGATTGAAACCCATGATTTTTCAAATAAGAACACTGAAGTCCAGAAACATAAAGTAACATCTCCAAGATCATGGAAATGAAATTAATATTACATTAATAAAATAAATATACAAATTTTTTTAAATTACAAAAATTTTTATTAACTGAATCCTCTAAAATAGTTTAGAAACATCCTCTGAGATATCCCCAACTGAAAAAGAACTAAAATTAAGGAGTACAGGTTTTTGGCAAAATGATAAAAACAAATTTTATGGCTTGTCTTTATCGCTTGGCGAGTATACCATAAGGAAATTTTCCAATACATGTTTTGAATAATTTGTATTTGCCATAAAAATATGTATTTTTTATTCAGGAATAAAAAATCTGGAATATGAACTTTAAATATTTATAAATATATGTTTTGTCTAGATGTTTTAGTATAAATTAACAAATATCTTATGCAATAATAGTTATTTTAAACACCATAACCAAATATGTCCATATAATCAGAGCTATTTGTCATGTGCACTAAATATGTTCATGTTCAGATTTTACAAAGAGAAACTCAAAATCATAATTTGCTCTATATGAGATATAGAGTTTAAAGAGTCTAATTGATGTCTAAGTGGCATTCAGAAAAGGAGAGAAATAAAATGGGACCTAGACAATATTTGAAGAGATAATGAATGGGATTTCTTTCTCAAAAATGATGAAAGAAGTCAAACTAGATTCAAGAAGCTTTATAAACCTCAAGCAAGATAAATGACTACAAAGCTTACCTACCCTTTTGATAACGATACAGCTAGAAATAAAGATATAATCAAATTTCTATAAATATTCCAATATCCCCACCCTGAAAACTGAGTTCTCAAAAGGAATAATATAGGCCAGGAGACAATGGAATATCTTCATAACACTGTCAAAATATAACTGCCAATTTACAATTATATATGTAGGAAAGATAACTTTCAAAATATAAAAAATTTTTAGACAAAAGTATTAAAAGTGTATTACCCAGAGAATTCTGTAAAATAAACATTAAAGAGTATTTTACGGGGAGAAGGAAAATTTTATGAGGTGGAAATTCTGAGATGCAGGAGAAAATGAAGAAAAATTGAAAGAATAAATATGGAAGTATTTCTATAAAGTAATACCTATAATGTCTTGATGGGTTTGTAATAAATAATCAAAATATATAGTAAAAATTATATATAAATTGGAGTGATATCAATGAAGTAAAATGTTATAAATTCCTGAGTTGTCCATGAATAAATAAAAGTAGCAGTTAACGTTAGATTTTAACATACTATTTTTATTTAAACTTGATAATTAAAAAAAGATGTGTAAGGCTGTGTCCTGTCATTAAGACAAACAACCTGTGTAGGAAATATAAAGTGAAGAATTAATCTATTTTTCCCATAAGGAGTTAGACTGAACTGGTTGGAAGTTCTTAACTACCACAGGTATATATTTGCATGCATGCATTACCTCTTTCATAATCTAATATACAGAGACTTTTAAAAATACATTAAAAAGAATAGCCAGTGTTGATGTGAACTTTAGAAATGTAAATGATTATTATCCAGATACCAAAGCCTCAAATGATAAAGTATTTGTAAACTATGCAAATAATGAACTAGGCTAGATAGCATAGCCAATTAACATAAGCTGAAAAAAGACTGTTTTAGAAGAATTAAAATGTAATTATATGAATTTCACAATGTAGATCAAGGAAAATAACCATTGCGTCCAGGCCAATTGATACTTTGGGTATTGAACAATTCTGAACAATAACCGTGGTATTCTTGGGGGAAGACAGAAGACTTTCAACCTAAGGCAAAAGTGAAAATATAACATTTTATGAATACATTAAAGATATATGAAAATGTATTTACATTAATTACAGGACTCCACAAAGCATTGTGGGAAAAGTTGAGAGTGGAGGAAGTGAGAAATTCTTGGCAGAGTAGGAAAGTACTATGACACCACTAAGTACATCTGTCTCTCTCTCTCTCTCTCTCTCTCTCTCTCTCTCTCTCTAAATATATATATATATATATATATTTTTTCCCCCAGTGGGCTTTGATTTTGGAAGATTGGAGATAAAAGCATATATCCTGTAGATTGTGATGAATATGGATTAAATCCTCCTGTACCATCAAAGTCCCTGTGAGGCTAGCCGAGCTACAGGAAAACATTGGTGAATGACTGATCTGCTTCTTCAGGGATGCCTGTCCTCTTGGCTGGGGGTGAAATTTACTATTTCAGAATAAGTTCATCAATTTACAGAATTAATAGTGGGACACAATAGATTGAAAACATCTGTAATGGCTAACATATGAAACTATATTAATAAAGCTAGTTGTAGACTTTGTTTTTTAGTTAAACCAAAAGCCATCTTGCAACCTTTCCCAATCCTCTCAAGTTCTTCTACCTAGCTAAAGCGATTTATCTCTATTTATCAGAAACTGCTTAATTTCTGGGGAAATAATTCCAGCACCTGGCCTAGGGCTGTCCAGTTCTTGCCAATAAAATGTTAGGGAATGTTTTCTTGAATTCTTCTGTACAAACATTTCCAGCCTAATACAAATAAGGTACAGGAGAAATTCTCTTTCACATATCACACTGTTTTCTGCTATAGAAATGTAATAATTAGAGCTGCTGTAGCCATCTTTCATCCACGAGTGGAAGACCAAAAGGAACACACTGATGTTGACCATGATGCTGTAATAAATAACTGGCATTGCTAATCTGCCAAATAAGTACTGGAAACTGCTTATTGATTCTGCCATTAAACCAAGATAAGAGAGACTTCTTGTCTCAATCCTATGATTTAGGTGGACTTCACTCTGACCTTTCTCAGGACAGCCCCCTAACCCCATAAAAATCCCACAGTTTTTTTGTTCGTTTGTTCTTTCAGTGGTGTTTAGCTAGAGTAGAATTGTTATTGTCTAAAAGTTTATTGGCTTGCTACGTTGCTCTGTTCCATGTTCCTTGGCTAGAAAGAGCAGACTTTTGTTGTAATTTTTTTTTTCACTACCAGCTGATATTTCTAGGTTGCATGCTTCTTTAGCCCCAAGTTTGGGATATATAAGACAGAAAGCCAAGGAAATTCACTGCCATGTTGTTCTTTGTGTCCTAATATTTCTTGAGGGTATGCATTCCTCTCACCATTTTTCAGACTCATCTAGTATTTGTTTTACATTTAATATTCACAGGTTTTATTTGTACTTAGCATCCGTAGGACAGACATAAATGCCCTATGAACACCCTTAGAGTGAAAGAGTTTTCAGGAGGCATCTATTTCTGCAGTATGTAAATTGAACTTTTCACAGGGGCTGTGGTTCTAAATACATATACAATAGGACACGTGGTGTGCAATGGAGTTTGAAATAAATAGAGAAAGGGAGAAGAACAATGACTGGTGGTCAGATATGCAAATACTAATACTATTTGACATGGAATTGAAAGTTGCATGGGAAACCTAGATTTAAACTTCATCCTTTAGGTCTTTATGGGACATTTCACTTAAATTTAAGACAATTATTTTATTTAATGGTGCATTAACTTTATTTATAACTACCAATAGCTATAAATGATATAGAGGCATACTGGCATACTTTAAAGATATTGTGGGTTTAGTTCCAGATGGCCAAAATAAAGTGGATATTGCAATAAAATAAGTCATGTAAATTTTCAGTTTCCCAGTGAATATAAAAGTTACATTTTTACTATGCTGTAGTCTATTGAGTGCCCAATAAAATTATGTCTAAAAATGTACATAGCTTAAAAATATTTTCTTGCTAAAAAATACAAATGATCATCTTAGCCTTCAGTGAATCATAATTTATATGCTGGTGAAATGTCTCGCCTGGATGTTGATGGCTGCTGACTGACCAGGATGATGGTTTCCAAAGCTTGGGGTGACTGGGGAAATTTGTTAAAATATGATTAATAATGAAGTGGGTCACTGAATTAACTCTTTCACAATATTTCTTTTTTTTCTTTTCTTTTTTTTTTTTTTTTGAGATGGAATCTCACTGTGTTGCCCAGGCTGGAATGCAGTGGCTTGATCTCGGCTCACTGCAACCTCCGCCTCCCAGGTTCAAGCGATTCTCGTTCCTCAGCCTCCCCAAATAGCTGGGATTACAGGTGCTCGCCACCACGCCCAGCTAATTTTTTGTATTTTAGTAGAGACAGGTTTTTGACTTGTTGGCCAGGCTGGTCTCTAACTCCTGGCCTCAAGTGATCCACCCACCTCGGCTTCCCAAAGTACTAGGATTACAGGTGTGAGCCACCGCACCCAGCCCACAGAATATTTCTTTGTAATATTTGTTTTTGATAGCACTTTACTCACAGTCTAACTTCTTTCAAAATTGGAGTCAATCCTCTCAAACCCTGCTGCTGCTTTATTAACTAAAGTTATGGAATATTCTAAATCTTTTGTTTTTATTTCAACAATGTTCATAGCATGTATATCATGAGCAGATTCCATCTCAAGATACCACTTTCTTTGTTCAGCCATAAAAAGCAACTCCTCATTCGTTCAAGTTTTATCATGAGATTATACCAGTTTACTCACATCTTCAGTCTCCACTTCTAATTCTAGTTCTCTTGCTGTTTCACCATATCTGCGTCACTTCCTCCACTGAAATCTTTAAACCCCAAAATTCATCCATGAGTATTGAAATCAACTTCTTCCAAACTCCTGTTAATGGTGATATTTTGACCTCCTCCCATGAATCACAAATATTCTTAATGGCATCCAGAATGGTGAATCCCTTCAAGGTTTTCAATTTACTTTACCCAGATCCATCAGATAATCCCTATCTTTAGCAGCTGTAGCCTTACAAAATGAATTTCTTAACTAAAAAGGCCTGAAAGTAAAAATAACTCCATAATCCGTGAGCGGCAGAATGGATGTTGTGGTAGGGGCGTGAAAACAATACCTATCTCCTTGCACATCTCCATCAGAGCTCTTGGGTGACCAGGTGCATTGTCAATGAGCAGTAATATTTTGAAAGGAATCTTCTTTTCTGAGCAGTAGGTCTACACAGAGGGCATAAAATATTAGGTAAACCATGCTGCAAACAAATGTGCTGTCATCAAGGCTTTGTTATACCATTTATAGAGCACAGGGAGAGTAGAATTAGCATAATTCTTGTGGGCCCTAGAATTTTCACAATAGAAAATTAGTATTGTCTTCAACTTAAAGCTGCCAGGTGCATTAGCCCATAATAAATGAGTCAGCCTGTTCTTTGAAGCTGTGAAGTCAAGTATTGATTTCTCTCTAGCTATCAAAGTCCTGGAAGGCATCTTCTTCCAATACAAGGCAGTTTTGTCTACATGGAAAATCACTGTCTAATGTAGCCACCATCATCAATGATCTTAGTTAGATCTTCTGAATAACTTGCTGCAGCTTCTACGTCAGCACTTGCTTCTCGTTTTGTGCTTTTATGTTGTGGAGATGGCTTATTTCCTTAAACCTCATGAACCAACTGCTTCTAGCTTCAAACTTTTTTCTTCTGCAGCTTTCCCCCTATAAACCAAAAGTATCTGAGACAGGTCTCAATCAATTTAGTGGTTTATTTTGCCAGGATTAAGGACATGCCCATGACATAGCCTTAGGAGGTCCTGAGAATATGAGCCAAAGGTGGTCAGTCTACAGCTTGGTTTTATATGGTTTATGAAGACACACGACATTTATCAATATGTGTAAGATATTGGCTGGGCGTGATGACTCACACGTGCTATCCCAGCAATTTGGGAGGCCAAGGCAAGTGGCTCATGAGGTCAAGAGTTCAAGACCAACATGACCAAGATGGAGAAACCCTGTCTCTACTAAAAAAACAAAAAAATTAGCCAGACGTGGTGATGGGTGCCTGTAATCCCAGCTACTCAGGAGGCTGAGGTAGAGAATTGCTTGAACCCGGGAGGCAGAGGTTGCAGTGAACCAAGATCATGCCACTGCACTCCAGCCAGGGTGACAGGGAGAGACTGTCTCAAAAAAAAAAAAAAAAAAAAAAAAAGTTGTACACTGTTTTTCCCAGAAAGGCAGGACAATTTGAAGTGGTGGCTTCCAGGTTATATATGGATTCAGATTTTGTTTTTAATTGGCAGTTGGTTGAAAGAGTTTATCTAAAGACCTGGAATCAACACAACAGAGCGTCTGGGTTAAATTAAGTGTTTGTGGAGACAAAGGTTTTTGTTAGGCAGATGAAGTCGCCAGGTAGCAGGCTCCAGAGAGAGTAGATTGTATTAAGGTCTCTGTTTTAATGTTAATGCTGGTCAGCGTGCCTGAATTCCAAAGGGAGAAGGGCATAAGGAGGCATGTTCCACCAACCCATTCCCATCATTGCATGAACTCAGGTTTCAGGTTAATTTTGGAGAGCCATTGGCTGACAGGAGAGGTCCATTCAGTTGGTTGTGGGTGCTTAGAATTTCATTTTTGGTTTACATCACCAATCTCAGCCTTCATAGAACTGAAGATATTTAGAAACTTGCTCTGCATTAGGCTTTGTTTTAAGGGAATGTTGTGGCTGGTTTGGTCTTCTATTCAGACTATTCAGAGTTTCTCCATATCAGCAATAATGCTGTTTCACCTTCTTAACAATCATATGCTCACTGGAGTAGCACTTTTAATTTTCTTCAAGAACTTTTGCTTTGCATTCACAACTTGTCTAATTGTTTGGCACAAAAGGCCTAGGTTTTGGTTTATCTTCACTTTCTTTATGTCTTCCTGGCTAAGCTTAATTATTTCTAGCTTTTGATTTAAAGTGAGAGGTGTGTGACTCTTTCTATTTCTTGAACACATACAGGCTATTGTAAAGTTATTAATTGGCCTAATTTTAATATTATTATGTCTCAATGAATAGGGAGATCCAAGGAGACGGAGAGACATCAGGGAAGGCTGGTTGGTGGAGCAGCCAAAACACACACACAATTTATCAGTGAAGTTTGCCATCTTATATGAGCACAGTTCATGGCACCCCAAAACAATTACGATAGTAACATCAAAGATCAGTGATCTCAGATCACCATAATGGATGTAATAATAATGAAAAACTTTAAAGTAATATGTTGTCAAAATGTGACACAGAGACATGAAGTGAGCACATGCCATTGGAAAAATGTTGCTGGTAGACTTGCTTAATGGAGGGTTGCCACAGACCTTCAATTTTTAAAAATCATGATGTCTGCGAACATAATATCTGTGAAGCACAAGAAAGCAAACAGCACTTAAAACAAGGTACACCTGTGTATATAAGTATCTGTATAGTGCATATATGTATATTTATATAATTTATGTCTACCTGTCTCTATCTACCTCTCTCTCTCTCTCTCTCTCTCTATCCACCTATCTATCCATCCACATATCTATCTATCTTTTCGGTCCTACTGGTGAGTATTCAACTTTAAAACTGATTTTTAAATTAGTAGGATATACATACTAAATTGTTGAAAAGCAGAAGAATGTTAAACATTTTGGTCCCTTGTCATTCAATCTGGTTATTGCATAATCCAAGAAAGAAATACATTCTAAAGGGAATTTGAAAGAAGAGAGCAATATTACCTCAAAAAAGAAGTACTGACATTTTTGCTAACTCTTAGACTTCAAACATGTTTCTATGCTTAAAGTTTTTGAGTTGTCTCAGAAAATAGCCTTTCAAAGCTTAAAGTTACTGTTCCAGAATCATATTTATTTGCTACATTAGCTCTTTCATAATGCTATACTATCCTTGTCGTAATATTGTTTCTCTCACAAATATTCTTAACATAAGACAGATCATAATGCAATTTAACATGTAAATGTAGCTTAGTAGGGAATAGCTCAGCCTAATTGCTTTCCAAGCCCAATCAAGAAACTTAAGCTAGTAGAGAGCTGACAGTTTCAGAATGCAAAAGATTTGTCTTTACATATTTTAACTAATTAAACTTGTAATTATTCAGAACTTTTCTTCTGTAAGCATTTAAAAAACACTTTTCAAGTCAATTTCCTGAAGTGTAGAGCAGTAAGTGATCATCAGCCACATTTCTCAAAAAGAAAATGTGAGGTAATAGCATGTATTGATGGTTTTCTTTCTGTATTATGTTTATATTAACATAGCTGAAAATTTCCAACAGACATTGTAAATGCTTCAGGGAGTATGCATTCAATTACCTCCCTCACACTTAGAAATTATTTCAAAATGGATGTCACATTTTTAAATGAAACTATTAGAAAAGTATAAATTGTTAATGAATACAGGTGGGAATTCTTGTTAGCATAAGTAACCATAACCTTATTTTGTCACAGGGATGTTTAGGGCAGTTGCTGTTGGTCAAGGTTTATCATGTGTCTGACCCTGATATGAGGCTGTGTTTTTTTTGACTGGAGAAGTTGAATGGAAATATGCTATGTATTAGAACAACATTGATCTCTAAGACTCAGGTTGCTTGGAGATCACAAATTTAGAAACATTTCACAAATTAAGAAGGAGAATGGAGGTTTCTCAAGTACCAATTAAGACAAATTGTAATTTTCTTATAACATGTTTTGTAGCTGATATGGTTTGGCTATGTTCCCACCCAAATCTCATTTTGAACTGTAGTTCCCATAATCCCCACCTGTCATGTAAGGGACCCAGTGGGAGATAATTGAATCATGGGGGTGGTTACCTCCATGCTGTTCTTGTGTTCATGAGTTCCTTCTCATGAGATCTGATGGTTTTATAAGGTGCTTTCCCCAGCCTTCATTTTGCACTTCTCTTTGCTGCCGCCATGTGAAGAAAAACGTGCCTGCTTCCCCTTCTGCCATTATTGTAAGTTTCCTGGGGCTTCTCCAGCCCTGCAGAGCTGTGAGTCAATTAAACCTCTTTCCTTTATAAATTACCCAGTTTTGGGTATGTCTTTACTAGCAGCATGAGAACAGTGGTTATGCTTTTATTTAGGAAGAAGTCTTTATCTGATTCTAAATCATTTATCAGCTATAAGCTCTTGCTCCAATTCAGTGTAATTCACTACTCTCCTCACTATGCTGATCAGTGAAATGTTTCTATGCATGCATAAAATATTTCCCCTTTTAAAATTGGCTGAATAAAAACAATTACCACAATAAATATAGTGGCCTATATTCTAGTAGCAAAGTAAGCAAGTCTTTCAAGCAGAGGAAGCCTTCAGAAGTGGTATTAATTAGTGCTATTTTGACAGAGGCCATAGAAAATAAAAATATTTTCTCACCTACACAGGAGGTTTCTTAGTGTCAGGTACATTAGTGGAACAATTGTAAGTAAATTTTGAATAGTTCTTTTGCTCTAACGTGATGAAATTGCTTTTAATCTTCCATTACAATTGCTTAGTATCTGATTTGCTAGATGAGCTTCAAAAGAAACCTAATAAAGGAAATAGGCACAAAAGGAAAAGTGGTCATGGTGAAGGTTAGATTAGAGATGCAGTTTGCCTAACTCTAATCTTTTGTAGTTAGGGAATGTTTACTTTGAATAACACTGATTGAAAAATTAGAAAATTGCAAACTTACATATATTTAATTTTAAGGGAGGTCACATGTAAATTTCTCTGGTTTTATTTTAGGCAACTATAAGTTACATCTTCATTCTCACTTTTTAAAATAGTAGTCCTATTTAAATCATTATAATTGGAGAGGAAATTATTTTCTTACAAAAGATAACATTAATAGTCCTTGGGATATTGTGTTGCTTTGTATATTACAGATAGTAAACACAAATCCATCCTATTGGAAAGTGAATACAGACATATGAATCCACTGTTATCCTTTCCTAATAATAGTCACTCCATAAAATGTTCTTTGGAATATAATTTAAACTGTTATTCATTTTTTAATTAGTGAGGTCACATCTTTATCCCTTAATAATTAAGTAAAATTATTCTCAAATTACATTAATTAAAATAAGTCCTGACATTGATTAATTCATTCCAGTTGGGTTAAAGACTGCATCCTTATTTAGCATGGCCTTTGAACATTTCCAAAACACAGTGTTTACATGATATTCATACACATTTAATGCATTTTAACTCAATTAGATTTTCAGAAAATTAAGTCTGACTTATTTTTCAGTATTAAGAACATTCTTTATAAGAGAAACAGTTTGTCTTGACATAGATATTTCATATTTTCCATAGCTCTTCTTCTATTATTCTACTGAGATTGCCTTCTTTTCATTTTCCCGCTTCTACTTTTCCTCCTCTTCTCTCTTATTTTCTTCTTCCCTTGCCTTCCTCCCTTCCTCCTTCTCTCTTTCTTCTCTTTCTTTCCCTTCCTCTCCTCCTCCTCTTTCCCTCTTTCATCTTATTCAGTTACCAAAATAAACAAAAAAAACTGTGTTTGTTCTTATTCATACATACATAAACAGTTAAATGTGAGTTACTCCACTAAACTAAACTGAAAAATAGTGTAATGTCATACCTATTTTTCTTAAACTAAAAATATTCAGCATATCTAAACTGTTGTTATTTGACTAATAATGCATGTCAAAGGAAAGATAGAAGGAAGAAAAGGAAGAGGGATTAAGGAAGTGATAAACTTGGTTCATATTAAATGTTTTATTGAACAAATATCTTAATCACCAGCAATGAGAAAGGCACTATGTTAGACGTAGGGGGAAATTTGAAAAGCTAGCTGTTAATCCTAAGAAGTTTGTCCTTTATTAGAATGGAAGACAGTAGATAATAACAATTAAAATTATAAATAACATGTATAAACTTGTAGATAATTGTGATAAATTATAAAGGAAAACTAAAATCTGGAAATTTAGGATGTGAATGCATTATTTTCAAACTATAAGTCCAAATGATATCATAAAAGATGCTTTCTGAGAGTAATTCCATAGGGTTTTCACATCTCTCAAACATCTACTCTGTGCCAGGCATTGCACTAAGCACATCATAGGCATATAATCAACACAACTGTCTGACATTACCTACAGTTCACAAGTAAGTGAATATAATTTGATAGAAATTAGGTTTTTGTTAGCTGATTCAGCAAATAAATGTGCAGATGTTTCAATAAAACAACTTTAAAACAAGACTTTTGACAAAAGATATCTCACACATGAGGGATGATCCTCAATTTATGATGGAGTTACATCCTTATAACCCCTTTGCAAAGTCAAATTTCTGGCCAGTCATTGCCTGACTACTAGTTTACACTGACCCAAGAACAACATTCGGAAGCCAAACTTCAACCCCAAAACAAGAAACAAAAAGCTGAGCGGACAGTTCAGTGTTGACTCGCTGAAGAAAGGAAGACTCTGAAAAATTGATCCTGACATAATGGAAAACAAATCATCAGGGAAGCCACACCTGCAGAGCCCGCTGCCCTGGGGGATACCACAATGGGGCCAGGTTGAGTCGTCTGCCGGCAGGGGAGCAGCAAGATCAGGCAGAGAGGGGCCCTGAGGTGGACCTGGGCCCAGGGCTGTGCCTTGCTTTGCACATGGAGCTGGGGGCGGGGGGAGGGGCTGTGAGGGGCGGGGGTGTGTGGGGAGTGGCGGAGCGGGCCTGGGGCAAGTGGAAGGGGCCGTGCTTTGTGGGGCAGAGGCAGGAAGTGAGAGCAGTGCCTGCTTTGGGGATCCAGCCAGTGGCACGGCCACTGTGCCCACCCTGCTTGCTGTGCTTTTGGAGGAGGCTCTGTGCAGGACCTCCCAGGGCCATGTCCCTGGGGTCTGCCCTGCATTGGGTGACCACCGAGGCCGACACTCCTGATGGCTGGGCTTGGGACCCATGATGCGCACCTGGATGCACCCCCACAGGAAGGGCCACAAGCCAGGCAAGTGGGAACCCCGGGGTGCCTCTGAGCCCCAGGGCCAATGGGGCAAGCTTGTGGTGACATCGCTCCTGCCCAAAACATCGGCCAGGGCCCAGCAAAGACCTGGACCCCCTACCCCAGGCTGCAAGGGGGGCAAGGCCAGGGCTGCACACCCCACAGAGCCAGCGGGAGGCGGGGATAAGTGGGGGCCCTCCCCTTTCTGAGTTGGCAGTGTGGGAGCTCTTTAGGTGCAGCTGCAGCTGCCCTGCCGCCACCAATAACCCAGGCATTTCTGCACTCCAGGAGACGCAGGAAGGTCCTCCTGTACCTGCAGGCTTGAGAGTGTCTGCTCCCGCTGCCTGGCCTCTCCCCGCTCCTGCGCCTGCTCTGATCTTGGAACAGGGTTGGGCTCAGCTCGGTCACTGTCACAGCTCGGCCAGGAGTGCAAACGCTCTGGGCAGTGCTGACATGCTAGCCCCCTGCTGCCTTGGCCCACTCTGGACTTTGGCCACCGTCAAGCGTGGGGGTGGAGGCTGAGTGGGAAGGATGAGGGCAGCTCGGTGCTGGCCTGTAAGTGCCCCTTGGTGCGAGCAGCCTTGGTTTGAGCAGCCTTGGTGCCACGGACAGCAGCAGGAGGCCAACAGGCTCCTGGGCAGAAGGGGCAGGTCCCTGGTGAGGTCCCACCTTCAGGCCAGGGAGGGCCTCAAGGTTGGGGTCCAGGCTAACAGTCATGGGGACCGGAGTGGGAACTTGTGGTGCCTTTTCCGGGCCCATCCATGCTGGCCATGGACCAAACAGCACGCACTTCCTCCCCTCTGAGGCTCATACAAAAACCCCGGGCTCAGCCAAAGCAGGGGACGGAGAGACAACAGGACTACCACCTGCAGAGGAGCTACCCTCTCTGCTGAGAACTGCAGAGATGATGGGATGACCTACCTGCAAAGAGGAGCTTCCCACTCCAGGGTCTCCTCTCTGCTAAGAGCTAAACACTCATCGAGACACCCTGGCTGCAGAAAGAGGGTCCCCTCTGAGCTGTTCTGTCCCTCAATAAAGCTCTCCTTCGTCTTGCTCATCCTCCACTTGTCTACATACCTCATTCTTCCTGGTTGCAGGACAAGAACTCAAGACCCACCTAATGATAAGGCTAATAAAGCTGTAGCACAAACAAGGCTGAAACATGCTCCTTGTTCACCTCATTGCAAGTGAAGAGAAGTAGAGAAAAGCTGCGGCCCTTCAGGGATCCCAGACCTGGGAGCTTCCCTAGCCAATGCTGTAACTCCCTCTATGGGGCCCTGTGATTCCTAGCACCTCCAAGCTTCTGGGGACCACTGGATTCCTCAGTGCCAGCTGCGGAAGCTGTTTGTGGTGTGCCTGGTCCAGCTGCAGTCTTGCAGAGAGCCGGGCGCCCATGCCAGCACCTGGAGCTGCCCACCCCGCAGCAGCAGCTGGCGTGTCTGACTGCGCAGTGGCTGGACCACAGGCTCCATCACACATCCCTCACCACTCCATGTCTGACTCGCAGTCTCCCTTGGAGGCTTGGGATCCAGGCCTGTAGTGTGAGCTGAGCACAGCCTGCCAGGCTGAGTGGGCAGAATGAGCCCAGTGGATCTGAGCAAAACTTAGGCAAAGGCGCCACCAGCCACAGGTTTCTGGCCAGAAATGCGACACCCCAAAGATCCCATAGCAGTGTGAGAACGAACTAATACACCAGGGTCTAAAGAAAAAAGTTCCAAATGAAATTATAAATATTGTAAAATGCTTTGAGATGATCAAAGCACAACACAGCAAGATTCATGGGATGCAGCTAAATCATGCATAGAAGAAAAATTGATAGCTTTAAATGCCTCCATTAAAAAAAGAGAAAAGGTCTCAATTAATAGATAGCATAAGGTTCCACCTCAAGAAACTAGAAAGAAAAAAAAAGGAGGAGGCTAATTTTAAAAAACCAGCAAAAGGCAGAAGATAAGATAATTAGAGCAGAAATTAAAGAAATACAAACCAGACAGAATTACAAAATCAGGCACGAAAGGGGGACACCACTGTCGACATTAAAAAAAATTGAAAGAATTTTAACGAATTAATATAAACAACTTTATGCCAACAAATTAGGCAACTTAAGTCAAATGGATAAATTTCTAGAAAGACACATTACCAAAAGTGACTGAAGAAGAAATAGGAAACCTAAATGGAAGTATGAGAAAATATAAAATTCATGAGTGATTTAAAAACTTTCCACCAAGAAAATCTTAAATAGAGATAGCTTTATGGTGTTTTCTATCAAATATTTACAGAAATGCATATCATTCCCAATTATATAATGTTTTAGGAATTTTACACTGTTAGAGCTCCAAACATAAAAACTGTTATTACTATTAAGGTAAATGATTTTGTAAACAGGAGGTCACTGATGACTTTTATTTGAAGTGGAGTAGAAGCCAGATTAATGAATTTTAAAACCATGATTCAGTGTATGCAGATAATCCACATTATTTTAAAAAAATCATTTCTTTAGAGAACTGAAGTAAATGGATACAGTCTAACTTTCAGTATTTCTCTCTAGAAACCTGAATTGTCTAAATGGTAACATTTTATTAAGACCAAACGTTTACCTTTTCTTAAAGAGAATTTTGCAATCCAAAAAAAAAATGATTAATATCCCCTGACACAGAAACAAAATATTTTTCATAATAAAATTTTAGATATTGTTCAGAGTAGAAATTGGGTTTTTTTTGCAAAATTACTGAAAATTCACAACTATTGCACAAGTTCCTCTGATTACTTGTCACCACTATTGGCAATCACAAAAGGACGATTTTGTCGTGCAATTCTTGAAGAAATTTATAGGAGTAGTAATTTACTAGTGATTTTCCTCCCACTGTTTTCCCCACAGAGTTATGTGATTATGGAATTCTCTGGTAACTAAAGAAAAATTATGATTATCACCATCTTAAAACTTCGTATCTTCTGTCCTTGAATATAAATTATATTTTCCAAATAAAGCTATCATCATTCATCACTATAAAATTTACATTCAGTAAGCGATGTCAAGATGGCTGTTGCTTTTTTTTAATCCAATGAAAAATAAGTCTGTATAATAAGAATAACCAAAAAGAAAGAAGAAAAGTATTGGCATTTGAAATGTTTTTTGCTGCTCAATGAAATAAATAAATCATTAACATGCTATTACTTAAACTCTTAGAAACTCTTGGTAATCATTGGTTTTTAAAACATCGTTTTTCATTGGAAATTGACTTGGCTTATGTTTCACTGGTGGTGTGATTTTGATATAAAACTTTCTGAATATTGCTCTATGCTAATAAATTCTCTAGAGAAAAGATATCATTTCATCAAATAAATTTTGCAATTTTAGAAACAGCCACATCTTGCCAATCTATTGAGTGTATCTATATATTTAATTACCCTGCACCTGTGTGAAATGATTGTTTAAACAGTTTGTATTCTGAGTGAATTACAGAGTCTGCTGGCCTTATATTGATATTACCTTCATTTATTTATGTACTACACCTACCTAAAACTTTGGCCTCATAATAAGAACGTTAGACACAAAATTCCTACTACATCTACCAAGTGGTACATAAGCCAAGTGTGAAGAAGTAGAGTGTGGGTGTTTAATACACTTTATGTTAGAAATCATCTTATTCTCTATTTATTGGATTGGTAAAAAAGTAATTACAGTTTTGCAATTAAAACAAAACTGGAAAACTGCAATTAGTTTTGCAGCAACCTAATAAAAGCAAATAAAATTGTAATAACGTTATGATTATTTCAACGATCATCAAATGCACAACAAAACTTATTGCATATTTGTATGATCCTGGAAAAAAATCACAAATAATTTACCTTCTCTATGAATATATTTTTTACAAGTAAAGCTATCACAAGAATATTACAAGCCCTGGACAAATTGCTTCTGTTGGTGAAATTTTCTTTACATAGAACTACATCTCCCTGCATTTGGGGGAAATTAAGAGGGAGGAACTGCCAATGATCAATTTCCCTTTTTCACTCCAAATATTTATTATGTTTTATTTATTCTTAGAGTTCATCAAATTATTAGAAATAACGATATGATTCCACTATTCTTCAGAAACTCTTATCTTTTCTCTTTAGTCTTAAAAATGATAGTCTCTTAACCATCAGGATATTGTAATAGATCTGAAAATACTGATGTAGCACCCTGGAAGCCAACTGGGTTTGCTTCATCTTTTGATAACAAATGAAATTTTAGCTCAATCCCAATTCCACATGGACAGACAACCCGGCAGCATCCCTTTTTATGTCTTAGGGAATGCTTGAAGAAATTTGTTGGTTCAAGAGGCACAGTGTGTGGTGTCTCTAGGATCTCATATTTACAGATTGTTGCTGTCTCTTTTCATTCACTTACCATCATCCAAAGCCTTCCTTCCTTTCTTTTTTTTTTTTAGTTGCTCCATATACGAAAGTTTTTTTAAAAAGTCTATGTAGCAGAATTTTACTTATGATATATACAGTGATATGGTGGTGGCAGTGAAGCCAGCTTACATAATAGCTATGATGACAATGCCAAAATGAATATTATACATCTCTATTATTATAAGTCCTTTGGCCACGTTACTGTCATATATTTCTTATAAGCCTGCTTTCTCAGTAGTCCCCAAAAGCCTGTAGGTATGTTGCTCAGAACCACTTTCCAGTTTGTAATCTTTTCCAGATGATTTGACCCCATCAGCACATTCTTACTCATTTCTCATTCAGAGCTTTTAGCTCTTAATTTGTGCAGATGTTTCTGCTTGTCCCTGTTGATTCCTCTTCATAATTTGTCCCCTTGCTCAATATACTGAGCGTCTCGTGTATGAACTGCCTGCAAGGGCTCCTTTTTGTTTGACAGCAAGCTGGCTTTAACCTATGGGAGACACCAGCAGGAAGTCAAAGGTGGAAGAGAAAAAGAGGAGGGACTCTATTCCACTTTCACCCTATTGGGTTACCATGAGCTTACTATGTCCCTTTATATAAGAAAACTGCTCCTGTAGGTAGCTATATCTATTCTCCTAGGATTGGTTTCAGAGCCCTAAATTTTATACTAAAAATAGCCTAACGAGATTTTCTTTCTGAACCAAAAGAATATTTCTAGGAAAAGATATGTGCATGCAGTAACCATTACATTTTTCTTACTCTGATATACACATCTAAAATGAGTCTTTTGTTTGTTGTGCTATGATAATGATAATTTGAAATAAGGTACAAAAAAGCAAGTGATGATTATGGAGAGCTTTGAAGATTTTGACTCTCTTATGAACTGACAGGGGCGTCAAACATAATAATGTATCTAATTATACCAAGAAACACATAACCCAATATTTGCTAATTACAAGAAACTAAAAGCTCTTAGAGAATCAATTTCCAATAGAAAATTTCCCTCAGTGGCATACTTTTGTCAGCACCTGGCACCTGAAAGACAGGAGTTGAAAAAAAAATGAGATAAGAGGAAGTTTGAAATTAACTAATGTTATTTTGCTTTAATATACGGCTTAGTGCTGATTTTAGTAAGTATATTAGCAAAGAGGCTTGTAGACAGATTAGAGAATTTCTACAGTGTGTTAGCTTTCTGTTCTCCTTAACATTACCACAATTCAGCAGGTTAAATTAATACAAAACTAGTTATATTTTTGTAACTCTAGGACCTTGGCATTTCATATATCCTTTTAACTATTTTGAATTGGTTCACTAGTTTTATACATGAATAAGTTAACCATAACACTTGCATGTATTGATATAATTCAAACTTGGAGCTTGTATAATTCCATTTGTTCTAATATTCAGGTATTAAAAAATCATGCTCATGAGCAATGATATGTAAGAAAAAACAAGACTGAGTTATTGAAAAAATTACACATATTTTCTCTCTACCACTATTGTAAGTACTCCTCTGAACACAATTAGATGGATTAGATGCATGTGAACAAAGAACGCTGGAAGAATATAACAAGCACTCAATGTTTTATGACATCAAAGGCAAAGCTATATCAGTGCTCATTTCCCTACCTCTGGTTTCTCTGCGTTTTGTACTTTAATCCACTACACCTCACCTGCAGGCTCAAGAGAGCCTAACTTCTCAGCTGATAATCATAATAATCAAATAATTAAAATACTATTTATTAATTTATTACCACTTACATGGTGTGCACAATGATTATCTTATCTGAGCCTTAAAACAACCCTTTAATATGAGTTATTAATGTTTTAATAAATATAAAGCAACCCTTTATACTTATCTTTATTTTACTGATGCAATAATAAGACATACAGAGGTTAGTTAATAACCATTTCACTCAGCAAGTGACTTATCCTAGGTTTTGCTGAATTGCAATCAGCCATTTCTGCTGAGTTCCTATTTGGCCCTTGAAGAAACTTCACTGAACCTGGATAAGTAAAAACACATAAAAAATGTCTCCTTTCAACTTCTCTTCCTTTATGGGGTACATTCTAAGAATTGAGTATGATGTTCAGGTCAAGATGATGGACTTCGGAGTTCCGAAGGAAAACTTCAAATCTTAGCTTTATCATTTTCTGGATTTGAAATCATGAGCAAGTTTGTCAAACACTCTTAGTTTTGGATTGCCCTTCTGCAAAATGAGGACAACAAAATCTATCTGATGTTTTAAGGCAAGAGTAAATAAGATTCTGTATGTTAAGAGAATAGAGTATAGCTGGTAAAAAAAAAAAAAAAAAACAAAACAAAAAACAAAACAAAACAAAAAAAAAAAACACCACTGTGTGGTTCTGACCAATTTATCTAGTGAGTAATCCTAAACCCCGTCTAATATTAAAATATTTCTCTGAACTTTCTGATTTTACCACCCTCCAAATCAACCTGGTGGTCTTATTGCTTCATCTCTTTCCCGGGACAGCACAAAGTAACTTGCCTTGTGATGAAAGCTCTTAAGAACAAACACATTTCCCAGCAAAAGTTCGTGTACTTGCAATCTTACTCTCCAAAACTTCACTGCCAGCCACATTTTTCACTGACATGATGGATGGGCTCTAAAAGTTCTTCTGCCCGTTACTTGAATTAGTATTAAACCAGTGATGTCCTCAGGAGGCTCAAGAGTGGATTCTGCACTTTTCTTTCCATCTTGCATTCAGTAACATTGTATTGAGAGCTTGAAGTCAGCCATGGAAGAAGTTTATCATTATAAGAATTGGCAAACACTACAAATGAGGTTTTAGGTTTGTCCTCTTTTGTTTCCTTTAAAAAAATTCAAATAGTTGCTTTATTAGCTCACCCTTGATTAAAACTAGTATGCCCTACAGATCGGTACTACTCAAATTGTGATCCATGGACTAATGCCAGTCACTGAACTATTTCTTTTCTACCTTGGATTAAGTACAATAATTGAGTGTGAGCATTTGGAAACATTTAGAGCATTTTGAAATTGTCATTACATTAATATGCTTAATCGGTTTTTGTAATTAATTTCTATTCAATTTTACAAATGCTTAAGTTTGTAATAGATTGTAAAACAATGCCATTTAATACATTGTATTGTAAAAAAAATGCTCATTCATGCATTGTATACAGTGTATATAGCACTGTGCTTAAGTAGTCCCCCACGCCTTCGCATCTCTATAACCAGATCGCTTTCACCCACTTTTGCCTTGCCATGGAAACTGGAGCTTATCCAATCCCTTGCTTGTTTCCCCTTCTCATGTTTAAGGGCCAAAATGACTGATGTCTGAGCCAACTCAAATTACTGCAGTGGACTTTTGTAAGCTCATTTATTTCTCTGTTCTATGAATTCCCTTTTTACTGGGACTTCATTTTTTATGAGGCCAATAAGAATGTTTCTCTAATGTACAAAACTATCTAAGAATCAAAAGAAAGAGATTGGCATGGATAGAAGGAAGAGAAAGTGCTGTTGGCAAATGTGGCCAGAAGCAATTCTGCAATGAAAGCCTTTGTGGATCTTCAATACTTGCTTGGAAGTTTTGGTGCAAAATGTCTTTATTTTTAAACCCAAGCTTATTTTGAAAGCCATAATTTACTTCAAAAACTTTGGCACTGATTGCCAGCACTTCAAATAACCTACCGAGTATTTTATAGTTTGTATTTTCCCTAGTCTAAATTTATACAAAAAAAATTTCAGTGTTATTTGAAAAGTCAGAAACCAGAAAGGGAGGAAAAATCTTAAGCCAAATACTTGGTATACTTATCTCCCGTACATCCCATCTGACTCTATTACTGTCAATTTTAACTCTTGGCTAAATTAAGTGGATCTGTTTATATTTAGCAACTGCCTAAACAGCAGATCTGTACCCTGTCCTCCCCTTGTCACCTTACACTGACTCCTGACTGCATAACCCTGGTAAAGGAAATGAGTATTTATTTGGACTCCATTATGTGCCACCTAGTTTATATTTAGTACTACGTTTAATATTCACAATTATAAAATAGGAATATTTCTGAAACTGGTCTAATTGCCCCATAGAACTGATGTTTATGGTTTCTTTTGAATAAACATAGAAATTGACCCTCCGAGTCTTGACATTTGAGAGTTACATTTGTCTGAGTTCCTTTCTCAGGAAACCAGCGATCAGGACTCTCAGATAGTATCAAGGAACTGAACTTTACCAGATCACCACATCTGGACAATAAGATGCCACACCTTCACCCATCATGACTGCATAATTGACCACCAGCTTCCTGTTGACAACCTCTCTTCCTTACTCCTTCCTATTTCCCACAAATGGTTACCTTTCTTCCCTGTCATGTAACCCCCAAATTTCAGTCAGTTGAGGAGATGGATTTGAGACTAATCTCCCGTCTCCTCAGCTGCAGCACCAGGTTAAAGCCTTCTTCCCTGGCAATACTCATTGTCTCAGTGATTGGCAAGACCTAGACCAAACCCCTGGCATTTTGGTACGCTGATCTGGAATGCATTGCTTGTGGCTTTGCTGTCTGCTGCAGGCTGGAGGAGCTTAAAAGCCTTTCTAAGTAGCTGCCTGTCCTTTTAGGACTGGATGTAGGTTTCTGCCTCTCTTTTTGGCCCTGGCATTGCTGGCCCCAACCACATTCCTGATTGCCCGGGAAGAACAGCCTTTGAAATTCAACATCTGCTTCTGGGTAGTTGGTGAGTGTCCTCTCTGGGCCCAGACAGCAGGATCTGCTCCTCTCTACTTGGGAAACTTTTAAATACATTTCTGTTTGCAGGTTGAACAAGCCCACCTGACCAAGAGAGGGAAGCACGCTAACTGTTTTCAGTTTGGACACTCTTGGGGGCTTTTTAGTAATTGCATGTGTTTCTGAGCAAGTGAGTGTCTTTTGTGGGTACCAGACAACAGGATTGCTCCTCTCAACTAGGGACAGTCTGAAGAATTTTGGTGTGCAAATTCATCAAGCTCACCCCATGGAAAGAGGAAGCTCCGCTGTTTCAGTTTGGACACTCTTGGGGTTTGTTGGTTGCTGCAGCACTTGGATTGTATTTTGGTGATTGTTTGTGTATGTCAATATAGCCATGGGAAGTAAGAATTTGATAAGCTGATAATCTTATGTAATACTGTTTGGCCTCATATCTTTGAATCTGGATAAGTTTGGCCTCTCCATGTGCCTCGTTTTGCTGCTGAATGGCAAAGCAGGGTGGAGTTTTGTGTATTCAGGCTTTTATGCTGTTGTTCAAAGCAAGGTCAGGCTTGATTAGTACATGATGTTCTTCTGTGGTTTTTTCTGGCTCCAGTCATCCTTGGAGTGTGGAGAGATTTAGCCTTTAAAAATCAAAATGCCACAGAAACTGCTATACCCAAAACTTTGGTTCACAACCTTCATTGGATTGCCTATCAGGTCAAAAGAAGTTTAGCCATGTGAACGTGTTCATAAGCCTGTGAGTTTGTATTGGTATCTCATGGCTAGAGTTCCAAGGTAAAAGTTATTGGATCTTTGTTTGCATGTATGTATATATGTTTAGATGTGTTTACATGTATGTATATTATTTCATATGTTGTGTCTACCAAATTGGCTTATAAATAAAAGAGCACTCCTAAATTAAGTCCAAGCAATTTTCAAGTTCATGCGACTTAAGTAAATCTTTAATAAACAAGTTGACTTTAAAAGTACTGGTAAAATAAAAATTTAAATGTCATTGGAATTGTCAGTATATATTTTTAACTTGGTTTTATATTTGTGTCTGCTAGATATTTTGAGGTGTCAGAGTTTGGCACAGATGATTATAAATCTATAAACCCAGCCAATACAAAAATAATCTTTGTTTCTGTGATTTTTTTTATAAATAGACTAATTTAATGTTGTTGGTTTAATGAATACAGCTTCATCTTCTGAGTTATTAGTGAAAATACCCATGTATTTAACTTTAAAATTCTTACTAAGATGGACACTTACAATTCACAGGTTACAAAATAGTTAACAAGGAAATGACTAGTTTGGTCTAATATCTTAGTTCTCATAAATAATCTAGATAACCTGTTTAAAAAATGAAAGAATTGAGTACATGTAAATGAAACAACTTATAGGTTTACTTTTTGTATAATTTTAAATTTAAAATTATTTTTGATGTTCATTAGGTGTCTGGGTCATTTCTAATTAATAAAAGGTCATGATATTGGGAAATATGCTTCTAAAAATTGTGGAATGTTCTCATCTATAAAATACTAACATCTGATAACTCAAGACTTCTTGCTTACTAGGTTTTCACTAAAATTTAAAGCTACTAACAATAAGATTTCTAGTTAGTGTATAATTCTGTATAAAAAATATGCCAAAAATATGTGTTCTTATTAACAAAAATAATAATTTTGTCTAATTCAGCAGTTATCTAAAGGTTGATTCAAATTATGGACTATGGTAAATTTTTGTCCTAAAATAAAATAATTGGTTATTTTAAAAATTAGGACAAAACAGAAAGTCCAAGCATGTCCAATTTAGTTTTTTTTCCCTGTTTCTCTGTGTCTATCTTCATGCACATACAGAGAAAATAGAAAATTGAAAAAATTTATGTAATAAAATACTCTTGAAAATCCAATAAAAAATTAGAGAAATTTGGCTAATTAATATTGCTCATAGTTAAAGCTATTAGCATTCATGAAGTTAAAATAAAAAATATTATACAAATTACATTTGAAATTTGGCAATCATTTTTTAATATAGTTAAGCATAGAGCCAGATTTAGCATGGAGCCAAATTTCACATAGATGTTTGCATTGCTTTGTTTCACACCGTATCTGCTATTCTGCATGTACTAAAGTACTTACCATTCACATGTCTGAAATATGTTTCTTAATTGCATGAAGTGTATAGTGGTGTTAGTGGACTTACAGACATTAACTTGCATATCAATAAAAAAAAAATCCATCCTGTGTTTTTTTTTTTTAGGCCCTAGGTAACACTAGCCTCCAAGGTAAACTGAGTAGGTGAAAAATTGGGAGTTGATTTACTGTTTATTTGTTTTTGCTTCTAATCTTAATTTATTTGATGTTTGTCCTCCTTTGGATTTTACTTATATATACACATATAAAACCATCTATGTTTTTTAGTTTCTAATGGAAGGCTTATATTTGGTTCTATGATTAGTCATTTCATTTCCTATGCATTTCCAACAATTCATCATTTGCTCTATTTACCTAAAATACCTAAGCTACCTTGCTCAAGCCATTTAAAATCGGATTGACTTTGCTTATCTCTTATATAGAGAGCTGTTAAGTTTCCTGGCATAAAAATAAAGGATTTATAAGTTCTGAACAGAAATAGTTCATTATATATTTTTTATTTAGAAAACTAGGTAACAGTAGAAATGTTTAAGTGGTGTTTATTTCCATGGTAACTCAATTCTATCAATAATTTGGGTTGGCTTAAGATCTTTTCCTTCAAATCATGAAGGAAAACTTTGATGTGGGTACTAAGTTTTAATATTCAGGAAAGATTGTCCTTGTCATTATCGAAATTATATTGATTGGGATTGCTTTCAAACTACTTTAGTTGTGCCTACCATTGTTAAAATTAAGTGACATTCACTTGGATTAAGTAGCAGTTTAAAAAAACATGTTCTAGTGATTTTTGAACCTAAGCTTTTATCAAATATGAGAATATTCTATTGATGTTTGGACCCAAGTCTTCTATCACTGTTGGGTTTTCATATGTGTACTTGAAAACACATGTTGCGCTGGTTTAAAGATTCTAGTGGTAAAAGTTACCTAATCAGCCATCAGTACTATATGTGAAAACCAATCTTGGAAATGTGTGACAATACACTTTTAAAATAGCTGAACAGGAATTATTGTGTGTTTGTTCTTACTTTGCCCTTGTTTTGTTGTGTACTACTGAAGTGAAAGGAGATTATTCGTCCTCATACTGAACTTCCAAAGCTGATATTTGCATTTGCCATTTTTTTATGGAGAGAAGTTAATGATCTTACTTTGATAAGTTTGCCAAAGGACTTATCCCATTTTTATGCTTTTGGTATAGTTCTGTAACTAGAATGCTAGCAATTAGATATATGCAAGAAGTAACCTAACCACTTTAATATAATAGCTTGAAGTGCTGCAACTGGACACCAAATGACAGTATTTTAATTTGTGACATTGTTGGAGAGAATGATAGGAATTTCTGCAGTAAAAATGTCCTATTTACTAATCCTTATGCTGTTAAGTTGCAAGGCTTTGACTCCTAGGTTTGAAAAAGGCATCAACTCCTGATAAATCTTGAACAGTGATGCCAATCAAAGCCTTGTCTTTAGACGTGGGAGAAGATGATAATAAAAATGAACTGCTTTCATGAGACACAAAGCCAGAAATGAAAACTATTCAATCCTTCTAGGCTCAGGAACTATTGTAGAAGAGGTGGGTGCATGAGAATGTAAGGGCCAATTTTGAGGGACAAAATTAGTTCAGAATAATATACCAAGTGCACTGATTTAAGGCCAGCACCTAGACCCATGTGGCAGAATAAGAACATTTTCTTAGAGCATTGATTTTCTCTGCAATAGAAAATTACAAAAATATGAAAGGTTAAGGAGATCTTACTTTATGGTCAAATTACTTTAAAATGTGAGGTGGTGTTTACTTTTCTTTGGATTATACTTAAATAAATGTATTTTTAATGTTTGTCTCAGTATTGTATGTGATTCCTGAAATTCTCATATGTATTAATACATGTTGTAATTATTATGATTATTATGTTAAATTTTTGTATGCCACAGAAATAACCAAATTTCCTTGTCAATTGTGTTTGTCCTAAGACTTTTGTCATCCACAATTCTTTGGCTTTGATTCTTCTCAAAAAGCAACTTATAAGCAGCTATAGTCCAAGACTTGCTTCTTTGGGGGAGTTCATGAAAAGGACTTCTGAATGTGGGTTTCTGATAACTTTGGAGATTGTGCCATTGGACTAAAGAGAAAACTTCCAGGACTTGATTTAAAAGGCCAATGTGTTTATAAAGATTGATAACCCAATATGAACAGAGCAGGAGTTGATTGTGTGGACTGAACTAATGGAGGAAAGAAATAATTTTTATAGCTTTTTTGAAACATTGCTGAGTCTGTTTTGTTTTTCAGAGCCTGGAGGAAATGTTCTTTTGAGTTATTTATAGCCTTTAACAACTGAGGAGAGTACACTCTTTTTAGAAGAATTTTAGGCATATTTCTCTCTTCCTGATTTATCCAGAATTCAGAAACTATTTGTGAATATTCTGAATTCATGGAACTGCAGTTGTTTGCATAAGTTCAATAAAAATCTGTTTTCTTTTATAACAAGACAAAGTTGGAGGAAATGGTTATTTTCCCTAGGCTTTGACTGAAATGGCATGTTTTCAGATATAAGCAGACTGTTTGGAGAAATTGATACTAACTTTATACAGCCAATGAGAACCCCTTAGGACTGGCCTGGCACTTCGTCTACACAGTTCCTTTGCAGGGTTCCTTGTCTGTGGTTAGTGGAGAGCATCACTTTCTGACAGGGCCAAGGAATCTCAAGTTGCTGAGGCCTGAAGAAAAGAGTTCACCCAATTCATACAGGTATCTGCAGGTGCAGATGGATCCTTGCCTGTGCTGAAGATGCCTGTGGAGGTCAAGTCTGATCCTTGGTTCCAGCAAAGCCAATTTAGGAGAGCCTATTTGGACAATGGAGAGCCTATTACTGAACTTTTTGTGGGTAATCAGGCCAAGTACAGTGGGACTGAAGCTTATTTTGCAAGTAGACTGCAAAATAGATCTATCTTTGGTGGAAGTGGGGAACTGGAGAGAGAGAGAGATTATGTTTTAGAAGAAAATTATAGTATAAGATTAACCTCTGATTTGCTTATTGCCCATATTCACCCGTGATGTGTAGAGTTGTCCACACTGCCCCTCCCCAGCTTGAGGCAGACAGAAATATTGATGACCAGATTCTCCATGATTCAGGAATTGATAAATAGAAAGGGGGGCACTGAAACCAGCTCAATTGTCCCATGGTACTAATGTTTATGGTCTCCTTTGAATAAACATAAAAATCAATCCCCAGTCTTGAAACATAAGAAAGTTAAATTTGTCTTATCTGAGTTCCTTTCTCAGGAAACCAACTATCGGTCCTCTCAGATAGTATCAAAGAACTAAAATTTACTAGATCACCACACCTGGACAATAAGATGCAGACCTGTCATCCATCATGACTACCTAATCTAACTACCTGCATCCTGTTGACCAAACTCTCTTCTTTACTCCTCCCTAATTCCTGTTCTCCAACACATGGATTCATTTCTTCTCTGCCATGTAAACCCCCAATTTCAGTTAGTTGTGGAAATGGATTTCAGACTAATCTCCCATCTCCTTGGCTGCAGCACCAGATTAAAGCTGTTGTCTCCAGCAATACTTGTCTCAGTGATTGGCTTTCTGTGTGGTGAGCAGCAGGACTTAGACCAAACCCCTGGTGTTTCAGTAACATTGTTACCTTCAATGTTAGTCAATACATCTTAAACATGGAAAGATCACACAATAAATGACAAAACTAGCATTAAATCAAACTCTTTTGGATTCCACAGACAGTGTATATTCATTCCATAACTTTATACTGCTTGTTAATTATTCAAACCACCTTAATCAGAAATTTCCAGTTTCCAAAAATTGTATTATACTCAGGTTGGCCCTAGGTTTATGAATCGTTTGCTTGTTTGTGTATGTCCTTAGGGTAGCCTTCAGTCCTTTTGTAGAGCCCTAATATGACTAACCCACCAAGAATCCATGCCATCTTGATTCTAATTAGTTTAGTGAACATTTAGGTTCTCCAAAAGCAAATTCTTTGTATAAGGAGATAAAGGAGTGAGCAAAAGTTTCCTCTGTTTGGAGATTGCAGGCAGTGTGGCACCCAAGTAATGAAAATAATAGTTAACAAAAAGTATAGGTACAAAATCAAACCAAAACATCACACAGAAAAACTAATATTGCCTTGACTCTCATAGTTCCAGCTAGACTTTTGAAAGAATAGTATCACTTCATAGCAACTAAAACACTAGCTTTAAAAAATTAAAAGTAACCACTAGGGGCTGAGTACCCTGGCTCACGCCTGTAATCCCAGCATGTGCTTATAATCCTAGCTACTCAGGAGACTGAGGCAGAAATAGTGCCTAAGCCTGGGTTTTCAAGGCCGTGGTAAGCAATGATTGTGCCACTGCACTCCAGCCCGGAGCCAGAATGAGACCCCATTTCTTCAAAAAAAATGAAATAAAAAAATTAATTCAATCAATCAATAAAAATGATCTCCAACAGGATCAAGGTAGATGATAATGAGAAATAAGAAAAATCCACTTACCCTTTTAATTGAAAAAATGCTCAGCATTACTGTATCTAGTTTTTCTTTTTAAATTAATTGGTAGAAAATGTAGTCAGAGGCTCTAAACATATTCTGCAGGGAGCAAAACAATAATCTATATGAAGATTTTTATTGAGATATTATATACATTTAATAAAAGGTACACATCATAAATAATGTATACTATGTTTTCACAAGTGTATACACCTGTATATGCACCCTATAAACCAAGATATATCACTTTTCCTTAGCCACAGGAAGTTTCCTAGTCCCCCTTCCCCAGAAATTTCCACCATTATCAGGAGAGACTACAGGTTTTGTATCTCCCATCATAAATTAGTTTTGCCTGTCCTTGACTATAATATATAGACAGTGAAACTTTAATGTACCTGTCGGGAGCATCAGTATCATGCCCCATTTTATACCAGATAAATATTCATTGTTTATCAAAACATATCTATCCTTGTTACTGAAACACCAGGGGTTCAGTGTAAGTCCGCCTGCTCCTGCACAGAAAACCAATCACTGACACAAGGAAGAAGGCTTTAATCAGGTGCTGCAGCCAAGTAAATGGGAGATCTGTCTCAAATCCATCTCCCTGATTAACTAAAACTAGGGGTTTATATAGCAGAGAAGAAATATAATAATGTGTAAGAAAGCAGAGACTAGGGAGGAACCAGGAAGCAATCATGATGAAAAATGGGTCCGACATCTCATTGTCTAGATGCAGTTATCTGATGAGTTTCAGTTTTTTGATACTTCTTTTGAGAGGCCTGAAAATCTTTCCCTGAGGAAGGAACTCAGATAAAACAAATATAATTTTCAAGCTTTAAGATCAGAATGGTCAGTTTCTGTTTATTGAAAAATAACTATCTATAGGACTATTGGGTTGGGATCATACATCTTCATGTATATGGACATTTAATTTTTCTCTGCTTTGGCATTATGAATGAGGAATCTATAAACATTTTTGTATGTGTCTTTTTGTAGATATCACCTTTTGTTTTTCTTCATTAAGTAAGTAGCTATAGAATTTCTAGGTCATTTGATAAGTGTATGTTTGATGTTATAAAAAAATCTTTGAAACAGTTTTCTATACTCATAAATTTTACAGTGATTTGTTAAAAATATTCAATTGGTTTGCATTCTTTCTAACACACTCTCAATCTTTAGCTTTGGCCCTTCTAGAAAATGTGAAATGCTTTTTCACTGGTTTCCCTGAAGTTTAACGGTGTTGAGCACCTTTTCATGTGTTCATTAACCACTGAATTATGTTGCTTTGTGAAGTGTTTTTTCATGTCTTTTTTCCCCCTTTTTGATTGGATTGTTTTATTTTATTATTAGGTTGTAGGAAGCATTCAGATATTCTGGGTATACAAATGCTCTGTCAGTTATATATATATGTGTATATATATATATATAGAGAGAGAGAGAGAGAGATACGTACATATCTGTCAGAGTATATATAGAAATATAAAATACATATGACAGAATATATATAGAATATATATGACAGAATATATATAGAATATATATATAGAATATATATAGAAATATAAAAATATATATGTGAATATCCAGATATTTATATATAGAGAGATTATGTATATATGACAGTATTTATATATATGCACCTGACATATATATCTGTTTTCTACCCAACAGACATATATATATCTCACAGAAAATGTTCATTTTACATATAGATATAAAATATCTGACACATATGTTTTATATATATAATGGACATTTTCTTATATATGATATATATATTCTTATATATACTTTATATATAAAATATTTGACATGTAATATCTGACAGATATATATATACATGTATACACACACACACACACACACACACACACATATAATGAAAATTTTCTTCTAGTTTCTGAAACTTTTTTCATTTTCCTAATGATGTCCTTTGAGGAGCAGAAATTTTTAACGTTTATCAACCTCAATTTAGCTTTTTTCTTTTGTATCTAATGCTTTGTTTTTTATTGTATAAGAAACTCGTGCCTACTCCAAGTTACTAAGGATATTTGTCTAAGTTTTCATCTTAAATGTTTCTGTGTCTTGTTTTTAGATTCAGGTTTGAATTATTCTTTGTGTATCAAATGAAGTAGTTTTTGAAGTTCACGTCATTTCATACAGATATGCAAGTGATTCCATGGTGTTTATTCAAAATACATTATGTTCATTCCTCTTCTAAATTCCCATTTTGACTTTGTTCAAATATCTATCCATCATATACATGTGTTTTTTCCCTCAACTGTCTATTCTTGTTCCTTGGTCCATTTGACTATTCTTACTCCACTACTACATATTCTTAACCACTGTTTCTTCACAGTACATTTTAAAACAACATGTGTAAGTACAGCAATTTAATTTTTTAAACAGTTTTGAGTATTCATATACATTTTGGAATAAGCTTCTCCAGTACTCCATATTAAGCACACTTAGATATTATTTTCATTTTTGGAATCTAGGTACAGTTTACATTTAGTGTGTTGAATAGACATCAAAGTCACCGAAAATGAGTTTTGACAAATGCATATGTAACCCACAACCCCCTCAAAATACAAAACATTTTAATTACCTCAAAAAGATTGCTAGTCTCTTTCCCAGACTCCTATCTCTAACCCAGGAGGTTATCAATGTTCTGATTTATTTCACCATAGTTTTTTTTTGGTCTAGATATATATATCTAGATATTTATATATCTAGATATATTTTATATATATATCTAGATAGTTATATGCACATAGGATGTACCCTTTTTGTCGGTTTCTGTTGCTCATATTATGTTTTGAAGATTTTTTTTGTGTGTGTTTATGATTTTTTCCTTTTATTGGTGGCTTAGATGTCATTTTATGAATATAACCAAATTTTAAATCAATTCTTCTGTTAATGAATATTGGATTGTTTTCTATCTAATTTTTGACTACTATAGACAAGTTTGGGATTAACATTTAAATAAATTGTATGGAAATATGTTTATTAATTCATTAAGCTTTTCAAGTAATCACTTTCATTCATCAGTTTCTGTTTTTCTCTGGTATTCTGGGCATTGATAAAACTGCAGGGTTATGATACACTGTGGGGTTAGCTAGCTCTAAGGATTTCAAAAGAATTTTTCCAGGAATGGCCTGATGATAAGGCTGGGAGCATGGAAGTTATCTCCTGTCTTTTCTTAGTGTGTTCCAACATCACTCAAAAGTGCAGTGGCAGTAGCAGCTTTGCTTACCAGAAGTCTGGCACTTGCTTAGAGAGGCCAGCACTGGCAAAACTGTGGTTTATTGAATAGATTAATCGCCAAGATGCTGAGTATCATGTCAGGCATTTTGTAATACAACAGGGTTACAAGCATGGAAAAGGCAATTACAGCCTTCAGGAAAATAATATTCTAGAGGCAAGGAAGACTTTACATGGATAATCACCATGCAATGTGACAAGTATAATGATAAATTCTTTACCAGGTAGAGTAGCAGAAAATGAATAAGTATTTCAGTAATAGTGATTGATTCCTAAAATAAGTTTTAAAGTGTAAGTGGGAATTTTCTAGGCTGAAAGTAGTGCCAGTTGCAGGATTCCAAGTAATGAAATCAAAACCACAGAAATGGAGGCTAGAATTAGCATGTTGTGTGCAAACACAATGTATATATTTTTATTTCACTTAACATAATTTCATTAACATTCTTCATATTTTTGCATAATCTGCATAATCAACATGTTTAAGAGCTGCATAATAGTCTACCAAGTTATCATTTAAAACATTTTGAGGATAGTGCATTGCTTCTTTCAAAAGTTATTTCAAGTTTTAGAAATAAAAGATTATTAAAGTTAAATCATATAATGGATATAAAAGATTTACACTTTTAGGATTATGCATTTTATTATATTATTTCTTCTTATTTCTTCTCACTATAAAAGGTTTTGTGTATTTATTCTTTGTAAATATATAACAGGCAGTATTATTCTTACTCAGCAGAGTCTTGGTATTTTAAACTCTAGAGGTCATATCAAATATTTTATCCATAAATACATCATTTTTGTGATCCAGTCACCACTAAAGTGAAAAAGATTGAAGTGAAATTCATATCCTACAAAGCCCTCTTCCAAAAAGTAAATCTTGCTTGTCAAAAAACATGTATTAGTTTTTAACCATAATTTTTCTGTGGTTCAGATACAACAAATAGTTTCATGTGTTTATGTACCCAACTATCCTCCTCCATCTACCCTCTAACTATCCTCTATCAATCTATTTATAGACCATATATACATATTGTGTTGAGGTCTTTAATGAACCAGATTCTCAACTGAAGTTGAAAATATGAACAACCTTATATCCATTGAGCCAATGTGCTCTATAGACGAAGAAATTTAAGGTGAATGAATGTTTTCTAGAGGTGGTGTAGTAACTGGAGGCAAGAGTATTCAAAAACATAGAATAAGTATGCCTATTCCAGCACACTGGAGAGTTTGTGTTTACCACCAATTATTTCTTTTTGTTTGATTACATAACTTCATTGAGACAGTTTAAATTGAATGGCATCTATTTCTTGTGGAATAAGTTCTTTACACAACTAGAAACTTAATTTTGCTTGCATCACCTATAACTAATATACCATATGAAAGATCATTTTTAGATATCTATGTGGGCCATTGAAGTATCAAGTAATTTTACTCACTGCCTTGAGTTTTCTCTGTTATTTGAAGCCCAAACAAAATTAAATTGTACTTTCTCATTTTGGAGAAGAGGATAAGGGAATGGTTGAGATTATCTTTGAAAACTAACAAGTTAATTAGAAAATGAATCGTTTGTATTTATTTATTATTTTTATAAAATCTCTTGTAGATACTAGGATATACATAAAGACAATACAAAGCAAATGAAGTTAGAATATGAAACTTAGAACTTATAAGAAAATGGTAGTAAGGCCACTTAATGCTAAAAACAAAGTGGGCATATAATATTAGTGCTTTGTTTCTCAAAAAAAAATTTTATATTATTTTATATTTTTATTTATTTACTTATTTTGAGGCAGAGTCTCTCTCTGTCACCCAGGCTGGAGTACAGTGGCATGATCTTGCCCCACTGCAACCTCGGCCTTCCAGGTTCAAGCAATTCTCCTGCCTCAGCCTCCTGAGTAGTAGGGATTGTAGGCACGCCCCACCACACTTGACTAATTTTTGTGTTTTTAGTAGAGACAGGGTTTCACCATGTTGGCCAGGCAGGTCTCAAAATCCTCTCCTCAAGCGATCCGCCTGCCTCGGCCTCCCAAAGTGCTGGGATTACAGGCATGAACCACTGCAGCCGGGTTCAAAAAAACATTTTAGGTAAGAAGTGTAATTGACATGCTATGTTATTTCAATCATAAAACAATCAAATGTCTCCTCTTTTCTGAGTGATTAATACAAAAGATTGGCTACTATTAAAGTCTTATTAGCTTAGTTTTCTGGAATTAAATTTCGAATTTAGATTTTATTTTCTCATTCTTTAATGTACCTTTCATTTTAGTATCAGGATATTTATATCACTTATGATTTTAAAATATTAAGGTAGTTCTGGACTTCTATTTGCCTACATGATTCAAAGTTCTTTGTGAAAAAAAATCAACATTTATTGTTAATTATTCTTTTTGTTTGCTTGTTTTGTTTTTAAGACAGGGTCTGGTTCTCTTGCCCTGGCTGGAGTGCAGTGGTGCAACTGACTCACTGCAACACCCACCTCCAGAGCTCAAGTGATCCTTCCACCTCATCCTCCCACCTCAGCCTCCTGAGTAGCTGGGACTTCAGGTGCAAACCACCACACCTGAACAATGTTTGTATTTTTTGAATAGTCAGGGTTTCACCATGTTGCCCAGGCTGATCTCCAACTCCTGAGCTCAAGTGAGCTGGCCGCCTCAAACTCCCAAAGTGCTGAGAATACAGGCATGAGTCACTGTGCCAGACCAAATATTCTTAATTCTAAAAGAAACGTGGTCCCACTCACTCTGTAATATTGCTATATAAAATTTTAACTCTTTGATACCAGAAAACTGATGAGGATTTTATGACAACTAAAAATCATCACCAGGTAAGTCTCCTTTCCCAAAACTACTATAACACTCTACAAATTATTAATAAGTTGAGCAAGTAGCTCTGGATTTGAGGAAATTATCTGTAATTCTTCTCAATAAAAGAAAGTCACAGAGAGTTTTAAGTAAATGTGTACTTCCTATGGATTTTAGTAGTCCACAGTGTTTTCGTTTATTTTTGTGATCATTTGTTTGGTGCCTACATTATGCTTATTTGTGCGTGGTACACAGATGGAAGATGTCCACCCTGACACCAATACTGGAAGATCTTCATTTCAAGTGGTCACAGCCCTCCCTTTTAAGATCTTGCAGCTTAGATAAAATGTACTTTAGAAATGGAGTCTGACATAATTTGGGTCAGCACTGGATCCAATTAACTATGGGCAGAAGGAAGCATCCGAAATGATATGATGCTTTTTTGGAAGTTGGAGCACATTAAAATAAATGAGGACATAGAGTGTGGTAGGGAACTAACTGTTTATCCAGAAGTATTAGTGTTTATATTAGAGTTTATCATTCTATATGCCTTTCACTTTTGACTCATATTTTCAGCAATAATACACATAAAAATAAAATATTTGTATAAACTCAGCTTTTCTTTTAGACCCATTCTGTTAGAACTTTTCTCTCTCAGCAAGTGAAGAAACACAACAGCAAGCCTTTGCTTGGCCTAGCACATGATCCTCCCTACGTGCAGAGTGAAGCAGGGCATTGGATCTGCTAACATCATTCAGAATAATGTTTAAAAATACTCATCATTGGCCGGGCGCGGTGGCTCACGCCTGTAATCCCAGCACTTCGGGAGGCCGAGGCAGGCGGATCATGAGGTCAGGGGATCGAGACTATCCTGGCTAACACGGTGAAACCCCGCCTCTACAAAAAATACAAAAAATTAGCCGGGCGCGGTGGAGGGCGCCTGTAGTCCCAGCTACTAGTGATGCTGAGGCAGGAGAATGGCGTCCCCGGGAGGCGGAGGTTGCAGTGAGCCGAGACAGCGCCACTGCACTCTGGCCTGGGTGAAAGAGTGAGACTCCGTCAAAAAAAAAAAAAGAAAGAAAAAAAACCTCATCGTTTATTTTACCCTATAAGAAAAAGGCATGTGTATGTATACTTGACCACATGCTGTTTTGTAATAATTTTCTCATGTTCTTTTTTCCCTCTTAGTAACTCAGAAGCTTTTGTTTCAAGTGCTACCTTTCATGTATTAACAAATCTTACGTAAAATTCTGAGCCACACTTATTCTTAAAAGAGGAATCAATAATAGTTTATGCTTGCCTATATTACATATTATTATGAATAATGTTCAATCCTGATAGAAAGCAAGATGCTGGTTCCCTCCGTGGTGGAGTAGTGATTGAGAGGGTATATGTATTCTATTATTGATTGATCTGAGTGTTGATTCCCTGGGCATATTTGCTTTTTGAAAATTGCTTGAACTGAATAACTATTATATGCATTTATATAATATTTCCTTGTAAATTTAACTTAAATTTGTCTTTGAATCACTAGCCTGTAAGATATCATGGGATGTTTAATATCATTAAGATTTCATGTGTATATATGCAGTTTGAAATAACAAACAATTTCAATTTTGAAAGAGACAGAATGTTATTTAAGTTGAAATAGAATCATCAAAATACATGACATTCTTATTTCTCAGGGGTGTGTGTGTATGTGTTTGTGTGTGTAACACATTGTCAAGGAGGTGTTTTAGCACAATGTTTTTAAAAATTCATTTTAACTGCCTGTACCTACTTTTTATTTTCTTTCAAAGGCAGGATCCTCCAAAATGTTTTTCATTTCTTGAAAAGTAACTTAGCTTCCACAAGAATAATAAAATAGACAGTATAGCAGGATACCCTACAGCGAACTACCATGGCAACAGATACTTTGGCCGAATCTTTCTAACCGTGGGCAAATCTGCCCAAGGCTGTCAAATCCAGTATCTCCAAATTGCCATTGAAAATATTAATGTTGCAAGAGGAATAACATTCTGTTTTGGTCATACATTTACTTAAGATAAATAACCAGCCATCGTGAATCACGGAGAAATCACGTGACCAAGCATTATATGTATATTGAAGTAAATATTAAATATGAATCATTTATAATTTTATTAAATTACTATATGGTAAAAAATATCGATTAAGTGAATCAGCATGGAGATTTTTATCCAGTTATATTAGTTTACAAAGTTCTGACAGAGCAAAGATTAGAGAATTAAATACTAGGTTGTAATTGACTCTATATGGTAATGTATCTACCAGCATAAAATGTATTTATATACATTGTTTAACTTTAATACTCATCTTCTTCAATTCAGTATACTCAGATATGTCTTCCTGTTGATCGACATCACTTATGTTTCACTGCTCCAGGAAGATTTAGGATAGGTGGCTGGGCAGACTGGAGGGATTTGGTGAAGAGAAACTGAAGAGGGGAAAAGGTAGAAGGAGAGACGAGGGAAAGGTAGGAGGAGAGAGGAGGGAAAGGAAAAGGAAGTGTGATCGTTAATTTTGGGGGTCAACTTGACTGGTTTAGGGAATACCTAGAGAACTGTTAATGCATTAATTACTTCTGGATGTATCTGTGAGAGTGATGGAGTCTGTGGACTGAGTGAAGAAGATCTGCTCTCGATGTGGGCAGGACCATCCAATTGGATGGTGGCCTGGAGAGAACAAAATAGTAAGAAAGGGTTTCAGCTCTCACTGCCATGGAGCTAGGACTCTCTCTTCCTCTTGCTCTTGGGCATGAGAATTCTAGGTTCTCTGGCCTTGGGACTCCTGGACTTACAGCAGAGCCCCCAACTCCCTGCTCCCCCACCCTCCCCAGTTTCTCAGGTCTTCAGCTTCTCTGCTTCTGAGGCTTTGAGATTTGGAGTGAGGCTGGCAACCTGTATCCCAGGGTCTCCAGCTTGCAAACAGCTTGTTGTGAGACTCCAGTCTCCATAATCCTATGAACCAATTCCCCTAATAAATCACTTCACACTTATGTTTGTTTCTATCTATCTATCTATCTATCTATCTATCTATCTATCTATCTATCTATCCATCCATCCATCCATCCATCCATCCATCCATCCACCTACCTACCGTCTATCTGTGCTATTGGTTCTGTCTCTCAGGAGAACCCTAATACCCAAAGTGAGTTAAATTGTAAGAAGGAGAAAGAGGAGATGTGGAAGAGGAGGCAGTTGAGGAAAAGCAGTGAGGAGACTTAGGATGATAAGCACTATATTCCTAGCTTCCCTTATGAATGGGAAAGTCCCCATGGGAGGAAATTCTGACAAATGGAGTTTTAATGAAAACGCTCTGTGAGGACTTGTGATATTTTCCTTTAAATGAAATTTAAAGAGCCTTTTTCTCTTTTCCTGAATCCTAGAATAACTTTGTGAATGGGAGCCACATGCAACAGAGAAGTTACAAGGGGTTGAGAGGACATAGAACTAAGCAACCGTAACAGCAACCCCCATTACCGTTCTTCAAATGTTTCATGTCAGGAAAAAAAATGTCTGTATTGTTTATGCCACAATTTTTAGGTCTTTCTCACAGCCAAACCTATCCTAACTAAACTGAGGCACATTTAACCTCCCATGTGCCAGATATAGAGCTGGAAACTCAGGATACAAAGGTGACTTTTGAAATCTGGAGACTGAGGATTAAATATTAAATCTAGTGGAATGAACAGTGATCAGTGTTGCAGTATTACCTGCAATGTGGAGTGCTGTAAAATGAGGTCTGGTAAAGCTTTGTCAGGAAGATGAGCCTTGAATTGACACTTGTCTTAAGGCAGGCCTCATGTCAGAAAGAATAAACTCATTGAATACACAATTGATCTAAATGTAAGTAGTTCTTACGCCAAAATCATGTAATCTGTATGTGAGAGCAATATAAGACAAGCCGTTAATCTACCTGGTGTAGTAAAGGCCAAATACTGAAACACTTCTTGAACTGATCTAACGGATTTCAATTTGTACTCTGTCCTATGTGCAACAGAGCAATATTTGAAGAGTTTTGAGTATTGGCAATGAATTGATTATGCATTTGTTTTTATATACTCTCCAGAAAGGTGGATTGAAATAATGAGATGGAAAATTGGACACTCAATTAGCTCTGAAATAAGACATGGCAGATGGAAAAGGTTGAACAGAAACTAAAGATGATAATTGTAGAATTAAGAATTTCCTTTTTCTTTCTCTAACTTATTGGAATATGGTTACTGAAGCTTCTCATCGTTACCTGAGTATGGCTTGTCTCTGTTTGATGTTGCTGTCTCTTTTAAAAGCACTAGTTATAGTTATGGACTAAACTCTAGCCTCCCTGCTGTTTCCAAGGAATTAGTTCTTGAGCTTCTTTTTTTACAGTATTATTCCTTTCTGGGTGATTTCTGCCACCTCAAAGATTGCAACCACCATCTATATATTACAGTATTAGAAGTCTTTGAGCATATACATATCAAACATAGTAGAGATATTAATAGACATGATTTATATGTCCATATTTAATATTTGGGCAAAACCAATAATGAAAGCACACTGTACCAGGACAGAGATAACTTAATTGGCTAAGCTATTAAATTGAAAGTGTCTGCATCATAAATGAGTAATTCAGCACACCTGGGTATGTATCAATTAGCTTAAAAAACAGGATGTTGGCAAATTCCCAGAAGACTATTTTGTACTCTTCCACTCACCAGTCACTTTTCCCCACCAGCAAAGATAAACACTATCCTGACTTTTGAAGATATAAGTTTGTCATTCTAGTTTGAATATTTTATGTAAACAAAATAATACAAAATATAATCCTTTGTGTCTAGCACCTTTGAACAATATTTTCTTTGAGAGATTCATTTATATTTTGTGTACTCGTAAGATACATATTATTATTTTTGGATAGTATTCTGCTGAATGAACATACATTTATTATTCAGTCTGTTGTTAATAGGCATTTTGGACTAGCCTAAGTAGTGCCATAAAAAACATTTTAGCAGGCGCATGCTGGACATTTATTTACTTTTTCTTTTTTTTTATTATACTTTAAGTTTTAGGGTACATGTGCACAATGTGCAGGTTTGTTACATATGTATACATGTGCCATGCTGGTATGCTGTACCCATTAACTCTTCATTTAATATTAGGTATATCTCCTAATGCTATCCCTCCCCCCCTCCCCCAACCCCACAACAGGCCCCGGTGTGTGATGTTCCCGTTCCTGTGTCCACGTGTTCTCATTGTTCAGTTCCCACCTATGAGTGAGAACATGAGGTGTTTGGTTTTTTGTCCTTGCGATAGTCTGCTGAGAAATCTGCTGGCCATTGCTTTGGTGATGTACCCAGGAGTGAGTCACAAGTTATGCATGTGTTCAGCATTAGTAAATACTGCCTAAGGGTTTTGTGAATTGTACAAATACTTCTATATACCCCTTCACTTGAAGCCTCTGATACTTTAATTTCTTACCAGTTTGGCATTATCTATTTCATTTCAGCCACTCTGATGGTTGTATATAAATACAGTATGTTACTTTTGATTTGCATTTTTTGATGACTAATGATGAGTTGCATTACTTTATCTTATTAATTTGAAAGAGATCCTTATACATTACAATTAAGAATTCTGTATCATATATATGAATATATAGTGAACAGCACCTCCCACTCTATGGGTTGCCCTTTCACCATGAAGTATACCTTGAGGAACAGAAGTTCTGTGAGTATAATATTGTTCATTTTATGAATTATTTTTCTTTTGGTCAGCAATTGTATGTCTTGCTTAAGAAATATTTGCCTACCTCAGGCTCAACTAGAAAAATCTTCTGTGTTTTTTCTCAATGTTTTACTGTTTCATATGTTAAATCTTGATCTGCATTCTGTCGAAAATTGATTTTCACATAAGCATTGTCACTGTTATTACACTACATGGAGTTGTATATGATTAGGTCTCTTTCTGGGCTCTCTATTCAACTTTATAGTTCATTTCATCTATGCTTTTCTAATTAGTATTACTTTATAATAGATCTTCATATCTGGAAGTGGTCCATTTTTACTTTTTATTTTCGTGATTGCTTTGGGTATTCATGACTTCATATTTCCTGGTACATTTTATTTTCCCCTGGTCAGTTTTCACACACACACACACACACACACACACACACACACACACACACACTGGCAGAGATTTTGAACTGTGTTGAATATATTCATTCATTTTGGGAGAAATTACATCTTTAGAATATTGTGTTTTATCATCAGTGAACATGGCATATTATAATTTTTTGTTCTTTAAAATATCTTCCTAATGTCTAGAGCTTTCAGAACAGTCTTCTCCCATGTGTTTTGCCAGATTTATTTCTAGGAATGTAATGTTTCTTTGACGTTATTATAATTGATTTTATATGTTTAAATGCATTTTCCACTTGCTATTACTTTTCTGGAATATACATATAAAATTGATTTATGTATATTGACCTTCTATCCTTGAACTTTGGTAAATGTACTTCTTAATTCAATTTGTCTGATATTTCTGAATATTTTACATATATTGTATCATTCATAAATAATGCAAGTTTTGTTTCTTTCTTTCTCAATTTTACGTATTTTATTTAATTTTGTTGCTTTATTGCACTGCTTTTAACCACCAATATAATAATAAATAGAAATGAAGATAATTGGCATCTCAATTGCAATTCCAAATTGGATGATGGAGAGGAGATGGAATATTTTATCATTTACTACATTAGATAACAGTGTTCTGCAGATACTCTTTATTAGATTAAGAAAATTCCTTTTGGACTTAGTCTGTACAATTAAAAAATTATAATTTTTTTCAAATATTGTTGCTGTCTTTAATTTTGTCAGTCTACTGAATTGTAGTAGATGATTTTCAATCTATGTTAAACCAAACTGGCGCTGCTGGATCATGCATCACTTTGTGTCATGATGTGTTATCCTTTTTACTTATCACTAAATTCAATGTGCTAATAATATGTTTTAGGAATTTTGTATCTTTGTTCATAAGAAATATTGGCCTACAATTTCACTTTTTAAAATATTGTTTTAGTATTATTGCAACAAAATAATACTTTTCTGATAATATGAGTTAGGAAGATTATACTAAATTTCTGAAAAACATATAACATTGATTTTTCATTCAATATTTATAAAAATTCTCTTATGATACTGTGCTTGGAGCTTTCTTCGCGTGAAAGTTTTACTTGTGGATTATATCATTGCTATATTAAGGGCTATTCAGTTTTTTTTTTATCTTGTATAATTTATGTGTTCAAAAAGTTTTTTCATTTTGAATAACTTGTCAAATTTATCAGCACATAATATTGATAGTGAGATTTTCTTTTTTACTTCTGATGTTGGTCTATTGGTCTTTTTTTTTTTTTTCTCTCTCCTCTTCTATCTCTTGGTCACTGACGCTAGAAATTTAGCAATTTAATATTTTCAAAGAACCAACTTTTAGCTTTGTTAACTATGTCTATTACATGTCTATTTTCCATTTAAATGATTTCTGGCATTTATTTTGATTATTTCTTCCCAGTTTCGTTGAGCTTACTTATTCTTTTTTATTAGCTCCTATAGTGACAGTATAGGTAACTTATTTTCAACTTTTAGTATGTTTTAATATAGGCATTTATGCTATAGTATCTTTTAAGTATTCTAATTAAATCTTACAGGCTTTGATAGATCATATTGTTATTAATAATCACTTCAAATTATTTACTAATTTTCAATATAATATCTTCTTGAACTAATGAGTTACGTTAAGTGTTTCATGCAAATATTCACACACTTATCCATTTTTGTCTTTCAAACAATAGAACCATAATTTAATCCATAGTTTTCAGAGAACCTATACATTAATTTAAAACGTTTGTTATTTTGCAGACATTTATGACCCAATACACAGTAAATCTTAACAGATGTACTATATGCATTTTCTAGTTATTGATTGTAGTGTTCAATATATATGTCACTGGATCAAACTAGTTAATTTTTCTTGTTCAATTCTTATATATAGCTAATGATTTTTTTTGACAGCTGGTCTATCACTTATGGAATGAGGTGTATTAAAATTTCCAGAAATTATCATGGATTTGTCTATTTGTGCTTTTCAGTCAACTTTTTAAAAGTATATATATATAATTGAACCCAAGTTATAAACAGTATATAAATTTACAATTGCATAACTTCCTGTTAATGTATTATTATATTTTTATGCAATGTCTGTCTCCAATAATAGCTCCTGTACTTTTTTCCAATCATTTTAAATGTATCTGAGTTTTTAATGTTTAAAATCTACTTATACATGACTGGCTATAGAGTCTTGTTTATTTTAATCCAATCTGTAATGATTTTTCCCTTTTAATTATAGTATTATGTCCATTTACTTCTAATTTGAATACATAGAGTTAGGTTCACTTTCAATATCTTGTACTTGTTTTATCTTTTCCAAATCTATTTTGTTTCCTTCTTTCCATTTTTTTCTTTCATATGATCAAGTGCCTTTATTATATCTTACTTTCTGTATGCAATGTTTTACTTATGTGTTTTACTAGCTTTATTTTTTTGGTTACGTTGAAATTACAAAACAAACAACTCAAAATTAACAAAGAATATTACCTCATATTAGTCTATCTTTAAATTAGTATATCTTTTATGATGTGTGCAGTTTTTAAAACTTAGAATTATTTAACTTCATTTGCTGAATATATATAAATGCCCTCCAAAATTGTTTCGATTTTCATACCACCAGTGAATCAAAACCCAAGGTTTCCTAGACCCTCCAAAATATAGTATTGTGCAATTTTTTATTTTTTGCCAGCTTAATAATGAAATAAGAGTTTATTATAATTTTTATTTGTGTTTCTCACTGACTTATGAATGTTCTCAACTTTTCATATGATGAATGTTCATGTGTTTTCTCTATTGTGAGTTTCCTTTTTTTAACTATTTCCTTTTATAATTTTTAACATTGTTACAAGATGATAGAACTTATTTATGTACCATTCAAAATATGTAATGTTGAGTCAATGATTATCAAATAACATATGAGATACAGATATTATTCAGTGCCCATCTTATAAAGCATAATATTAGCAATGCTATTGAAACTATGTAAGTTTTTTCCCAATGCCCTTACTCTGCTTAGAGTTAATGGTAATTTTGAATTTTGTCTCTACCATTTCTTTGCTTTAAAAAAAGTATGTATCAAGGTGCGTATCTCTTTGATTGTATCCCTATTCAGAGTTCATTGAGTTTGTTTTGGATATGTAGATGCAGAATTTTCACCAAATGGAAAGTTTTTAGCCATTATTTTTTCAGACATTCTTTTTACTATTTTCTTTCTCTCCTCTCCTTCTGAGACTACCTTACACATATAGTGATATCTTTGATGGTGTCACCCACAGGTCTCTTAAGCTTTGTTAATTTCTTTTAGTCAATCTTTTATGTTACTACGTTTTAGATGGGATACTTTTAACTACTAATATTCAAATTTGTTGATTCTCTTATGCCTGCTCAAATCTACTGCTGAAGAATTCTAGTAAAATTTTTATTTCAGCTATTGTACTTTTCAGTTCCAGAATTTCTATTTGCTTCCTTTTTATTTTTTTTCTCTTGACTAATATTCTAGATTTGTTGGAACATAATTCTCCTTGTTTTATTTAGTTCTTTGTCTGTGTTTTTCCTTAGTATGTTTAGCATTTTTAAAACTGTGGATTAAAGCCTTTATTTAGTAAGCCCAATGTCTGGGGTGCCTCAGGAATGATTTTGGTCAGTTTGTTCTTTTCCTATGAGTGGGCCATACTTTTTGTTTCTCTCCATTACCAATATTTTTATTGTTGTTGAAAATTGGACATTTTGAATTTTACAGTCTAGTAACTCTATAAATCTAAATCTCCCCTTCCCAGAATTTGCTGTTGCTTGTGGATTACAGTTGTCTGTTATTCTGTAACTTTTATAAACCATCTTTGCAAAGACTTTTCATTCCAGTATCTCATTGGTCCTCCAGTAACCTGACAGAAATTTCCTTCAATGCCTGCAGCTAAAAAGAAAAATAAATTAAAAACAACAAAACAAAACACAACAAAATTCTCCTGGTCTTTGCAGATTGGCTCTGAGCTAGAACAAGTTGAGTGAACCTCTGGTTTAGTCCTCATTTTCTGCTCATGCAGGTCCCAAAGATCAGACTTTTCCATGTATGCTTCCAGCCCTAGATATGCACGTGGTCTCCAGGATTCTCCAGTGTATGTGGGAGTCCTTTGAATTTTGATTCCTCCATGTGTCTTCTTCTCCAGCCTCCTGTTTTCCAAGCTTTTTGTCTGTCAGTTGCTTGCACCATTTGCTATCCCTTGCACCTAGTGGTTATGCATAGTATATACCTTTAAATGCTTCTGACCAATGCTGTCCAAAAGGGTGCTCCAGCCTTAGGAGTTGTCTAAGAGAATCCGTCATAGAGCTGCTGTCAAAATGAACAATCACAATTCTTTGAGAACAAAGTCTTTATTGCTCCCTCTGGTACCATCAAGCCACACCAAAAATATGCATCATAAATTCCACAGCCACGATTGAGCTCGGAAGCAGGGGATGATAAATGAGTAAAATGACACACCACTCTGTTACCACAATTTAGCATTTGTTTTCTTCATTAAACACTCCCCTGGTTGTTGTAAGTGTTTGATTAGATTCCCACATTCTGAAAAGGATTATTCTGACAGTTTTTGCCAGGCTAACGGTTGCTGAAACAGAAGAGCAGATCCTTGGAGCTCCAGACTCCACCATTTTCAGTGTGGCCCTCCCATTCCTTTGCTTATCATTGTTCTATTTGTGTGTGTGTGTGTATGTGTGTAAGCATGTATCACTACCTTCCTGTGTAATATTTCCAAGGTACAGATGTATTCTTTTTTACTCAATATTGTGGTTTGTGTGATGGCATCTGGTTTGTTGGTAATTTTTATTTATTGTTCAGTTACATTATATTCCATTGTGTGACTGTTCCACAGTTTATTATTCTGTCCTTCTCTCAACTGGTATTTGTGTTGTTTTCAGTGTTTTGCTATAACAAATTGCTACTATGAATATTCCTATCTTCTGGAGCACTTATTCACTAGCAGTTCTCTAGAGGTTATATCAAGTTGTTGAATTTCTGGGTTATAGTGTATGCACATTTTTTAAATTGCATGATCATCTCATAATGCACTTCAAAATTATTGTGCCAAATATTCTGACTAGCAGTATTTACTTGGGGAGTAGTAGTTATGGGACGACCCCAGATTCTTAGTTATGGAGAGTCTTCTCTGGGATCTGACATACACCCTAGCCACCCTGTATTTTCTCCTATATAATTCATTTACTATCTTCAGAGAAAAGAAATTATTTTTTCAATTGTTCCTTAATAAGCAAAGGCAAATGCCAGACATTCCACAAGTAGTAATGGGATCAATTTCTACTCATAAGGATAGCTATAAATGAAGAAACAAGGAAAAATAGATTCTAAACAATTATATATATGTGTTGCTATATTCCTGACAAATGAGGACCTTAACTTATGAAATAATAAAAATAACCTATTAAGGTTATTTTATTTACTGAACATAAATGGCTTTCATAAAATAGCTATTAGATTTGATACTTTCAACCTGACAACCGTTTACAGCTATAAATATTATTTTTAGTTTAAAATTAGGAAATGTACTATAACAAACCACACGTGTGAGAATTAAGTACCTAGAATCACCTTGGTTATGGTTTACCTAAATTATTTGTTCATTAACAATTGAAATGTATACCCAATGAAAGGGTAATTTCCTAATATTTATTATAAAAGCAATACCTGGTTTATTCATTCACTTAACAAACACTTTTCTTATTTGGCACCTACTTTATGCCAATCAGAGCTCTAGGCACTTGGGAAATGCATTGAGCTGAAATAATGAAATTATTATTTCCTCTGGAGTTTACATTGTAGTTGAGAGATATAGATACTAAGAAATAATATAATAGATTGGGATTAAGTGATATGGAAAATGGATAGTCAGTGGCAGTAAAGAGAGATATTTCAGGGAGTTTCATTATGAAAGTCCACACTGATAAAATGATTTTTGAGCATAAACAAACATCATGAAAAGGACAAGATACGACACGATCTTGTGAAAGATTCTTCAAGGACGTGGAAACAGTAAAGACGTAGTACCTGAAGTGGAAACACACTTGGAATAAGTGAGAAAGAGCAAAGAGGTGAAACAATGAGTAAATTGAGGTCATGGTGAGTAGGCCACATTACTGTGTGGCCTGGGTATTATAAAACTCGTAGATTTTTACACAGCTGGATCACATAATTTTACTTATCAAAAAAGATCACTGTCCGTTCTGTGAATATTAATCCTACTGGGAACAAGGACAGAAATAGTCCAGTTAGGAGCTTACTATTGCTTTCTAATTATTTTCCTTTGTGGTGGTAGACTTGGAGATAATGAGAAATAGTTAGATTTGGAATATTTTCAGAACACAATGCTGAAATGATTGGCTGATGAATTTTATGTGCTGTGTACAAGAGAGAAAGGATTCAGGGAAGGTATCTGAATATTTGGCCTTGAAAGACAGAATAAAAATATTAACTGCGACTTGCTGAGTCTGAAAAGACTTGGAGGGAAGAACTTTAAAAAGAGAGAATCAAGACATTTGCTTTCAGAAGTATTAAGTTTGAGTTGTCTGTTTTACATGTATAGGAAATGTAAATCTGTAGCTGGATATATATTTTTGAGTTTCGAAAAGTTTAGACCTGGAGAAAACGTAGAGTCATAATTTGAAATAAGTTCACAGAATACATTTATATTAAAAGACTTCGCCTTAAACTATGATTGGGATTCAAAGTAGGTTTATGATTTGGGATTTAACTAAACAGCTCCCAATGGCCAAAGTTGTAACAACTTGAGCGGTAATACAGTATTGATTATATCCCAGAATATAAAGTAACTTTGAGATAATATATGTGTTAGTCTGTTTCCATGCTGCTGATAAAGACATAACTGAAACTGGGAACAAAAAGAGGTTTAATTGGATTTACAGTTCCACATGGCTGGAGAGGCCTCAGAATCATGGTGGGAGGCAAAAGGCACTTTTACATGGCAGCAGCAAGAGAAAAATGAGGAAGAAGCAAAAGTGGAAACCCCTGATAAACCCGTCAGATTTCATGAGACTTACTTACTATTACGAGAATAGCAAGGAAAAGACTGGCCTCCGTGATTCAATTACCTCCCTCTAGGTCCCTTCCATAATGAGTGGGTATTCCGGAAGACACAATTCAGTTGAGATTTGAATGGGGACACAACCAAACCATGCCATTCTGCCCGTGGCCTCTCCAAATCTCATTTCAAAACAAATGTGATTTCAAAATCACATTTCAAAACTGATCGTGCCTTCCCAACAGCCTCCCAAAGTCTTAACTCATTTCAGCAATAACCCAAAAGTCCACAGTCCAAAGTCTCATCTGAGACAAGGTAAGTCCCTTCTGCCTATGAGCCTGTAAAATCTAAAAGAAGCTAATTCCTTCCTAGATAAATTGGGGGTACAGGTATTGGGTAAATACAGCCATTCCAAATGGGAGAAATTGGCCAAAACAATGGGGTTACAGGGTTCATGCAAGCCCAAAATCCAGTGGGGCAGTCAAATTTTTAAGCTCCAAAATGATCTCCTTTGACTCCAGGTCTCACATCCAGGTCACGCTGATGCAAGAGGTGGGTTCCCATGGTCTTGGCAGTTCCACCCTGTGACTTTTCAGGGTATAGCTTCCCTCCCAGCATTGAGTGTCTGTGGCTTTTCCAGGTGTATGGTGCAAGCTGTCAGTGGATCTACCATTCTGAGGGATCTGGATGATGGTAGCCCTCTTCTCACAGCTCCACTAGGTTGTCCCCCAGTAACGACTCTGTGTGAGGGGCTCCAACCCCACATTTCCCTTTTGCACTGCCCTGGCACTGGCTCTCCCATAAGCATGCCACCCCACTTCTGAACCAAATTTCTGCCTGGGCATCCAGGCATTCCCATACATCTTCTGAAATCTAGGCAGAGGTTCCCAAACCTCAGTTCTTGACTCCTGTGCACCCACAGGCTCAACACCACATGGAAGCTGCCAAGGTTTGGGGTTCCACCCTCTGAAGCCACAGCCCGAGTTGTACGTTGGCCTCTTCAGCCACAGCTGGAGTGGCTGGGACACCGGGCACCAAGTCCTCAGGCTGCACACAGTACAGGGCCTCTGGGCTTGGCCCACGAAATCACTTTTTCCTTCTGGGCCTCCAGGCCCGTGAGGGGTCTCTGACATAGCCTGGAGACACTTTCCCCATGGTCTTGGGGATTAACATTAGGCTCCTTGCTACTTGTGCAAATGTCTGCAACCAGCTTGAATTTCTCCTCAAAAAAATTGTTTTTTCTTTTCTACTGCATCATCAGGCTGCAAATTTTCCAAACTTTTATGCTCTGTTTCCCTTTTAAAATGGAATGCTTTTAACAGTACCCAAGACACCTCTTGAATATTTTTCTGCTTAGAAATTTCTTCTGCCACATACCCTAAATCGTCTCTCTCAAGTTCTAAGTTCCACAGATCTCTAGGACAGAGGCAAAATGACACCAGTCTCTTTGCTAAAACATAACAAGAGTCACCTTTGCTCCGGTTCCCAACAAGTTCCTCATTTCCATCTGAGACCACCTCAGCCTGGACCTTATTTTTCATATCACTATCAGCATTTTTCTCAAAGTCATTCAACAAATCTCTAGGAGGTTCCAAATTTTCCCACATTTTCCTGTCTTCTTCTGAGCCCTCCAAAGTGTTCCATCTCTGCCTGTTTCCCAGTTCCAAAGTCACTTCCACATTTTCGGGTATCTTTTCAGCAATGCCCCACTCTACTGGTACCAATTTACTATATTAGTCTATTTTCATTCTGCTGATAAAGACATACCCAAAACTGGGAACAAAAAGAGGTTTAATTGGACTTTCAGTTCCACATGGCTGGGGAGGCCTCAGAATCATGGCGGGAAGTGAAAGGCACTTCTTACATGGTGGCAGCAAGAGAAAAATGAGGAAGAAGCAAACACGGAAACCCCTGATAAACCCATCAGATCTCTTGAGACTTATTCACTATCAAGAGAATAGCATGGGAAAGACTGGCCCCCATGATTCAGTTATCTCCCCCTAAGTCCCTCCCATAACAAACAGGAATTCTAGGAGGTAGAATTCAGTTGAGATTTGAATGGGGACACAGCAGTAGATGATTGAACAAACAAATCAGTGGGGGAAATAGACAAATCTGTGTAGAGAAATTCCAAATAAATTATGTAGATACTCTTAAGAAGATGGAACATAACTCACCTTTCATTGTAGGCTGATTTTACATAGTGACATTGTTTCAAACAATACAGAATGGAAAGGCAGAAAGAGAGTAACTTTAGAATAGAGAAAACTGACAAATACTACTTTAGCCAGGTAAGCTTAACATCACCATTGACAAATCATATTTGCCAAAAAGTACCACTGATTTATAGCAATAGTGGCACCTTCATCCCCCAAATCCATAAGCCCAGTCTAGAAATGAGAAATACATCTGAATAACCCAAATGTAGGGGCTCTCTACAAAACACTTTGCAAATATTCCTCAAAACTGTTAAAGTTATCAAAAAAACAAAACGAGTCTAAGAAATTGTCACAGCAAGGACGAGCATAGGGAGGCATGATGACTAAATGTAGTATGGTGACCTGTATGGGATAAGATAAAGGACATTAAGTAGAAACTGATGAAACCTGAAAAAAGTATAAATTTAGACAATACTTTATCAATATTGGCTCATCAATTGAGAGAAATGTAAAATGGCAATGGAAGACATTAATAGTAAGGAAACTGGGTGTGAGATATATGCAAGTTCTTGGTAATATCTTTGTAATTTTTTCCATAACATAAAACTACTCTGAAAAGTTTATTTAAAAAATAAACACTACTCTGGATCCTTCTTTTCTCTTAGTCACAAACATGGGAGAATTCAGTATTTATATATATATGCCATATATATACATATATATATACACACACACATATACATGTATGTGTATATATAGACACACACACATATACATGTATGTGTATATATACACACACACATATACATGTGTGTGTGTATATATACACACACACATATACATGTGTGTGTGTATATATACACACACATATATATGTATGTATATATATACACATATATATGTATGTATATATATACACATATATATGTATGTATATATATACACATATATATATATACACACACACACATATATATATATACACACACACACATACACACACACACACACACACACACACACACACATATATATATATATATATATATATATATATCTGCCTGGGTATCCAGGCATTTCCATACATCTTCCAAAATCTAGGCGGAGGTTCCCAAACCTCAATTCCTAACTTCCGTGCAACCACAGGCACATATAATGCTGTATATATTTGTAAAAGAACAACTTGTAAGTGTTTATCTTTTGTTTACCCTTTCATTATTCATGAGATATTTTTAACTTTCTCCTTTTAAACTCTTGCTGCATTTCAAATTTGTATTCCTATCTCAGTGTATACATGGATGAAGGTGTGTGTATATGTGTTGATAGATTTTTTTTTTCCTTGAGGATTTTGGATTTTGTGCCTTACTTAAAGTACTATAGCTGTTTCATAGGTAGAGAAATATATCCCATACTGGAATTCTAGTAATTTACTGATTTCGTTGTTTTTTACATTGAACTCATTGTTCCAACTAGAACTTACTTTTAAATGTAAAATAGAGAAGAAAGGCATTGTTTTTTCTGTTGCCGACAATGCAGTTGTTGGAAAACCATTCCTTGATTATAAAAATAATTCCATCATTAATTTTAAAAGTCATATTTACAACATACTAAATTGCAATATTTTTCATTAACTAAATTTTTTCTTTGAACTGCACCTGCTCTCTTTCAAGTAAGGCACTAAGTATGCAATTGCTTTTGAAAAATAGGTGAGTTTTTTTAAAGGAATGAATGGTGTTGATATTTGCAGAGATACTGAAATGAAATCTACCAAAGATTGACAAGATATTAGGGAAAATAATTTTTTAAAGACTAGACACTGCTAGTATCTAAAGAAATAGCAGGCTGAACAGCAGGCAATCAAGTTTTTAATTTTAATGGATTGGCTTATACTTTGCCTCCTCCTATAGACTGGTGCTTTTTGAATGAAACTATATCTCCCTTTCCATTTTGTGGGACTTATGTTTAATAATACAAGAACTCAAACATGAGAAAAGGGGGTAAACATACATATACATATGTACATGCAATACATATACATATATATGCAATACATATGTACATGCAATACATATACATATGTATATGCAATACATATGTACATGCAATACATATACATATGTATATGCAATACATATGTATATATATAAAAAATAAATTTGATTAGAAGCATGTTAATCCCAAGAACATATTTTAAATCATCTGCATGTTCCAATATTTACTTGAACTAGTGAATACACACAGTAATTAGGCTACTTTCATCAATCATAATTACAGTTTTATACTTTTAATTTTTAGGATTCATAAATTAAAACTAAAACTTATCAAATTTATGACTATCAGTAATGTCATTGTCCCTTAAGAGTTAACAAAAGAGCTTCTGTACAGTAAAAGAAACTATCATCAGAGTGAACAGGCAACCTACAGAATGGGTGAAAATTTTTGCAATCTACACTTCTGACAAATGTCTAATATCCAGAATTTGCAAGGAACTTAAACATATTTACAAGAAAAAACAGCCCCATCGAAAAGTGGGCAAAGGATATGAACAGACACTTCTTAATGGAAGACATTTATGTGGCCAAAAAACATATGAAAAAAGCTCAAGATCACTGATCATCAGAGAAATGCAAATCAAATCCACAACGAGAGATCATCTCAAGCCAGTCAGAATGGCGATTATTAAAAAGTCAGCACTTTTGGAGGCCGAGGTGGACAGATCACGAGGTCAGGAGATTGAGACCATCCTGGCTAACACGGCGAAACCCCATCTCTACTAAAAACACAAAAAAATTAGCCAGGCGTGGTGGCACACGCCTGTAGTCCCCGCTACTCAGGAGGCTGAGGCAGGAGAATCACTTGAACCCTGGAGGTAGAGGTTGCAGTGAGCCGAGATCGTGCCACTGTACTCCAGCCTGGTTGACAGAGCAGGACTCTGTCTCAAAAAAAAAAAAAAAGTCAGGAAACAATGGATGCTGGCAAGGCTCTGGAGAAATAGGAACACTTTTACACTGTTGGTGGGAATGTAAATTAGTTCAACCATAGTGGAAGACAGTATGGCGATTCCTCAAGGATCTAGAACCAGAAAAACATTTGACCCAGCAATCCCTGAGTATATATCCAGGGGAATACAACTCATTCTACCATAAAGACACATGCACACGTATGTTTATTGCAGCACTGTTTACAATAGCAAAGACGTGGAACCAACCCAAATGTCCATCAATGATAGACTGGATAAAGAAATGTGGTGCATATACACCATGGAATACTATGCCACCATAAAAAGGAATGAGATCATGTCCTTTGCAGACACATGGATGAAGCTGGAAGCCATCACCCTCAGCAAACAAACACAGGAACAGAAAACCAAACACCGCATATTCTCGGTCATAAGTGGGAGCTGAACATTGAGAACACACGTGGACACAGAGAGGGAAACACACACCAGGGCCTGTTGGGGGATGGGGAGTGGGGGATGAGGGGAGGGAACTTAGAGGATGGGTCAATAGGTGCAGCAAACCACCATGGCACACATACACCTATGTAACAAACCTGCACGTTCTGCACATGTATCCCGTTTTGTTTGTTTTGTTTTTTGTTTGTTTTGTTTTTTTAAAGAAGAAATAAAGAAAAAAAGAGTTAACAAATATTCTGCGAATAATTTTGGAAGAATCTTAAAGGTAAACCTTGTTTAATTTTCTATGCCAGAATTTATCTGTCTTCCCTTTGTTTTAACATAATTCTTCCAACATTTCTTTTAACAAAATGAAAGATGATAGAATTGTTACATACAAATCTGCTTAAAGTGCTACATTAATTAGGCTTAGCTATTTCATCCATCAATGTTGGGAATTTATATATAAGAAAATATTTCCAAATGTCTTTTCATGTGAAGCATAGAAGATTAGCTACATGCCTGAAAGACACATAGGCTAAAAATCCTGTGGATATAACAATATTATATAGGAATGTCCTGTACTATATATTGATCATCATCATAGTTAGGTCATTCAGGATACTCTATGAATATATAGTTAAAAGGTAGAAGTAATAGGTATTTGATATTTTGATATAGTACTATTATTTTGGATGTGTCTCTGTAGTGACCAAATCTTTTCACATTTATCAACAAAATCCTCTTTTATCTTAAGTTGGAAAAGGAAAGCAAGTACGTACATTAAGAAAATAACATGCACTCAATTTCTTTTTAAGTTGGATTCTTCACAGAACTTTGAATAGAGTACTAAATTAAAGTACTCATTGGAGGAATGCTTTCTCTTATATATCACCAGGATCATTTAATAGAGGAATAATATACATGTAACACATTCAAATAAAAGGAAAAAATATGCAATTCATAAAAAATATATCTAAAACTCAACTGCCTAAACTCAAGTGTGTTTTCTAAGATCATTATATTAAAGTTTCATTGAATTAAAATTAAAGCTGAATCTTAGCTTCTGATTGGTAAGTAACTCTCAGGGATATGTTTTCTTGAATTATTGATTTGTTTATCACACATTGTCTCTCTCTAATCCTCATTATTTCTTTATGATAAAAAGCAATCTATATATTAAAAAATAAACTAAGGGAATACGCATTGAAAAGGCTCATCAGTGAGTCTTTTGTCTTGAATAATTAATCTAGTAATGTTTGATCAGGATGGGCTAAATTATGCCACAGTAAGAAACTCTCCCAAAATCTTAGTAGTTTAACACAACAATATTTCTTGTTTGTCCTTGATGTCCAAAGCAGGTTAAAAATGATGCTTATTCAAGCAACTTATTCAAGTTACTCAAGGACAAATATTAATGGAGCCTCCAGTTTCACATAAGCATCCACAGTATTTTGTTTAAGATGAAAGAAAAAATGATGAATCTTATACCAGCTTTGAAATCTTTCAACCAAAATTGAGATACAACACCTTTGCTCATACTATATTGAGCAAAATAAGAGATGCCATGACAAAAACTTCAAGCAGGCAGTTAAATGTAATCCTACCATATGCTTCAAAGTGGAAGAACCAGAAATATTTGGTAAATAATCATAAATAAGTAGCAGAGTCTCCATTTCTGGGTTCCAAGTATTCACTGTACTCTCTATTCCTCAAACAGAATCAGTCGTATCTTTCCACGTTAAGAAAACTCAAGTTTTGTCCAATCACCAAATCAAGCCAAAGTCCATTAATCCTTGGTGATCTGTGGCAGTGACTTTTCTTGATTAACTAAGGCAACAAACAAAATGAATAAACCTTCATTTTCAATTACCAATAATCACACCCTGGAGAAACCTCATTGATTACGATACTGCCAATGTACAAAGTGGTATGCAGCCTTTTCAGATTGGCTTCTTTCACTTAGCAATATTCATTTAATGTTCCCCATGTCTTTTTGTGGTTAAATAGCTCATTTGTTTTGATCATGCAATTATATTACAACATATTAATGTATCACAGTTGGTTTATCCATTCCCCTACTTAAGGACATCTTGATTGCTTCCAAGTTTGGGGAATTAAGAATAAAGTTGCTATAAACAGTCATTGCTGGGTTTTGTGTAGAGATAAATGTTCAACACATTTAAGAAATAGCAAGGAGCATGACTGGTGGATCACATGATAAGAGTGCATTTACTTTTGTAAGAAACTGCCAGACTGTCTTCCAAAAACGTTGCACCGTTTTGCATCGCCAGTAGCAATTAATGAGAATTCCAGCTGCTCCCCAGCATTTGGGATATTCAGTGTTTTTTCTTTTTTTTTTTTTTTTTTTTTTACCATTCTAATAGATATATAATGGTATCTCATTGTTACTTTATTTTGCAATTCCCATAATGACATATGATGTTGAGTATTTTTTCATATGCTTATTTATCATCTGCATATCTTCTTGGGTGAGGTGCCTGTTGGGGTCTTTTGACCATTTTTTTAATTGGGTTATTTGTTTCCTTTTTGTTGAGTATTAAGGTTCTTTGTGTATTTTGAATATCAATTCTTTATCAAATATGTATTTTCAGATATTTTCTCGCAGTTTGACTTGTCTTTCAGAATGATTTCTAGTTGTGTGTGTGGTAGGCAGAATAATGGACCCCCCAAAATGTCCATCCTCTAATCTCTGTAACCAGTAACTGTGTTACCTCATATGGTAACCCTGTAGACACCTGACTTTAGCATAGAGAGACCCATTTCAGGTTTCTAATTCCAGAATTATTAGGTAATAAATAATAAGCCTGTATTTTTTTAAACCACTTAGTTTATGGTAATTTGTTATGGCAGCAGTAGAAAACAAATATAGTATGTGAAACTAGAATTGAAAGGTGTGATAAGAAAATATTTTTAGCTTGTCAAAAAACTCAGTTCTAGGAGTTAAAAAAAAGAAGTCTGTAAACCAGATAATCTGCTGAAAATTGATTTACATGCTTATGAATATGCATGGTAGTTAAACACAGGTACAAAGAATTTTAAATAGTAGCTAGGGATCAGATACAGTTTCAAATGTTATAAGTGATATTGAAATAGTAGATAACTGAAAAAATAACCTAAAACTATGACAGACAGTGCCTTAAGTTTTTTTTTTACTTTTGGGTGAAATATTTAAGGTAATTTTTGTAAATAACATAGACGAGGGTCTTTCTTCCATCTTTGTAAACACATAAGTAAAATTTTGACATTTTATGTTTTTAATGTATATTTAACATGTGTGTGTTTTTTAAAACAGAATAGTGAAAATATTTAATTAATTTGAATAATAGAACAAATAAAAAGATAAATATGGCCCAATTATTTAAGCAATTTGTCTTCTATCTTACACAAATTACACTTAACAATTAATCAAATGGACATGTGGCAACAGATTAAGACTGCAAAATGTATTATTTAACTCTTGGAATAAACCAGAGTTTTACCTACACTTATAGAAGAAATAAATTCGGGAAGATTTTTCACATCTAAGAAGCTTAGAACATAGCAGGAACTCAATAAATGCTTACTAAATCAATGTGTTCTCATCTGGAGTGGTAGATACTAAGTGTAGGCCAAAATCTCTTCTGCTTACTAAACCATATGCCTAATCTTTTGTTAATCATAGAAAAAAATCCTGCTTATACATTTTATATTCAATCGATTTTATGGATTAAACACTTGTACGCCTTGCATTTCATTTCAAGCAAAAATAGCGATGAGTATTATTTTCTTGAAAATTTTCATAATAAATAGCAAAAGGTTAATTTCTTTATAAAAGTACATAACTATGGCTGAGTATGTAGAAAATATAGATAATTTCAAATTTAATGACATAAATCAAGGGTCCCCATCCTCTGGTCCATGAGCCATTAGGAACCCAGCCACACAGCAGAAAGTGAGTGGTGGGCAAGTGAGCAAAGCTTCATCTGTATTTACAGGGGCTCGTCATCACTGGCATTACCACCTGAGCTCTGCCTCCTGTCCAATCAGCAGTGGCATTAGATTCTCATAGGAACGCAAACTCTATTGTGAAATGCCCATCCAAGGAATCTAGGTTGCACGTGCCTTATGAGAATCTAATGCCCGATGATCTGTCACTGTCTCCCATCATCTGTAGATAGGATCATCTAGTTGCAGGAAAACAAGCTCAGAGCTGCCACTGAAACTACATTATGGTGAGTTGTATAATTATTTCATTATATATTAAAGTGTAATAATAATAGAAATAAAGTACACAATATATGTAATACGCTTGAATCATCCTGAAACTATTTCCCCCAACCCAGAGTCCATGGAAAAATTGTTTTTCAGGAAATTGGTCCCTGGTGCCAAAAAGATTGGGGACCACTGATGTAAATCACCCATAATCCCAGCAATACAATATTGTACCAAGTCATCATCCCTCATTTTTTTAATCTTATTTTATTTTATTTTATTAATTTTTTAAAAAATAAATGATTTTCTACTTTGGTAGTAAAGCTGGGGGAAACTCAGCTTCTTCCCATTTAATTTGCATATGGATATTACTATTGCCATTGATTTCTTTTTTTTTCAAATCCATTTTAGAATAAATGAAATGGATTTATACTGTATCCTGTGGATAATGAAAGCCATGACATTCAGGATGAAGAATGTTTTCCTAATAGTCTTTCAGCTCCCATTTCTGTTTGAATTAGTTCAGTTTACAAATGATGGCTCTAACTCCCACATACTGTCCTTGTTAGCACTGTGTGGCCACCAATGCATAAATCTGCTTCTTTCCTTGACATCCTCAAAATTAGTGACCTTCCCAAGAAAACTCATGTAAATTCTTTTGATGTGTTGCACAATTTATTATAGTGATTTTTAAAACAATAAAACCTAATACAAATAAATCTAAAATTAAACATAAAAATTTCTATAAGATGTGATTAATTAAATTCATTAATAATAAATTTAACAGACTACATCTCTATAACCTCATATAACTCCACAATACAGAAATTCATTTTCTAGGCCCTAGCAAGCACTGATCTACTTTCTGCCACTATATAGTAAATTAGCCATTTCTAGATTTGCATATAATGTAATGTCATATATTTAATATAAGTTTAATCATGTATCATGTCCTTTTCTGCTTGGTTTTGCTCAGAATAATCTTTTGGATAGCTATATTTTGCACGTATCCGTCTATATTTGTCATCTATATGTTACAGGTTTATTTATTTTGATTGCTGAATGGTATTCTATTTTATGGATATACCACAATTTGTTTATTCTCCAGTTGATGGACAATTGAGGTGTTTCCTGTTTTCAACTATTATGTTGAAGTTTTTTGTACATTCATGCACAAATCTAGGTGCACACATATATTTATCTTGGGTAAATGCCTAGGATTGGAAATGCTGAGTAATATGGTAACAATATGTTTATCATTGTAAGAATTGTCAAACTGTTTCCAACAGTGCTTTTCTTCTAGAAGTTTTAAGGTTTTGCTTTCATATTTATGTCTAAGTTGCATTTGAAGTCAATTTAAGAATATGCTATGAGGTCACAGTTCAGTTTTATTCATTTTTCATATGGATGTGCAATTGTTCCATTATTTTATTTTGAAAAGACTATCCTTTGTCCCTTTCAATTGGATACTTTCATCAAAATCAATTGATTACATCTGTGTCAGTCTATTTCTTGACTCTACTCAGCACCATTGTGTCTTGATAAGTCTTCTAGAAGCTATTGGTTTTGCTGATTTTTTCCCAAAGATTTTATTGAAATCTTTTGATTTTATTGCTATGATACAGTTTTTTTATTTTCTAAATCATTGATTTTTAGTCTCTACTTATTTACTTTCATTTATTTGTATTTAATTTCCAGTCTTTTTTTTTCTAATTTCTAATTTGAACATCAGTTTGTATAATTTTATCTCACTGCTTCACTAATTCATTATTTTAAGTTATCTTTGTATTTTGGTATAATTCTCCCCATATATAAAATTTGCAGTTAGTGCAGGGAATTGCCATACGTACTTCACCCAGTTTCTCCTACTGTTGGCATCTTATTTTATCAAGGTACATTTGTCAAAATTATAAAACTAATATGGGTATATTGTAGTTAACTATACTCCAGAGTTTATTGATATATTATCAGTTTACCAGGAATTTCCTCTTTCTGTTCCGTGATCCAGACCAGCTTACCACATTACATTTAAATGTCATGTCACCTTAGTCTCCTCTGGTTTGGGATGGTCTATCAGCTTTTCTTCATTTTTTATAACCTTAACAATTTTGAGAAGTTATAGGAAGGTGTTTGTTTGTTTGTTTTTTGTTTTGTTTTTGTATTTGTTTTGTTTTTGTATTTGTTTTTTTGAGACAGAGTCACTCTATGGCTCAGCCTGGAGTGCAGTGGTGCGATCTTGGCTCACTGCAACCTCTGCCTCCTGGGTTCTAGCGATTCTCCTATGTTAGCCTCATGAGTAGCTGGGATTACAGGCACCCGCCACCACACCTGGCTAATTTTTGTATTTTTAGTAGAGACAGGGTTTCACCACGTTGGCCAGGCTGATCTCCATCTGCTATCTCAGGTGGTCCTCTTGCCTCGGCTTCCCAAAGTGCTGGGATTACAGGCATGAGCGACGGCGCCCTGCCAAGGACGGTATTTTGAAATTGTCCTTCAGTTAGGGTCTGTCCGATGTTTTTCTCATGACTGGCCGGCATTATGGGTTTTTAGAAAGGATAGCACAGAGGCAATGTTTCCTTGTTACATTATATCAGGGGTTAAATGACATTCACATGGTATTACTCGTGATGTTAACCTTCATCACTGGGTTCAGGTAATGTTTTCCAGGTTTCTTTACTGGAAAGTTACTGTTTTATGTTTCTATATACTTTGGAAGCTGATAAATAAGTTTAACCCTATTACCCCCTACACACACCTTGGGGATTGATTAAGCTCTACCTCCTGAAGAGGGACCACATAGATACATTATTTGGAATTATTCTGTAAGAAAGATTTTTCTCTTCTCCTATAATTATTTATTCAGTCATATATTTATGTCAGTATAGATTTATTTATTTTAATGTCATACATTGGGTTATAATCTAATCTATGTTATGTATTGTTGCTCAGTTTGGTTTTTCACTTTTGACCAGAGGGAAATTTTTTATGTTGCCTCCTCTGTCCCTTTTCTCCCACCACACTGCTATTGGTATTATTGTTGTTTGAATTCTTCCTTCCTTTCTGGTACTATGAAATGCTCAAGGATTCTCTTATGTTTTTCCTGTTTTAGCCCTAAAATTTGCCATTTTTTCCAAGGATCTCTTAGTTCTTTTGTTGGAGAATATATTTTAGATCCCATCATCTAGGCACAGGAGTGCCATTGCTTCTAGCCTTCTCAGTCATCAGTGAATATATATGTATATTAATCAATGTATACACACATATTCATAACTTTTAGTATCTATCCATCTATGAATGCTTATTAAGCTAAATATAAATACATTAGAGTTCTCCAACTCTAATACAGTACATTGGGATCCACTCTAGACCTCCTTTCTTGCTTATTTGTAACTTTCCCTTCTGACAGTAAGAAACCTGGCTCCCAACAACACTGTTTACTTATTTATTCCACCATAATATACAAGTGCAATGGTTTTATAATTGTTAACCTCTAGCTCTAAGGTACCAAGTACAGTGTTTATTTACATATCCTTTCAGAACTTTAGCCTTACAGTTTCCAGTCTAAACATTTTTCCAAAGTTACATTAGATAAGCTCCTTATATTCTTTGCTGGTTTCTTTTTTCCCCATCTCTGTCAGTGTGGTTATATCAAACACCTGTAGAAGAGTTTGATTCATTTGTTATCCTCTGTGTGCCATCCTAGTATTCGTCAACATTCTGGCTGACTATTTTTCAATTATATATTTTGTAAAATATTGCCTTAATTGTTTTTGAATTGTCTAAGTGTAAAATTTTAAACATATATTAATTGATGCAGTTTTTCCAAAATATGTCGATATCCTAGCACATAAATTCTTGTAGAAAGATATGAGTAGTAAACACAAAAACAAACAAAACAGTTTAAAAAATACGACAGGGATTCCATTCTAGGATGAAAATAAAAATATAGCAAGGTATGTAGACAGAGTAATCTGTCAGGAATGCTCTTTTTGATAGGCTTATCAGGGAAGGCCTTTCTGATAAGAAAACAGTTTAACAGGAATTGAAGGAAGTGATGGTGTGGGCTGCAACGATTTCTGCTAGAGATGTTTTCCATGTAGAGTGAACAGCAAGTGAAATGACTGAAATTGTAGCCAACTTGTAGATGTATTCCAGGAACAGCAAGGAGGCCAGGTCCTATAGGACACTGTAAACCACTGGGGAAGGATAGAAAGAGATGTGAAGACAGCAAACTATCAGAGTGATCAATCAAATCTTATAGCGATTAACAGACAATTATAATGAAATGGATAATTTTTCTAATTTAAATGGATCTATTAAATGATTTCCCATAAGTTTTGTTGTGAAGGCTAAGTGAAGGATGGACTTCAAAGAGTAGTGAGGAATCAACTTTGGCCAATGTTGCTGGTAGGACCACTAAGATGTGGCCTATGATTGGAGAATAGCAATGTCAGTGCAGTGGCAGAATAAATGTCTTAATAAATTAGATTCAAGAGACACTGTAAAAATCAGAAGTGGATGCAGAAAATATGGACAATAGTTTCAAAGAGTTTTGCTCTAATGTGAAATAGAAGAATGGAGAGGTCATTGGAGGGATATGTGAACACAAGGAAATGTTTTATTTTAAGATGAGAGATATTATACTTGGTTTCCATGGTGATAGAAATGATTCAGTACAGAGCAAAATATGTTTGTAGGAGAGAAGGAATAATTTCATAAGTGAGTAAGCAGGAAAGGATAGAATTTTGTGTCCAAGTGGAGGAGTTTACCTTAATTCACTTAAATTAAAAAAAAAAAAAAAACCCAGAAGGGAAAGCAGTGCATTTGGGTGTAGATGAATATTTGTTGTTATGGTAAGTGCATAAGTGGGTGGGAGAAGAATGTACAAATTCTATCCTGAATGTTCCACACAGTGTAATAAGAATAAAGATCATCGGTTGATGCTCATAAGAAGAGACATGGAGCTGGAAGGAAAAAGAAGGCATGACAGAGGCATGAATGGGTGTAGCTAGTGAGTTAACAAGGGAACCCAAATGTAATTATTTGTCAGAACTGAAAATTTGCTTAATGATTGTGGTCATGATTTAATGTGAAGCAAATCAACACGGATTTCTTATTTTCTCTGCTACATTCAACTCCTTGGCTACTGGTATGATGTGTGCAGGGTTTTATTTAAATAGGATTGAGTGTACGGGGCATATATGACAAAGAGAAGAAGGTGTAAACAATTGATTATATAGATATTGTGCTGGGAGTTTTTTTGCTAAAATATAGTATTAAACAATGGAATATAAGCAAGAAGTAAGACTATGAGTGTATGAGGATAAAAATATAATCTTATTAAGAAGTAATAGGGTAGGAAAAATATTACAGTTGAATAACTAGATTAAATCAATTGAAATTTTAGAATGTTGTATCTGGCGCTAAATGTAAGACTGTGGAAGGAGTTCAGATCTAGGATATGATTATTGATATAGTGATTGAGATGGGGTGAAAAACAAGATCATCTGAGTTGGGAAAGTAAAAGAATGAGTAAGATCTTTTATATCAATATTAAATTCCTAAGAGTTGTGACAAATTGTGATGGAGAAAAATGAACCAATTTCTAAAATCCTTGAGAAGTGAGAGTATACTAGGTGGCATATAGAATTCCAAAAGAAAGAGTAGTAAATAATGTAGCTGAATATCATGAGGTGTTTTTTTTTATTGTTTGTTTTTGGAGAGTCATGTAGAAGAGAATAAAGGTCTAACTTCTTGAAGTACTTGAGGTGTGGGAGAGAAATAGTCTGAATGTACTACAAAGGAAGGTGTGTTCTCTGGGGTTAGCCAGAATTCAGTCTAACCCCTAAGGTAAAATTAGTTCCATCATAATTTTATGTTAATAGAAAAAGAGTGCAGTTGGAAGTCTTCATCTCATAATCTAAATATTTTCAGTGTTTAAATAAAGCTCACAAATCACTAAATAAATTGAGTTCTATCCTTCTACTTCATAAATGTATTTTTATTTTGATAAAATGTGTAAAGTATTTTAAAGTGACCAAAAATTAGTAAAAGATCAAAGATGATTGAACTTAATTATCCTTCTGTATGTATATGCTCTGTTGATGGGACAGAAATATTTGCATGAGTGATAAAATGAAAATACTCATCACTCTTGCATTATTACATATTTAATTCAATTTATTTTTCTCATTTTAGCAAAATCATTACTTCCACTATTCTAATATTTTCACACAAGTTGTGTACCTATTAACAAAAATAACTGAAACAATATACTTTCATAAAAGTGTAAACTGACAATGTAAAGCTTTAAAAATAAACTTCATGCCTTCAAAAACTTTTTTCTAAAATATTTGAAATTATTACAATTGAGGACAAAAATAAGAAATCAAAATAACAAATCAAAATTATTTGAGAAGTGCAGATTTTTTAATTTAAAAATTAATTCAACTGAATTGAATATATTTGGCAAAATTCATTTCTAGCAGGCAATAATCATCCAGTTACCTATGGGAAGAGTCAGAATTATGCCTTAAAGATGTTTTTTCTATATGTATTTCACATGTAGAAATCTTATATATAGTATTAAATACTTAATATTGTGAGGAATTCATACCTCCACGTAATTAGAAATCATTTACTCTATTGCGAATGTTTTACTAATTTGTGACTACCTCTATAATCATAATTGAAACAAAAATAAATATAGGAAAATAGATGTTGAGCACTACTTGGAAATAACACTTCCATATGTAAGAATTTATTGCATTCTTGCTGAATGGAAGATCTGAAAGTTAATTAATCTGTCTTTTTCCTTCCTTAAGCATTTCTGCTGTTCAAATTCTCTCTGCATTTCATGACAGCATCTACATTCAAGATTCCCAGAGGCACCATCCACAAAGCTCTACAGCATTTAGATGGAGTTGCAATTTGTTTCTAAGACAGAGGACAAGAAATATGAAGAAGCCTTTCCCTGGAGGCTGATCCACGTGATTCAGGAGAGGAAATGTTTAGAGTTAGAAAGACTCCATACAGTGCCTAGCTCCAGATAAGGCTCATGGTTCTTTCACAGTTATGTGTGAATATGAATGTGGCTTTTATATATGTGGGCTGCTTTTTAAATGAAAGGTAATTTTCTTTTTTATCAGTCTGGGAGACAAAAACCAATGGATGTGTGAAGTATTGGAGTGATGTTAACAGGAGCCCTGAGTGCACTGACTGTCCGCCTTGCAGTCCCACACTGTCGGCCTAGAGACCAGAGGAAGGATCTAGGAGCAGGGAGAGATCTGTGGCTCCTCTTTGTATTCCCTCTAATGAAGGTGTGAAGGTTAGAGGAAAAATACTGTTACCCAGGTCATTGAAAATACCACAGGTAATTTTAATTTCTACTGGATTACTGTAATTTTGTTTTCTTTTTTAGTTTTTAGATTTTTTTATCATTGACTCTTGCTTTTTTATTATTAATAGTCATATTGGCTACATAAAATGTATAACAAACATTACATTATTTAGTATAATCTGTAATAAGCTATGTAAAATGAGAACTACATGTCCCTTAAGAGTTTAAAAGAACTTTGAGTAAAACTGCATTTCTTTGAAAATTTTAAGGAAAAAAAAAAGATATTTTAAAGTTTTACAAAGTGAAGTCCCTCTAATACCAAATTTTCTTTGCAGTCTCTTAGTCAGGATAGAGTTACTGAGCCTCTATTTCAGCATTCTAGATCCAAACAAAAAGTGGCAATCACCTCTTTGATTGATGATTTACTGTATTGGAGGACTTTGAGAATTTATTTTAAAATTAAGTATATCCAAAAGATAATTTTATTTATGAGAACTGTAAATATCTGCAGACATTTTCTCTTTCCTATTCTAAAACTTACTAAAATTTTAGATACAGGAATTCTCTGTTGAAAAAAATATATATATGTATAGATAGATACACACGTATATATATACGAAATGTGAGAAAAAATATATATATATATTCCTTTGATGGTCTTTAATATTTAGTTTAAAAACTTTAAGGAAATCATAAAACTTTTAAATTTCAACTCTCTCTAAGATTATATGGGCAGTTAAGTTTAAATATAGAGCATATATTTCTTCAGTTAAAAGGAAGTGTGTATTTACTGCTGTTCAATTAGAAAAAGCAATTAACACCTGCCTAATCATAAGCTACACTGTTTTTTATGTTTAGATTTTCAAAATAGAGCTTGCCCATAAGGACATCTACCTACTGGGGAACATAGAATTATTTTGAAAAGTTTGTTAAGAATTGGCTGATTACTTGACCTAAGGATTTAATTCAGCATGAATACACAAAAGAAAGAAAATGTATATTTGCTTGTGTTCAAGTCTGAAATTAAGCTTTGGTCTACGGTTAAATTAATACAGCCCTGAGAACACCTTGTCTTAACTTCCTAAAAATTAATTTTGAGAAATAGATTTAATAGTACCAAGGTACATTGTTGTTATAATGAAGAAGGCGAGAATAGTTTTTATTACCTTAATTGACGCGCTTTTATAAAACGTCATTTGCATCTGGATTCTAAAGGGAACGTGAATTATTTTTGCACGATTATGATTTGGAGTAATATTGAAATATTAAAAAAATTCATCCTTTTATTCTTAATTGAATTCCAATGCAGTAACTTCAAAACAATGGAAATAGCATGAGGCCAGAAAGGGGAAAGGGAGTAGTTGACACTTTGCATACCACCAGTAACATGGAATAGGAGGGATGCTACAATTATAGGATGCTACTAAATATGAAAATTTATTCATTAATTCAGCATTTGTACACTGAGCATCTACTATGTGTCAGCTATCAAGTATGTAATGATGAGCGAAGAAAAAAAAACAAAAAACAATAATCAACCCAAAAAGTAATACTGTCATGTAGATTATAGCATTAAGATTATCCAAAACTTAAACATTCTACAAATAGATGTGAAATTAATTACAAGTGTTAAAGTGTTATTACTGCTACAAAAGAAAGGTAATGTTTTGCAAGATCATAGAATAGTCAACTTAACCTTGTAGAAAGATCAAGGAAGTCTTCCCAAGGAATTAAATGATACTTTCATTATCTTTGCTTTACCTGTGAAGAGCTGAAGTACAGTTAAATAACTTGCTAAAGTTTTCACAACTGCTAAGTGATAAAGACAGGACTGGGATCCATGCACTGGTGCCAGAGCCTACAATATTAACCCCTCTAATATACTGTCCGCCACTGAATTCCTTACTATAATGTCAAGAGTTTATTAGGCAAGCTTCATCAGGTTGACTAAGCAATGGTCATCAAGGGAACAGTAAAGAGAGGTTAGGAGAGAGGAATAATTAGAATTATAATAACTCAAATATGCAGCAACCTCACGAATTAGGAAAGGAAAAGAAAAAGAAAAATAAATAAATGTATAACTAGCCTTGAATCTAGTTTATGGAAATAAGTAGTTTTCATCTAACAGTCTGCATAGGAAACTACATAAGCTCAATTCACAGAATGAAGATAAATGATTATTAAAAATAATCCTCATCTATGACAGAATACTTTGTGCCCACTCCCAATCATATCATTTAAAGCTAAATTACCAAAAGCATGTCATTTGTCTTTGAATTTCAGGTTTATTAACTGTATAATGGCAATTGAATTACCTTTCCTGGAATTAAAGGTAAACAGTCTTTTCCCCACATTATTCTGAAATTGATTTTGCTTTGAAGATAACATGTACACTTACATTGTGTTTCTGTTTCATGAAAATCTATTGTTAATGCTAAATATTTTAAAATAATGTTTTCATTCATTAATTCAATGAATACTTAGAAAATTCTATTGAAGATACTGGACAAAATTAAGAGAGGCATAATTTTGGAGCTTACATTCTATAGGAGGAGAAAGAAAATTAACAAGTAGACCAAGCCATGTATAAATACAATTTATGTTTATAATTGAATATGGAACATGCAGAAGCCATTCTCAAATGGATAACTCTAGTCTGGGTGGAAATCAAACATTTCTTGCCCAATGTACCAATGAGACTGTACCATAATAATGTGTAAATATTCCTAATATAAATAATAGTATAAGTAATATTTGCTTCAGTGCTTCAATTTCTTAATCAAATACACTAAAGAATAATTGTGGATCTTTAATTTCTACATTTTACATTTACTTTGCTGAATAATTATTATATTTATAATATTACCAATATTTAATAACCTACTCTACTGTAGTAGGGCTTCTACGGTAGGAAAGCTAAGATTGTAAATCCTATTATAAAGTTTTGTTTTTCCCTTAAGCAAAACAACTCCTATTTTTTTTGTGTAAACTCATTTTTCTACAATAATTGGATGTTTTAAAGAGACATAGTTATTCTTCTGGTATTTTCTATTTTATTTTTTCACTGCAAATTCATCACCTCATTCTGTTGACTGGATCAAATTTATTATTAATGTATCACCTGGGCTGTCAGTAATTTTTAACATGTCAATATTTTCCAGTATTTCTAGTAAGTATGCTTTACCAGAAACATACATATTTTATAGTTTTTCTTTGCTTCTTAAATTTTCCTTTATTTATTTTCAGAAGTCTTTGTCTTTCTTTTCACTGAGAAAGTCAACCATGGTTTATGGGTCAGCTTAATTTTTTACTTAAAGGAGGTCTTTCCTAATTACCTAATTTAAATTGATATCCACTCAGATTGTTCTGTTTTATTGTATCCTAATGTTTTCCTTCATCTGTCACATTTCAAAAGTATTGCTTATGTAAGTCCTCAAAAGTATTGCTTATGTAAGTGTTTTAGCATACACTTTTCCTACCACTTGGAGTCTCATGGTCCCAGTGACTACGTGGGTTTTGTTCACTGATACATGCCCAGTTTTTAGCACAGTGCCTTGTACAGAGTATGAAATATTTTTCCTGTAAAGAAATGAGTGTTGGATGTTACAGTCTGTGATAATAAGGAAAATCCTGCCCTTCATTTGTTACTTTCTCTTGCATAAGAAATACTTCACTATTATTTACCTTAATTCTTATCTCAATTCTAATATGCATGCTGGTTTGTGCCATTGCTAAGCTCTTTTAATTGCAAAAGACAAGAATATTTGTTTTTAACAGAGTAATTTGTTATGATTCCACATCCTCCAACAGTGTCATGGTACAAACATAAAATATAATAGAGAACAATGACCAACTTTTATCTCCTTATTCTAGTTTTTATCTCCTTGTGAATTAATTTTAGAACTCAAAACTTAGATAAAAGTATCTATGGAGATTTCTTCCTTTTCATTTTACTTTACCTAATTTTATTGGCTTGAAAGACCTCATTGTGCTTAATTAATATCAGTGATCAAATCTATTATGTTCACTTTCACTATGTAGGTCTTTAAGGGGTACCAACCACTCAAATAGTCAAAAAGTCCATGTATAACTTTTGACTAACCCAAAGAGTTAACTACTAATAGCCTATTATTGACTGGAAGCCTTACCAATAACATAAACAGTCAATTAACACATATTTTCTATGTGATATGTATTAGATACAGTATTCTTACAATAAAATAAACTAGAGAAAGGAACATATTATTAAGAAAATCATATGAAAGAGAAAATATGTTTACTATTAAGTGGAAGTGGATCATTACAAAAGTCTTCATCTTTGTCATCATTTTGAGTTGGCTGAGGAGGAGAGGAAGAGGAAGGATTGGTTTTGCTGTCCCAGGGGTGGCAGAGGGGGAAGGAAATCTGCATATGAATGCATTCATGCCATTCAAACCTATGTTGTTCAAGAGACCACTGTAAATTAAAAAGGCATCAGATTTTTTCCCCTTGTTTCAATCTTTTCTCCTATGCCTACAAATAAGATGTGATAAATGTTAGACTAAGTGATCTAAATAACATGAGCACTGGCCAAGGATATTACTTATAACATGTGATGAACTTACACACATTTTAAAAATTATTTTGTTTTACTCTGTCTGAGATTTGATTGCCACTTCACCCCACCCCCTCACCTTAAAATGCTTGTACCAAGGGAACTGGAGTCAGGGAACTGAAAAGAGTAAAGTATAGAAGGAAGAAAAGTCACTCTAAGAGTTGTTGTTGTTGTTGTTGTTTGCTTATTTGTTTGCTTAGAGACAGGGTGTTGCTCTGTCACCCAGGCTAGAGTATAGCTGTGGGATCATGACTCACTGCAGTCTTGAATTCCTGGGTGTAATTGATCCTCCCACCTCAGCCTCTTGATTAACTGGGACTACATGCACACATCACCATGCCCAGCAAATTTTTTAAAAATACATTTTTTTGGTAGAGATGAGGTCTTGTTATGTTGCCCAGGCTGGTCTCAAACTGCTGGCTTCAAGCAAACCTCCTTTGTCAGTTTCCCAAAGTACTGGGATTACAGGCATGAGTCACCCTGACTGGCCCTACCTAAGAGTATTTTTTAACACTGATTTCTGCTTTGAGCCACTGGGTCTTGATCCTTCTAAAGACAGTGTAGAATCTACTTGAGAATAGAATGGAATGGAATTCAATGGAATGGAATTCAGTGGAATTCAATGGAATTCAATGGAACAGAATGAATCACATAAATGCAACTGAGAATTTTCTGTCTGAAAAATGGAAGGTGGGGATTTTATAGCCATCAGATCCCATCCCTTGTTCTTTAAAGGTGTGTAAGAGTGTGCATGTGAGCAAGCTTGGCAGGCATCCAGGGAACAAAAGCACAGGAGCCCTAAGAAAGAAAGAAAAACTTAGGCTTTGTGAATCTGTCCCTGTGTGCAGCTGGAGGCCACAGGAACATTCAGGACACAAAGATGAGCTAAGAAGTTGTCATGTGTGGTATAAGATGTCTGGCCAACATTGTGATAGGAAAAGTAATAGATCTAATTATGGTTCATTATTAAGATTCAAGAAAAACGATAAAAAGGGACAAGAAAGAAAAAAAGCACTGATGATACCACTGCTCAGATAAAAATCATTTATAACTGGGACATTTTTTAGAATACCAGACCAGAATTCTTTCAAATTTCAAAGCAATGAGTAACAATAAATAAGTAAGCAACTGTCAAAGACCAAAGGAGGTTGAGGAGAAATGACTAAATATAATGTAATATCCTGTATTAGATCTTGGTCCAGAGAAAGAATTTTTAAAAACTGGTAAAATGTAAATAAAGCCTTTTGTTTAGTTAATAGAAATGTACTAATTGATACAGGGCTGGCAAGCCCTAAAGTGGAGCTTAGCCCAGGAGGGGGTTCTTGGCCTTGCCCAGGAAAGAATTCAAGGGTAAGCCACAGGTAGAAGTAAACAACTTTACTGAAGAGGCAGTGGTACAGCTCTATGATTGCTACTGCAGAGCAGGGCTACCCCATAGGCAGAGAGTAGGAGCTCAGGGCTGTTTTGCAGTCACATTTATACCTACTTTTAATAACATCCAGATTAAAGGGTGGTTTATGCAGAAATTTCTAGGGAAGGGGTAGTAACTCTTGGATCATTTGTCATTGCCAAGGAAAGAGGTGGTAATTCCCAGGTATTGCCATGTAACTGACATGGCACACTGGTGGACATGTCTGATGGAAAGCTTCTTCCACTGCAGCCCTGTTTTAGCTAGTTCTCAATTTGGTCTGGTGTCCAAGCCCTGGCTGTCAGGCCTCTGAGCCCAAGCTAAGCCATTATATCCCCTGTGACCTGCACATACACATCCAGATGGCCGGTTCCTGCCTTAACTGATGACATTCCACCACAAAAGAAGTGAAAATGGCCTGTTCCTGCTTTAACTGATGACATTGTCTTGTGAAATTCCTTCTCCTGGCTCATCCTGGCTCAAAGGCTACCCCACTGAGTACCTTGTGACCCCCACTCCTGCCCACCAGAGAACAACCCGCCTTTTTCCTTTACCTACCCAAATCCTGTAAAACGGCCCCACCCCTATCTCCCTTGGCTGACTATCTTTTCGGACTCAGCCTGCCTGCACCCAGGTGATTAAAAGCTTTATTGCTCACACAAAGCCTGTTTGGTGGTCTCTTCACACGGATGCACATGAAATTTGGTGCCGTGACTCAGATCGGGGGACCTCCCTTGGGAGATCAATCCCCTGTCCTCCTGCTCTTTGCTCCGTGAGAAAGGTCCACCTACAACCTCAGGTCCTCAGACCGACCAGCCCAAGAAACATCTCACCAATTTCAAATCCGGTAAGTGGCCTCATTTTACTCTCTTCTCCAACCTTCGTCACTATCCCTCAACCTCTTTCTCCTTTCAATCTTGGTGCCACACTTCAATCTCCCAATTCTCTTAATTTCAATTCCTTTCATTTTCTGGTAGAGACAAAGGAGACACGTTTTACCTGTGGACCCAAAACTCCAGCGCCGGTCATGGACTAGGGAAGGCAGCCTTCCCTTGGTGTTTAATCATTGCAGGGATGCCTGATTATTTACCCAGGTTTCAGAGGTGTCAGACCACACGGGGATGCCTGCCTTTGTCCTTCACCCTTAGCAGCAAGTTCCACTTTTCTAGGGGAGGTGCAAGTACCCCAATCCCTTCTCTCCATGTCTCCACCCCTTCTCTGCTTTTCTGGGTGAGGGGCAAGAACCCCTCAAACCCCTTCTCCTTCACCCTTAGTGGCAAGTCCTGCTTTTCCAGGAGAAAAGAACACCCAATCCCTTATTTCCGCACCCTGACCTCTTATCTCTGTGCCTCATCCCTTATTTCCATGCCCCGACCTCTTATCTCTGTGCCCCAATCCCTTATTTCTGTGCCCTGACCTCTTATCTCTGTGCCCCAATCCCTTATTTCCATGCCCCGACCCCTTTCTCAATTTTCTGGAAGGTAAGAACCCCTGAACCCCTTCCATGTCTCTACTCTCTCTTTTCTCTAGGCTTGCCTCTTTCACTATGGACAACCTTCCACCCTCCATTCCTCCGTCTCCCTTAGCCTGTGCTCTCAAGAACTTAAAACCTCTTCAACTCACACCGAACCTAAAACGTAAATGCCTTATTTTCTCCTACAATGCCGCTTGACCCCAGTACAAGCTCGACAGTGGTTCCAAATAGCCAGAAAAAGGCACTTTCAATTTTTCCATCCCGCAAGATCTAAATAATTCTTGTCTTGGACTAAAATAGGCAAATGGTCTGAGGTGCCTGATGTCCAGGCACTCTTCTACACATCAGTCTCTCCCTAGTCTCTGTGCCCAATGCAACTCATCCCGAATCTTCCTTCTTTCCCTCCTGCCTGTCCCCTCCGTCTCAACCCCAAGCATCACTGAGTCTTTCTAATCTTCCTTTTCTACAGACCCATCTGACCTCTCCCCTCCTCCCCAGGCCGAGCTAGGTCCCAATTCTTCCTCAGCCTCCACTCCTCCACCCTATAATCCTTTATCACCTCCCCTCCTCACACCTGGTCCAGTTTACAGTTAAGTTCCATGAGTAGCCCTCCACCACCTGCCCAGCAATTTACTCTTAAAAAGGTGGCTGGAGCTAAAGGCATAGTCAAGGCTAATGCTCCTTTTTCTTTATCCCAAATCAGATAGCGTTTAGGCTCTTTTTCATCAAATATAAAAATCCAGCCCGGTTCATGGCTCGTTTCGCAGCAACCCTGAGACGCTTTACAGCCCTAGACCCTAAAATATCAAAAGGCCATCTTATTCTCAATATACATTTTATTACCCAATCTGCTCCCGACATTAAGTAAAAATCCAAAAATTAAATTCCGGCCCTCAAACCCCACAACAGGACTTAATTAACCTCGCCTTCAAGGTGTACAATAATAGAGGCAGCCAAGTAGCAATATATTTCTGAGTTTCAATTCCTTTCCTCCACTGTGAGACAAACCCCAGCCACATCTCCAGCACACAAGAACTTCCAAACGCCTAAACCACAGTGGCCAGGCGTTCCTCCAGAACCACCTTCCCCAGGAGCTTGCTACAAGTGCCAGAAATCTGGCCACCAGGCCAAGGAATGCCTGCAGCCCGGGATTCCTCCTAAGCCGTGTCCCATCTGTGCAGGACCCCACTGGAAATCAGACTGTTCAACTCACCTGGCAGCCACTGGAACTCTGGCCCAAGGCTCTCTGACTCCTTCCCAGATCTTCTCGGCTTAGCGGCTGAAGACTGACGCTGCCCGATTGCCTCGGAAGCCCATAGACTATCACGGACGCCAAGCTTTAGGTAACTCTCACAGTGGAGGGTAAGTCCATCCCCTTCTTAATCAATACTGAGGCTTCCCACTCCATATTACCTTCTTTTCAAGGGCCTGTTTCCCTTGCCTCCATAACTGTTGTGGGTATTGACAGCCAGGCTTCTAAACCTCTTAAAACTCCCCAACTCTGGTGCCAACTTAGGCAATACTCTTTTAAGCCCTCCTTTTAGTTATCCCCACCTGCCCAGTATGATTATTAGGCTGAGACACTTTAACTAAATTATCTGCTTCCCTGGCTATTCCTGGATTACAGCTGCATCTCATTACAGCCCTTCTTCCCAATCCAAAGCCTCCTTTGCATCCTCCTCTTGTATTCCCCCACCTTAACCCACAAGAATAAGATACCTCTACTCCCTCCTTGGTGACCGATCATGCACCCCTTACCATCTCATTAAAACCTAATCATCCTTACCCCACTCAATGCCAATATCCCATCCCACTACATGCTTTGAAAGGATTAAAACCTGTTATCACTCACCTGCTAGAGCATGGCCTTTTAAAGCCTATAAACTCTCCTTACAATTCCCCCATTTTACCTGTCCTAAAACCAGACAAGCCTTACAAGTTAGTTCAGGATCTATGCCTTATCAACTAAATTGTTTTGTCTATCCACCCCATGGTGCCAAACCCATATACTCTCCTATCCTCAATACCTCCCTCCACAATCCATTATTCTGTTCTGGATCTCAAACATGCTTTCTTTACTATTCCTTTGCACCCGTCATCCCAGCCTCTCTTCACTTTCACTTGGACTGACCCTGACACCCATCAAGCTCAGCAAATTACCTAGGCTGTACTGCCACAAATCTTCATAGAAAACCCCCATTACTTCAGTCAAGCCCAAATTTCTTCCTCATCTGTTACCTATCTCAGCATAATTCTCATAAAAACACACGTGCTCACCCTGCCGATCGTGTTCAACTAATCTCTCAAACCCCAACCCCTTCTACAAAACAACAGCTCCTTTCCTTCCTCGGCATGGTTAGATACTTTCGCCTTTGGATACCTAGTTTTGCCATCCTAAAAAAACCATTATATAAGCTCACAAAAGGAAACCTATTTGACCCCATAGATCCTAAATCCTTTCCCCACTCCTCTTTCCGTTCCTTGAAGACAACTTTAGAGACTGCCCCCACTCTAGCTCTCCCTGACTCATCCCAACCCTTTTCATTACACACAGCCGAAGTGCAGGACTGTGCAGTCGGAATTCTTACACAAGGACCAGGATCGCGTCCTGTAGCCTTTTTGTCCAAACAACTTGACCTTACTGTTTTAAGCTGGCCATTATGTCTCCGTGCAGTGGCTGCTGCTGCCCTAATACTTTTAGAGGCCCTTAAAATCACATACTATGCTCAACTCACTCTCTACAGCTCTCATAACTTCCAAAATCTATTTTCTTCCTCACACCTGACACATATACTTTCTGCTCCCTGGCTCCTTCAGCTGCACTCATGCTTTGTTGAGTCTCCTGCAATTACCATTTTTCCTGGCCCAGACTTCAATCCGGCCTCCCACATTATTCCTGATACCACACCTGACCCTCATGACTGCATCTCTCTGATCCACCTGATGTTCACCCCATTTCCCCACATTTCCTTCTTCCCTGTTTCTCACCCTGATCACACTTTGTTTATTGATGACGGTTCCACCAGGCCTAATTACCACACACCAGCAAAGGCAGGCTATGCTGTAGTACAAGCCACTAGCCCGCCTCTTAAAACCTCTCATTTCCTTTCCATCATAGAAATCTATCCTCAAGGAAATAACTTCTCAGTGTTCCATCTGCTATTCTACTACTCCTCAAGGATTATTCAGGCCGCCTCCCTTCCCTACACATCAAGCTCAAGGATTTGCCCCCGCCCAGGACTGGCAAATTAGCTTTACTCAACATGCCCCGAGTCACAAAAACTCAAATACCTCTTAGTCTAAGTAGACACTTTCACTAGATGGGTAGAGGCCTTTCCCACAGGGTCTGAGAAGGCCACCACAGTCATTTCTTCCATTCTGTCAGACATAATTCCTCAGTTTGGCCTTCCCACCTCTATACGGTCTGATAATGGACCAGCCTTTACTAGTCAAATCACCGAAGCAGTTTCTCAGGCTGTAGGTATTCAATGGAACCTTCATATCCCTTACCATCCTCAATCTTCAGGAAAGGTAGAAGGGACTAATGGTCTTTTAAAGACACATCTCACCAAGCTCAGCCTCCAACTTAAAAAGGATTGGATAGTACTTTTACCTCTTGCGCTTCTCAGAATTAGAGCCTGTCCTCGAGATGCTACAGGGTACAGTCCATTTGAACTTTTATATGGACACACTTTCTTGCTTGGCCCCAACCTCATCCCAGACTCCAGCCCTCTAGGCGACTATCTTACAGTCTTCCAACAGGCTAGACAGGAAATTCGCCAGGCTGCTAATCTTCTATTGCCTACTCCAGATCCCCAGCCATATGAAGACACCCTAGCTGGACGATCAGTTCTTGTTAAGAATTGACCCCTCAAACTCTACAACCTCAATGGACCGGACCCTACTTAGTCATCTATAGTACCCCAACTGCTGTCTGCCTGCAGGATCCTCCCCACTGGATTCACCATTCCAGAATAAAGCTCTGTCCATCAGACAGCCAGCCTAATCCCTCCTCTTCCTCCTGGAAGTCGCAAGTACTCTCCCCTACTTCCCTTAAACTCACTCATATTTCTGAAGAACAGTAATAACCCTTATGAGCCTAATACATCCCTTCATTCTGTTAGGTCTATTCGTCCTTACCCTACTTTTTGCAACGGGGCTTTATGACGTCACCCCCACCACTTAGGCTGAGCCCCAAAAAACTTGTCATCCCTACTATTTTCTGTCTAGTCATACTCCTATTCTCCATTCTTAACTACTTATAAATGCCCTACTCTTGTTTACACTGCCGGTTTACACTGTTTCTTCAAGCCATCACAGCTGATATCTCTTGGTGCTATCCCCAAACCACTACTCTTAATTCCCTCTTAGAGTGGGTAGATGATCTTTGCAGGCAGGGCACCCTCCAATACTTCCACCCTGATGAAGTTCTATTCTTCACTTTTATACTCACTCTTATTCTCATTCCCATTCTTATGCCACCCTTTACCTCTCCCCAGCTATCTCCACCACACTATCAACCTTACCCATTCTCTCCTAGACGCTTCTAATCCCTCCTTAGCGAACAACTGCTGGCTTTGCATTTCCCTTTCTTCCAGTGCCTACACAGCTGTCCCTACTTTACAGACAGACTCGGCAACATCTCCTGTCTCCTTACACCTCTGAACTTCCTTTAACAGCCCTCACCTTTACCCTCCTGAAGAACTCATTTACTTTCTAGACAGGTCCAGCAAGACCTCCCCAGACATCTCACATCAGCAAGCTGCCACCCTCCTCCACACTTATTTAAAAAACCTTTATATTAACTCTACTCCCCCCATATTTGGACCTCTCACAACACAAACTACTATTCCTGTGACCGGTCCTTTATCTATCTCTCGGCAAAGACCCACTGGAATTCCCCTAGGTAATATTTCACCTTCTCGATGTTCCTTTACTCTTCATCTCCAAAGCCCAACTACACACATCACTGAAACAATGGGAGCCTTCCAGCTCCATATTACGGACAAGCCCTCTATCGATACTGACAAACGCAAAAACATTAGCAGTAATTATTGTTCAGGAAGACACTTACCCTGTATTTCACTCCATCCTTGGCTACCTTCCCCTTGCGAGTCAGACTCTCCTCCCAGGCCCTCTTCTTGTTTACTTATACCCAGCCCCGAAATAACAGTGAAAGGTTGCTCATAGATACTCAATGTTTTCTCATACACCATGAAAATCGAACCTCCTCCTCTACGCAGTTACCCCATCAGTCCCCATTACAACCTCTGACAGCTGCCGCCCTAGCTGGATCCCTAGGAGTCTGGATACAAGACACCCCTTTCAGCACTCCTTCTCACCTTTTTACTTTACATCTCCAGTTTTGCCTCACACAAGGTCTCTTCTTCCTCTGTGGATCCTCTACCTACATGTGTCTACCTGCTAATTGGACAGGCACATGCACACTAGTTTTCCTTACCCCCAAAATTCAATTTGCAAATGGGACCGAAGAGCTCCCTGTTCCCCTCATGACACCGACATGACAAAAAACAGTTATTCCACTAATTCCCTTGCTGGTGGGTTTAGGACTTTCTGCCTCCACTATTGCTCTCGGTACTGGAATAGCAGGCATTTCAACCTCTGTCACGACCTTCCGTAGCCTGACTAATGACTTCTCTGCTAGCATCACAGACATATCACAAACTTTATCAGTCCTCCAGGCCCAAGTTGACTCTTTAGCTGCAGTTGTCCTCCAAAACCACCGAGGCCTTGACTTACTCACTGCTGAAAAAGGAGGACTCTGTATATTCTTAAATGAAGAGTGTTGTTGTTTTTACCTAAATCAATCTGGCCTGGTGTATGACAACATAAAAAAACTCAAGGATAGAGCCCAAAAACTTGCCAACCAAGCAAGTAATTACGCTGAATCCCCTTGGGCACTCTCTAATTGGATGTCCTGGGTCCTCCCAATTCTTAGTCCTTTAATACCCATTTTTCTCCTTCTATTATCCGGACCTTGTATCTTCCGTTTAGTTTCTCAATTCATTCAAAACCGTATCCAGGCCATCACCAATCATTCTATATGTCAAACGTTTCTTCTAACATCCCCACAATATCACCCCTTACCACAAGATCTCCCTTCAGCTTAATCTCTCCCACTCTAGGTTCCCACGCCGCCCCTAATCCGCTTGAAGCAGCCCTGAGAAACATCGCCCATTATCTCTCCATACCATCCCCCAAAATTTTCGCTGTCCCAGCGCTTTACAACTATTTCGTTTTATTTTTCTTATTAATATAAGAAGACAGGAATGTCAGGCCTCTGAGCCCAAGCTAAGCCATTATATCCCCTGTGACCTGCACATACACATTCAGATGGCCGGTTCCTGCCTTAACTGATGACATTCCACCACAAAAGAAGTGAAAATGGCCTGTTCCTGCCTTAATTGATGACATTGTCTTGTGAAATTCCTTCTCCTGGCTCAAAGGCTCCCCCACTGAGTACCTTGTGATCCCCACTCCTGCCCACCGGAGAACAACCACCCTTTTTCCTTTGCCTACCCAAAGCCTATAAAACGGCCCCACCCCTATCTCCCTTGGCTGACTATCTTTTCGGACTCAGCCTGCCTGCACCCAGGTGATTAAAAGCTTTATTGCTCACACAAAGCCTGTTTGGTGGTCTCTTCACATGGAAGCGCATGAAACTGGCTCTAGCATCAAGTCCCGCTTCCTACCTCAGAATGTTACTTTTAAATTCAACAAATATATCATTGTTATTTTTTTAAAGTTAACATTAGGGAAACTGGGTGAATGGAATATGAAAACTATCTTTGCAAGTTTTCACTAAATCTATAATTATTCCAGATAAAATTTGTTTTGAAAATGACACACAAATATGGATTTTTCTTGCTGTATCATCTTTACACATATATACATAAAATATTTTTTGTATTTACCAATTGTCATGGTGTAAATATCAGAGGAGTGGTGCATACATATTTGTAGACTTACACATGGGTATATATTTCCTGCTGACCTGAGTTTACAAATTTTTTAGCAAAAAATAATCTATATAAATTAACAATTGATTTTTAGGCAAATTTAAAAAGTAAAAAGCTAAATTTAAAATTGTTTCTTTGGCATGATTAGAAACAATTCATATATTTTCATATATTTTCTATCTTGATTAGCCCCCTTTCAATAAAGTAAATGTTTAGAGTCTGAATCACAGGGAGGTATGATTGTTTTTTATCAGGCCTCATATGTTTATCCTAAAAAATCTCAAGTGCTTTTGAAGGGAACACCTGGAGCTAGAGGAAGAACATTAGCACAACATCAGCTAGCAAGATCATAGCTGACCCATATGGTGTTGACTTGTGTCACATACTCTTCCATAAGGCTCACATATACTAACTCATTTCACCTACATAAGAACCATATGAAGTAGTTGCTATTATTATAATCTCTGTTACTGATGAGAAAATCGAATAATAAAAATTTGCCCAACTTCGCATAGCTAACAAGAGGTGGATCTAGGATTTAAAGCAAGCCAGTCTGGCTCTCAAATTACTCCCCAGTTTGGGAGTTTGGCAATATTTATAACCTAAGAAACAGCTCAAATTTGACATGTGGACAATTATAGGAGCTACTGATATTTTTTAATGGATTGCAATATGGAAGGACACAATTGCTTTCCTTTACTTGCTACTTCAGTATTATGTTTGCATATTGAAACATGGTCCTATTGAGGTTGCTCTTTTAAAAGAGGAAGAACTTTAGCTTGCATGAATTAAATAATTAGTTCAGCAATAAAACCCTATTAATATACTTTAAAATATTAAATAGATGATGGATTTATGGAGGATTAATCAGCAAGAATTTGAGTCTGATGTCCTTAGGTGACTTAAGCAATAGGGATTTTGCCTAAGTCAGAAGTACAGGAGCAGCGTTTGACAATACCCTTTAACATTAACTAAACATGTAGGATTGTTAAATTTGAAAATAGTGACACAGGACAAAAGTGTCTCCTCTGAAGTACCTCATCAATTATGGCAAGGTAATACTCAAACATTCTCCAAAACAATTCAGAAGGGAGGTACTGTTATTATATTCCTATTTTTCTTCAAAATAATGAAAAACATAAAATTAATCCTGGGATACAAAAGGCTATGAAAAATTACACTTACAATATTATAGGAATAAACAACAGTAAAATAGGTAACTATCTTAATTTCTGCCAAGCAAGTCTGGCATCTTAATAGTTAAATTTGCCTCCCCTGACAACTTCAATGGAGAGTTTTAAAATATAATTACAGGGTAAGTGAATATTTTTCAAATTCATTAATTTGAGAAATGTATTCAAGCAAATATCTTTTCTGATAATGCACTTCTTATAAAGAGCCCAAACAGAATTCCCTTGAACCTGGGTAGGGTAAGGCTATTACAAACACCACACCTGTATTAGTCTGTTTTCACACTGGTGATAAAGACATACCCAAGACTGGGGAATTTACATAAGAGGTTTAATGGACTTATGGTTCCACATGGCTAGGGAGGCCTCACAATCATGGTGGAAGGTGAAAAGCACTTCTTACATGGCAGTGGCAAGAGAGAGCTTATGCAGGGAAATTCCCGTTTTTAAAACCATCAGATCTTGTGAGACTCATTCATGATCATCATGAGAACAGCACAGGAAAGAGCCACCCCCATAATTCAATCACTTCCCACCAGGTTCCTTCCATGACACATGGGAATTGTGGGAGTTACAATTCAAAATGAGATTTGGGTGGGGACACAGCCAAACCATATCAACAACCTTTCCCAAAATTATCTTGGCAGTTAGTGATCATTTACTCTTACACATGATGTAGTAACATCAGCTTGTCAAGTTTCATAAGAAAACCTATTGAGAGGTTGACTTAAATTCCATTTAACTTATAGCTAATTTGGTGGGAAAATTGCTGTCTTTATAATATTGTCTACTTTATATAAAAATCATAATTTTTATCCATGTATTTATGACTTCTTTAATAATCTTCAGTAATGTTTAATCATTTTCTTAATATAGGGTTGAAAACATTTTGGTATATTCATTTCCATAAACGTTGTGCATTATATTGAGAAGTATACGACTTCTGTTTCAATTTTTTAAATTTAAAATTGTGTTATATGGAAACAATATTGAATATTTCATCTTTTAACTTTGTTTAACTTATTATTTCTAGAAGTTTTTTTTTTTTTTTTTTTTTTTAAGTAGACTTACTATGTGGATAATGAAAGCCATAGTCACCGGCAACGGTTTCTGCCTTCTTTCTTGTGAGAAGAGCCTCAACATATTCCTTAATTCCAAACTCACAGCCTGGCTCCAAATGACTATCTAATACAGAACAATTATTTTTGTCATTGCTCTGCAGAATCCAGGCTTTCAGCCATATCTGCCTGTTCCCAAACTTGGAATTCAGAAGACAAGGCGCTCAGCATGACTCACTGATATATGTTTCACTGCCAGTTAGTGTCAACGGACTATCTTGTGTTCGAACAAGAACATGATATTCTTAATATCTTAAATTTATATGTCTTATAATTGTTTTATGTGTTTTATGAAAACGAAGTTTAATGCATGAGTTTAGAAAACTAAAATGAGCAGAAATGCCCATGAAACTTATCAATTATCATTCGATAATAATCAAATCTTCACAAAGTTCTAAAATCTTTATTAGAATAGGCTAAATTTAACATCATCCCGCAGTGGAAAGAGCTCTGGAATAGGAGACAGATTAATATGTTACTTTAGGAACTGTAGTCTCTGCCTTAGCTAACATTTTTGTGGTTTTTCAGTTTCTCATGTGTAAAATGAAAGTAGAAATGGTCTTACAGGCTCTTCTAGTTATTACACATTTTATTTAAATGCTCTAAACACAAAATATCTGAATATTCTTATTTTAATGGTCCTTCAATTGAATGTCTAAAAAAACAAATTCACTTGACTGGCAGGAAAAGCTTGATTTAGGTGACATTGTTGGAAATGTGTCCTTTCTACCTCTGTAAGTACTGAGGTTTACACTGGTTCTATAGGTCATTAAGTGCTGGCATCTAATAAACTATCTGAAAATAAGAGCTGAATTATTTACTGTTGATTTTATAAATATAATAGAATGAGTCCTTGAAATATATAGACTAGGTGTATATATTTGTGTTGTTATTATTGAAAACATTTATACAACAAGATTCAGGGAGGGCTTCAAGGGTGATTCCTGTTAATCTAAAATAAATAATAACATGATCAGCCTCTGAAAATTAATATTAGTTAATTAGAAACCTGAAAAGATTCATGCACAATGGCCATTATATAGCACTTTATATTTAACTGGATATATAGAATTTCGATTGAGTTTGAAATTATAAAAAAGAAATCACTTTTGAAATTTAGAAATCAAAATCCAATGTTAGTAATTAGTTAAAATTATCAACAATTTCTTGAGCCAACATGCTTGGGGAATTGCAAGAAAATGCAAAGGAGAAGAAATATCCCTTACCAAAGTCAAAGATTAGGAAAATGAAAGACACAGTTATTTTATTTTTGTCTTTTTGTAATTTACACCTCTAACATTAGATTGAAAAGCTGCATTACAGACACCTGCTTCAGTAGAGTCATTGTTTCCATGGTGCCACTTTCCATCACCTATTTTTAATAGTTTACACAACAAGATCAAGGGTGTCCCAGCTGTTACTGCCACTGTTGCTTAGCAACCTTTAAATCAGAGTTCAAGAAGACAAAGAATCATGCTTGAAAAATTTCTCAACTGTCTGTTTTATGCACCCACGCCCCTGCTTTCTTCATTTTGCACCATTTTTCACTGTTTATACTCGGATGCTCTGGTTTTTTTCCATTAATTCAATATTCTATATATGAATTCACAACTCCGAGTGCTACTGGAATCAACTAAATATTTTTGTTGATTTTCAAAAGGTAATATATATGTTCAACTACAGGCTACCTCCAATAGAAAATAAACAGATTTAAAATATTTACTTTATTTTATTCATCAGAATGGGAGGTTGTTTCAGGTCTTCATTATCTGCTGCCAGACTATAACATTGCTGTGCCTGAGAGTCTGGTGAAATGACACACAGATCAATGGCCAGAGATTCACTGCCTGCAGAGAATTACAATACCCCCTTGTGCATTCTGAAATCTAAATATTATCATCCACAAAGGACAGAGAAGTCAAAAATCTGTAAGAAAACAGAGAAGTTAGCGAACTTTGAACTTGGAATACCTGACTGAGACAGGTTGATATCAATTAATAAAAACAGAAAATATTTTCTAATATTTCTGTAAACAATGAGAGTTTTTTTCCTCAATAGTAATTGTTCAGAAACCAATGGCCCATCTGTCTAATTAATAGATTAGTAAGCACAAATCAACAATGTGGAACGTACATAAAAATAGAAAAAAATCTTAATTTTGCATTTGATATCTGTAATAAGATAGGAACTCTCAAATCATAACCAAATATTCCTGAATAATCCATATAATAAGAGGAATATAATGATAGGATTCATGGCTGGAGATTTTATTAACCTGTATATGTGTGAGCAACTGTTTACCATACATCTCTCACAGAGTTGATCCAGGTGGGTTTTACCCCTTTGGTTAGAATGAACGTTCTGTTCCATAACATACATGCCCAATGACATGGTCCACACTGACCCAATTATTTAAACTCTTGGATTTTCCTTTGACCCTCTATTAAATAAACACAAACCTATCATATTATTATTTTTTAATTTTCAGGTTTGATCATTACATTATTATTTTCTGGCCCTTTTCTAAATTCTGCTAAATCCTTAGGTATCTGTTTGTTGTTTGCTGTTGTTTCCAAATCACTAAACCTCATTAAATTTATTTAAATTACATACTTTTTGTCCTTCTGATTTCTTTGTTATGTCTCACTTCTGTTATCTTTTGATTCTTATTTTCTCCTGCAAATATAAATACATGTAACTGTTTAATCATTAATTCACTATTTTTGGTCATTTCTTACTGAAAGCTAAGTATGCAATGACAACGGATTTGAGTTAGATACCTGAAAAAGTAACCAGTATGTTGTCCAGGATAAAAGAAGTGCTCCTATGGGTTATGGAGAATACAAAGTACAAGGTCCCTAATAACTGTGTAAATTGTAAAGTGTTTAAATTTACCTGAGACATATAAGATCCTTAGGTAGAAACTGAAGTTTAATCTGTGCTGATATGGCTATTAAGTACTGATGCAGGATTTTTCTCAGCTCCTTCACTGGACTCGTGGCAAGGTTGCCCCGTTCACTTGGTCCACTGTGCTCAGCCCCTTGTGGGAGAGAGTACATGAGCAAGTGAGTGTGGGATCCAGCAAACATAGAAGCAAGTTCTGTGTAGGGCCCACAGTCAGACTAGGCATGTTGCCTTAAGGGGAATGCAGTGGCACCCAGGTGAGGATGCCAATGACCCCAAAGAGACTGGAGAGGTTGTTACAGTGCTCATTTACTTTCCCTGTCCACAGTCCAACAGACGGCAGTATGTTAGCAGCTCTGTTGGCCCCTTGTCTCATCCCATGGGGCAGCTGCCCTCCACTGACAAAGGCAAAGGGTCAGTGTGATAGCCCTATCTGGGTACCCACACTCAGGGGCCCCAAGCTCTTGTCCTGTGTCCAAGAAGGGTAAGGTTATGTGGATCATTAAGCCACATGGATGAAGGCAGATAAATTTATTGAGTGATGAAAATGGCTCTCAGTGGAGAGGGGAGCTGGAGAAACAGGTGAAGGGCAGGTCATCTTCCCCAAAGTTAGGCTGTCTCCTCCTCTACTGACTGAGTCTTGGGTCTTTAAAGGTGCAGGATGAGAAATGCATGCTGATTGGTTTGTGAGTAGGCAAAAAAGGTTAAAGTGAAGGGAACACTGAAAGCTGGGCACAACAATATGGAAAGGGTAAGTCTATGTAAAATAGGTGGAAAGTAAGGATCAGTCAGAGGAAAGTGTGCCAAAAGGGAAGACAGGTTCTTAATCCTGTCTGAGGATTTAGCTTGCAGCTTGGCTTTCAGGCTTTAAACTGTCTTTGGCTTGGAGGTGGAGTTTCACCAGATACATGCCCCTATCTGCCTAGACATTTGTCTGCCTCCTGCCTCTATCATTTCCCCCTCTGAAGAAGTACATCTAACTTCCATTAGAATAGGGACAAAGACCAGTCTTAATGGCTTCCTGTTGACAGGGGTCACTGTTTTGGGAATACAGCAGTCAGATTTCCCTCAGAGGCCCATCTAAGGTTCCCTTGTAAAAGGGAGCCATTGTTTGAACCTCTGGTTTCATGACTGTTTGGAGTATGACTGCCTGAAGGCCAGAAGAGACAAACCAGGTTATTACAAGATATGTATCAAAACAAAACAAGGCAGGGGTAGGGACAGCTCAAAAATCCCGAGACTGCTTTTATGCACAGATAACTGGTGGCTATAGTTAAGCCTACTAAGATTTGGGTGCATAGGACTTGGCTTTGGTTAGCTCCCTTTGTCTTATTTTCCCAAAGAAACCTCTGGGTGATGGGCATCCTGTTTACTTCAATTACCTGGCAAGATTTGCAGAATAATGGCTCAGAACTAGAATATTGATCCAGATTTTTACATTACCTATCCCTTTTGTTTTTCTCCTGAGCTGCAGCTGTAGATCACTGGTTGGTTCACAGGAATAAGCATCATTAGTGTAAAATGTAGGCAAAAACTTAAAAACAAGTAATGAGACTAGAATTTAATGACAAGCATATAAGTTTTGAAACATAATTTTCTCTCTCCAATCCTCAGTTTTGCTAAAAACAAATCATTATAGGAATGTGTTGTTTGTAAAATAAACCTTAGTCTTATGCTTGACCTGATTATTCACATAAAGTGTGGCAAGAATAACTATCTTTCACATAGACTTTTTAAATTGGCTTTGATGGAACTCTGTTCCACAAGGAATCTCAGATAAAGCTGAGCCCACAAGGGCTTGTACCCTCAAATAAATATGAGTTGGGTAAATTCCTCTCTTCTTGAGGTTTCAAGATAACAAGTGGCTCCTGGGCCTGTTAGAAAGTGACATTCTTTACTTACCACAGGCTTGCAACCCTATGCCAAAACTGTGAAGACAAGGTGTGAGGCCAGTTTTCCCCAGGGGTTTTTATTGACTCTGCAAGTCAAGCTTGATTCCTTAAAGGAAAGCACACCTTTCCAGTCAGAGCCTTGGTAAAACTACCAGTTTCTCCAATTGTGTCCTGCTGCAGAGGAAAATAGATTTTTATTGCACTGATGCAAATAACTATATTGCCATAAGTTAAGAATACTCATAAATAGTTTTGAAATTCTGGAGAAGCCAGGCCAAGAGAAACAAATATGCTCCAAATTTTGTTCACAGGAAAATAACTTAATTGTTAAAAACTCTTGATAGTTCAAAAGAAAACTTTCCTTGACTCTGAAAAACAAAACAAGAATCAGCAAGATTTTAAGAAAAAGTTAAAAAAGATTATTTCAGTTTTATATTAGTTCAGTCCATTCCATTAACTCTTGTTCGGGTTGATATTCATGAACATTTTAGCTCTTCATGAGTATTATATGTTTTTCCTCTGTTCCATCATCACAATCTCCAAAGTTATTAGAAACTTGCATTTGAGAGCACCAATCAAAGTCCTATAGCTGATTATAAACTGTCTTTTGAAAAGGATGAAAACAAGACAACAATTGTCTGTGAGTGACATAATGTCTATGGGTGGTGACAATCAAAAACATGATTGACATAGAAATTTGATTATTTCTGTGGTTTACAATAACTTAACACAAGAACCTAAATTATGATTGATACTATATACTAAGACATTAGAATTTTAGAAATTTCATACAATTTTGGAACATACATTAATCTTCTATTATATAACCTAATGAATATTAAACTTTATTTTTATTTTGGCAATCCCATGTAACTAAACATATCAAATAATCCTGTTTTCCTCTCTTTTGGATGCTCCAAGGGACCTCTGTAGAATTCAAAAGTTAGGGGTCAGAGAAGACAATTTTTGAAGATGAATTTTTATTTTGGGAAGGCTACCAAACAGGTTAAAATTTTAAAACACTTGATATTATGAAATAGAAGTCTGCATTACCATAAGTCATTTATTTTAGCCAAAATGTTGACTCAAAAATTTTAAAACAAGGCAAAACTTTTATTCATTAGGAAGAAAGACTTGATTCCAAACAATCTGTCTTTAAAATTACATGAAAATCCTGTTCAAGAGAGAGAAGGCCAAATTTTACTCTTGCATGAGTCTACTATTAATGTCAACCCCATTTTTTAAATGAGACTTTATAGATAATTTTATCCTATCTTAATCAGTTTGACCATGAGGTGAGAGTCTTATAAACCTTTGATAATCCTTTACAAATTTTTGTTAATATGTTCACACACAGAATTTCTTTTACAACATTAATTTTTGCAAAGTTTTCTCAACTTATTTAAACATTTAGCTTTATCTTATCTAATTTAAAACAATCCTCTAACCCTCTAAACTAGACAAAAATTTACATTCCCATGCCTTTTTATAATCTTTATCTAAAAACACATTTTACTTCTCTCACACAACTTGCATGTAGATCTATTTTCAGTAGTCTCAATTACATGTTATAATGGTAATTCTGAGCAATTTTAAATTTTAATGTAAAATCTGATAAGTTATTTCAATTATATACTAGGTGCAGATAAAGTCTGACTCTTTCCAACATAGTTTGGGGTGTGGTTAATTCTATATTTCCCTAAGCCTTACCAAATTGCGAAGCGGGTAAATTGACCAGTTCTGAAAAACTAAAGAAGCAGTTTACAACCTTAAAACATTTAGCAAACCTAGTATCTGACCTGCATAATTTAGATCGCATATGTACATTTCGAAGACATTTGTATCTTACCAGTAATCTTTAGAACTGTTTTTTTGTTTGTTTGTTTGTTTTGACATGGAGTCTCGCTCTGTCGCCCAGGCTGAAGTGCAGTGGCTCAATCTCAGCTCACTGCAAGCTCCGCCTCCCAGGTTCACGCCATTCTCCTGCCTCAGCTTCCAAGTAGCTGGGACTACATCTGCCCACCACCACGCCTGACTAATTTTTTGTATTTTTAGTAGAGACAGGGTTTCACCTTGTTAGCCAGGATGGTCTCTATCTCCTAACCTCGTGATCCGCTCGCCTCGGCCTCCCAAAGTAGAACCATTTTTATTTCTCAAAGATTAAATCACATGAAATAAAAGGCAGTATAGCTCTTATTTTTCCTTCAAAAAAATTTGATCTAAGTGCTTATTTTTCTCTAAGCCAATTAATTAGAGCTCTTTTTTATATACACATCACACACATAACACATATATGACTACAAAGACAGACATAAGAAGATCCAGTAGTTGAAATATTTTTCATTTGCCAATCTCCTAATTGGATTATGGACCTCAGGGTGGAGCCTTTCAAAAAGGAGGGCTAGGAAAACATGCAGTTTCTAGGGCCTAATAAACAGGCATAGCTGGAAGACAAAAACAGATTTTGAGAGGGGTCTATCTGCTTTTAATTCCTAGGGTTCCATGAGGTAAAAAGAGGGGTTTTTTCCCCTCCAAAATGGGGTTCATCGCACCTTCTCTGTTTTTTCCAAGGAATCCTATTCTCTTAGAAGTTATCTTAGGGCCTATTGGGTGTGCACTAAAAGTGAAAAGACAAAATGGAGAAAAATAATTCAGTTGACTATGAAAAAAACCTTTGTCCAAAAAAACAAGGTCCACGAATAAAAAAATATAAAGGTCTTTTAACTATATTAAATACTTATGACTTTGATATTCACTTTTACTTAAGGTGACTTTTAACCATAGTGCTCTTTAAGAAAATTCTTTTAAATCCCTTGTTACCTGACTTTAACCATGCCAAGTAGCCCATATTTCTGGCTTTAGAAATTTACCAAATGCAGCCTCACAGGTGAAACCAGCAAGCCTCAGCTAAGGTTATGACTTAACCACAAGTGTATGAGGTATTTTCAAAGAGGTGATAAGCAGTTTTTAGAAAATCTAGAATCTTTATAGGTAGCTCAGAGAAAGGAAGATTTAAGAAAGGAAACTAGAAGTTCATAGAGGGGAAGAGAATCAGCAAATAGTAAAAGTCACACAGATATTAACCAGAAAGTACTCATTCCCTGGCCGGAATTGAACCCAGGCCGCTATTTTAAAATGGCAGAGACCAAAAGAAACTACCGTTATGTGGTTGCAAGATCAGGCTCTCAAGGACGTAAAACAAGATGGAGCCCTCATCCAGATTTTTCAGAACTGTACAGTGACCCTTACCATTCCTTTTTATAGGTTTGCACAGGGAGAGAGAGGCCAGAAGTCCGATTAGTAAAAAACTTTTACTGTTTTGCTGCTATATCAGGCCTCTGCATTCCCTTCCCCCAAGCTCAATTTTAAGCCAAGCAATTTAAGGTTTGTGAAATTAACTTTTCCCAGTTTGGAGGATGCATCTGAGGAGAGTGTCCTGGTATAGGGACACAATTACTCATCCACAAAGAGAGGACAGAGGAAAAGTCTTTTTTTTTTTTCCCAAAGGAGTCCCAGTGATTCAGAAGTATTGACTGAAGATGATTGGTTATCCATTTGGAAAGAGAGGAAAAGTGGTCTCTCAGTTCCTTTCTCTTCCAAATGAATACATTGGGTATGTGAGGGAGAGAAAGAAATGGCATCCCCCTTCCTTCTTCCATCCTTAAATCCTTGGGTCCCAGTGACATCAGCAGGGTGCTGCCCATGAGTGCCAATGCAGCTTTCATCCACATTAACAGGGAGGCCTAAAGGGTGGAAATGATTGGCACTCACCCACACGCTGCCTGTCCCCACTGCTGTCAGTAAACTCTGAGTTCCCCAGACCTCGTTTATGGCATGGATACTAGTATAACATCTACCCATGAAATGTGTGTGTTGGGAGGCTAATGGGCAGGAATTAGTCATGCTCACCTGCACTGTGCCCCTTCACTTCTGTGGTTGCCTGCCTTTGGATCCCTCAGATCTAGTTTTCCTCTCTAGGGCTTCAACCCAAAGCTTGCAATTGAGTTTTGGAAAAAAGTTGTCTCAGGGGAGTGCATGGATTTCTTTAAATTAAGTCCCAGGTGGCCCTTGCCAAATTTGCAGCCAGCAGACAGGATGGTCACTCCTCCATTGCTTCCCTATCGTAAGCATAGTTCTAAGGTAGAAAAAACAATTCCCCTCGCCTAGGAGAGCTCCCTGCATTTGCAGGGTCATGTGAACCCCTGACAAGGTGGATAAAAGGAAAAAAGAAAAGCTTAAGTGTAGGGGGAGGGGCAGGTGCCTGAGGGAAAAAGCCTCTTGATCTATGCAAATGGGTTCCTTCAACAGGGGAAATATTCTTAATCACTGTATCCCCCTTGCCTCTAACAGCAGATGGGAATCACATTGCTCTGAATTGCATATTTGGTGGCTAAGTCAAATGCTTATTCCACCTAGTAATATCTCTGCAGTTTGCAGCAACACCCTTAACATTATAAAAGAAGAGATAGGAGCCATTTCAAAGCATAAAAGAAGGAATGAAAAATACCACAGAAAAGTCTGGGGGTCTTGGCCAATGCTCTGAAGGGAGTTTGGGGACAGAGCCAGTCTAGGGGCCTTCCAGCAACCCTGAGGAGTGGCCTTGGCCAGATGTCTTCAGTTGCCCCAGGACTTTATTCTGGTTCAACACAGTGGCTAGACCTCTGTGAAGAGAAACAAAAAAACATTTCTTTCATCTGAAAGAGAGGTGGCAGGGTCACATCCTGTCCTCTCTAGCTGTGCCATTTGCTCTTAACTGGCCACTCAGAGGTTTGGTGCTTCATCTCCCTTCAGAGGGAAGTTTGAGCACAAGAAGTCTTGGAAAAAAGTGAAGAGTCAGATCCATATTCACTCACCCTTCTGAGTCCTGGATGAGCCCACAGATGATGCAGGATTTTTCTTGGCCCCTTCACCAGACTTGCAGCAGGGGTGTCCCATTTTTTTGGTCCATTGCACTCAGCCCCTTGCAGAAAGGAGCACGTAAGCAAGCAAATGCAGGACCCGGACAGCCACTCCAGGCACCAACACAGGAACAATCGCCATGTGGGGCCCATGCTCAGACAAGGGATGCCACCATGAAGGGAATGTGGTGAAACCCAGGTGAAGGTGCCCATGACCCCAGTGAGACTGGAGGGGGTGTTACAGTGCTCATTTAGTTCTGCCATCTGCAGTCCAACATACAGCAGTGTGTTAGCAGCTCAGTTGGCCCCTTGCCTTCTTAAGAAGGGTGGTTGCCCTCCACCAGTGAGGGCAAAGGGCCAGTGTGACAGCCTTTTCTGGGTACTTACACTTGGTGGATCATGAGCTCTTGTCCAGCATCCAAGAAGAATGAGATCACATGAATGATTGAAGGATGGTGAAGGCAGAGAATTTTACTGAGCAATGAAAATGGCTCTCAGTGGAGAGGGCAGCTGGAGATGGGAGCTGGAGGCAGGCAGGAAGTCTTCCCCAAAGTCTGGCCATCTCCTCCTCTACCAGCTGAGTCTGGGGTCTCTATAGGCACAGGATAGGGAATGTGTGTTAATTGTTTTGTGAGTATGCATAAAGTTAAAGTGAAGACACCCCTCAAATGTGGGCACAACAGGGTAGAAAACCAATTAGGAAAAGGTAAGTATATGTAAAATGGGTGAATGGTGGGGATCAATCAGAGGAAAGCACCTGAAACAGAAAGACAATTTCTCAATCCACTCTGAGGATTTAACTTGTAGCTTGGCTCTCAGTCTTTAAACTGTCTTTGGCTTGATTGGAGGTGGGGTTTCACTGGGTACCAGCCCCTATCTGCTTAGGCATTTGGCTGACTCTTGTTGTTACCAGTACCCTTGCTAAATAGTTATTATGATACAATTTAACACATTCTCCAATTTCTACCTCACTATTATACCTCTGGATACATCGCTCTACCATCTTTTGGTCCTTGATCTGAAAATTATTTCCATTCTTCACTGCTTCATCCATCTTGTTTCTTCCATACTTTCCTTTTAGGTTGGAAACATGCTGCATTAATTTGCTGGGACTGCCATGAAAAAGTACCAGAAGCTGGATGGCTTAAACAACATAAATTTATTTCCTCTCAGTTCAGAAGTCAAAGGCCAAGGTGTCAGCAGGGCTTCTGAGGCCTTCTCACCTTGAATTGTAGATGGCTCTCTTCTTTGTTTTCATACAGTCGTCCCTTTTATCATGTCTTGTGTCCTAATCTCTCTTCTTAAAAGGGCATAAGTAAAATTGAATTAGGGCCTACCCTAATGACCTCCTTTAATCTTTATTTCCTCCTTAAAGAGGAAATATAGTCACATTCTAAGGAACTGGAGGGTAGGACTTCAACATAAGAACTTTAGCGGGAGAAAATTCAACCTATAATACTTATCCATATATCATCCTAAATAAAAACTCTCCATAAAACTTCCCTCCACTCATCTCCAGCAAAGTGAATTCACTGTTCTTTTTTTTCTGAAGGGAGTTGGTAAAATAGTATTCTTTCTGCATCTCTCCATCTGCAGCTTCTATTTAGTTCTCAGTTCACTGGCTTTTACATTCTATGCTGAGAAAATTGATTCAAATATTCCCTAATGATGTTTTCGTTTTTACATATCTTAGTATTAAATGCTACATAGATTATTTTACTGTAGGTCCTAGATTATAAATCTGCTGGCTGTTTTCCCTATAATTATGTACAATGGTGTTTATTTTCTGTAGAGTTCTGCTGTATGTCTCAAGTCTTTTAAGTCTTGCTTTTCAATGTCTTTTTCCCCCATGGTTCAAATTATTACATAATGTGATAAGTGGTATTTATCACAATTCCTAACACTATTTTGTTCATAAACTCACAATTTAATTGCAGTCTCTATGCCAAAATTTCTGTCATAATCTGCAGTAAATTGTATTTGTTGTTTTGCTTGTTTGGGGGTTGTTTGTTCCTATGTGTTTTGGATTTGTTTGTTTTTCTGTTTAGTTTTAATAGATTCCAGAATTTTCTGAGTAATCTATTCATCTATGGCTATAAAAAAGGAAAATTTTCTGATTAAATGGGGCAAAATAAAATGAAATGGTGGGCTGACAGAATACATAAATATTTATTAAATGCCATACACTATCAAGAAATATTCCAAGTGCTAGATATTGAGCAGTGACCAGAGTAGACAAGGTCTCAGTTTTCATGTAATATAATCATAATCTACTAGAGAGAGGGAGACAAATACAGAAAAAAATACAAGTAAATATCTATTATGACAGGTGGAGATAAGAGCTATTAAGAAAAATTAAAAAGCATCAGAAGTATGCGGACTGATGTTGCAGGCCTTATATAAAACAAACAATGCAGAGAAATCAACACGAGAAAGGAATGAGTCATGCAAATATTTGGAGGAATAGCACTGCAAGAAGTGAAAACAAAGAGTATTGCTAATATTGGACTATCAAGGAATAGGAAAACATCATCAGAATGGTTGAAGCACAATGTAGAGTAAAGTAGTGGGTGAGTGCTAAGACATCAGGTCTGAGCAGTCAGTCAAGGTTATATGGGGATTCTATGCCTTTGTAATGACTTTGACTTCCATTTTCTTGTGATGTGAGTGTTTTGAGCAGTGGAATGATGTGATATGAGATATTTTTAAATGATTACTGTAATATTACTTCTGACCATGATGAAATAGCTTTCACCAGACCAATGTTCCCAGCAATGACAACAAAGAAACCTGGATAAAAATGAAAAAAAAAAAAAAAAAAAAAACTAAATATATAAAAGAACTGATGGAACTCACAGAATTTGATGGGTCAAAATTCAAGATAAGGGATTTATAGAGCAGTGAGCTGATATTTTACATCTGCTTCTTCTACAAGAATATTTGTTGATTCTTGAGCAAATCTGTTGCTAAGGCCGATGCCAAAGCCATAGAACCAGAAGAATTATTGGGCATCTTACATGACTGAATGGGCAGTATTGAAGTAAGAGCTGCCAACAAAGCCAGGACCTGGAGATAAACTAAGATCTCAAGAAGATAGAGGAAAGGAGAAGTTAGCCTGGTCCCTGTACTTTGCAGGTTTTTTCACTTGAGCTCAGAAAGGCTGAAGGTAAATGATAGTACAAGTACAAATATAACAGAAGTTATATTAATATCAAACACATTATCCTTGAACGAAGAAGTGATGTAGAAGAACAATTCACTGGTTAATCCACCAGGTAGATTAAACAATTCTAAATTTATATATAAGAACATAGCTTCCAAATGGTTAGATAGACAAATTCATAATCACATTGCAAAACATTATTACACACCTCTCAATGAGTGAAGAAACACACATATAAGATTAAAAATCATGATATTTATATTAAATAAGTTTTTTTGAGATAGAATCTCACTCTGTCACGCAGGCTGGAATGCAGTGGCACCATCTAGGCTCACCACAACCTCCACCTCCCGGGTTCAAGCAATTCTCTACCTCATCCTTCCAAGTAGCTGGATTACAGGTGCCTGCCACCATGCCCAGCTAATTTTTGTATTTTTAGTAGAGATGGGGTTTCACCATCTTGGCCATGCTGGTCTTCAACTCTTGACATCGTGATCCACCTGCCTCGGCCTCCCAAAGTCCTGGGATTGCAGGCGTAAGCCACCATGCCTGGCCTTAAATAATTTTTTTAAAAAGCATAGACCTATAGCAATGTTGATCAAAAAAATAATAAAAACACAAGTTACAAATAACTGACATGAAAAAGAAAACACCATTAAAGATCCAACAGACACAAAAAGATTATAGAAGTTCTGAACATGTTTATGTAAAATTATAAAATTTAATTGATCAGATATCTAGAAAAACACAATTTTATATAATTAACAGAAGAGATACATAAAATCTGAAGTGACATTATGTGTTAAAGAAATTGTATCTTTCAGCCCTCTCAGAATGTAATCTAAAAAAACACTTATTTTTGCTGGAGAATGCTTCCATATTTAAAGATGAAGTGACGGTAATCTTAAATAAACTTCTGAGCTTAATTAGAACAGAAGAAAGGATTTCCCAAGTCAGTAGTTGAAACTGAATACGTTTGTTGGTCAAATGTCATAAAATATATTATTAAAAACGAGGAAGGCACAGACCAATCTTCTTATAAATGCAAAAATCCTAAACAAATAGCAAATCAAACCCAGCCACTTATAAAAATGAAAATACCAAGTCGCATGTATTCCAGGAATATAAATTTTATTTAAAATATTCTAATTTAATCAATATAACCTCCCATTCAAAAGTAAACTTTAAAAATCCCATTCTCCTCTTAATAGCTGCACTTAAAAAGGATTTTGTAAAATTCAACACAAATTCAGTTTAAAACTCTTAGTAATCAGATAATAGAAGGTACTTTAAAAATACTGCAATCAGACATGACTACAGAAAACATATTTCAAACATCATACATAATAATAAACACTTTAAGCATTTTCCTTGAGGTGAAAAATGCAAGAGGATACTTTCTATGACCATTGCCCAGTAACAATGTACTGAAAGTTCTTTTCAGTACAATAGGGCAATTAAAATAAATGAGATATATGAGTTATAAAGGAAGAAGTAATACCAATTTTCACACAGATATGGTTGTAAATATAGAAATTCCTAGGGGTTAACAAATATTAGAATAAGTAAGTGAATTTAGCAGGTTGTTGGATAATTTACATGTTATTGATATAGCGTAAATGAATACAAGGCAAATAAAATTTAAAAATGAATCAATTTATAAAGGTCTTATCAATTATTTAATACCTAGCAATAAATTTAATGAAGATGAATCAATATCTGGATATCTACACTAAAACTGCAAAATATTATTGAGCTAAATTACATAACCTAAAGCAAAGAAGGAGTAAAATGTCCATGGGATTGAAGATTTAATGGTATTAAAATTTCACTCTTCTTAAATCATTGTAAGCCCAACCAAAATTCAATCATATGCAAAGAAATTGATATTAATCCCTACTCTCAACCCTTACAGAAAAAAACAATTCTAAATAAATGGTAGATCCATATGTAAAAAGTTAAAACAGTAAAGATACTAAACAAACATAAGTGAATCTTATTTTGACTTTGGAGTAAGCAAATTTGTTAATCAAGACACAAATATCGATAATAATGAGAAAAAATACAATTTTGGCTATACCTACTCCTTTAGCATGTGACAAGAGCAGCCATATACAAAGAGAAAATGTTTCCTATATATAATTCTGATAAAGGACTCACATCCAGATTTTTTTTTTAAACCCTGCAGAATAATGGGCAATCCTATAGAAATTGGGCCAAAGTCTGGAACAAGCTCTTAAAATAAAGAGAGGTACTATATGACCAATGATGTGTAAAGATGTCTAATTTCAATAGTGATGAGGGAAATGCACATTAAATGACAACTCGGTACTACTAATCACTGTTAATAGCAAAATTTTAAAAGACAAAGTACCAAGTTTAGGCCAGGACATGCCTCAAGTGAGAAGCTCATACATTGCTAATAGACATGTGGCTATGTACACCACTCGAGAAATATTTTGGGCCTTATTCACTAAAGCTAATTTTAAGCATACTTAGCAATTCTACTTCAAGATATATACTTAGGATAAAAACATATATGTTTATCAAAGATGTGTAAAAATGTTCACCCTAGCACTATTCCTAAGAGTTCTAACCTGGGAAAAGTCAAATATACACCAATAAAGAAACTGTTATACAAACGTGGTGTATTGATATATTGGAATACTGTATTGCAATGAGAATGTTAAATTTTTAAAAAACTTTTGGAGGAAATTTAGGGGAAGAAAATAGAGTTTGATTTTGGACATGGTAACATTAATAAATTCACTAGATATCTAAGTAAACATTACGTGTCTTTAGCGAGATTAAGTGTTTCAGGCTGTACTTCAGGAGAAATATTGATAATTAAGTTTTAAATTTGGAAGTCAACACTTTTTGTATGGTGTTAGTCATAAGACTAGACAAAATTAGCTAAAGAATAAGTATAGAAAGAGAGATGGCTTAGGATCCAGCTTGGGGCATTCCTAAAATCACATTCAATAAGATTAGACGAGATAAAGGCAAAGAAGCATTAGAAAATATGGTGAATCAAGAAAGAGTGATGTCCTAAAGGCCTGTGAGTGAAGTATTTCAAGAAGAGGTGAGCACTCAAATGTTTTAAATATATCACTTAAGTAGTTTTTAGGATGAGGACTGAGAATTAAGTTTCAAATCTGGAAATGCAGATAGGTCTCTTGGTGATTTTAACAAAAATCATCTCTGTTGAGTAGTGGGAATAAAACCTGAGTTGGAGAGAGTGCAAGAGAGAATGAGAGAAAAGGAAGTAAAGAAACTGAGTAAGACAACCCTTTTGTTTATTAGCTATAAACAGAAGCTAAGGGGCCGGGGTGCAGTGGCTCATTCCTATAATCCCAGCACTTTGGGAGGCCGAGGCAGGTGGATTACCTGAGGAGTTCGAGACCAGCCTGGCAAACCTGGTGAAACTCCAACTCTACTAAAAATACAAAAATTAGCTGTGCATGGTGGCGGGCGCCTGTAATCCCAGCTACTCGGGAGGCTGAGGCAGGAGAATCACTTGAGCCCTGGAGGCAGAGGTTGTGGTGAGCCGAGATCGTGCCATTGTACTCCAGCCTGGGTGACAGAGTGAGACTCCATCTAAAAAACAAAACAAAACAAACAAAACAAAACAAAAACAGAAGCTAAGAATCAGGGTTGATCTGCGCATATATGGCATAGTTTATTTTTATTTTTTAAGATTGGAAATGTTTACGGGTGATAGAAATGTTCCAGTACACAGGAGCCCTCAGTGATGAAGGAGTGCAGAGGAGAATTACAGGAGCAACATCCTTAATTAGATGAGAGGAAATTGAGAATACATAAGGAAGGTTTTATCTCAGGTAGCATCAGAGACATTTTAACTTATACGACAGGAAGGAAGCTAAATCCATCCATATAGGGATATGGATTCAGGAATTGGATATAGACCAGGTAGACTATGTAGAAGACAAAATTAATTCAACATCCTTATTTGATACTGTTGTTACCCTTCCTTACCTATATTACATGGAGAATTTCAAATTGTTAAATATGTAACATAGTTTAGATCAATCTTTATTACTGTTTATTTTAGCTACATAGATAATTATCCAGTAAGTAGATATGTAGAAAAAATACTTCAACTTATTTGAAAATTATATTTACCCTTATTAGGCAAAATCTCATAAGGTTTTAGATGGCATCCATTGTCAAATTTCTACAATTGCTTATATATGTAATTCTCCTTCCCAAGTCAGTTACGTATCTTATTTTTATGGCCTTGTTGGAATTGGATTTTGTTAACCCAGCAAAGATAGCATCAGTAAGAGATGTGGCCTTGGATGTGGGACTTCAGAGAAAATTTTTTATCTCCTCCCACCATAGAATTACATCTTCTGTGAGCAAAGAAGATAAAAAAGAAACTTTATCAGATGGAGAATAGAGATCATTGGAGGTGAGGGACCTAGTAAATCGTTTGCATATTCCAAGATATCCCCAGTGTGGTTGGCTGATAGTGTATTTTAATCAACACCCTAACCTTTGGGTAACAAATCTTGTTAAGTCATGTACTATGTCAACCTCTGCAATATTTCAGTAACATTTAGAATCAATATGTGGTATTTTATTCCTATTACTACTATTGCAAGAAGAAATTAGTATTTTTTAACCCTGTTTGGAGTCCAACTGAAGTTTTATTTTATTATTTGATGCAATAACTTCAAAATTTGAGTTTGTTTTTCTTTATGTTGTATATTTCAATGTATCCAACACAAACATTTCTCTCCATGGTTCTGTCATTGCTTATATCTTATAAAAATCAGTGTATGGGAGTAGCTACCTTTTCCATAGAGACTTTGCCAATGGGAATATAGTCTTAGGGGATTTGAAATAAAGCTTTTGCTGGATATTTTACCACTGCCAAACACTGTTTTCACATTACCATTCAGATAGTAGTCTCATCGTGATCTGCTGAATGATTCCACACCAACACTTTTACTCAGGGTCTGCTTCTTGCAAGCCACACTCAGGTACTAACTTCTGCATTACTTTATTTATTACTTTAACTTATTTGAATACCATGCACCAGAAAACAATTGTGAATAAAATAAGGGGAAAATTTGCGTGAAGAGGACTTCTTGGAAAAGTTTTTGGGTTGATCAGAAAATCAAGAAAACAGCTAAAGAATCAACCCCTGAGCAAGGAAAAGGAGAGATCTCAGAATCTCAGCAGCAAGAGTTTGACATTCTTCTCCTTTTTAGATTGTCATGAACTGACTCAACTCTAATAGCCTTCTATACACTCCTTGTGTGCAGTACCACAATTTTCAAATTTCTGAAAGACAATATATATTTGACACAGCATCAGCCATATGTTTGTACTTGTAGGAAGCATGTTGTAGACATAAAATAATACTACCAACTTGGAGAATTTACAGAACTCCACCATCCTTCTGTCTTCCTCCTTCATTTCAATTGGTTGTCAGGTCTTATACTATATATTTTAATTATACCATCTAACTACCTTTTAGTTACGTTATCTCTTCTTATAGTCATGGGATGAGAAGTGTCATCCATCTTTTATCATTTCATCTTCCAGTCAAATTTCCACTGGCTTCATTGGCACAACATCTACAAAAGTATGTATAACATCGTGATCTCAAAAACAAACAACACAAATTAAAAATCAAACAAGCAAACATCTCTTGACCTTGCCTGTGGTGCTTTTCAAAAGACTGGGAAGTGGAAAAAGGGGACGTTCTGTGCTGAGGGTAAGAAAAAGCAGAGGTAATGAAGTATGACAGTATGAGATTTATTAGGAGGAAATATGAATATCAAATTATTGGTATTCTACTTAAGACTATGAAGAACAAAAGTGGATAGACAGGGAATCACAGGGGAGAGTGCCTCCTGAAATTTTATAACAAAAGCTGCATGGCACCTTAGCCATTCAAAAAATATATTCAGGTTTGTTATCCATAATAATTGAAGTAGGCCAATAGTTTTCAAAGTTCAGTTCAAAGTTTGGTTCAGTTAATAGTTTACTCTGCTTCATAAAATATAGAATTCCCTTCTCATCATCAGCGACTTCAAACCACAATGCCTTTTTAGGGCCAAGAAATGGAGCTATATAATAAACACTGCACAGATTCTGGAACAGGCTCTCTGGAGACAAAAGACTGAGAAAAATTCAGAAGTACTATCAGAAAATTGTCAGTCACAGGTTTAAATGGATGTGATGAAACTAGTTATGACTTAGTGGCTACTGATGGCTTATCATGCATTTTTTTAATGGAAAATGTCTTTCCTCCAGAACTTTAAAATTTGGAAATATTCATATACTAATATATTTTATGTAATAATATTAGAAGAGGAAGAACCTATATTCACATATTAATTATCATTTTTCTCACAAAGAAATAGAGATAAACCAAGACTAAGACATGGTCCCAAGATCACACAGCAATTAAGATTCAGTCCTTATTTACTATTCATTTCATTCTCTGAAACTGCAATTATATTTGCTTTCAAAGAATGTTCCAGAAAAATATAAGTGTAGAAAAAGAATAATATAGACATTAATTTCACTAAATAATATAAGCATTTTTTTTTTCTTTTTCTATCAGCTGAAAGCAGCCTAGGAGTGTTAATCCTCTTGGTGTTTCTCAACCAGACTCTTTTGCATGATAAAACAATTTTACTCTCATTGGTCTATTCTAGCATTTAAGTTAATTTTCCAACCATCTAAATTCCAAGTGTGCACCATAGAGGTTGAGCTTTTCTATCCATCTGCTACACCAATACCGTCCAGTCTATGCCAATGATTGAAGGGTATAAAAAAAGGGCCGTGTGGTCGTTTCAGTTTTGTTTTGTTTTGCAATGCAGACGCACTTGGAGCAGCAGGTCAATGAATTCTGGGAACTGCATCTTTTTGACACATGAGACCTTTGCAGAATGAATCAAAGTTAAATCCCATGAATAAATGCTAGTGTTTAATAATCATTCCGTTTATGGAAGCTTTATTGTGAATTCATAAAAGCAAGGACAATATTTCCTTGCAAGTCCACAAATCACCATCATAAGCAAGGCAATCGTGAATAAACTGAGCTGGACTGCATAGCCTCTTTGGCAGTTGCTAGTATTTAAATATGGATGGGAGAAGCAAAGACTAGGAGAAGTTGTCCTAAAGCAAGCAAATGACAGCTCCCACAAATAAAGGGAAAAATGTTAAAACAATAAACAAAAGAGAAACAATTACTTGCTCATTACAAACATGTCATATTGCATTCTTTATTTTGATTGTGGAAAATTAGCCATTGACTACCAGGAACAATTGATTTTCCTTCACAGCTGTTTTCTAATTACATCTGAACACTGAAAATTCTAGTGCAGCCATTCAGCTGTACAAAGAGAATTTTCTTTTATTATTTTTGCTATTGCTGCAAGCTCTGCCCAGAAGCATGACTATAGTTAGATGATCTGTACTGTATATATGTGGTGTTTGTATTAAAAGCCATGCTTTTCAGGGATGTTATAAGAACTCAAATATTTTAAATTACATAGGGCAGAACTTGGTGTACAAGCTGTTTTGCCCAGATGCTATTACGTAGCTTTCTCTTTCTTTTTGCCATCAAAACAAGGAAGAAGATAATGAAGATAGCTTAAATCGGTACATCCGTTTCTTAGTCACTGCATAGTCGTCAATTGGATCTATTTTTGTCATTGTGGCTTCTGATGAGTGTTTTGGCACAGTCTTACTGGGAGGGTGGAGGGTGATGGGCAGTTTCCTGTCAGTTAATTCTGTGGGTAAATTCTAAGCAAAGAGCATGGAGATTATTAACAGGCAGGATTCCAAGGTTTCAGAGAAGCAATTGAAATTTTTGGATGCTTCTCTTCAAACGCTTTAGAATTTTCCTCAAAATGATTTCAGTTTTAAAATATGGCCAGAAATATGAAACTTGCCCTTGGGAGTTTTCTAGGACTTGCGGTTAGTGAGTTCTGGAAAAATAGTTAAGATACTTCCTTCAGAGTTTAGGGTCTCTGATTAATCTTTACCATAATTTAGGTGAAATCAGCTCAGCAATGTTAACAATTCAGCAAAAATAAAGTGAAACCTTAAAATGTTTTTTTTCCAATGGAAAAAAAAACACAACATTTCAAGCCTGGGTTATTAAAGCAAAAACTGGGAGCTCTTATTTATTTACTTATTTATTTTAATTTTTTTAATTTATTTTTATTTTTTGTAGAGACAGGGTCTCACTATGTTGCCCAGGCTGGTCTACCACTCCTGGCTTCAAGCGATCATCCTTCCTCGGCCTCCCACAATTCTGGGATTACATACGTGAGCCACCACACCCGGCCAGCTCTTTGTTGCCATTTATTAAATATTTGCCCTCTTTAGAGGTAACTTTAATCAGGTATCTGTTCACTGGATGGCAATTTTTTAAGTCTTTGATCAAAACTCTAACCTCTGTAGTTCCTGTAGTAACGCAGTGTAACTTGAAATTTGCCATTTTACTTGGAAGGCTCAAAGATTCCTCAATGGCCCATCTTATTTTAGTATTTCCTTTGCCAAGATTAAGATTGAGGTGATGATTGTTTAATTAAATTAAATTTGGCTTGAGGCTGTCTCGGTACCGTAGGTCCCTACATAACAAACTACAATTTAACTAAACAAACTGAAAGCCTAATTTAGGAGTATATATTGTAACAAATTGCTAGGTCTCAGCCAGTCACAGCCGACTAGCTTCAGCCAATCACAGGCTGCCAATTGATCAGACCATGTCCAAACAAGTAAAAAATGCTAAGCTGTAACCAACCAGTTTCTGTACCTTACTTTCATTTTCTGTCCATATGTACTGCCTACCTACTTTGCAGAAGTGAGATCTCTGAACCACTCTGCTGGCTCTTGAGAGCTACTGGATTCCCAAATAATTCTCTGCTTCATTAAACTCCTTTAAATTTGTCTAAAGATTTCCTTTTAATACATTTCATCTCATTTTTATTTTTCTAAATTTTGATAACTTTCATTGACTTTTATCATAAAAATCAAGTCTAATACAAAATAAAACAATATAAAAATAAATGTATTGAAATTATATCAATTTTATTTCCTGACATATTTTCTTGATTTATATCATTACAAAAGATAAAAACTATCAGCATGGAGTTTTGAAACCATAAAAAATTTTTTTGAAAGAATGAGGAAAAGCAGCAAGAACTTTGGGTGTGATGGAGGTATGTGGTTAATTTAATAGGACTGATTTTTTTTTTAATTCTGGGATTTTTCTCACATAACCATATAATCTATTTGAAAACCAGATATTTACTAGAAGAGAGTGGCAAATATCCACTACTGAATAGATAAGAGTTTAGACATTAAAACTGAAAGCACTCTTAAGTATTTTACATGTAAAGAGGTTTAAGACACAGAACTAGTGGCCAATAAAACTGCTGAGAGGTGGCAAAATGACAGTCAGAAAAGCTGCTTTCAAGATATTTTTAAGTGAAGGAATCTCAGGAAGCCATTAACAATTATTTTAGTTGCCTACCACACCTAAGAAGATGATTCTCAGGAAGATCTCCAAAATCAATGGGCAAAAACCCATGTCTGCCATTTGTCAAAGCCCACACATTTATCCTCAGCCATGGCATGAGAACAATGGCTTCTGCTCTTCTACAACACCAAGAAATTTTCTCTTATCACTTAGATACAACTGAACCCCAATGGCAATGAAGCTTGTTTCCAGTCTTTATGTCCCTGTGAAATAAGAAACAACTTACAAATTTAGAGATGATAATACAGCAACAATATCTGAAAGAACTACACTTGAACACAAGAATTCAAACCCTAAAAGTAATAAAGTAATACCAATAATGATGTTATTTCACATACAGCTGTTCAATTGGATAATCACTGAATTGTCCTTACCGTTTAATTTATTTTTCTCCAGACTTACTCTATATGAACTATTCAACAATAGCAACAAAATAAATCAATAAATAATAAACAAGAGAGGTGAAGAATAATATCATGTGATTGATTTTTCTCTTCTTGAGAGCTTGTTTGGAAGTTCTAGCAGGGAAGCCCATCTACTCACGTGCCCTTGACTGAAGATGGGTCCTTCTCCATCGCGGATGGTCATCCTCTTTTACCGAGCACACAGCTTTGGAAGGAACGCATATGGAGTGGTGAGGAAGGAAGGGAACACCTGTCTAGTCAACCAGATCTGCTGCACCAACCCTGGCAATCAAATGGTTGATAGATGTTGCTCTTAGATTGCCCTCATATCCATAATTTTTCTCTTCTTCTTCTTCTTCCTTTTACCAAAACAACTACAACAACAACAAAACAAATAACTTTAATTTTGAAATGGCATTATGAGAAAAGGGTTCTGTATCGTGCTAATCCTTTTTTTTTTTTTTTTTTTTTTGAGACAGAGTCTGGCTCTCTCGCCCAGGCTGGAGTGCAGTGGCGTGATCTCGGCTCACTGCAACCTCTGCCTCCTGGGTTCAAATGATTCTCCTGCCTCAGCTTCCTGAGTAGCTGGGATTACAGAAGCTCACTACCACGCTCAGCTAATTTTTGTATTTTTAGTAGAGACGGGGTTTCACCACGTTGGCCAGGCTGTTCTCGAACTCCTGACCTCATGATCCGCCCACCTCAGCCTCCCAAAGTGCTGGGATTACAGCTGAGCCACCACACCCAGCCTGTGCAAATACTTTTTATGAGGAAATCATAGAAAAAGTATCTGTTAGTTGACAGGCAGTATCCATATTACAGTGTTTGGTTTGAGCACTTGAGTTGTTCTGAAGCTAGGTTACCATGAAAATAAATACAGTGATACTTGGAATCAGAGAACACATATGGTCAGCATTTTCCAGATGGCATATTTATGTCAAATGTATAGACATTATAAGAAAAAATATTATAAGTCAATATTAAGAAGACTCTCTAAATATTTAGGTAAATACAATGCACTGTTCCCTCCGCCCAGAAATAGAGTATGATCCTGGCACCTTGCCAAGAAACACATAGAAATATCCTTGTACGTTGTGCTTATAGTAGATAATCTGAAAAGTTTCATCCAAATCTTAAATTCTAGATATGAATAGTTTGTAATAAAGTGTTAGAAGGATCAAGATTAAAAATTATTTGCATATGGTTCCCAACGCCTCTTAGTAATCAGTGGATGATAAGTTCCTTGTAACTTATTTTAATAAAAAGTCTTGAGTACAGAATGTGAGTATATTATAGACTAAATATTTATATTCCTTCCCCCAGATTCATATATTGAAGGCCTAACTGCCAATATGACTGTATTTGTGTATTTGGGGAAGAAGCCTCTACAGATATAATTAAGGTTAAATAAGATCATTAAATTGGGACACTAATCCAATAGAAATAATGTCTTTATAAGAAGAAACACCAGAGAGAAAAATAACTTTCTCCTCTCTCTCACTCTCTCTCTTTCTCTCTCTCTCTAGCTGTCTCTCCAGGAGGACACAAAGAAAAGATCAAGACAGCATGTAGCAAATGTAGCAAGGAGGCATCCAATCATCTGCAACCCAAGGGGCAAACCCTCGCCACACACCAACCCTGCTGGCTCCTTGCTTTTGGACTTCCAGTTTCAGAATTATGAGAAAATACATTTCTGTGTTTAGGCCATCAAGTCTATTGTATTTTGTTCTGACAGCCTGAACAGACTAATACACAGTATAATACAATTGAATTGTTGATTCATCTAAGAAATATATAATTTCTACATGGTTTGTTGCAATTATCTGGGAATAAATATTACCATGACCACTTATTCAGAACTTGATATCTGTATTTATTTCTAAGCATGCATATAATCCCATTACTTGGTAGTCATTTGAATGTATGTTCCACACTTACACCAAAAAGTGATAATAGTATTGACTTCATATAAGAAGTCTTGATAGTCAGTAGTATTGACTTCACATAAGAAAATATTATAAATTAATTCCAATTCCAATTTATGAAGATATTATAAATTTAATATCTCTGAATGTAAATTCTCGGTTGTTCTAGATATAAAAATAAATTATTGATTTATTTTGCTAAGCTACTATAAAACACAATAAAATTTAAAAGCCTCAATTTTGCTGATTGTTTACTATTACAAATCATGCTGGAATGGACATTCTCATATTCTGTTTAGTCTTAATCCTTCCCCCACCAAATCCAATGGAGTCAAGGATTTGGACACAGACACTTTATTTTGAAGTTGATCCCAGGCACCAAAAATGAGAAAAGAAAGAAAGGGAAATAGGTAAGAGAAAAGGGGCAATAAAGTTACGTCTTAACAAGCTTGAGTACCACAGTTAACAACTGAGTCACAATCCCACTGGGGATTGTAAGGAACATACCTTGGGTTAGTTCTACCCCAGTACAAGGAAGCTACAGGATTTAGCCATTGCCTTTTAGCCCCAATTGTTGAGGATTTCCCTTAAGTAGTGTTAACACAGGCACATACTGAGTGTTCCTGTGTCCAGCATTTCTATCTCATTTGTTTTCAGAGAAACGGCTTAAGTGGAGAAGGGTGATGCAGAAACAGGAAGTTACAGTCTAGCAGCAGGTCAGTAGCTGTTTAAAGGAGCAGTAGGTGAACTCATCAGGCCAAAGGGACAGGGAGCATTTACTAAATTTGCACATATGTAAGAGTTTCTCTAGTGTACACATTCAGTAATGATTTCATTACTGAGCTGTCTATGGCTGTTTCTTCAACCTTATAAGATATTGCTACATTGCTCCTCAAGGTTGTGCTGCCCAAAGACAATCCTGCCAAAATAATGAAATGTTCCAGTGGTGTAAAATTTTTATCAGTATATATATAATGGTTATATATATATGTGTGTGTGTGTTTGTGTGTGTATATATATATGGTTAAAATAATATTTTTATCAAATATGTATATACAATTTATGATATAAATTATAAATTATGGTAAAATTATATATTATTATAAACATACATTATAATGTATTATATACATAATTTATATATATATAAAAACCATTTTTGAGGCACTGTTTTTCTTATCAATCCATTAGTTCTTAAACTTTAAATTTTCAGTGTCTTTTCTATATTTTTATTTATTTGTTTTCTGTGCATATTGATTAATTAGATGTGGGGAAGACTAGTTGGGTGTTTTTAAAAATAATAATTCTAAACACATAAGCAAATTGAGAAAAAAATCAGTATTCTTAGACTTTTATAAGTAAGCATATCAGGTAAAGGTTGACCCACAGTTAAACATTTTAGGTCTTTTAGAAAACTCCAAGTAAAAGTTAGATAATTTATCCCTCAGAATTAGATAAGTAATTTTGCCTGTCATGATTATAAATCTGTGCATTGAAATATTTTGACTTTTTATTTGCTAACCCAATGTGACTTGGTCCGCTTTCTAGTGCTATAACAGAATACCATACCTGGGTAATATTTATGAAGAAAAGAAGTTTATTTTGTTCAAGTTTCTGGAGACTGAAAAGTGCAAGAGCATGGTGCTGGCATCTGGCTAGGGCCCTCCTGCTGCATCATCCCATGGCAGATAGGCAGAAATGCAAGAAAGCAGACAAGACAGAGAAGGGGCCAAAATAACTAACCCACTCTCATGATACAGACCTAATTTATTCATGAGGGAAGAGCCCTTATGACCTTATTGAAAGTTCCCACCTTTTCAATGTTGCTGCATTGAGGATTAAGTTTTCAACACACAAACTTTGGGGGATGTACTAAAACCACAGCACAAGGTAACATATGTGTTAACTTACAGTGTACATTATAGAACTCTAACCATACAGGGTTCTTAGGATTTTAAGTAACAAAGTCATTGGACAAAACCACTTCATTTCTACATTTTTAAATAGCCTTACAGAAATCTAGAAAAGATAAATGCTATAATACACCTAAACGTGATAATTTTTAGCCTATTTATTTATTTATTTATTTGAGACAGAGTCTTGCACTGTTGCCTGGGTTGGAGTGCAATGGCATGATCTTGGCTCACTGCAACCTCCGTCTCCTGGGTTCATGCAGTTCTCCTGCCTCAGCCTCCCAAATAGCTGGGATTACAGGCACACACCGCCATACCTAGCTAATTTTTTGTATTTTTAGTAGAGATGAGGTTTCACTATGTTGGCCAGACTGATATCGAACTCGTGACCTTGTGATCTGCCCGCCTTGGCCTCGCAAAGTGCTAGGATTACAGGCATGAGCCACCATGCCCGACCTAGCCTCTTTATTTTTAAACAGTTTTAGATCTACAGAAAAATAGAACAAAGAATTCCAATGTAAACTTAAAAGCTTTCCATAATGTGAACACCTGAGCAGAAAAAACAAACTCAGTTTCTCTTACTATACTCTCACAACATGCTTCTGACACCATATGCAAAGGGCAAAGCAAGCAATCAATTCTACAGCAGGCCCTCGCTGGGTGTCCTCCAACCCAGCTCAATTCCCACACTCTCTACCTGGAGGTGGTGCCAGATCCCATCGGTTGAGGACTCAGTTCCACAAGACAGCCCCTAATTTCTGACAGCAATCATAAGCCCTGGGTTATTTTGCCTCTCCTTCTGACTGACTGTAAATCAGGTTTACCATATCCCCCAACTCGGGTTCAGTTAATTTACTAGAGCACTCACAGAACTCAAGGAAACATTCTCTTACATTTACCAGTTTGTTACAAAACATGTTTTAAAGGATGAAAAAAAATCAGATGAAAAGATACATAGAGCAAGGTCTAGAAGTATCCCTACTGCAGGAACTTCTGTCCCATGGAGGTGGGGTGTGCTACCCTCCAGGAACTTCACCATGTTCAGCTATCCAGGAACCCCCATTAGTCAGCTATCCAAAAGCTCTCGAAACCCTGTCATTTTGGGTATTTATGGAGACTTCATTACATAGGCAAGATTGATTAAATCATTGGCCATTGATGATCAACTTAATTTCATCCCTTCCCTTGTGGGTAGGGTGTGAGGCTGAAAGTCCCAATCCTCTAATCCTGCGTTCAGAGGCGTGTGAACAAGAGCAACTCCATCTTAAATAGGATCTGGGTAAAATGAGGCTGAAACCTAGTGGGCTGTGTTCCCAGATGGTTAAGGCATTGTAAGTCACAGGATGAGATAGGAGGTCAACACAAAATACAGGTCACAAAGACCTTGCTGATAAAACAGTTTGCAGTGAAGGAGCTGGCCAAAACCCACCAAAACCAAAATGGCAACAAGAGTGACCTCTGGTTGTTCTCACTGCTACACCCTCACCAGCGCCATGATGGTTTACAAATGCCATGGCAATGTCAGGAAGTTACCCTATATGGTCTACAAAGGGGAGGCATGAATAATCCACTCCTTGTTTAGGATATTATCAATAAACAACCGTAAAAATGAGCAATCAGCAGCCCTCAGGGCTGCTCTGTCAATAGAGTAGCGATTCTTTTATTCCTTTACTCTCTTAATAAACTTGCTTTCACTTTGCACTGCGGACTCACCCTGAATACTTTCTTGCATGAGATCCAATAACCCTCTCTTGGGGTCTGGATGGGTACCTCTTTTCTGTAACACTGCTTTGTTCTTTCCAGTGAGCAGCCCCCATCCTGAAGCTACTTAAGAGAGATGCCAGCCTAAATCAACATATTAGCATACAAAAAGATACTGGTCACATTAAAGTTTCCAACAATTTTAGTAGTTATATACCAGGAAACAGTACAAAGACCAAGTATATATTTCACAATAGCACAACATATTTCATAGCCATACTACATTTATCAAAAGTAAGAAATTAACATTGGTGCAATAGTATTAACTAAAGTTGGTTCAGAACTTACAAGTTTTCTAATGCCCTTTTTCTTTTCCAAGATTCTGTCCAGGATACCACATTACATTTAGTCATCATGTCTCCTTGGTCTCCTCCAGTCTATCTCAGTTTCTCAGACTTCCTTGTTTATAACTATCTTAAAAGTTTTGTCTATTTTCCATGACTAGTCTAAGGTTACTATGGATTTAGGGGAAAAGTTTCATAGAATTGAAGTTTGGTTTATTTTTTTCTTCCCTCATCTCCTGATAACAGGGATATCTTATCACTCATAATGTTAATTTTGAATATTTGATTAAAATGCTATTTGTTAAAATTTTCACTATAAACTACTGGATTTCCCTTTTCATATGCTATTTGATAAATGCTAGTCTTTAAATCCAACCTAATCTCAAGGGTAGGGAAATTAAGCTCCAACTCCTGGAAGGAGGAGTATCAAAGAATGTATAGACATGTATATAAAATATCACAACACTTATTAAATATTATGAGGAAGATATCTTGAAGCTATTTAACTATCTTCTTTCTTCTTAATAGTTTGTCAACTAATTTAGCATTCATCAGCAGATCTTGCTTGAAGCAATGACTATGATTTCCTAATGACTATTTTCTTTTCCCTTAATTACTTCCACATTTATTATTTGGAATTCTATAAGGAAATTTAGCCATTCTACTTCATTTATTTACTTACGTAATGTCAGTTTGGACTCATGGATACTTATGTTCTTCTTTGTGAGGCAATTCAGTATTGTTACTTTTTATTTTGCTGGCCAAAAGATTCCTGTCCCAGGCCTAGCATCAGCAATTATGCCAAGAAGCTTTACTTATTTATTTATTTTTACTGGAGAATGTTACTTAGAAACTAAGATCTAAGATCTGAGCACAAGAATGTTGCTGTGTGCCAGGCACTCTGAGCAGACAGATTTAGAAAATATATGTGTGCATATGAACACATAGATACATACACATCTATATCTACTTTTCTGTCTGTGCTTATCTACATTAATCTATGGTGTGTGTGTGTATGTGTGTGTGTGTGTGTGTATGTATAAGTGTACCAAAAATAAAATTCTAAGCACCCCTAGCTGACTCAAGCATCCCTCTCTTGGCCCAGCGGATCTCAAAGAAACCTGAAAATCTAGTTCAGGCCATGACAGAAAGAGCATGTCAGACATGTCTCATTATACTCTCCTCCTCAGCAGTTTAGATACAACTGACTAGTGTTATCATTAAATATAAGATCCTAAGACTGTCAAAACAGACTTTTTATAGCAATAAGATACCAAATTCCAACCCAACTCTCATATAGCATCACATGACAAATAACAGGCCCTGAAGGAAATCTAATTATTTTACCCCAAAATATATTTATTTGACATATTCTGAAATGGCCCTGCAAAATTGTCTCTTGTGGGTGAAATTTGCACCCTGTAGAGAATCTCCTTCTCTTACTACGTCTTTTCTTGAGAATCTGACACTATTTGAGGACTGATAAGAGACATTCACCAACTATTTTCTCTGAAGACTGCTACTTGGAAGCTTCATCTACATAACAAGAATCTTGGCTTCCACAACCTTCTTATATAAACTCAAACACTTCTTTATGCTAAATTCAACGTTTTAGTCAGGGCTTAACTCTTTTAAACAAATACCAATCAGGAAATCTTTTAATTCACGTATGATCTGGAAGCCCCACAACTTTGAGACATCCCCCCTTTCCAGGCCAAACCAGTGTGTATACCTTACATGTATTGATTTTGTCTTTGCCTGTGACTTCTATCTCCTTAAAATGTATAAAACCAAACTGTAACCCAACCACCTGGGGCACATTTTCTTAGGAACTCTGGAGGCTGTCATGGGCCATGGGCCATGGTCCTTAACCTTGGCAAAATAAACCTCTAAATTGATTGAGATCTGTTTCAGATATCTTTTAGTTAACATATGTGTTACTATGTTTACAAAATAAAATATATATACTATGTATATATATTTTTGTGTATATATATGTATATGTATATACATATATATGTATACACATAGGCATTCATACATATACATATATGTATGCATATACATATGCATGCATATATGTGTATATACCACACACACACACACACACACACACACACACACACACACACAGACATACATACTTGAATTCCTATCTTTGATTTTTACCCAGCACAATAGGATTTATTCTAACCTTGTCTCATACCTTATTTGTATTTTTTCTGACAATGAAACATTTGGCTCTAATTATACATATGTATACATTTAATCAACTCTAGTATATATAAAATAGTTTCAGAATTGAGTAAAAAAACACCAAATAAAGGATAGTGTTTGTATGTAATTCATTATATATTTATTTCTATAATATTGAATGAAACACTGATTTTCAGTTACTTGTCAGGTCCTTTTTATTTTGCCCCATTCAATGAAGTCTGCCATATATATGAGATACACTTAGATTCATTTACAACATTCTGCTTGCCATCTTGGTATTCCACAATATCATAATTTATTTTTAGTATTTTTCATAAAGTACACTCTTTGTGGTATACAATTCTGTAAGTTTAAAAAAATTATACTCATATATCTGCCATGAAATTGCCATACAGAACTGTTTCATTACCCTACAGTTCTCTTGGGCAGTCCCTTGTGAGTCAAATTCTTAGCTTCCATGCCTTCTTATCAACCACTAATTTGTTTCCCAAACTTAAGTTTTATGTTTTTTAGAATTTTGTATAAATTGAATTCTTTCACATGGAAAAATGCATTTAAGATTCGTCCATATTATTGCTTGTATCAGTTGCGTATTTCTTTTTATTGCCAAGTAGCATTTGTTGTATGTACAGTAGAGTTTCTTTATCCATTCACCTGTTAAAGGACATCTTGTTTGTTTCTTATTGGGCTGATGATTAATAAAGAATAAATCATCTTTAAATATTTGCACAAATGCCTTTTGTGCGTGAACATAACTTTTCAATTCACTGGGAAGTATGTGGGAGTGTGATTATTGATTGTATTAATATTGTATGTTTAAACATTATAATGGATCATAGATTTAACCTTTCTGTATTATTCTTTACTTTAGCAACTTCTTGTAATTATTTCAAAATTATCAGTTATAAGAAAGTAAAAAAAAAAAAAGAAACTTCCAGGTTGACTTAAAAAGTGACTGTGACCTTTTGCCTTCCTACCAAAGCTGAAAGAGTTTTTTTTTTTTTATTTTTTAGCACATTAGAAATATCATTCCATTGTATGTTTGTTTATATGGCTTCACGTAAGACATTGGCTATTTTCTTATTTATGTGTCTTTCTAAGCAATGTGTCTTTCTTTTCTCTGTTTGCCTTTAAAATTTTCTCTGTCTTTGGGTTTAGTTTTGTTTGCTTCTTTGTTCATGTTCTGTCGTTTTGGTTTTCACATGCATCTTCTTTCTTGCTCTACGAGAATATTGGATCTTTTGTTTGGTGTCTGTCACTAATTTAGAACACTGTTAACCATTATTTCTTCGAGTATATTTTCATCCCTCTTTCATCTTTCTTCTGCTTCAAGGGCTCCACTAGGTTTATGTTAGATTATATGATATTAATATTGTTTCACAAATCTTGGAAGTTATTTTATTTTATTTTATTTTTTGAGACGGAGTTTTACTCTTGTTGCCCAGGCTGAAGTGCAATGGTGCGATCTCGGCTCGCTGCAACCTCTGCCTCCCGGGTTCAGGTGATTCTCCTGCCTCAGCCTCCCTAGTAGCTGGGATTATAGGCATGCGCCACCATGCCCGGCTAATTTTGTATTTTTAGTAGAGACGGGGTTTCTCCATGTTGGTCAGGCTCGTCTCAAACTCCTAACATCAGGTGATCCACCTGCCTCGGCCTCCCAAAGTGCTGGGATTACAGGCGTGAGCCACCGCGCCCAGCCGGATGTTCTTTTTTTTAACTTAGTTTTTTCATGCATTACGTTTTTTCCCCACTAGGGGAATTTCTATTAATATCTTCAAACTAGCTGATTCTTCCTAAGTTTTTTTTAGTCTACTGGTGAGTACATATAATACATCCAGTCTTTCTCAATTTATAAAAAATTTCTGTCATTTTAATCTAATCATTCCCTATAGTTTTCATCTCTCTGCTAACAGTACCTATCTGATTTTTCATGTTTCCTGTATTTTCAGCTAGAGCCGTTAATATGCTAATTATAGTTATTTTGAAATGCCTGCCTGAGAGTTCTAAAATCCGTGTTATATCTATCTCATATGTGTAAACTTTTTAAAAAACATTATGTGATTTTTTTTTTTTAGCTCATCAGCTATTGTTAGTGTTAGTGTATATTTTGTGTGGCCCAAGACAATTATTCTTCCATTGTGGCCCAAGGAAGCCAAAAGATTGAACATCCCTGAGTCCTGGAAAGAAGTTAGGCATAGTCTGAAGTTTCATCCTTGCTTAGATTGCTAGGTTTTGTATTTTTGCTTGACTTTGGGTCCTCTCTTTGTGCTGCTCCTCAGGAGAATCTCTTACTACCAGTGTCCCAGCTGTATTCCCATAATATGTTTACTCAACATTTATTGTGGTGGTGATTGTCTCCTTTCAAAAGAAAGGGAGAAGAGATGAAAGCTCTCTGATGTTCTCAACATGGTCTCAGAAATATGGCTTTCAGAAACATTCCTGCTTCTCCCTCCAGATACAATGTTGACTCTAGTAGTTATACCGTTCCCTCCCCCAAGGCGACAGCTTTGTTATTTCCTGTTCCCCAACCCCCAGCTGCAGTAGGTTCTTACAAGTGTCCCCAGGCTATAGTTGCGTTGTCCTTCACTCTAAAGATTAAATATTATGTTTCATAGGGAAAACAGAGAGATGGATTCTGGCCCAATTTTGACAGTGATTTCTCGTCTTATTCTCCAATCAACACCACCAGTCAAGGTTTCTCATGGTTTTTCCCAAATGTTCCTTTGAGCAACTATGGTATCCCTGAAGAAAAAGTCTTGCAACAGGGTGTAAATTCCTCTATGTCTGTGGCTCCCAATTGTTCTTTATCAATGTTTTAGAAATTTCTAGCTGGTCCTTCTTACTGGGTTACATGGTATTAGGTGGTATTGGGGTGAACTAGACAAATGCTAAATAAAGGTCTGTTTCTTTCTGATGATTTCTGCATGTGTGTAAGTTTCAGTTTAGTTGTTTTTCCTGTGATCTCAGTCTCTTCTATTTTCAAGAAGAGTAATTAATTTGCCACGTGCCCTTCCAACTTCCTTTTTTTTTTTTTTTTTGAGACAGAGTCTCGCTCTGTTGCCCAGGCTGGAGTGCAGTGGCGCGATCTCGGCTCACTGCAAGCTCCGCCTCCTGGGTTCATGCCATTCTCCTGTCTCAGCCTCCCGAGTAGCTGGGACCACAGGCGCCCGCCACCACGTCCGGCTAATTTTTTGTATTTTTGGTAGAGCCGGGATTTCACCGTGTTAGCCAGGATGGTCTCGATCTGCTGACCTCGTGATCTGCCCGCCTCGGCCTCCCAAAGTGCTGGGATTACAGGCGTGAGCCACCATGCCTGGTCTCCAATTTCTTGTTGTGGTTGCAGGAGTTAACCTCTTTTCACCTTTCTACATGACTGAGCTGAAAATGGAATACTGAGCACTATCTAAAACTAAGAATAACTAAGGGATTACATTGAGTCCAATTTTATTATTTACCGGTGAGAAAACTGAGACGTTAGTGTTCATATAGAAAAATACAGCTGCTTATTTGGAAAACAATGCCAGAATTAAAATTTTCTGAATCTCAATCTAATATAAATCATAGCAAATAATATTTCTGTTAAGATTTCTGTTAACTTCTGTTAATAACTGAGGTTTGTAAGATAAATAAATGTGGAAATAATTGAGACAAACCTTTCGTTTTGTATTTATATTGCACTTAGATGTGACTTTTGAGAAACATTTGGGATTTTAGTGGGATACCTGACAGACAGTACCAAAGTTTAAAGTGAGTAGTATGTGCCGTTTTATTCCTTGATGTAAAAGAATGCATAGCAGTATATATTTTAGTGACTTTTATTACAAATTATTTCTGAGAAGTATGACTAAAATTTTTAAGAGACTATAAAATCAAATAATTATCTTTATGTCTAATATACATCATTCACAATGAGCTATTACAGCCATTACATTTAGATTTTTATATTATATACCTCTATTGATGTAAATACAAAAGAGTAAAACATTTGTTTTGCCATGATTATACTTTCAGTGATTAAAAACTACTAATGATTATATCTCCCTCTATGTTTAGAGTACAAGAAGTCTCCCAAAGTTTTCTACATAGTTTTTTTACAAGAATTACAGATCTTTATTGTCTATATGAGTCCAATTTCTTTTTTAAAAGTCGATTGTTGGTTTGCTTACAAACAATGCTTATTCACTCTTGCCCTAAATGTTAATGGTTAAGAAGGAATGTGTATTGTTTAAGTAATCTGCAGTGTGGTTTGGAGTAAGGATACTCACATGAATAAATGGGAGTAGACTATATTTTCCAAAATGAGACATATACTGACCACTTATTTTCCACAAAGGTGCCAAGAAAATGAGGAATGTGTAGTCTTTGTAAAAAAATAAAGTGCTGAAAATATTAGACATATGTATCCAAAATAATGAACCTCATTTCATAACTTACACAAAAATTAACTCAAAGTGGATTATGGAAATGAATGTAGGAACTCAGAATATTAAAATTTAGGAGAAAAGAGAGAAGAAAATTGTCCTCGGTTTATGCAAAGATTCTTTACATAGGATACTAAATGTAGACATCAGCAAAATTAAATCTTCTGCTCTTCAAAATACACTGTTAAGAAAGTGCTAAATTAAGTCACACATGAGAGAAAATAGTTGCAAATCATATATCTGATAAAAGATTTCTATTCAAAATATATACAGAACTCTTCAGTAGTAATAACTCTTAAAAAATAAGATGTATAAAATACTTCAATGAACACTTTACTGAGGAAAATATTCAAATGGAAAATAAGCAAATTAAAAAGAGGTCCAACACCACTCATTAGTCATTAGGAATACAGAAATTAAAATTATAGTAAGATAGCTAAGCGCCCAGCAGAATGGCTAAAATTAAAGATTCTAAAGATATAAAGCATGCATGAGAATGAGACATCACTGGAACTCTTATACATTGTTGGTGAGAATGCAAAATGGTAATGTGGGAAGTTTCTTTTACATTTTTTCATACAGTTGCATATTTCCTCATGATGTGACTCAGATAAATGCCTCCCTAGATCCTCACAAAAGAAAACGAAAATAGTAGAGGTTTACAGAAAGATTTGTCCTCAAATGTTAGCGGATACACACATAAAAGCCCCAAACTATGATCAATTCACTCAGTTTAAATGAATTTCTAAAGAATGATTCTAAATGCAAAGCCACACAAAAAAGATAATAGAGTGTATAATTGTTTTATAACATATTTGTAAAAAGACAAACATATAGTGACAGAAACCAGATAATTGTTTGCCATAGACTGGGGTTGCAGGATGGAGCTGACTACAAAGAGGCTCCAATGAACTATTTCAGATGGTGACGATACTCTCAATTATGGTTATAATGCTACATGCACATTGTAATCTTTTGTCAAAACAGTTAAGATTGATGAAACTCTTTATATATTACAGTTAACAAAGGCAATATATGGAGAAGCAATTGTCTTTTAGCAAAAGATATCCACATGCAAAAAAAAAAAAAAAGAATCCAGACACAGAACTTGCACTTTACGTAACAATTAAATCAAAATGGGTCATAGACTTAAATGTACAATGCAAAACTATAAAATTCTTAAAAGATAACATAAGAGAAAATCTAAATAATCTTAGGTATGATGATGACTTTTTCAACACAACACCAAAGACATGGTCTATAAAAGAAATAATTGAGAAATTAGATTTCATTAAAAATTAAAAACTTCTCCTATGAAATACACTGTTGAAAGAATGAGAAAACAAGCCATAGACTGGGAGAAAACATTTGCAAAAGGCACACTGAAAAACATATGTTATCCAAAATATACAAAAAATTCTTAAAGCTCAACAAGAAAGAAAAAGCAGATTTTAAATTTGGGCAAGAAACCTTAACAGACACCTCACCAAAAAAGATACACAGATGGCAAATAAGCCTATTAAAAGATGCTCAATATCCTCTCATTAGAAAAGTAATTACAGATTAAAACAACAATGAGATACCACTACTCATATATTAGAATGGCCAAAATGCAAACAAAAGTATGGCAACAAATGCGAGGGTGGATATGGAACAGGAACCATCCTTCATTGCTGGTGGGAATGAAAGCCATTTTGAAAGACAGTTTGGCATTCTTACAAACTAAACATAATCTGACCATTATCCTTAATTCAAAAGCTAATAAGAAATAACAGATAATCTAAATATGAATTAGAACGAATTTCATTAGCCCATTAAGTTTCAAGATGCTGTATTAGGTATCAATTGCTGCCTAGCAGATTTAGTGTCCCAATTTGCTTTCCCAAAAATTAGTGGCTTAAAACAATACACATTCATTTTCCCAAAGAAGTTTCTGTTTATATCCCAAAGTTTCTGTTCTCACACTGCTAATAAAGTCATATCTGAGACTGGGTAATGTACAAAGAAAAGAGGTTTAATTGACTCACAGTTCCACATGGCTGGGAAGGCCTCACAATCATGGCTGAAAACAAATGAGGAGCTAAGTCACATCTTACATGGTGACAGGCAGGAGAACTTGTGGAGGGGAACTCCCCTTTCTAAAACTATGAGATCTCATGAGACTTATTCACTATCACAAGTACAGCAAAGGAAAGACCCCCCTCCGTGATTCAATTATCTCTCACCAGCTCCCTCCCATGACATGTGGGAATTAAGGGAGCTGCCATGCAGGATGAGATTTTGGTGAAGACACAGCCAAACCATATCATTCCAACCACCCCCTCCCAAATCTCACGTCCTCACATTTCAAAACCAACCACACCTTCCCAAAAGTCCCCCAAAGTCTTAACTCATTCAGCATTAACTCAGAAGTCCACAGTCCCAAGTCTCAACTAAGACAAGACAGGTCCCTTCCACCTATGAGCCTGTAAAATCAAAAGCAAGTTAGTTACTTCCTAGATACAATGGGCATACGGGCATTGAGTAAATAAACCCAATCCAAATGAAAGTATTTTAAAAACAAAAAGGATCCTGAAATTAAAAGAAGCAATCTTCAGGGATAAAGGAATGAATTTATCCACAGTAAGATATAATTTTATAAATATGAGATCTTGGAACTTAGTTTTCTCAGATTTTTTTCCCTTCTTCTGCATGTTCTCTAAGTTCAAAGACAAAAATAATCCAATAGGAAGTATGAAAGCAAGGATGGGCATGGTGGCTCATGCCTGTAATCCTAGCAATTTGGGAGGCTGGGAGGGTGGATCACATGAGGTCACGAGTTTGAGACCAGCCTGGCCAACACGGCAAAACCCCAACTCTACTAAAAATACAAAAGTAGCCAGGTGTGTTAACATATGCCTGTAACCCCAGTTACTCGGGAGGCTGAGGCAGAAAAATCGCTTGAACCCAGGATGCAAGGCTGCAGTGAGCTGAGATGGCACTCTAGCCTGGGAGACAGAGCAAGACTCTATCCTCCCCCTACCCCCCCCAAAAAAAGAAAATCTAAAAGCAATGGCTGAAATATGTAATTTTCTACTTAAATAACACACTGGATAACAAGGAAATATATTTTACTGATGCTTAGTATTGCTTAGTATAAATTGGCCTTAATTTAGAGAAGCAACAGGATGCTGCTAGAGCCTGTCTCAGAGGGGGAGCATAAAACAAATTCAAAATAGGCTTCCTGACCACTGACCCCCTGTTGTCTCCCTCTTCCCTGCATTTCTCAAGCTCTAGAAGAACAGCAAAGGAGAAATTCAAACAGCAGATACATATAATCTCCTTGATGAGAAGTTTACTTTTTGGGGAGCAATAGAAAATGTGGAGGTAGACAATTTCACTATTTTCAACCCTGTATTAAGTTCACGACACAAGCAAAGTTTGTGACTTCAAATCCTATTTCTGGATTCTATTTTCTACTCTAGTGATTGATAATCACCTAGGGATTATAAATGATCACAACAAAGAGAAAAGTAAATATCTGAAAATAAGAAGCCAAAATACTATAAAAATTATTGGTAACATAAAATAAGACAATAAAGTTATAAAGAGGAACCAAAGGGAAATAGTTTCTTATAAAAATAAAATTCTTGTACTGGAAATAAAAACCACAATAGAAGGATTTTATAACAGAATAATATAGCCAAAAGTGGTATTTTTTTGAACTGGATTATTAAGTTTAAAAGCTCTTCCAGAAATCATCAGAAAATACTAAAAATTATGGAAAGAATAAGAATTTGCGGTGTCTGTAAGGTAGAACTAGACATGTAACTGCCTGAAATAGGAGTCCTTGAAGGAGTTTAAATATATATTGAACAGAGGAACTATTTGAAACAGTAAGGATAGAACAGATCCAAATATTTAAAAGACAAAATATATTATATTAGAAAAATCTCATAAAATAAAGACAGAAACTTTCAAAAAGCCACAACCAGACACATAATAGTGAAACTAAACTTCTTCAAAATAATGAAAACAATTCTAATGAAATCAATGTTAGAATTATTAACAACACCAAGGGCAAAAAGACAGTGGAGCAATATTTTCAAAACATAAAATATAAAGAATTATATGATACTTCTAATTTTATGGCAAACTAAACTGAGATTTAAAACAAAGACACAATTAAAGGTACTTTAAAAGCTTTATCATAGAACAAAATTTATTGGAGGAGATCCTATTGAATGGATAAAAATCAACCAAGAGAAATGCTAAAGGAAGCAGGTAAAATAGGGCTTAGTGAACAATTTATTAAAGATTATTGTCATCTAAATACAGAAAGAATAAAGTAGGAAAAATATAACAATTATGTTCATATAATTGTGGACTAATACCAAAATAAACATTAACATTGGGAGATAGATGAGTAAGAGGAAATAAATAAAATCTTAAAGTACTGTCTAGTCTGATTTAAGAGAAAAATGTAGAACTCAATGACTGAAAAATTGCAAGGGAATCGGAACTTAAAGTTTTAGTAGGTTATAAATAACCTCAGAATTAAAAATAGATATGTAATATTTTCAAATCAGCCAAAAAAGCACCTCTTCATAGAATGAGGAAAAAATAACTACAGTGAATATAAAATGAGACATAAATATTAATGTCATCAGAATTACTGGAAATTAAATCAATAATGCAAAAGGTGACAGCTTTGCCTGCCACTTATTGGCCAGAACACTAACACAGAGCCTCACCATGTGGCCTTGGCTTCCTCATAGCATGGCTAACTCCAGTAGATGTGGTTGTTCAGGGCTGTGAAAACAAGCATGCTGACAATCAGATGGGAGCCATATTGCCTTTTATGACCTACCCATGGATGTACCAGTCTTATCGCCACACTAACAAAACTGCGTAAACCTGAGAGAGGAAGCGTAGATCCTAACTTTCAATGGGAGGGATGTCAGAACACTTCATAAAAAGAATTTATGGTGTTGGAGATATTATTGTGGCCATCTTTGAGAACATGCAATCTGCTAGTCTGCCTTCTACCTCAATAATCCACTTGCTCTCATATACTAAATATAGCACTGCCTGCCCACAAAATCCCTAAGTGTTATCCTACTATGACAATAGTTCATCAAAGTCCAGGATTTCCTCAGGTAAATCAGGTCCAACTATAGATGAGGCACTTTAGGTTTTCTATTGTGTGTAGAACTCCTAGAATACAATTTATCTCAATCTGAATTACTTATAAACTAAAGAAACAAGTTATCTGCCCTCCAGCTTCCTCCCCTGGACAGAATGCTATGATGAGATGGGCACAGAATAGCTGATATAGACACTCATTCAAAAAGATAAGGTTCTCAATGGTTATTCGTCCACAGAATTTTCAGAATCCAGCCATGCACATGTTGCCAGATCAGTGTTTAGGGAAAAGTTCTGCCTGGGAGTACAGGGTGGATCTAGGCATTATGTTTCAAGCTCTTGGTTTTGCCCTCTGAAGACTCCTTCTTTTTCCATAGGAAATGGCATGTGTTTGTAACTGGGTATTTCTCTCCACCTGCCTTCTGCCTGTATCCCCTAAAGGAGTGTGAAATGATTTCTTTACTTTTCTATCTCTTCTGCTTTTAATTGAATAACATATACTAATAATCTATTTTTACAAGCTTATAGGCTTTCTGGGTATCAATTTATAATCAATCTAGTAAACAAAATCTACATACACATCCACGAAAACGTTTCACTGAGAGATCCCTTTGAGTCTACTAAGGCATAAAGCATTTCAAGACCTTAAAAACTGTATTAGTTCATTTTCACACTGCTGATATAGACATACTGTGACTGGGAAGAAAAAGAGGTTTTAAGGGACTTACAGTTCCATGTGGCTGGGGAGGCCTCACAATCATGGCAGAAGGCAAGGAGGAGCAAGTCACATCTTACAGGGATGGCAGCGGGCAAAGAAAGAGCTTGTGCAGGGGAACTCTTCTTTATAAAACCATCAGATCTCTTGAGACTTATTCACTATCACAGGAACAGCATGAGAAAGACCCACCCCATGATTCAATTACCTCCCACTGGGTTCCTCCCATGACACATGGAAATTGAAGATGAGATTTGGGTGGGAACATAGCCAAACCATATCAATCCACCCCTGGCCCCTCCCAAATCTCATGTCCTCACATTTCAAAAACCAATCCTGCCTTCCCAACAGTCCCCAAAAGTTTTAACTCATTTCAGCATTAAATCAAAAGTTCACAGTCCAAAGTCTCATCTGAGACAAAGCAAGTCCCTTGTGCCCATGAGCCTGTAAAATCAAAAGCAAGTTAGTTACTTCCTAGATACAATGGGGGTACAGGCATTGGGTAAATACAGCCATTCTAAATGTGAGAAACTGGCCAAAGCAAACAGGCTACAGGCCCCATGCAAGTCCAAAATCCAGCGGGGTAGTCAAATCTGAAAGCATCAAAATGATCTCCTTTGACTCCATGTCTCACATCCAGGTCATGCTGGTGCAAGAGGCGGGCTCCCACAGCCTTGGGCAGCTCCACCCCTGTGGCTTTGCAGGGTATAGTGGTATAGCTCCTCTCCTGGATGCTTCCATGGGCTGGCATTGAGTGTCTGAAGCTTTTCCAGGCACACAGTGCAAGCTGTCAGTGGATCTACTATTCTGGGGTCTGGAGGATGGTGGCCCTCTTCTCACAGCTTCACTAGGCAGTTCCTCAGTAGGGACTCTGTGTGGGAGCTCCAACTCCACATTTTTCTTCTGCATGGCCCTGACAGAAGTTCTCCATGAGGGCCCTGCCCCTGCAGCAAACTACTGCCTGGACATCTGGGCATTTCCATACATCCTCTGAAATCTAGGCAGAGGTTCTCAAACCTCAGTTCTTAACTTCTGTGCACCTGCAGACTCAACCCATGTGGAAGCTGCCAAGGGTTGGGGATTATACCCTCTAAAGCCATAGCCCAAGCTATACCTTGGCCCTTTTAAGTCACAGCTGGAGTGGCTGGGATGCAGGGCACCAAGTCCCTAGACTGCACACAGCATGGGGACCCTGGGACCAGATCACAAAACAATTTTTTCCTCCTAGGCCTCCAAGCCTGTGATGGGAGGGGCTGCAGTGAAGACCACTGACATGCCCTGAAGACGTTTTCCCCTTGTCTTTCAGATTGAATTTCAGCTCCTCATTACTTATAGAAATTTCTGCAACTAACTTGAATTTATCCTCAGAAAATGGTATTTTCTTTTCTATCACATTGTCAGGGCAAACTTTCCAAACTTTTATGTTCTGTTTCCCTTTTAAAACTGAATGCCTTTAACAGCACCCAAGTCACATCTTGAATGTTTTGCTGCTTAGAAATTTCTTTCACAAGATACCCCAAATCATCTCTCTCAAATTTAAATCTCTAGGGCAGGGGCAAAATGCCACCAGTCTCTTTGCTAAAACATAACAACGTTCACCTTTGCTCCAGTTCCCAGCAAGTTCCTCATTTCCATCTGAGACTACCTAAGCCTGGACATTAATGTTCATATCACCATCAGCATTTTTGTCAAAGCCATTCAGCAAGTCTCTAGGAAGTTCCAAGCCTTCGCACATTTTCCTATCTGTCTTCTGAGTCCTCCATACTGTTCCAACCTTTGCCTTTTACCCAGTTCCAAAATTGCTTCCACATTTTCAGGTATCTTTTCAGCAACACCCCACTCCTGGTACCAATTTACTGTATTAGTCTGTTTTCACACTGCTGATATAGATATACCCAAGACTGGGAAGAAAAAGAGGTTGTAATGGACTCACAGTTCCATGTGGCAGGGGAGGCCTCACAATCATAGTGGAAGGCAAGGAGGATCAAGTCACTCTTATATGAATGGCAGCAGGCCAAGAGAGAGCTTGTACAGGGGGACTCCTCTTTATAAAACCATCATATCTCATGAGACTTATTCACTATCAATGAGAACAGCATGAGAAAGGCCCACCCCATGATTCAATTACTTTGCACTGGCTTCATCCCATGACATGTGGGAATTGAAAATGAGATTTTGGTGGGGACACAGGCAAACCATATCACAAACCTTATTTTTTAACAGAGATGTCCACAGACTATGCAATTATATTCTGAATCTATAAACACTGAAGCCTGAAGTATTAACAAATGGTTTTAAATTTGCCTCCTTAGTTACATTTTTACCATGAGACATTTTTTTGACAGTGACCTGGAGTTAAACTATGACACATGGCTATTTCTTACTCTTTGAATCTTCTCTTAAAGCAGTAAGGAATGAGAGAGAGTTTTATTGGCAAACTCAGCAAATCTAGGCTCATTTATATTTATACTAAAATTTTTCTCTCTCATTTTATACCTGGCAGCTAGAAAATGACAAACTGCACACTCAAAATTTTATGTGGAAATTTCCTTAGCTTGATCATCAAGTTAATTAATATATTGTCTATTTTCTATATTACTATAGTTGTCAATTTGATACTGTCTCTTAATATAAAAGATGTCCTTTTCTCTATCAGTAACATTTTCCTCACTTTCCTTTAAGCCCCACCTACAAACTCCCCTGGTCCCTCAGGCTTTTGCTAACACCCTCTTTGACACCCTTTAGGCTTTAACTAATGGTCTCCTCAATATCCTTACAGCTTCTGCCACCAATCAGTATCACACCATCGTAATGTATTTTTGATTGTGTAAAGGCAGCACTTCATTCCTGATACCATGATTTATCTATTTTGGCTATTTATGTGTAACACATTAACCCAAAAGTTATGGTCCTAAAATGACCATTCAATAGAATGCTCACAGACCCCATAAAACACCAATTCAGAATGGGCACAGTTCTTTCTCCTCCTTATTCTGTAATAACAGATTGGCAGTGACTGGCTTGCTAGAGCAAAACTCATGTAGAGACTCCCTTATTTGCATGCCTGAAAGTTGATGGTGGCTGTCACTGGAGATCTCACTCAGCTGTAATGGTCAACCAGCTGGTAATCTATCACCTACTATGGCCTTTCTATGTGGCATGAGCACCCTAACAGGATGACAGCATTGGATTTCTCACATGGCACTTGGGGCTCCAAAGGCAAGTGTTCCAAGTGAATCAGGTGGAAACTCAGTACCTTTTGTGTCCTAATGGTATTACATAAAACAAAACAATCATTCGTTTTGCTGAGAAATGTGAATTTGGACTTTGTTAGGCCGTTTTGTCTCTCTCCATATGGGTTCGTGTGAGGCAGCTTAACAGGGGATAAGATTATCCACTTTCAAGATGTTTCACTCACTTAGCTCAAAAAATGCTACTGGCCACAGCCTGGAAGTTCAGCCAGGGCCTGTGTGTGTGTGTGAGGTGGGGGGGTGTATGTTAAGGGGGGCAGGTGGGGAGATGGGGAGGTTTCATTTTATCTCCACGTGAACCTTTCCACAGTCTACTTGGACTTCCACAGGGCATAGTGATTCAGTTCTAAGAAAAGGTATCTCAATAGAATCAAATGGAAACTATTATATCTTTGATGGTCCAGCTTTAGAAGTTACATAGCATCACTTTTGCCGTATTCATAAACAGACCTACATCCAAGAGGAGGACATATACTTCACCTCACAATGAGAAGAGTATCTAAATTGCACTGAAGGTAATCTATAATGAAAGATACTGTTTTAGCCAACTTTAAAAATGTAATCTGCCAGACAACTCTACTATTCTACCCTTGGAGAAAGAAAAACAAGCCATGTATATTAAATATAACATAGGCAAACATATACATATGTAGATACATATATAAACAATCATGAAATCGAGATTCTTTTACCTTCAATAATTGTTATCTGAATTTTTAGTATTTTCTTAATTACCAGAGAGCCTGAATAGGTGTTTTGTGGCCAGTTTGAGCTTATTGTATCAAACAGGTAAACTTAGGGAAAGACCTTATTAAGCACGAAGTCTTGGAGTTTGTTTTATTCTTGCTGTTGTTTCTTCAGGCTATGTTAGCAATTAAAATTTCAATTTTATTTTTTGAGATAATCAGTAGATTTCACACTCCCACAAAATTTCTTGTATTAATAAGTGAAAATTATCTTAATTATTAGACCTAAGTGGAAATAAATATGCCAATTAACTGATCTCTCTGATTATAAAAGGCTGTTACTAATGTATAATATTGAGAGATAGTCAATTTCATTTCATGTCTTGATTTTAAAACAAAGTCAATCATAAAAAGTTAAACTTAGTCATTCACTTAAAATGAAAACAAAATAAAAAAATTCCAGAATGGAAACGAAAGATGGCACAGCTGGATTTTTTTATCACCCAAAATTACATTTCATGCCAGCAGTCTGTAGAAGAAAATAATTATCAGATTATATTCTGTATATTCTACTGTTAAATAATATAGTATCTATATTAAAAACACATGTAATTTTCCCGATTTGGCCACATAAATATAAATGCTGCTTTTGCATGTTTGGTATTAGAAAACATAAGCATGGAATTTAATGCCACACATAAAGTGTCACTAAACATTAAGTAAACTCTGGATATATTCCAACCTATCATGTAATTTTGAACAGGTATTTATTTTCATGAAGTTAAATTGCTCAATATGTCTACATTATATAAGACTCCTAACATGTTGGCAGATAAATTCATACATATATATATATATATGTATGTATATACACACACACATATATACACACACACACATATATATAAAAAATATTGAAATCCTCATATGGGAAAAGGCTCTTTATATTTAGCTTGCTGATGTAAGATGACTAACAGACAAACTATAAATCAAAGACAAATTAAATATCTACCACATTTCACAGCTCTATTTGCTTTGAAATATTTGCTGAAGGGTTATGCATGGTAGCTCACACCTGTAATGCCTGCACTTTGGAAGGCTGATGTGAGACGATCGCTTGAACCCAGGAATTCAAGACCAGCCTAGGCAACACAGTGAGACCCTGTCTCTACATGAAAAAAAAAAAAAAAAAAAGAAAAGAGAAAGAAAAAATTATGAGCTGGCTGCGGTGGCTTATGCCTGTAATCCCAGTACTTTGGGAGGCTGATGCGGGGGATCACTTATTGTCAGGAGTTCGAGACCAGCCTGGCCAACATGGTGAAACCCTGTCTGTACTAAAAATACAAAAAAATTAGCTGGGCATAGTGGCGCATGTTTGTAGTCCCAGTTACTCAGGAGGCTGAATTAGGAGAATCACTTGAACCCAAGAGGCGGAGTTTGCAGTAATCTGAGAATCATGCTACTTCACTGCAGCCTGGGTGACAGAGTGAAACTTTGTCTCAAAAAGAAAAATGAAAAAGAAAAAAATAGCTATCTGTGGTGTCACACACACAGCTACTCGGGAGGCTGAGGCAAGAGGATCTCTTGAGCCCAAGAAGTCAAGGCTGTAGTCGGCCATGATCATGCTACTGCACTCCAGCCTGGGCAACAGTGCAAGACCCTGTCTCAAAATATATATATATATATATTTGCTGAAACAACTCAAACAGCAACCTTATGAAACATATAATAAGTTGATTGTGTTTTAAATAAGTTCTAGAGACAGGGATCTAGCAGAGATGGCTCTACACTGTCAACTTATCTATGCCCGAACTACATTCCCCAGTATTCCCTTCCCTCTGTGATTCAGGTTAGGCATGGCCACAACAGAAATGTTTGCCAATTCAAGGATGCAAAAAGTACATGAGCACTTCATTTTGAAGGTCTTCATAATGCACTGAGCTCCACTAGAGCTTACACGGGTGGCCAAAATATTCTATCATCCTTTGAGTATGCAGCTACTTTAGCTCCCCTCAACCCTCCTGCTTCAGCTTCTCCAGGTCCTGTACACATGTGGTTAGGCACATGTGCAGCTCCATGGGAATAGGTGCTAGCAACGTTTGCCAGAAACTAGCATTTCTGAGGTTGAAGTCAGTTAAAATCTTACTCCTACATCTTAACTGCTTCCAACACACATCACTGAGCCATTTATTTTACATAAGTTCAGGGCTTCAGTTTGTTCCTCTCTATTCGACTTTTCCTTTGCTTTCCTCCATCATCGGATCAAATATTTTCTGCCTGCCAGTTGTCCTGACCTATAGCAATTTTAGATTCACCAGGAGACACAGTAGTGTAAGTCTTCCCTTGCATTCTTCAACAGCTCCCACATTTTTGTAATTTTATTCCTATAGTAAACACTCTCTTTCATATTACTCTACTAATATACTTCTTTGGTCAAACCCTAATCAATACATCAGTCAAGCTAGTTAAGTTAGGTTTTAGGACACTTATTTCACACATGTTCAGGGCCTGGTTATTGTGTTTTGACAGTCCTTGCATGGGGCATTTTCCATGTTTCTCTACCAGCACATCTTTCTGCAATATTAAATACATCCAGCAGATATTTAAGAAATAGTTGCTGGATGAGCACATAAATATGTGGGAGAGTGAATGAAATATGAATATCTCATCTCTCAAGCATCTTGAAGTATGTATTACCAAAAAGTCAAGTACTATTCTCCAGTTTTATTGGGTCATATGAATTACCTGGGTTTATCTAGAGTGAGGCTTACAGAAATTGTTACATTACAAAAAATTATAAAATTGTGTTATCATTATAAAAAAACTAGCAATTCTATTCGTTGATCATATACCTTCTATGTATAAGCAATAAGATTTAGGGTAACTGTACAGCTAAATAAATGATGCCATGAAATCTCCACATAAACTTACCATGAACTAACATTGCTGATGGTGATATGAATGTCACCTCCCTGAAATCTAAAAGAGCATCAATAACATATATCTCAGAAAAGTTGACATTTGAACTAGGTCTTGAATAACAGGAGATACTTTTTAGGGCACAACGCACATATAGATAGAAGTAGCAATACAAAAGATTGGAGACACAAAATAGTACACAATGTTCACAAAATTGACTGGTGTGATATTACTAAGGATACTCATAATTTGTGCTTTGATAGGTAATTCTGAATCCAATGGAGATAAAAATTGGAAGTAAGAATTTGAGAATGGGGCACCGATTCGAAAGCTTAGTCTTTAATACTACAGAAAGGAGGTGTTTTGTATTATTAGCTAAAGATTCTCATAGTTCATTGAGACCAATATATCCTGTAAAGTGATGTACATCTCGGTTTGAAGATCAATTAAGAGGCAAGCACCATTAATTAAAACTGGTCCATCACTAGCAAATTGAGAATAACAAGTTAGGTTAAGAAATATGAGTGGCTTGTTTGAATAGATTTAAGGGAGAAGTCATATTTATTTCAAAGCTTGAAGTGAATTATAAGAATATAAATATATCTTCACATAAAGTTAATATATAAAAATAAAAAATTATCTGAACTACCTTCTTTAACAGTGAAAGCATAATGTTTTCCCTGAGATTCTATCTTTAGATAACCCTTAGGTCCCAGATTGCTTTTGGTTTTCTAGATTAAGTTCTTAATGTCTCATAGATTTCTACTGAGATTGTAACTATTCTACTCTCCAGGCTAGTCAAAGAAAAATATAGTCAAATTCCTTGGGGATGCGATCTAATCACAGCTGAAACATAGCATTTGAGAAACCATTTCTCATAGACCAATATTAGCTCAATGCACACAAGTTATTATTTCACTGGAAAGATTCTTTCATCGGAGAATCAAGGGTAGTTTTAATTTTAGCACAAGTACTGTAACCTTCTTGAAACATACTTTCAAATATTACTTGAATTACTAACTTACAGCACTGATAGAAAAGGTATTTAACTTGAAGTTTTGCTTATATTGGTACAGAGAAATATTTTAGGGAAATAACTCCTTATCAGAATAAAGCAAAATTATTTTTTACATCAACCCTAATTTAACAGTGGAAATAATTTAACCATGTATACTGATATTATGAAATAAAATTGACATTTGAGAGATTTATTAAAGATCTAAGGGAAAATTTCCAGACACTATGAAGTTGCTAAGCATGAAATCTTGAGAAAAACTTCAGAATAATAAAGAAATTGATTAATTTGTATATTACTTACATGTTCCTAGCTATAAACACACAGTTGGAAAAATACTATGCACAACAGGACCAACAAATCAAGGAATCACTCTAGATAAATTATATACTTAAAGACAGCCTCATGACAAAATAGTAAAGTTTTTGTACAATATCATACAAAAGTAAAGATATTTAGTCATGCCACTATATTATACATATAAGTTCAAAGAGAAAATAAACATTTAGATAATTTGAGGTGACAACTATTGAAGCAAATATTTTATGGTCTGAATGAAGTAATTTTGAAATTCTACTTAGAGGGTAACCTGAAACTCTATTATTAGTGTCATATATCTTCGGTTTTTTTTTTTGGATGCAATTGTGCATACAAAAAGACTAAGGCTTGTAAACCGTTGGTTATTTGCTAATTCAATATTATTTAGTATCTGTAAGCACCATATATTCTTTTACCCAGGACATCTATAAGTAAAAATATATTGTCACGCTCTTCAAAAGATTTCCTGTGTGTTGATTAAAATATCTTGTTTTGGAGTTACTTCTTGTAATTGTTGTATAAAGAAAGATGCCTGAAGAACTCTACTCTGCAGAAAACAGATATAAATTGGACTAAACTTTCCAAAAGAGACTTCTTATTTAACTGAAAAAAAAAAAATTAGAAGTGTTTACTGTGGAAGAGCTGTTACTTCTTTAGGTAAGAATGGTACTAAGATTGCGGCCTTCTTTTGCTACTTAGTCCAGGAAAACCAAAAATCAAAAACTTTAAAAAAATGAAAAGGAAGAAAGAGTTGCTACAAAGTATAATCTATAACACATAGTTTTTAACTAAGAATTATTAGAAAAGAAAAAGAAGAAAATATGAAAGTATTGCCCATATTCAACTTGGTTTTTAAAAAGCAGTTGCTAGAAACGGATTCAGTGTGGGCACATGGTTGGGCTGAGGAAATACTTCAAAGCAACTATTTTAAAATAAAGACAAAATGTTTTTAAAACAAATGAAAATATACTAAGAATTATGAAACACTATTCTAGAGGTGAAAATATAATAACAAAAATTTCACTAAATATGTTAAACAGAAATTTGGGATGGCAGAAGAAAGAATTATTGAATTTGAGAATACATCAACAGTAATTACTCTTAAATCAGAGGGAAACAAAAATTGGATGAAACATAAATGGAGCTCTAGAGAACAATGGAACAATATCAGGAATCCCCACAAATGAGTAATTTTTTCCAGAAAGTAAAAAGAAAGAAAGAAGTAGAAAAAAAAAACTATTGGAAAAACATAATGGCTAAAAAGTTTCAAAATCTGGGTTAAAACTTTAAAAATTCAATAAACTCAATAAAACTCATACAGGGTTAAAACGAAGAAGATTTACAAACAAAAATTTCTTAATGGCTGATTTCTCATCAGAAACAATAGAAAACAGAAGATACTTTTCAGAAGAATGACAAAGTGAAAGTGAAACACACACACCACAAATTGTCAAGTAAGAATATGTATTCAGCAAAATTGACTTTAATAAAGAAAGATAAAATAAAGACAGTTCTAGATTTTAAAATAATGATAAAAGATAAACAGAGAATGTTATGTCTAGGAGAGCTGTCCTACAAGAAATACTAAAGAAAGCTCTCCAGGCTGAAAAGAAATGGCGCTAGATTGTAAAACTCACCTGGACAGGAAGAAATGAAGAAAATTAGAAATAGTAAATATCAGGGTAATTATAAAATATTCACGTTTTCTTTTTCTGTTGATTAATTAAAAACCATATGACTATTTAAAGTAAAAACTACACATACACACACACACACAGAGAGAGACTAGCAGGAAAAAAGGGCAAGGAAATGGAGCTGTGCTGATAAGAACTGCTATATTTTAGCCAATGTAAATCAATATTAACTGAAATAGATTATGATAAATTAAATATATATATTGTAAACTTTGGGGCAACTACTAAAAAGCTCAGGTTTGGAACAAGGCAAGGAAATTTACCTTCACACTGCTATTCACCATTGGAATGGAGGCTCTGCTCCCCTCTAAAAAAAGTAATAAACCAAGAAAAGAAATAAAAATCATGCAGTTGGAAAAAAGAAAGCAAAACTGTCTTTATTCACAGAGAATATCATGGTGTACGTGGAAAACTCTAATTAGTCTATAAGAGAGCCACTGAAATTAGTCAGTAAATTTAGTGAAGACACGGAATACAAATTAATATGCAAACAATTATGTCTCTATATACTATTCTCAAACAATTCAAAAAGGAAATTTTATAAATATTCTATTTACAAAGGTAAGAAAAATACTATTTACAAAAAAGTTAGTGAAAGATGTGCTGTGCATGTACTGTATATTAAAAGCTATAAAACATTGCTAAGAGAAAGTAAGGAACATCTAAACAAATAGACATGTCCTTTTCATGTACTGGAATACTTAATGTTGTTAAGAAGGCAATTCTCCCTAAATTGATATATAAATTTTAAATATTTCATAATAAAATCCTGGATTTTATCTAGAAATTGAAAAATTTTATTATTTATTTTGTATGTATATTATTTATATCTATCTATCTATATACAGCAGCTAAACAATTTTGAAACAGTGGAATGCAGACTTATACTACATGATTTTAAAACATAATATAATACTTTGGGACTCTGTAGCAAACAAGACTGCAGTATTACTGTAAGGAGAACCATATAGATAAACACAACATAGTAAAGGTTCAGATATTTACCAAAACACATATGGACAATTGATTTTCCAAAAAAGATGTCAAGAAAATGTAATAGGAAAAGTATGACATTTTTAATAACTGTAGTAGAACAATTGTTTATACAAATGCAAAAAACAAACAAATAGACTCTCACACCACTATACCTGGTAAAGTATGTTCCTGGCCGACAGACAAAATGGATTCCCCACGGCAAACTGAGCTGCTAGAAGTTAAACCAGAAGCAGATGGTCATGGCGGGGTGAAGGAGCAGTCACTGGACTCTGTGTTCTCGGAAAGGTGTGAAACTATCACAAGACCTCCCTTTACACAATCAAGCCAAATCGATTGCAGTTTTAGGTGTCAAAATAAACTTCCAGAAATACCCCCTTCCATTCCCCAGTTTGAAACACGTGATGGAGACTTCTGATTTCCAGCTTGGAAAACAACAAATAAGAGGTCACCTGGCACAGTCATGAAGGCTCAGCTATATCAACCAATCAGAACTCAGCTGTGCCAACCAATCAAAAGTAAATGTTTCAAGCCTTCATTTGCAGAAACAGACCTGATTGAGATCTTGAACAGGAACTTTTGCCTTAAACCCCAAACCCTCTCTTTGTTCTCTGTAATGAACCTTTGTTTTACACTGAAGACTGCATCTTCCTGACTTGAAAACTGTTTACAGGAATAAAGTCTCTTTCCTTCAAAATTTTCAGACAATTTTGTTCACATATTTAATTATTCACTTATAATAAATAATAGCCCTAAATATAATAATTAAAAACAATAGCCCTAAATATAATATTTAAAGATATAAAACTCCTAGAACAAAACATAATAGAAAAATTTTGTGTTTAAAGCAAAGCTTTCTTAAGCGCAAAAGTTGGAAACAGAAAAGGGAGATGTTGATAAATTGTACTTTGTCAAAATTAAAAATGTGTGAACTTCATAAAAGACCATTAAGAAAATGAAAATTCACATCCTAGATGAAAAATGTTTTCAAAATATAAATCTCATACAGTACATGTATTGAAAAAATATACATAATTCTTACAAATTAATGATAACACCAACAACTAAATAGCAGAGAAATAAATAAACACATAACCAAAGAGGTGCTTAAAGGGCACATAAGCACATTAAAAGATGCTCAAAAACATTAGTCATTGAGGAAATGGAAATTAAAACCATTGAATGACCACTAAAATAACGAAAATAAAGAGCATTAATTTTAGCAGGTATCAAAGAAGATACAGAAAAATTGGACTTCGAAGCATGCCTATTGGAAACCTAAATTGGTCCTGAAACTTTAGAATATATACTGGCATTTATAAAGTGGTTTGGCAGTGTGCATATGTGTGTTTTTGTTTGTTTGTTTAAAGCAAAACATAACATTTACCATAGGACCGGATAATTCCTTTCCAAATAATATATCCAAAAAAATTAAAACATTTGTCCACAGAAAGGCCTATATGTGAATTATCATAGCAGCAGTATTCATAATAGCCTTAACTAGTAATAAACAATGTGTTTTAACTAGTGAATAAGTAACGTAGGATGTATGCGTGTACTCACAAGTTATTTATTTATTTATTCATTTATTTGAGACAGGGTCTCACTCTTTTGTCCAGGCTGTAGTGCAGTGGCAATATCTCTGCTCACTGCAACTTTCTCCTCCCGGCTCAAGCAATCCTCCTGCCTCAGCCTCCCAAGTAGCTGGAACTACAGGCATTCACCAGACCATTTTCGCCATATTACGCAGGGTGGTCTCAAACTCCCAGACTCAAGCAATCTGCTTGCCTTAGCCTCCCAAAATGCTGGGATTACAGGTGTGAGCTATTGCACCTAGCCCTCACACATAATTTTAAACTAAGTATCAATATACACAAAAACAGGGACGACTCTCTAAAAACATAATGTTCAGAAAAATAAGCCAGACACAAAAGATTACATGCTGTACGAATCCAAATCCATTTATGTAACTTTTCTAGAAAAGGAAAAATGTAGCATGCACACACATATACACTCACAAACACACACACACAAGACTACAAGTCCATGGGGATAGGTCTGAGAGCAGCAATTGACTGCCAATAGGCATGGAGAAATTTCGGGGTGATATTGTTCTAAAAATGTTTTTTGGTGATGAATGACTGACTGTGTACATTTATTAAAATCACTGATGTTTACACTTAACATGGTTAAATTTTATGGCGCATAAATTATACTCAAAAAGGTGTTAAAAAGAAAGAACACATTTATCAAAGGAATAATGTAAAATAATGTGAAATTTGATAGATATTGAAAGTATATATTAAAAAGATATTACATGCAGGGTTCCTGAAGCAAAAATTAAATTTGTTTAGGGGACATACTTCAAGTGCTCACACATCAAAAAATAATAAATATTTTTAAAATGACATCTTCTGTCTTATTTAATTAGTATGACGCCCCGATTATTAGTGGAACTTCTCAAAGCCAACATAAGTTTGTAGCCTAAGAACTAGGGGATAATAGTAAATACATATCACCTACCTTACCTTCTAGCTACTTGCATTACTGACATGCATTTATGAGAGTTACCTCTTTTCTGGAATACCAAATAAAGAAGAAAGGCGAAAGAATATTTTACAAATGCAGGTGATAAAATAAATACATCTGCCACTCTTAACATTGTTGAAAAATGAGTTATTTCTCACATGAAAATTTAATTGGTGAAGGAAGCATACTTCATCTTATGCAAGTATTTTAAAGTATTTTTCACAGATATATTTTACAACTTCTTAGACATGTTTCTGTATTTAGAAATACAGAATTTAGAATAGTATGTTGAGCTTTAATATGGCTTGATGCACATTATTTGTTAAATTAAACAGTTCACTAGTGAAACTATCTGGAGCTCCAGAAATATATGGGACTCTTTCCAACAACCTCCACCTCCCAACCAGTGATGCCAAATTCTTATGATCAACCATATCAGATTCTACTACTCATGGATGTTATGAGTCTGCAAATAACAGACACCTCTTTTAAGACCTTTACTACATATCCTTGTTACAATGTATACTCCTTCTGAACTCCCGAGTACCCTAACACTTATCATTGAAATTTATTAAATAACTTCTCCATTAATAGCACATAACTTGTAATTGATTACTTGTAAGACTCTTCTATGAAAAAATGCAGATTATTAGTATATGGAATTTGTGATATTTAATTTGCAGATTCGGGACTTATTTTTGTCATTTTGCTTTATTGATAAAGAATAATAGACATAAATATTCATAAATAATAGTATTTGTTAAGTGTCTACCACGCTTCAGATACAAGCATTTTCTCTGGTACAGGATTGAGTCGCATGGATAAGTGGCCCTGGGATAAATGCACAAGTGAATCTAAAATGTTCTTCATCTGTATGCTTTGTGTCAAAATAACTTTAATAACGAATGAAACATGCATAATAGTTTTACTTGAAAATGTGAAACTACATCTAGTCAAATTGAATCATATTTTATATTTGCATTTGTCCTATCACTGTAAATTTAATTCATTCTTTAATGAAGGACTGAAAAGAAATTAAAAAGGACACAAATATACATATTTCGAAGCTAAGTGAAAATACCATACATATGTTCAATTGTAGTCTTAATTACCCACAAAAGTGAATGATGTAGATTCAATGTCAATCTAATCAAAGTTTTGTAATCTTTAGTGGAAAATTGTGTGGGCAGCTTTCATTATAAGCAGGCATGGCTAGGGTAATGAGAGCATCGACCATGACATTTTGAAATCATATACATGTGGAAATTAGAGCAAGGAGGGAAGCTTCTCTTTATTCATTAGAATAGCTAAATGACTTGTGATATTGGCTTAAAAGGAAAATCATTCTGAAGCACCTACAATAATATCTCACAGGGTAATCCCAAATGAGATACCCTATCTGAATACTTTCTAAATTGGAAGGAAGAACAGTGCACAGATATATTTAACTATATTTTGTTAATAATTTATTAAACAACATGTATAAATATTATTTCCTTTAAATCAGTTATTACAATAAACATTCGACTTCTTATACGGAAAAATTAGTGGCAATATTATACTTTAAAGAAAGGGATAACATACTTATTAGCTTTACTTAGAAATTCAGGTAGCAATTTTAAAATTATATCCTAGAAAGAGATGATTTAAAAACAAGGAAAAGCATAGTTAATACTTTTTATAAATATTCTGAAAGCTACTTTTCAGTACAAAAAGTATTAGCTTTTTGTACACATTCTGAAAGTTTGCCCAGGTGAAAAGACCTGCCTCAGTTTAATAAGTAAAATTTCAATGTTTTTCAGCATTATTTTCCTTTACATCTATTCTTTATGCATGCCTTTTCTAAATAACTGACTTAAATATATTTCACTTTATTCTAGAGCAAAAGGAAAGTTGTTAAAGCTGTTTATGATTATTGGAGTGGAAATAATAATTACTTTAGAATCCAATTTGCATTCATCAACTGTATCATTAGGATCAAACTCTAGCATTTTGGAAATGTGGGTTTTTTAATAAAGGAAAATAAAATTTTGAAAGCCTCTCTTTTCAGATGGCAAGCTGGTATAAATTAAAAAATCAAATTTTGCTTACTGTTTCCTTTTGCCTTTACATGAAATCTTGTACTAGGAAAAAACATCTAACCAAATATCCACAAAAATTAGAAATCTCTTTCAAAAGGCCCTTTGGCAATAGGTCATTTTGGCTATATTTGAATATCTATAATAGAGAACAATTTAAATAAACAAACATTGGATCTTTTTGTAACACAGTTTTTATGTAGATCGAAATGAAATCTGCAATCTACAATTTGCTATATCCATGTTGAAAATATCATTTTTCCTAATTACAGCCCTGACAATACTTAGACATCTACATCTTTTCAACATCTCCTTTATTCTCCCAAGTAAACAACTGTCAGATTTATGACTCCTCATGTGACATAAGTAATAGTCACTTCACAATATAGTGACCTTGTTTTGGATAGACTCTGGTTTGTCAGTTCTCCCTGGGCATTTTTTAAGGGGCTTTCTAATTTGAAATATTGTCTGTCGAGAATGAAACTGATATCTATTTCTCACCACTCAAAAATTAACTCAAGATGGATTAAAGTTCTAAAGGCAACACCTGAAACTGTAAAAGTCCTAGAAGAAAACCTAGGAAAAACTCTTCTGGACGTTGACTTAGACATATAATTTCTGCCTAAGACCCCAAAACTAAATGCAACAAAATCAAAAAAAATAGACAATGGGACTTAATTAAAATAAAAAGCTTCTGCACAGCAAAAGAAATAGTCAGTAGAGTAAACAGACAACTGACAGAATGGAGGAAAATATTTGCAAATTATGTCTCTAACAAAAGACGAATATCCAGAACCTAAAATGAACTCAAACAATTCAACAAGCAAAAAGAAATCCCATTCTTGAAAGAAAGTATATGACTGGATGCAGTAACTCATGGCTGTAATCCCAGCACTTTGGGAGGCCAAGGCAATAGGATCACTTGAGGCCAGGAGTTTGAGACCAGCCTGGACAAAATAGCAAGACCCCTTCTCTAGAAAAATTTTAAATTTAGCTGGGCATAGTGTCATGCAGCTATAGTCCTATATACTCAGGAGAATGAGGCGGTAGGATCGCTTAAACCCAGGAGGTTGAGGCTGCAGTGAGCCAAGATTGCACCACTGCAATCCAGCCTGGACAGCAGGATGAGACCCTATCTCAAAAAGAGAGAGAGAAAGAGAAAGGGAGACTGGGTCTTGGTCTCCTGTCCAGGCTGGAGTGCAGTGGTGCAATCTTGTTTCACTGCAGCCTCAATCCCCTGGGTTTAAGCAATCCTCCTGCCTTATCCTCCCAAGTAGCTGGGACTATAGGCACATGCCAGTATGCCTGGCTACCTTTTGTATTTTTTTGTAGAGATGGGGTTTTGCCATGTTGCCCAGGCTGGTCCCAGATTCCTGGGCCCAAGCTATCTACACACTTAAGCCTCTCAAAGTGCTGGAAATATAGGCATGAGCCACCATGCCCAGCTAACCTTGTCTCTTAAAAAAAGAAGAAGAAAACAAAAGACATACAAGTGGCCAAGAAATATATGAAAAAATATTCAACATCACTAATCATCAGAGAAATGCAAGTTAAAACCACATTGAGATATCATCTTACACCCATCAGAATGGCTATTATTAAAAAGTCCCCAAACAACAAATGTTGTCATGGATGAAGTGAAAAGGGAACCCTTATGCACTCTTGGTAGAAATGCAAATTAGTACAATCTCTGTGGAAAACAGTATGGCAATTTCTTAAACAATGAAAAACAGAACTACCATTTGACTCAGCAGTCCTACCACTGGGCATGTATCCAAAGGAAAATTAATCATTATATAAAAAAGACTCCTACACTCATATGTTTATTACAGCACTATTCATAATACCAAGTGGAATCAACCTAAATGTCATGGAATCATGACAACTTCATGGAGTCAATCTCATGGAATCAACCTAAGTGTCCATCAACGGTTGATTGGTTAAAGCAAATGTGATATATAGACATCATGGGATACTATGCAGCCATAAAAAAGAATGAAATCATGCCTTTTGCAGCAACATGGATAAAGCTGGGGGCCATTATGCTAAGTGAAATAAACTCAAAAACAGAAAATCAAATGCCATGTGTTCCACTTGTAAGTGAAAAACTAAACAATTGGTATTTGTGGACATAAAGATGGAAATTACGGACACTGGGGACTCCAAAAGAAGGGAGGGGGTGGGGGGGTAAGGGTTAAGAAATCACCCATGGGTACAATGTTCACTATTTGGGTGATGGGTATACAAGAAGCTCAAACTTCACAATCACACAATATATCTATGTAACAAAGTTGCACAAGTAACCCCTAAATCTAAAACTTAAAAAAAAAAATTAAAAAATATATATTGCCTGTCTAGTGGACCCAATGAAAAAAACTCACCACATGTAATTGATTATCTATAAAGACAGTAAAATACTCGTAGAAACCCTTGTAAAATAGAATAAAAGTGACAACAGGGCTTAGAGGATCAAAATACATCTTTTATATTAAAAATAATATAATGATAAGATTTGAAAAATTAGAAATATTTGGCATTCAGATGATACTTCAATGAAAGTAGGTAAAAAAGGCAAATGAGGTTATTGGCAGAATAAAGAGGCAACAAAAACAGACTACAAAAAAGAGTAAAGTTTGAATAATTATCACCAAAACAAGATTAAGCAAATATTGGAATCATAGAGCACTAACAGCCTAAGTCAGTTATGCAAAAATATCAAATGCAATAGTAAAAGAAAGAAAATGTGAAAAAAGGGGGACGTACAGGGAGGATATAGATAGAATAGTGATATATTAACACAGAGACAATCACTATTCTTGAAAATAGACCATGGCATTCGGAACAAATGCCATGATGTATGAGCAACCCTGTAAAATAATGTTTTTCCTGCACTAAAGATAGATCTTAATATGTAGACTGATAAAATTTCCTATTAGTGAATAAATTCTAACATAGTCTTCAAATTATAAGACATGAGCAGAAAAGCTTATAATTATTCTTAGCTAAATCAGAGTGAACAATAAACATCATAAAATGGGAGTAGCTTCATTATAAATTCTAAATGATTTTAGACACAAGATTTATTTAAGAATTTCACAGAAAGTTATTTTTTTAAAAGAAATACAGAAAAATTATGCATCCTGTATTTTATTTAAAAAATATTTGGGCTGTGATAAATGACTTGTATTGTGACAAGTTAAAAATAAAACAATACAAAGTTTCAAAAGTTGGATAAAATAATGCTATAACAGGTTGCAAACAGAAATATTATTAAAACTAGAGATGAATATTACTAATAATTTTAAATTTGGTTATTAATTTTAATGTACATTCTAAAAGGTCTACAATATTTAAAATAATAATATGGATGTATTACTTTGCTAAGTCTGATGTAACAAATATCAAAGGCTGGGTGGCTTAAACAACAGAAATTTACTTTCTCACAGTTGTGGTGTCTAAAAGCCCAAGATCAAGTTGTGGGCAGGGTTGGTTTCTTCTGAGGCCTTTCTCATTGGCTAGCAGATGGCCTTTTCACTGTGTCCTTGCATGGTCTTCCCTCTGGAAGAAGGAGGATAGACCCATGCTAACAGCATCCGAAGAAATGGGAAGTAGGTATATTAATTGCAGACAAGGAAGATTATCAGTGATAAATAGGGTCATTACAGAATTTTTAAAAGTCAATTTTTCAAAAAGACATAACAACACTAAAGGTGTATGATCTAATATGAGAATGTCAAAAGACATGAGACAAAAACAGTATTACAAGAAAAAAGTAGAAAAATTCACTCTTATTTGGTGCTTCAACACTTCAATTTTAGTAATTGATAGTTCAAGCAGGCAACAATCAGTAAGGATATAGTTGACCTGGATAGGACTATCAATCCACATGATCTAATTCGCATTCATAGACTAATTCATCCAATAGCAACCGAATATGTATTTTTTTGAAGATCCCATGAAGCTTTCACCAAGATAGATTCTATCTTGTGCTATAAAACACACCTTAAATTTAAAAGAAAGGAAGTTGCTATGGTGTGAATGTTTGTGTTCAACCACAATTCATATATTGAAATCCTAAAACCAAGATGATATTATTAGAAGTGGGGCCTTTGGGAAATTATTAGATCATAAGAGCTGAGCCTTCATCAGTGGGATTAGGGACTTCATAAAGAGGCCCAAGAAAGACTCCTTGCCTTTCCAACATGTGAAGATGCAGAAAGAAGGCTCCCTTTATGAGGAACAGGCCCTCATCAGACGAAGAATCTGCCAGTACCTTGGTCTTGGACTTCACAGCCTCCAGAATTGTAAGAAATAAATATTTGTTGGTTATAAATCATCCAGTCTATAATACTTTGTTACAGTAGCCTGAATGGACTAAGGCAGGTCATGCAAAATGTTGTCTCAGATCACAATAGAATTAACCTAGAAATCAATAGTGAAAAGAGAGCTAGAAATTTTTGAAAAGTCCTGATATTAGACAAAACAATCCTAAAAATGGGTTAAAAAACAAATCTTAAGAAAAAAATATTAAACATTTTCAACTACATGAAAATGAAATTACATCCTATTAGAATATGTGGAATGCATGGAAGGCAGTACTAAGAGGGAAATTTTTAGCATTGAATGTAGATATTAGAACAGAAGAAAGATCTAAAATCAATAATCTTACCATCCCCCTTAGTAAATTAGAGAAGGAAGAGGAAATTTATTCTAAAACAAGAAGAAACCAATAAAAATTAGAAAAGAAATTAATGAATTTGAAAAAAAGGAAATCAATAGACAAAATCAACAAAACCAAAAAAGTTCATTTTTTAAAAAGATCAAAACAATTGATAAATTAAATTTTTAATAAGGTTAATTTAAAAAATGGTATGCCCCCTCCAAATTCATATGTTGAATTCAAAACGGCCAACGTGACTCTATTTGGAAACAGAGACTTTAAAGAGGTAATTAAAGTTAAATAAGATCATAAAGGTGGGGCCCTAATCATATAGGACTTTGCGTCCTTGTAAGAAGAGGCAGAAATACCAGATCTCTCTCTCTCACTCACTCGCTCTCGCTCTCTCTGTCTCTCTCTCTGCATGTGCACAGAAGAAAAATACAGCAATAAGGCAGTAATGTGTAATCCAGGAAGGGAGGCCTCACAAGAAGCAAATTCTATTGGCACTTTATTGTGTACTTCCAGACTCCAGAACTGTGAGAAAATAAATTTCAGTTAAATCACTCAGTCCATGATATTTTGTTATAGCAGCCTAAGCAGACTAATATAAGAGGAAACACACAAATGTATAAATATCAGAAATGAAAGAGAGGTCATCACTAGTAATCCCACAGATACTAAAAGAATGCTAAAGGAAAGCACTGAACAACTTATTGGCTACAAAATTAATAAGGTACATGAAGTGGGGCCATTCTTTGAGAGGTACCAAGTCAAAATTCACAAGGAGAAGTAGATAATCTGAACAGGTCTATATATAAAAAAAGAAATTGAATTAATAATTAATAACCTTCAAAAGGAAGTATTGGCAACAGTAATAAATATGAATAGATAAATGAATGAATGAATGAATGAATGAATAAGTAAATACTATCAGTCCAGATGGTTTCATTAGTACTTTATAACCAACATTAAAGGAAGAAATAATACCAGCTCTCCCTCATCTATTCCAAAACGTGTAGAAGAGGGAACACTTAAAACTTATTCTATGAGGACAGCATTGCATTTATAATAAAACCAGATAAAAACATTATAATGTTTTAAACTGCAAACCAGTATGTCTCATGTGAACATAGATACAAAAATTCTCAACAGAATATTTGCAAATTGAATCCATTCATATATAAAATGAATTATATACTATGACCAAGTGAGATTTATTCCATCTATGCAGGCTGTTTCAATATTCAGAAAAATCAATTAATGTAATCCATCACATTAACAAGCTAAAAAAGAAAAATCAGATGATTATGTAAATAGATGATGAAAAGTATGTGACAAAATGCAACACCTATTCTTTATTAAAACTCTCATCAAACTAGTAATAGGGGGAAACTTCCTCAACTTGATAAAGGGCAACCATAAAAACTTACAGCTGTCATTCTACTTAATGGTGAGAAACTATGTTTTTCCTCTAAGATTTAAAACAAGGTCTCTCTTACCACTTGTATTCAATATCATTCTGGAGGTCAATGGCAGGGAAATAAAGCTAAAGTAAATGAAAGCTATACAGATGGTGTAGAAGAAACAAAACTGTTTTTATTGGTAAATGACCTGAATATTAACAAAAGAAGAGAAAAAACAACTAGTTCTGGACTTTAAGTGAATACAGCAAGATTGCAGAATACAAGGTTAATATAACAAAGCCAATTTTTAATACCAGCAATTAAGATTTGGAATTTGAAATTAAGTTGAAAACAATAGCATTTAAAATACCACCAAAAATATTTTGATGTAAGTCTAACAAAATATGTGCAAGATCTCCAGGCAGAAAATTATAAGACTCTGAAGAAGGAACTCAATGTAGATCTAAATAATGAAGAGATATTCAGTGTTCATGGATTATAAGACTCAACATTGTTAAAATACTACGTTTTGCTAACTTGATCTAGAAAATCTGCATAATAAAAATCTCAGGGATATATTTTATAGATATTGACAGACTAATTCTAAAGTATATATATAAAGGAAAAAGATTTAAAAGACACAACAGAAACCAAGACAAAACAGAACAACAATGTTAGAAGACATAACACTACCCTATGTTAAGAATATTGTAAGGCAACAGTTTTGAAGACAGTGTCTGTGTGTGTGTGTATATGCATATATATACACATACCATACATACATAAATACTACATAAACTATGTAAGTTATACTATATATAAGCCTAATAAATTTAAATTTAATATATTTAATATTTACTTTGGCTGCTTGCAATGGACTAAACGTTTCTGCTTTGCAAAAGTTCATGTTTGTCAATCTAAATATCAAACAGAGAGAGGATTTCTACAAGAAAAATATATTTATTTTGGAACAGGGCGTCACAGTGGGAATATATGTGCCATAGTAAAGTACGTGCAGATTTAGGGAGGTAAAGGAAGACAAGGGGTTTTAAAGGAAAAATAAGAGGATTGCATGTTTTGAAATGATTATCTTTGGCTGCAGGGATCAATAACGTGACTGATGGCCATTTCAAGGTTAGACAGACAGTTGCTGAGCCGATGTCTTCACAAAAGTAATTTTTTATGTAAAGTCGCAATGACCTTTGTGCTGGCTTGTGGTATTTGCAGAGTCCTTTGTGCTAATTTTGTTATCAGGCATACAAGCATGAGAACCGTCGCCTCATAGCTTTCCCTGGCTCCATTTTTCAGGGTTTTCTTTTCTTTTGTTTTGTTTTTAACATGAGTGACTTCATTTTGATTATGACAACTTTCACATGTTGAAACCCTAATTTAAATGTGATGGTATTTGGAGATCGAGCTTTTGGAAGGAATTAAGTCATGAGTATGGAAAAGACCCTATAAAAAGAGGCCAGGAATCTAGCTTGCTCTCTTTACTCCAAGAGAAGATGCAGAAAGACAATTTGTCAGTAAACTAGGAAAAGTGTTCCCATCAAGAATCCTGCCCTGCTAGCACCTTTAACTTGGACTGCCAACCACTAGAATTAGAAACATAAAATCGTTTAAGCCACTCCATTTGTGGTATTTTGTTATAGTAGCACCAACATGAACTGATAAGATGCTTGAACTCAAATAATTTTGAGGAATTTTTGGTAATAACAATAATATCATTTTACTTTGTTGCTGGTTATTCTATGGAACAATGTCATCTATTTTAAACACTATAGACATGTATATTTGTATTAGTTTTCTATTGCTGCCTAACGGATTACTCAAAAACATAATGGTTTAAGCAGGATTTATTTTTCACAGATTATGTGGCTCCTAAATCCAGGCTCAGCTTTTCTTGTTCCTCTTTCTCGGGTATCTCCCAAGGCTGCAATCAATTTGTTCAGTAGGGCTGTAGTCATCTCAAGGCTCAACAGGAGAAGGATCTGATTTCAAAGCTCACTCACTCATGTGGTAGTAGGTAAGAATCAGTTCTCTGTGGGCTGTTAGAGGACCTAAGTTCCTCAGTGGTCGTTACCTGGAGGACACCTCAGTCCTTTTCCATGTGGGCTACTTCCATGTGGACAATCTGACAAAATCCAGTGTGTGAGTGCAGACAAGACAGAAGACAGTCTTTAATAACCTAATCTCGAAAGTGACATCCCATCTCTTTTGCCATATTCTATTTGTTAGAAGCAAGTCAGTAGATCCAGTCCACACTCATAGAGAGTAGATTGAAAACGGTTTGAATATCAGCAGGTAGGGCCCATTAGGAGTTATTTTATAAGTTTATCATCACAGTGTTTTTATTCCACTATTAGCCTATAAATTCCTACTATATAATATACATTACTTTTAGAAACATGAGTTAGAATCAGTGTTCTGATGTCCTTCTCATATGAAAAATCAGCCTGCATAGTTGGCTGTCAAAATTTTTTGAAGAAAAATGAACCTCTAGGCTTTATCTTTATATCAGCCATTAAAGACAGCTGCCATCTGTCATAAATTAAAATGAAAAAGTCATAGTACATCCACAAATAGAAGTATTTGTAAACTTTTCCTTTTAAAATGGAGACATACACTTAAACATTTAAGAAGGAAAATGTAGTTTTGAAAGGAACTGATTCAGTAAGGTAGGCAACATATCTTTTTCATTAAGCATTCATTAATTTCCAATATGAGATAACAGTATAGTCAAATTGAAGGATCCTAAGTAGAAACCACAGTCCCTAGAGGTCTCTACTAATTGTGATCCTAAGGCAAATCGTTAAAGCAAACTTCCTTTAATTAGATATATTTCCCAAGTTGGATGCAGAATACTGAACAACTCCCAGGACTGTGGTAAGGATCTTAGCATTGATTACTTTCTCTTCCACACTCAGTCAAGGAAGTAAGGCTCTAGTGCAATCAGATGCATTTATTTCTCAATATTTTTAAAGGTTTTGATGAGCTGAAGTTACAGTTATCTTGAACTTTCCATCAAGAATTTTAACTTTCGAAAGACATTGTCTTCATTGATTAGTATAACCCTAATTGGTTTCTTATACTCAAACATGAGACTCTAATCATTCAAGTGAAATGTGGAATTGAGCATTTTATATATATATATATATATATATATATATATATATATATATATATGTATGTATGTATTAATATATATATGTAGGTATTGATATATGGACACACATATATGTATATATATGTATTGAGCATTATATATGTATATATAATATATACTATGTATATTATATGTATAATATATGTATATGCATAATATATGTATATTACAGTAAGGTAGAGGGAGATAAATGTATATGCACATATTTCTAAATGATGATACATCTATTAACATATACTATTTTATGCAACTTCCAAATTTGAATAGTAAAATAATTCAAAAGTGAAGAACATATTACAAAAATGCCTTATGATTATATTTCTTATCTTGGGTGCTGAACTGGAGCCAGATTTGAAGTTCTTCTCAGCCAGTATCAGAAGAGGCAGAAAAGTAATTCTTCTGTGATGGCAGAATAAATCAGACATGCAACAGACCTAACTGAATGCAATGTCCTATTATATATTGGTGGAGATGCAGTATCTTTAAAATAATTGTTTTCCCTATAGAAACACTAGGTAATTCTCAATATTTTATTCAATCGTTTATTTTTTCTCTCAGCCTTCTTAGATGTCTTCATATGTAACCTATACAACTGCATTGGTTGTGTTCTTACACTTGTTTACTATTGATTTGGATTGTTTCCACCCCACTTTCTAATGTTTACTTCCAAGTGGAAGAAGATATGCTAGTATTTTACTTATTTACTCTCTCTATTCCTTAAGCTTTCTTGAGGAAGAGTAATTTAATCAGACTAATAATTTTGCAAAAAGAAATCTGGTGCAATTATCCTAGACCTCACTGCTTCTTGGGAATAAATCTTCCATAAAGATGGCACGTTTTGCCACGGTCCTCCACACTATATGTTTTACAGGGGCACTGTAAGTTTTACACTGGGACACCTGCATAGATTCAGCACTATTATAGGTTTAAGTCTACTTAATTCTCAGGTTCAGTATTAAGAAAGCTAATTTCCTGCAGATTCAGTACATTGTTTAACATCTGCTTATCAGTGATAAAGATGGTTGTTACATTCTCCTTTTCACGCATTTGTTTTATATTTGATTAGAAACTCAGGTGGAGAAAAGAGTGGTGTTACATATCATACCCACTTAAACCCCAATAATTCTTATAAATGATTACTTTTATTATATTTTCTAAGTTGTTATGGTCATTGCACTGTAAACCATTAAGTTATTATCTTCTATAACCAAAAATGATAGAATTTTTACTGTTTCTTAGCTGATACCATTTGTTTTGCTACAAAAATATCATCTAAAATTGAGACTATATTGGTTAATTTATTTCCAATATTTATATCTGGATTATTTATTTTATCACATTTGCATCAACATCCAATAATAAAAGACAAAAATGGCATTCTTCTACTGAATGAAAATGAGTCCTGGATTTGATACTCAACATGATATGAATTTTTGTTGAAAGACAAATTTATTTATAAGTATTGCAAATGTATTCCTCCATTCATTGTTCACCAAAACGTTGTTAAATTAATTTAGTTTCTGGTCTGTTTTTCATTTAATGTGAAACAGGTTAATTCCTTAATTCCTTAAAAAGAATTATTATTACAGGCAGTCTTCAATCTAATAATGAGATGTATTTTTTCTCTTTTGTAACTGTAACTATTTCAAAAATCATTTCTAAAGTATGGCACATGGATAGCATGTTTTGTGAGACCTAGAATATGTGGAAATAATTTTCATGCTAAAAGATCTACTTGACTAGATAGAAAATTCAAAATAATATTTGAAGACTCAGCCACACTATATTTGTGGTGGTAATGATGGCAGTGGCGACCCTTCTGGAGTGGCTGCTGTGAAGATGCCAGCTGCAGCTTGGGAGACGTGGCCGGGGCTATGCACTCAGAGAGCTGGTGGGGGCTTGGAACAGGCAGGAGCCTCACCCACTTCTGAGTCAGTGGGACAGGAGCCCTGTGCTTCGGGGCACAGCTATAGCCACCTAACTGTGGCTCCAGACTTGGGCATCCCTGTGCTTTTTGGAGCCCAGGAAGCCCTCCCTGTCCCTGCAGGCTGGGAAGTGCCTGCTCCCACTCCCTAGCTTCTCCCAACTCTGGTGCCAGCTCCAATTGTGGAGCAAAGTTGTAGCCAAGCCTGGGCGCTGTTGCAACCTGGCCGGTTGTGCGTATGTACCCAGGGCAGTGCTGACACGGAAGCCCCCTGCTGCCTCAGGCCTCTCCAGACTTTGGGTGTCAGTGAGCACAAAAGGGAGGGGTGCTGAGGGCAGCTCAGCCTGGACCTATAAGGAACATCTTGGCAGGAACAGCCTGGGTGCCATGGAAGGCATGTTGATAGTGTGAGGTAGACAGTTTCCTGGGCAGAAAGGAGCAGGTCCCCAGTGAAACCCCACCTTCAAGCCAGGGACAGCCTGAAGCCTGGGGGCCACACTGCCAGTTCTGGGTGGAATCCACAGCCTGAAGTAAGAACTCATAGTGCTTTTTCCAGGTTGTCCCATGGCTTCCCATGGACCAATCAGTGCACATTTCTTCCCTTCAGAGCCCATAAAAACCCTGGACTCAGCCAGAATCACCCAGACTTTGGTACTACCAGCTGCAGGAAGCAGTTACTCACTTCAGGTCTCCTCAACTTTTTGGGACGACTTGCCTGTGGAAAGGAGCTACCCATGGTTCTCCTCTCTGCTGAGAGCTGGACACTAGCTGGGACAACCTGTGGTCTGCAGGTAGTATCTACCCACCTCAGGTCTCCTAAGAGCTGTTCTGTTGCTCAATGAAACTCCTTTCTGCCTTTTTCACCCTCCAGTTCTTTGCATACCTCATTCTTCCTGGACATGGAACAAGAACTTGGGACCCGCTGAATGGCAGGAGTGAAAGCACTGTAACACAAACAGAGCTGAATCCTCTCACCTCTCCACCTTCACTTGCCATGTTGTAGATGACAAGAAGGAGAAAAGTGAGAAGGAAAGAAGAGCTGTGGCCCTTCAGGGAGCTTAAACCGAAAAGCTCCCCAAGCCAGGGCTGTGATACTCTCTTTGGGACTCTACAGTTCCTGGCATCTTCAAGCTTCCTGGTGCCACCATGTTCTCCAATACCCAAGTGGAAGCAGCTTGCCATATGCCTGGTCTAGCAGCAGCCTCACAGGAACAGATGCCTGGAGGTGTCTGCCTCACCACAGCCAGCACACCTGGCTGTGTGCAGTGTCTGGGCCCTGTGCTCACTCACAAACCCCTTGCCACTCTGCACTTGGCTTGCCCTTGGCAGGCATGGGAAACAGGCCAGTAGCATGAGCCAAGTGGTCCTGCTGGGCTGAGTGGGTGGAATAACCCCAGCGGACCCAAGCAAAACTTGGGCAAAGGCACCACTGGCCACAGAGGTTTCCAACTAGAAACGTGACACCCTAAGGATTCTGTGAGAGTAATGTATTAGAATGTTTATTATAACCCTATTAGCATAACTTACAAAGAAGCTGAATGCCCATCAAAAGAATTGTTAAATAAAATTTGTTATATCTATTATTAAAAATTATATAGCCATTGAAATCAAATAAGTAGATATATGCACACTAGGAAAGGGGTAAGTTATTAACTGAATAAAAATGTCATATATCAATTCATATCTATATAAGATAAAAATTGATAAGGATGTTTATTTCTTTTAAATACAAGATTATACATATGTATGATTAATCTTACTCAAATATTTACTATAAATTTTAGAGTGAGTCTTCATGGGAATAGTAGCATAACTGTTGAATGATCTGTATAAAGGACTAACATTTAGTGTGTATTTTTAAACAGAATTCTAGTAATTCTTTTATTTGAAATTACATATTCCTGTAAAATGTGAAACAACATATGTAACACAAAACATTCAACTGTGGTTACTTGTAGGAGTTATACTGAATGGCTCCAAGAAGACATTCTACTACTACCAACCATTAAAAATAAAGTATTATGAATTTTATAATTACTTTTTGTGTGTTTTAGTATTTTTCAAAGGTAATATACACATACAATTTTTGTTATTTTACAAGTTAAGAATAGAAAACCCAATAAACTGGATTATAACCTATTTTTGCAGCAGTGTCAATATAGGATTGTTAAAAATTACAATTAAATTTCACAGTAAGCATTTGAATTTCTAATTTCAGAGAATTCAGAGAAAAAATATGGTGGAGCAGAAATTCAAAACCTGAGCCCAGGTTCCAAAGTCAGTGCCTTAAGGAAAAAAAACGAAAACAAAAACCAACCAAACAAACAAAAAACAGAAAACAATGACACACTTTTTCTCATGTATTGCATTGATTCTTTTTCACTCAGAAGAGACATAGCTTCATTTCACATCAGCTGTCTTGCTTTGTGATTCTCTGAATTGATATGCAAATTTGAAACACTTACTATGACTGGTTTTCCATATTTGCTTACAGTGCTTTTTAATGCATAATAAAAACACTTATTTGATATTAGTGGGTCACTGCCATCATCTACTCCTGCTCTGCCCTGGTATTGCTTTTCTTTCCTTCCCATATGTGTATGTTAGAAACGTGTAAGTCCATAGCCTAGGAGAGGGGATGCTTAGCAGCCCCTAGACAGTGATAGGACAGTTGTTAGATTTTCTGGCTTGTGCACACCAAGGTTCTTTGAGTACAGAGTCACAATGAAAGAAAAGTTCAAAGTGTCATCCCCACCATTGCTAAGTAATTCCAATGTTACTGAATGAAGTAGAATATGAATAAAACTCTGGATAATTGTTTCTTTCTACTTCATCTCCACTTACAGAGTTAAAAACTATTCCTTGAGTCTAAAAGTGATATATTACTCCAAATCTTCACTCTTTTTTAAACGTTTTATTTTGAAATAATTATAGATTCACAGAAAGTACCAAAGACAGTTCAGAGGTCCTATGTATTCTTCACTCGGTTTCCTCTGTGGTTATACTGCATATTATTATAGCACAGTATCAAAGCCAGATAATTGACATTCATATAACGTGTGTATATAGTTCCATGTCAATTCACTATGTGTGTAGATTTGTGTAATCACCACCACAATCAAGATACTAAAAAATTGTATCACAGAAAGGCCTCCTTTATGCTATTCATTTAAAGGCACACTTTCTCCATTATACTAAATCCCTGGCAATCACTAATTTGTTCTCTATCTCTATAATTTGGACATTTTTAGAGTTTTATATATATATGGAATAATAAAATATGTAATCTTTTGAGCTTTTCTTCACACAGCATAATGTCCTTAAGATCCATCCCAGTTCTTGCATAGATTCATTCCTTTTTATTGCAGAATAGTATTTAATGGTATGGATGTACCATAGTTTAACCTTTCCCCCACTGAAGGACATTTAGATTCTTCCTAGTTTTGAGCTATTAAAAATAAAACTGTTTACCAGTTGTGGCGGCTCATGTCTGTAATCCCAGCACTTTGGGAGGCTGAGGCAGGAGGATTGCTTAAGTTCAAGACCTGCCTAGGCAACGCAGTGAGAAATCATCTCCACAAAATATAAAATATTAGTCAAGCATGGTGGCACACACCTGAAGTCCTAGGTACTCAAAAAGCTAAGGTGGGAGTATCGCTTGTGCCCAGGAGGTTAACGCTACAGTGAGCCACGATTGTACCGCTGCACTCCAGCCTGGGCAACAGAGTGAGAAGAGACCCTATCTCAAACAAACAAACAAACAAACAAAAATCAAATGAAAATGCTATAAGCATTTTATCAATGGGATTCTATGTGAATATATATTTTCACATATTTGAGATAAACATCTGGAATTGTTAATTGTTAGATGACACTGTAATAGCAAATTTAGTGCTTTTAGAGATTGCCAATTTTTTTCCCAGATTGACTGTAACACTACCTTCCCACTAAATACGTATGAGAGACCTAGTCTCTCCCCATGTTCTCCAGCATGGGGGATTTTCACTATGCTTTATTTTAGCTGCTCTAATAGGCATGCAGTGATAACTTGTCTTACTTTTCACTTCTCTAATAACAGGTGTCAAACATATTTTCATGTGCTTATTTGCCAACCACATACCCTTTTCATTGAAGCATCTCTTCATGTCTTTGGCCCATTTCCAGCCAGATTGTTTCATTTGTTTTACTGTTGAATGTTGGGAGTTCTTTATGTTTTCTAGATACTGGTCCTTTGTTGGATAAGCTGTTTGCAAATATTTTCTCCTAGTCTGTAACTTATCCTTTCATCCTCTTAACAGGGTCATTCGCAGGGCGTCTTTAATTTTCATGAAATCGAATTTTTCAGTTTTTCCTCTGATGGATGGTGGATTTGGTTTTATGCCTAACAACTCTTCCACAAACCCTAGGTCCCAATGATATTTTTTTCTCTGTTATCTTTAAAAAGCCTCATAGTTTACATTTTACATTAAAATATATGATCCATTTGAGTTAAATTTTATATAAACTGTGAGGTTTAGGGCAAGTTTCATTTTTGAGCTTACAGATATACAATTGCTCCAGCACCATTTGTTAACAAAACTATCCTTCCAACATTGAACTTTTTCACACTTTTGCAAATGCCAGTTGGCCACACTTGTGTGGGGTTCTTTGTAGGCATTCTATTGCTTTATTTACCTATGTGACTATTTTACCACCAATACTTCCAGTCATGATTACTTCCTCTATATCATAAACCTTGAAATCAGATAGATAGAGTTCTCCTAATTTCTTCTTTTTTTCTTATAATTGCTTTGGCTATTCTAGTTCCTTTACTTTTCCATATAAATTTCAGAGTAACTCATCTATAACTATAAAAAATTCATGCCAGTATTTTTACAGGAATTGCTTGGACTTGTATATCGAGTTGAAGAGAATCAACATCTTTACTGGTGAAGTCTTCTAACCTATGAGCATTTATTTATTTAGATATTCTTTGACTTATTTCATCAATATTTTGTAGCTTTCAGAATACATGTCCTATATGTGTTTTGTTAAATTTATACGTTTTTTCTTTTTTTAACACTGCAGATAGTATTGTATTAATATTTTAAATTTCAATTTCTACACACTTGTTGATAGTGTATAGAAGTACAATTGATTCTTAATTTTGATTTTGTATACTAAGATCTTCCTAAAATCACTTATTAATTCTAGGCCTCTTTTTTAGATTCCTTGGAGTTTTTTACATAGAACTATAAATCATCTGGAAATAAGGACACTTTTATTTCTTCCTTCTCAATGTGTGTATCTTTAATTTCCTTTCTTTATTGAACTACCTAGAACTCCCAGTACTATTTTTGAATAACAGAAGTTAGAGTAGAAAGCCTTGCCTTTTGGATAGTCTTAGGGAGAAAGCATTAGTTCTTCTGTTATTAAGTATTAAATTACTTGAGGTTTTGTATAGGTGCTCCTTATCAAGTTTAGAAAATTATCTTCCATTCCTAGATTTGTGAAATTTTTAACACAAATGGGTATTGAATTTTGCCTTATGTGTTTTCTGCATTAAACAATATATCACATGATTGTTCTTGCTTGGCTTATTGACATTGTAGATTTTTTCATTTTTAAATATTGAGCTAGTCTTGCATGTCTGGAACAAAAACATATAACTCAATTGTATTTGATTATATTTTTTCAAAATTTTTTGTACTGATATTCATAAGAGATGTTGGTATTGGATTTTTTAATACTACTTTTACGTGGTTTTGATATTGGGATGATACCAGTTTCATAAAATGAGTTTGACAAGCTCTTTCTTCTTCCATGCTTTGGAAGAGATGATAGAGTATTGGTATTAATTCTTCTTTTAATGATTGGTATAATTCTTCAGTAAAATCACTTGGGCCTGATAATTTCATTTATGTGAAGTTTGAAATTATGAATTCAAGTTATTTTAATAGTTATAGAACTATTTAAATTACCTGTTTTATATTGGGTGAGTTGTCTTTTTCTACTTTTTCAATTTTGTCCATTTCATCTCAATTGTAAAATTTGTGGTTTTAGAGTTTTTCTTCATAATCCCTTACTATTTCATTTGATGCCTTCATGTTCTGCAGTGATATCCACTGTTTCATTTTTAATATTAGTGGCTTTTGCCTTCTCTTTTTCTTTCTCTTTATTACTATAGATTTGACAATTACACTGATCATTTCAAATAACCAAGGTTTTGTTTGTTTGATTGCTTATTAATTTTCTCTATTTTTCTTTGTTTAAACTTCGTGAACATCAGTGTTTATTGTTTCATTCCTGCTCCCTTCTTTGGGTTTATTTTTGCTCTGTTTTCTCTAGTTTCTTGAGGTAGAAACTGAGAATATTTTTAAGGCTTCTCCTCTTTTCTAAGGTAAGCATTTAGTAGTATAAATTCTATTGCAGCACCTCTTTAGCTGTGCCCCAGAAATCTTGATACGTTATATTTTCATTTGTATTCAATTCGATGTATTTTTTATTTGCCTTGAGACTTCCACTTTGCCTATGGATTATTTAAGAGTGCCTTTCCAGGTATTTGGAGGCTTTTTGGTAATCTTTCTGTTGTTGATTTATAATTTGGTTGAATTATGAACAGATAACAATTTAGTAGGGTTTCAATTCTTTTAAATTTGTTGGAGATGGCTTAAAGGTCAGAATATAGGTATATTGGTATATACTTTCTATTTGTTCCCTTTATTTTCATTTCACTGCTTTTTTAAACATTTCTATGAGTTAATCAAACATGCCTCAGAATTTTGTTTTAAATTACCAAAGCATTTTAATGTATCTTTTTATATAGCTTTTATGGTGATTGCTGTAGGTATTATATTATCTATGCATGACTTATCACAGTCTTGTTTTCACCATATTACCAGTTCACATGATATACAGAAACCTTATCTCCCATTACATGTCCTTAACCTCTGCCACTTATAGTAGAATTGTGTAAAAATGTCCCCTATGTACATTTAGAACCATATTAGATATATTTTATGGTTTTTGCTTCATTTGCTAAATACAATTTAGAAAACTCAAGAGAAAGAAAACTTACTGTATTTACTCATATTTTTACTTAGGATTCATTTGACACTTTTTATGATTTTTGCTTCATCTTCCAAACATAATTTAGGAAACTCAAGAAGAGAAGAAAAGCTTACTGTATTTACTCATATTTTTGCTTCCAATGTCATTCTCATTGTATGATTTCTATTGTTTTACCATCAAGTTCACAGACTCACTTTTGTTTTCTGCATTCTGCTGTTGAGCACACTCAGTGAGTTTTTAAAAATTTAAGTTATTGTATTTTTTCAGCGTTATGCTTCTCATTTGATTCTTCTATTTTTCATTTCTTGGATGAAATTTTGTTTTTTCATTTATTTGAAGAATGTTCATAATTGTTCACAGAAGCATTTTTATGATGACTGCTATTGAATCCTTTTGAGATAATTCTACTGTCTATTTTACCTAAAGTTCAGCTTCTATTGATTGTCATTTTCTTAGTAATTAGAAGTCTTCTTGTTCTTAGAATAATGAAAGATTTTTTATTAAAACCTGAACATTTTGAGTAATATGATGTGAGATCCTGGATCCTACTTAAACCTTGAGCTTTAGCAGTCTTTCTTTGTCTGGTCCAGCTAAGGAAGAGTAATGCCACCTCCTTATAGCCAGGTGAGGAAGTAAGTCTAGGTTTTCCATTTGGTTTCTGTTGACAGTTGCCTCCAGGAAAAATGGCACCTTGCTATTATTGTTGGATTTGGGATCAGAGCTCATGCTTTTCACTTGGCCTTCACTAATGCCACTTTGGTTGATGAACAAGGGGTGCCTTTCTATTACTCTTCATGTGGCCTGCACTGATACTACAGGAGTGAAGGTTGGTCTCATTGCTGCTAAATGAGGTTGAAAATACTCAATCTCCACAGGGCCTACTGTGACACCCCCCAGTGAGAAGGGTGAGGGCTGGCTTACTACCTCCAGGGGTGGGGCAGAAGTCCAGGGTGCCCACCTTGTCTACTCGGACACTATGAAGGGAGAGTCCTTGTTACCACCCAGTGGTGATGAGTGTTCTTGATCTCCATTCTTCCTCCTCTGACAACACCCTGTAATCAGTGTGGGTCACCTCATTACAACCTGGTGACAGTGGAAATCTAGGCTCCCTGCTTGACCTTTTTAGATGAGGGTGGTGCCACAGTTATTTTACAGTGTTTATCTTGAGCACAGCTGTTATTGTTGAAAAGATCTGCACTTGTCAGGCTGCCTTTTTTTGTTTGTTTGTTTATTCAACTAAAGAGAGCAGGCTTTGGGGGGAGCTTTTTTTTTGTCTGCAACTATTGGCTTTTCCAGGTCATTGGTTTCTCCAATAACTTCTGTGGAGTACGTGAAAAGAAAGTAAATCTCGGGACCCCAAAATCACTAAGTCAAAGGGGAAAAGTCAAGCTGAGAACTGCATCAGGCAAACCTGCCTCCCATTTTGTTCCTAAATAATATGGCTGCAAAGATAAAAAGCTATATACCTCCCTTACAGTTTGCCTACAAGGAAATTCCTTGTGGTCCTCAAGATCTTTACTCTGAAATGGTTATGTTGAATTTAACCTTGGCAATGAAGATTGATAGCTTATCTTCACCAGTGTGGGACGAAAGACAGAATTCAAAGTCATCCCTCTGCTCACCTGAGACAAATGCATATCTGGTTGCTTCCTCTGCCTTATTGCTTATGTAAAAATGCAAATTCACTGAGCCAGACTGAGTCATAAGTGACTATTCCTCTGCTCCCTCTCACATGTAAATTTTGTATTCAGTGAAAGGCCAATCAAGGACCCAAAAAATGCAACATTTTGTCTCTTAGCTACCTGGTTAAAGCCCTGGCTTTGAGTGTCCCCACATTCTAAACTAAAGCAGTGTATATCTTACACATATTGATTGCTGTTTTAGGTCTCCCTAAAATGTATAAAACCTTAAAAGCAAAGAGATATCCACTTACTGAAAGATAGAGTACATATGTTTTTCTATTCCTTTCACTATGTACAGCTAAAACATACACGTAAATGTCTATGTAAAACAAACATAAGAAAACTCCAAAAGGTAGCAAGAAGAAAACAGACCAACTAGGACTTCAAAACCCAAGAAGAAACATGGTAGTGGGCTTCCTCAATTATCATTTTTGCCTTATGCATCTATGAACCCAAAAATATCTGAGACAGATCTAAATCAATTTAGAAGATTTATTTTGCCAAGGTTAATGATGCATGACACAGCCTCAGGAGGTCCTAATGACATTCTCAGATGTGTTCAATTGCAATTGTGTGTCACTATGACACACAATGACCAAATACCGTTCCAGCATTACTTGTTGAAAGGTTACCCTTCTCCCAGTGAACTACCTTGACATCTTTGACAAAAATCAATTAGCCATATATGAGTCAGCCGAATTCTGGTCTATTAATCTTTATGAAAGATTGGTCATCCATCTTTATGAAAATACCATACCGTATTTATTACGATTGCTCACTAGGAAATCTGAAATTTTAAAGTGTAAGTCCTTCAAATTAGGTTTTCCATATTTACTTTAGTGTGTAGGTCATTTGTGTTTTCAAATATATCTAAAATTAACTTGTCAGTTTTTACAAAAAAAATCCTCTGTGAATTTGCAACTATGTAGCACTAAGTCTACAGATAAATTTGAGAACTATTATTTTAATAATATTGAGTTTTCTAATCTAGGTACATGTTATAACTTTATTTGTTTTTTTTTATTAATTTGCCTCAGTAATGTTTTGCAATTTGTAAGGTAGAAGTCTTTCACAGTTTTTGTCATATTTATTCATATTTTATAATTTTTGAGGCTATTGGAAAGGAATTGTTTCTTCTTAATTTTATTTTCTACTTGTTCATTTCTAGAGATTATAGCTACAATTGTTTTTTATATATTTACTTCGAATACTGCAACCTTGCTAAAATTGTTTTAAGAGTAGTATCTTTTCATTAATTCACAAAATTTTCTACATACAAGATCACATTGCCCATAAATCTTCCTTTTTAATATGCATGGCTTTATTTAGTTTGTTTGTTTGTTTTATTCCAGTAGCTAGGAACTCCAGCATTAGAGGTTTTCCATTTCTTCCTGAGGATAAATGCCAATCTCTTCTGTTGCAAATTAAGGTTAGTTAAATATGCTGAGGGTGGACACCATTAATAATGGCTTCAATTCTAATACTTGGAAAAAATGTTGTTTTCTTCTAGTTTGGAAGGGAGGAATCCTAGTCCCACATACATTCGAATTTGCATCTCCAAACTTAGATTTCTGGAATTGGGACTAGTAAACCTATTGATGTGGACATAATACAATGGATCCACTTTTGTTGCACGAATATGATATTCATGTGTGTCTTTTGGATACTGAATAGTTCTGCAAATATCTCTCTGTTCTGTGGAGTTTTACAAATGCCAGAAAGTATCATTGTGGTATTCCTGGTTTCCAAATGCATAAACAAACTTGTACCCAGATGCAGTCACATTAAATGCTATTAACAAAGTTCTCTCTAATATAAAAAGATAGTGGCAAATGTATTTCTGAAGGGAATGGCTGGTTTTTAATTTGTAGTGGAAATAAATCTCTCAATAAAATTCAAGGATACATTATCATGATACTGTGTAGGGAGCAATGAAAGTAGATGAGTTGGCAATCAAATTTCATGCTTCAGGGCTTGAAGTGTTTTTATAGGGGTTATAATGGGATCTTTTGAAATAAGTGAAGGAATTTTTCTTGCCTTAAAAAGTCTAGAGTCATCTATGTAGATTGTGGTCCAATCTGGAGTTTCAAATGAACAGTAACATAGCTGTTCAAAAAGAGAATTTGACAAAGTTTAATCTGTCTCTTGGCTTCCCTCGAGTGATATATAAAAGCATGATATGAAGCCTTTTGGACACAAAAGGAGTCCATGAAATTATTCAACTGGCATTCTTTCTCATCTCAGAAGTAACTGACATCTTACTCTTTCCTGTACTTGTAACCAAAAGAAACATCTTTATTCACATTCACTAAGGCTCACTTCCTGCTCTCTTGTGTCATACATCACAGCTGTGTACAGAATCCATACAAGGCAAGATGTCAAAAAGGAGCCAATGAAGAAATTGTTTATGTTCCAAGAATTAATATTGCCTCTGTCTCATGAGTTTTCTTTCTCTTAAGGGAAATATGTGTTTTCTTATGTTTTAATGGTCTCTTGATTAAATTGCTTCTTGTGTGGATATTAATGAAGATTTTTTAAATGTTGTTTTTTAGTTGTTTCTATATCTCTGTAATAATTTATTGCAATTTTATGTTCAGTTTTATTCTCAAGAAATCATCTTAAAAGATTACCTTGAACCTTGCACCATTTTGACATTTAAACATCCATAGTGTCATCTTCTCTCAACATTATCAATAAACAAAAATTTTATTCTTGAGAGAATAAGACTACCAAAGGAAAAGACTTCTCAGAAGGTCATAAAAATTTGTATACATGCATAGGAGGAATTTTATGAAATTCTATGTTTTAAATTAACGTTAGCTTCCATCTTCACATAATTTTAATATTTATTCTTGACATGCCTAGATGATAACATAAAATATTCCTATCCTCCTAGCCTGTTATCTGGAATGGTTACTATTTTATTTTTGCTGTTTATTTCTTTTTCTTCTCCTCTTCTTACTTTTTCATGTTCTTAAAGAATACTAATACTAGAATATTAATAAAATAAATATTTCCAAGCAAATGACTTTTAAATGAGTTTCCTTAAGGAATAATTATTGTTTACCTATTTTTTTCTTTTTTCTTTTCTTTCTTTTTTTTTTTTTTTTTTGAGATGGAGTCTCACTCTGTAGCCCAGGCTGGAGTGCAGTGGCATGATCCTGGCACACTGCAACCCTCCACCTCCTGGGTTCAAGCGATTCTCTTGCCTCAGCTTCCCAGGTAGCTGGGATTACAGGCGCCCGCCAGCACGACTGGCTAATTTTTGTACTTTTTGTAGAGACAGGGTTTCACCATGTTGGCTAGGCTGATCTCGAACTCCTGACCTCAAGTGATCTGCCTGCCTCAGCCTCCCAAAGTGCTGGGATTACAGGCATGAGCCACTGCGCCCAGCCTGTTTACCTATTTTTAATTAAATGTGATATTCTCTGCACTGGCACTAAAAATTATTCACAAAGAGCATAAAAATAAAAATGTCTTATATGCTTCTTTGTAGAGACATATATTTTACTAAATATTTGGTTTTACTGAGACTTCCGTATTTTTAGATTAAAGAAAAAACAAAAACGCATTAATATAAATTCTCACTTTAAAATAAATAAAGTTTGGTTATTTTCTTTCATATTTTATATAGTGAGTATACAATTAAACCTTTGGGAGTGGACAACGTTCTCTTATTTTGATATATAAAAACAGATTTCATATGCTTCAAACTAATATATGTATATATATACAATATGACTAATGCACAATAAAACACTTTACTAAGCTTATAATAAAAGATCTTGCTACTTCAGCTCATCACACTCACTCTCTTGTTAACAGACCCATAATCTTGTATCTTCAGTGCTTATATAATCAAATAGTTAATTCTATTTTGGGGAAAATAATTAAAAATACCGAGCACATATTTTTTGGCTTCTTGAGAAGATTAACCATTTCCAAATTTTCTGGATTGCACCTGACTTCAATGAAACATAGAAGACCTAAACAATTTTTTAAATATTAAAATATAATTCAAATTAATTCAAAATTTTTCTTCTGTCATCTCCTCAATGAGTCACATGTGGAACTAATTTTCATAGCAACAAAATTTTACTTGTACCTTCCCCAGTAATCAGCGATAAACTGTGCATGGCATCAACTGAGCATTAAAATAATTATTTCTCTGTACACATGCTACTACTTTATCGATATTCATTCTTTTGTTTGGTTCCAACAAAGAATGAAGCTGTGCTGTTACCTTATTAAAATAATAAAAACTGTTACACTGATAACCAATGACAACATACAATGCAGTAGCATCAAATGGACAATAATACCCTCATACTGACTTTTCTGATAAGGCCTCCTAACCTCACAGATCTGATTCATTAATGCTCCAAGAACATCTAAAATGTCACTCAGTCTTTCATTTATTTCCTTCTAATAAATTAGTGCTAATTTCATTAGAATATTTGACCTGTTTTGAGTATTCTTAAAAAAAATAGTGACCTGTAGTTTGGTTAGTAAAAACCATAAGAAAACATCCAAAGTGATTTAGCATGGAAATATTTGTAGTTGGGGAAGGTATAAATCTGAAGAAATGGGAACAACGATCCAAATAATTCCAAAGATTGGTGTGTAATTTGTGTCACAATAGAAAGGGATGGGGAAAACAGGAGGGGCAGGGGATTGTGGGGGTTCTTCCATGTTTACTAAATATCAGACATCAAATATCAGATGCATCAGCAATAACAAAACACAGAGAGAATGTTAAAATCACTAAATATATGCAATGTATATTCCAAATGAAAGATTTGTCATTTACCACTCACCCACAAAAACTTTTTTGTTGTTGTTTAAAAGTTTTTGGCTGAGCACGGTGGCTCACACCAGTAATCCCAGCACTTTTGAAGGCCAAAGTGGGTGGCTTGCTTGAGTACAGGTGTTAGAAATCAGCCAGGGCAACATGGTGAAACCACGTCTCTACAAAAAATACAAAATAAATTTAACCAGACGTTGTGGCATGTGCCTGTAGTTTCAGCTACTCAGGAGGCTGAAGTGGGAGGATCACCTAAGCCCGGAGAGGTCGAGGCTGCAGTGAGCTGAGATTACGTCACTGTATTCCAGCCTGGGTGAGAGTGAGACCTTGTCTCCAAAACAAACCAGGAGTTTGTTGGCTTGTTTTTATTTTGCTTGTTTTTTAAAAGATAATTTAATTTATAAGAGCATTTTGGTTAAGTAATCTATACACCATAAAATCCACCCATTTTAAATTTTAAACATACAACTTAATAGCTTGAAGGTACTTTTAGTAAATTTACTGCGTTGAGCAACCATCACTTCACAACCTTTGTATTACTTGAATTCACCTCTCAGTTTCATCTCCACACTCAGATGACCATTAGTCTATTCTCTCGATAAAGATTTGACTTTTGTAGACATTTCATATAAATGGAATCATACAATATTTGGTCTTTTGCATTTGTCTTCCTTAGCATATGAGGTTCATCCATGTTGCGACATGTATCAAAAGTATCCTGTTGCTGAATATATATGATTGTGTGGATATAATATTTCTTGGGTATCTACTAACCAATGCATTGACATTCAGATAATTTCCACTTTTTGACTATTATGAAAAATGCTGCTATAAAATATTTGTGTATAAATCTTTGAGTGGATTGTTCTTTGCTATGATGGTATATAAAATATAGTGATTTTTTATAATAATTTTGTATCTTATAATATAGCTAAACTTGTTCTAGTAATATTTAGTGAATTACTTGAAAATTTGTTATAGAAAATCTTGTTCTTCCTAATAAGAGATGGTTTTATTTCTTCCTTTATGATTTGATGGCTCTAATTTATTTTTCTTAACTTATTACACTAGTTAGGACTTTAGGACAAAAGTGCATAGGCATGATGAGAAAAAATATCCTTGCTTTGTCCCTGATCTTATCGGTAAAGCTCTTAGTCTCTCATCAGTAAGTATGATGACAGCTAATGGTTCTCAAACATAACCTTTATTAAAGAATGCCACTTCTGTTTCTAATGGGCAAGAAGTCTTTTTTATCACAGATTAACATTGAATCTTTAATTACTTTTTCTGCTTCTATCGAGATGCCTATATTGTTTTTCTTTAGTTTGTCAATATATAGTGAATTACATAGATTGATTTTTTAATGTTAAAGCAGCCTGGAATTTCTGGAATAAACTCCATTTGACCATAATGTATTAACATATTTTTATGTTGCTATATTCTCTTTGTTGATATTTTCTTGAGGATTTTTGAGTTTATGTTTATGGAAAATATAAGTATATAGTTTTCTTTACCTGTGATGTGTCTCTCTGTGAATGGTGTCACTACAATACAAGCTTCATTGAATGAGTTGGGAAAGCTTCATTACTCTATTTTCTGGAAGGCTTTATGGGGTTTGGTATTACTTCTTCTTTAAATGTTTGATAAAATTTACTAGTGAATTTATGTGGGTCTGGGATGGATTTTTAATTATTAAATTTACTTTCATATTGGCGAAATTTAGGTGTTTCTTCTTGAGTTGATTTTGGTAAATGTGTCTTTCTGAAGAATTTTTCCAATTCTTTTAAGTTGTGTAATTTGTATTTCTTCTTGAGTTGATTTTGGTAATTTTGCCTTTCTGAAGAATTTTTCCAACTCTTTTAAGTTGTGTCATTTGTTTATAATGGTCCCTTTTATTATTTTAATTTCTGTAAGGTCTGTAATGAAATCTTCTCTTTTGCAGTTTGGTTAATTTGTATCTTCTCTCTTTTTTTTCCTTCATCTTTTTAGCTAAAGATTTAACCATTTTTTTTAATTAAAAAAGCCCTTACTTCTAATTTTATTGATTTTTCTCTATTGTTTTGTTATATATATATTTGATTTGCAGTCTGATATTACTTCCTTCCTTCTTGCTTTAGGTTTTGTTTTCTCCTAATTTGGAAGCCTAGGTTATTGATTTGAGATCTTTTTTTTGTTTTGTTTTCTAATGAGGCATGTTATGATTTGAATGTTTGTGCTGCTTCAAAATTCATATTAAAACTTAATCATCACAGCAATTATATTAGAAGCAGACCTTTTGGGAGAAATTATTAGGAAATTATTAATGACCTTAGAAAAAAGCTTTTAGAGAGGATCTTCTTTCCCTCTGCCCTTCTGTCCCTTCCATTGCTTCTGAAAATGTTTGTCCCTTTTGCTCTTTTTTGTCCTTCTGCTCTGTGAGAACACAATATTTACCTCTTCTACCATGTGAGGACACAGCAACAAGGCACCATTTTGAAAGCAGAAAACATCTCTCACGAGACACCTAATCTGTCAGCACCATGATTTTGGACTTCCCATTCCCCAGAACTGTGAGAAAATCAACTATTCTTTATAAATTACCCACTATCAGATATTTAGTTATAGCAGCACAAAAGGACAAAGATAAGGTGTTTAAAGCAAAACTTTCCTGCTGAGCACTGATTTAACTACATTCTTTACATTTTGATATGTTTATTTTCACTAAGATAAAAATATTTTCTAACCTCTCTTATGAATTCTCTGGGTTTATGGGTCATTTAAAAGCATTTTATTTAATATGTGAATATCTGAAGATTATGTAAGTTTTTTTTGTTGTTGATCTCTAATTTGATTTGGTTGTAGCAAAAACAATTTTTAAATGACTTTTAACTCATTTACATGCATTGAAACTTGTCTTAGAACCCTAAAAATGGACTATTCTCAAAAAGTATTTTCTGAAAACTTTAACAGAATGTTCATTCTGCTGTTGTTGGGTGCAATGACATTAGGTCAAGTTGGTTGATAGTGTTGCCAAAGTGTCTGTTTCCTTTCTGAATTATATTTATTTTCTGTATTACTGAGAGTGAGTTACTGAAGTATCAAAATATTACTGTTCAATTAGCTATTTCTTCTTTAAATTCTGCCAGATTTGCCTCATATTATTTTGAGGTCATTTGTTGAGTGTGTATATAAATACTTGTGGGTGTATGTTTATAAAAATTATAAATTCCTAATGAGTTTATCCCATTGTCTTTATAAAATGCCTCTATTTGCTTCTAGTAAAATATTTTTATCTTACAGTATGATTTCAGGAGTATAATTTGCATCCTCTTGAATGTGTAGACAAACGTTTTTCATCAAATTGAGGAAATATTTGCCATTATTTATTATTTTTCTCTCCCTTTATCCTCTCTCCTTCTAGGACTCTCTTTATGCATGTGTTGGTATGTTAGATGGTATTTCACCAGCCACTAAAGTTCTGTTCATTTTTATTAATATTTATTTCTACACACACACGTATATCTTCATATTCCCTGAATTATTCTTTCTGCCATTACTAATCACCCATTGAGCCTTTCTAGTATATTTTTAAATTTTAGTTATTGAATGCCTCAGGTTCATAATTTCCATTTAATTATTTTATCTATTTCTTTATTGCTATCCTCTGATAATCTGTTGACATCATACTTATCTTTACGTCTTTTAATAAGGATTTCTGAGGCTTTTAAATATATTTATAAGAGCTGCTTTGATATTTTTTCTGTGATGTACTACATACATCTGGAGCCCTTCGGAGATAGTTTCTATTGATTGAATTTTATTTTCTGTATACTGATCACACATCCCTATTTCTTTGTGTATAGCACTGGGTTTTGAAATCTGGCCACTTAATATGAAATATTACAGCAACTGTGAATTATTATTCCCTATTCTAAGCTGGTGTTGTGTTTCTGTTTTTTGTTATTGCTTTAGTCCATTTTCTGTTGCTTATAACAAAATAAGTGAAACTGGGTAATTTATAAGGAAATTTATTTTTTACAGTTATAGAGGCTGTGAAGTCCAATACCCAGGTGGTGAATCTGGTGAGGCCTTTCTTGCTGGTGGTGATTCTATGTGACATCCCAAGGTAACCCAAAGCATCATATGGCAAGGAGGCTGAGCATGCTAACATGCTAGTCAGGTCACTTTTCCTCTTCTTATAAAGCCACTAGTTCCCCTTCCATGATAACCCATTAATCCAGTAACCCATGAATGAATTAATCCACCCATGAGGACAGAACCCTCATGATCCAATCACCTCTTAAAGGCCCCACCTCTCAATACTGCCACATTGGAGATTAAATTTCAACATGAGATTTGGAGGGGGCCAATGTTCAAACCATACCAGCTATGTTTTGTTTTTATGTTTTTTTAAAAAAATTTGTTTATTTGTTTAATGACTGGGTGGGAATAGTTCTGTGGTCTCTCCTGACATCAGTAATGCCAGTAATGCCTATGATTCACTTTTGTTTCCTTGTTTTTATTTTTTCAAACATGGGTTCCTAGGGTTCTACCTAGGGTCAGATTGGCTAAGTGGTCAATCAACAATTACTCAGAGGGTATGCTGAAATAACATGCGCTAAGGGTTGCATCATTTGTCAATGGATCTGTATATGGGTGAGTAACACAGCTAAGGGTTAGGCAGTTTACGAAACTGTACCATGTTTTATCTTCTATGGAAGCAACACTTCAAATTCAGTCAGGTACCAGTAGATAACTAGGACCATCATAAATGTGTGTGCAACCTTGGACATGTATAAATCCAGATCCTCAGGAATGAGTAAGAGTTTAAGAGCTTAGGTCTGTATATCAGTCATGGTTCTCAAAAGTAGGAGAACTAATAAGATAGATATATAGATGTGTGTGTATGTGTGTGTGTGTGTGTGTGTAGAGAGAGACAGATTTTATGTATATACACAGAGAGAGAGAGAGAGAGAGAGAGAGAGAGAGCTTATTTCTTTATCCAGAGAGAGAGAAAGAAAGAATTTACTTTAAAGAATTAGTTCATATAATTATGGGTGCTGACATGTCCAAAATCTGTAGAGCAGGCTAGGATCAGGCTGGAAACTCCAATAGGTGTAAATGCCATGGTCTTAAGGTAGATTTTTTTCTTCTCCAAGAATTCTGTTATTTACTCTTTTTGTTATTTACTCTTTTTTTTAAAGTCAGCTGATTGTAGATGTTAACCACATCTATAAAATATCTTCACAGCAACACTGTATTTAGCTTACTGTTTTGTTACATAATTAGATACCACTGCCTAGTCAAGTTGACAAATAAACCTAACCAATACCATCTACTACAGGTGTCTTATGACCTGTGCCTCCCTGTGAAATTTCTGGATGACCTGTGTTTGGTTTCTTGCCTCAATCAGTATCTTGTCTTCAGGTTACCTGCAATATTTGCATTCCCTGATTGTTTCTCACTGAAATCACTATCATTTTCATCAATGTCCTGGAAAAAAGGCTTTTTTTGTTTGTTTTTCCCCAAGGTCCCAGCAAGTCAAATCAGTCTCCCTGACTGGCTAGTTACAGATCCTCCTGGCCTACCCTACAGTGGTAGAACTACTGCACAAAGGAGGGGGAGGTGAGTGAGAGGGTATGTGAGCAGCTGCAATCTAAAACACTGCACACTTCCACTATTCTAACAAAACTTTTCCTGAATAAGTGCTTCTTAAATTTTTATACACCACTGATTAACATCCAGAGCCCCAGAATGGTTATCTTTTGAAAATTTTGTTCAGTTTAATAATCACTTTGTGGGAAAAAGATTTCAGAGCTCCTCACTCAACCATTTCTGAAGTTCTGCTTCTCCAATATTGCTAATTTAACTTTTATCAAATTTATATATTCAAATAAACTAAATAAGTAAAACAACTATATGACTTTGTTAAATAAAGCAAAAATATTTCCTTTATTTGTAATTTCCATTATACAAATAATGAACTTTTGTCTTTTTTAGCTTATTTTTTATCCATATGCTATTCTTTTTTAATGAGTCCTCTCTCTGTTCCAGGAACCAATCCAAGACACCACATGACTTTCAGCCTTCATGTCTCCTTAGTCACTTCTGATAGTATATAAGCTTACAGTTGAGTTTTGATTTTGTGTCCAACCTGACAATTGATGTATTTATATTATTCATATCAAAAGTAATTATCAACACAGATCAAATTCTACCATCTGGCTAGTTATTCGCATTTGTTTTTTATAAATATATATTTTTTCTACCTTCTCCAATTTTAATTGTGTATATTTATAATTTCATTTTATATTCCTCACTTGTACTTCTTTCTTTTTCTTTTTAGTGATTGCCCCAGGATACAAAATATACATGTTTCAATCATCTAAGGTCACTTTCAGATAATAGTATACTACTTTACATATAGTATATGGAGATTATCACAGTATCTTCTCAACTCCTTTCCCACCCCTGTGTCATTGTGGTCATGCATTTCCCTTTTGCATATGCTATACACACAGGATATTGTTATTATTGTTCTTTTAATTAATCAGTTGCCTTTAAATGTATAAAAATAACAAGAATAACAAGATATTTTATTTTACTTTTGTTTATTCCATTTCCAATAATCTTCTTCTCTTTGTATATATTCAATCTTCCAGCCTATAACCTATTTTTTTTTTTCTGTCTGAAGGACTTCTTGTAACATTTCTCATGGAATGGATCTTCTGTTAATGAGATTTCTTATGTTTTGTTCTCAGGAAGTCTTTATTTCCTTTATTCCTTTTAAGCGGTATTTTTGCGGGGTATAAAATTCAAAAATTTCATTTTGTTTTAATTTTCAGCACTGTAAAAGAACTCTTTCTATTGTCCTCTTGCTCTCATGATTTCATACAGGAAGTCTGTTGAAGTTCTTATCCTTGTTCTTTGGAATGTAGCATGTAATTTTCCCCTTCTGGCTACATTTAAGATTTTCTCACTGTCTGGTTTAGGAAAGTTTGATTAATATCCCAAGTTTTGGGAACTTTTGTACTTCTTTTCACTGGACTCTGAGATTTCTTCATGTCTGCTACTGTGTTTCTACTTTCTAACATTTTTACTTGAGTTTTTATTAGTTTACATATCTCTGCTAAAATAATCTATTTGATCTTGCATGTTGTTTGTTTTTTTCCTCAATAGAGTCTTTAACCTCTCATAGTTATTTTAAACTTGTTTTCTTTATTCCTGCCATATGTCTTACATATGAGCCTGATTCTTATATTGCCTTGTATTTCAATATTATATTTATTCTCACCTTTTTATGCCTCATAATTTTCAGCTGAAATTTTGACATGTTGTATAGGCAAGCATATTCTGGTATCTGTATTTGTGTTTGTGTGTGTGTGTATGTGTGTGTGTAAGTGTGTCCGTGTGTCTTGTTTTTTGTCTCTGACACTTAGGTTTTGTCTTAACTCTGTGCCAGTCCCTGGAGTGATCTGTCCCTTGCAGTATTTTTCCGCTGTATTCCATTGCTGCTTTGATTTGATTTTTTGATACTTTAGTGTCGTTTTGTGAGCTGGTGGGGGGGTGCATTTTCCGATGCACTATGTAGGTCTTAGTCTTATGAAGGCACTGAAAAAGTGAATCTCAGGAGTATTGCATCTTCCTAAGTGTTTTGGCTCCTCCTTCAGATGAAATGCTGGGTGTAACATGTATCTGTGTTCCTCTTCAAAAAGTACAGTTTAATTTCTTCTTCTCCGTTCCCCTCCTCAAGTGGCAGTGGGTTTCCGCCAGTGCCTTCAGGCTTTGTATTTTAATGAACTCTGCCATACAGACTAGGGAATATATAATAGTGGCTCTTGATAGAATTTTAGAGATGACTGTTATTCCACTCTCCAGTCAACACTATGGCAAAAGCTTTCTGAGGATACTTCTTCATCTTCCCTGTGAACATCTGAGAAGGGCCTGGGGAGAGGGGTTCTTAAAGAAAAAAGCCTGCAGGAGTACGTGAAACCTGCCATGACTATCTCTCCCAGGGGTTTTATACTTTCACCTTAGCCCATACTTGGCCTTTTGCAATTCATTAATAATTTCCACTTGAAACTACTTTTTGTCTTGTATGTCATTCATTGGCATTTGTCCAAGATAAGCAAATGCTCAGTGCCTGTTTTTGCATTCAGGTGCTTTTCATGACTCACTTCCCTACTTCACATTGTTTGTTTGCCCTATGTGCTCAGTTTTCTGCTAGATTCAAGAGAAGCTGTTTATTTGCAGTCTGTCTAGTTTTTCTTGTAAGTTTACAAGTGAAGCTCTTTCTGGCATTTTGTCTCTCTGAGCTAAAAACAGAAGTTGAATTATTATTATTTTGCCCTCTCCATATTTATGATCTATTTTTAATGTTTTTCTTCTGGATCAACTTTTCCCTGTTTTCTATTGTCTTTTGCTGTCTTTCTGGGAAAATATTCCAACTTCATCTCTCACAGTTTCAATTACGTTTTCATGTTACTATAAATTTAACTTAAAATAATTATATTCTTATTTGTTTGTTTCTTGAATGCACTTTTATTATAGTACTGTCATGGATTTCTAGAAATGTTACTTGCCCTTTCATTCAAGAGAAATTGCACAGTTTCTTCCTCTTCCAAGACATTTTGATCTGTTTGTTTTAAACCATATGTTATATAAAACATATTTATCTGTGTATAAATAGATAGGCAAATATCAGTTATATAAATAACTGGTGGCTTTCTTTTCTCATCATTTTTGTCTGTCCACTCATGTTGCAGTGGGAGGGACTAACAAGATGAAATTAATGTTTCAGGCCAACTCACTTAATGAGGAAAAATAGAAAAGTCATACAAAGTATAAAAATAAATTTCCTTGACAGCATTTTGTAAGTCAAAATATAGCAAAATTTAAGGGTCATGATTTGAGAAAAAAAAACAGATATATTTATAAAAATGAGCCTAGTATTTGGGGCTGATTTTCCTTTGAGGGCATCTGACTATTTCAGAAGGACATCTTATAGGCTAAAAAGCTGATAGTACTTTGATGGCCTCTTGATGCTAGGGGGGCAGGAATTAGAGTATGGAGGACAATGAATGGATAACAATTATGAGTAAGTAGAAATCTTATTATATAGGTTCTGGCAGAAGCTGCCGTTCATATTTGAATCATTTCAATCCATGAAATGAAATTGAAGTAATCCCAGATTGCTGTTGCCTGGCTGAAGTCAAAGCAAACCCTCTCTGGAGGAACAGATCATCACCCTCATTTGCATTATAATTCTACAAACAATTTTGCAAACACAATGGCACAAAATAGAGCATAGCCAGGCATATATATGGAAATAATAAAATTAAGGTAAAACAGTAGGAATAACAAATTATAGCAACAGAATAACAGAATATCCCCATTTTAAAGCTAACTGTAACAGTCTTTTGAGTAACTGCTTAGTACGTTCAAGGATATAAGGAAAAAATGAGAGTTTGAGTAGGTAAAAATACTTTTATGACGTGAAATAGATTGTATGCAAATCATAAATCTGATGAGGTTAATATTTCAGAATATACAAGAAACTCAACTCCGTAGCAGAAAATAAATAAAAACAAATAACCCAATTTAAAATTGGGTAAAAGAAATGAATAGACATTTCTCAAAATGATATACAGGTGGCCTACAGGCATATGAAAAAATGCTCAACATCACTAATCATCAGGGAAATGCAAATCAAAACCACAGTGACATATCACATCACCTCAACCGGAAGAGCTATTTTTTTTTTTTTTTTGAGACAGAGTCTTGCACTGTTGCCCATGCTGGAGTACAATGGTGCTATCTCGGCTCACTGCAAACTCCGTCTCCCAGGTTCAAGTTATTCTCCTGCCTCAGCCTCCCGAGTAGCTGGGATTACAGGTGCACATCACCACACCCAGCTAATTTTTGTATATTTAGCAGAGACAGGGTTTCACCACGTTGGCCAGGCTGGTCTCGAACTCCTGACCTCGTGATCCTCCCACCTACAGCTATTATCAAAAAGATAAAAAATAATAAATGCTGCTGTGTATGTGGACAAAGAGGAACACTTATACACTGCTGGTGGGGATGAAAATTAGTATAGCTGTTATGGAAAACAATGTGGAGGTTCCTCAAAAAATTAAAAATAGAACTACAATATGATCCAGCAATCCCACTATTGAGTATATATTAAAAGGAAATGAAAGCAGTATGTTGGAGAGATACCTGCACTCCCATGTTTACTGCTGCACTATTCACAATAGCCAAGGTATAGAATCAACCTGTGTCTATTAACAGATAAATGGATAAAGAAAATGTGGTATATATACACCATGCAATACTATTCAGTTATGAAAAATAATGAAGTCCTGTCATTTGCAACAACATGGATGAACCTGGCAAACATTATGTTAAGTGGAATAAGCAGGCATAGAAAGACAAACACCGCATGATCTCACTCATATGTGGAATTTAAGGACGTTTATCTCATAAAGGTAGAGAATAGAATAGTGGATACCAGAGGCTGGGGAGATCAGGGGAGAGGGGGAAATAGGGAAAGATTTGTCAAGAAGTACAAACTTGCAGTTAGATAGAAGAAATAAATTCTGATGTTCTATTGCATACAAGGGTAACTATGGTTAATAATATTGTGTTGTATATTGCAAAATGGTTAGAAGAAAGGACTCTGAATGTTTATCAAAGAAATGATAACTGTATGAGGTGATGAATATGCTAAATACCATGACATATTACACAATGTATACATGTATTGAAACATCACGTTATACCTCATAAATATGTATAATTATTATGTGTCAATTAAAAAATGAAAAGAAAAAGAATCATGGGTAGACAAGATTGTGACAATAAAAATTGCTCAAAAATATGAAAATTAAAATGTAATTGATAGTTTAAAGTTAAACCACTGAAAACAGATGCAGCAAATTTGCATTTGTAAGAGAATACTTTATTATAAAACCGTGGCTTAATTCTTTAATAATTATCACTGACATGTGGGAAAGAAGGTCAGACAAGATTCTAACTGTCTAGAGATCAGGTTTGATTTCATGTTTGCCGGCCAAAGCTTTTTCTAAGCTCCAGGGAAGGCTGAAACCTACATGGGAGATATTCGTTATAGTGACCATACTTCACTGAAATAGGAGTACCAAATTTCTGATATTTCAATGGTTAATAATGTATTTCTTCAACCACTAATTTCAAATTGTAATATCTCATTTATGAAAATGGTAAAGAATACTTAGATAAAAGGCAATAAACAATACAAGCATAAAATGTACTTTTGTTTTTTGGATAAAATAGTTGATTATTTCCAAAATGTTGTCATTTTTCTTTCAGAAAAGAATGTTTTCTTTAAAGCTTTTGTCTTCTAATGCCTCATTTTCCTTATATACACACAAATCATATATTGTATTTTAATATAATATAAATATATTATTAGAATTTGTAAAGAAAATAATTTTCTCTCCATTAAAAAATGTTTATGTATTTTTAATTGCAAATAATTTCCATTAAAGTGCCAACTAAGTGAGTAATGAAAGTTTAGTCTCCTGATATGGGACATGTTATCAGAGAAAACACAGGGGAAGAAATATGAGATAATTTTCAAAATTCCATTTATTTCAAAGATGTGAAATGAATCAGTCACTTTTCTTTAAAATTATTCTTTTTTAAATCTACATTTTAGAAGGTATTAATACTAAAGTTGATTTAAAATGGTAGGTTTAAATGGAGCCAGAAGGACAAATCAGAATGACAACTTCTCACACTGAGGACTTGACAGGCTTTTATTGAATCTGCAAGGGCTAATAAAATACTTCTTGCTACATGCAATGCTCCTACAATTTTTGCTGGAAAAGAATAATGTCTTCTCTTATAGCTTTGTACCACAGTTTGAAACATTCAGTGTGTTTCTGTGAATCTTCACTATAATTTCCACTCTTCAAAATAGATAAAATAATTGAGTACAAAAAGTGTTGATTGACATATCCAAATATTTTAAATGATTTGGGTGAAGTGTATCAGAGCAATAGAAATTGACATTAAGTGCATAAAAGGCCAATTGTTTCAGGTACATTGAATATTCTTCACAAAATTAGTATTATTTCCTCGGCAAAGAGTATCCTTCACATGAGTAATACTTTGCACAGTAGCTTGAATATAATGAATTCTGACTGAATATTAATTATAGAACATAGAATGTTTGAAATTTAATTACTTAAATATTGAACTTTAATTGTATTTTCATAATATACAATGAAGCAACTTGTAGGAACAGGTTTGAATTATTTTCATAAAAACTTGCCAGAAGCTCTCTCAACATATGTAGTAAAAATTTTACTCAAATATCTTAATAATCAAAACATTTTATTAATCAAATACTTCAGTTTATATGAGACAGTATCTTGTAATTTAGATAATTCATGATTCTATAACTCCTTTGCCAATAAATGACTGAAGAGAATTTTTGTCTCATGCAGAATGACTTTATAAAGTTTGCATTTATTCTATATACCAATCTACAGAAAATACATCAAATAAAATGGATTAATCACACTAGAAAATAAAAAGAATAATTTCAATTATAGTTTCCGAATTTTTTGTGGTCTTTTAATGAGTTTCTGAAAGAATCTTAATGTATATTTTATATAAGAAGATTGTTTTAATTAATTTAATGTAAGTAAGACACAGTTGTATTTGGACATTTTTCTGCAGGCTATAAAATTTTCAAGCTGAATTGTAGTTTTCCAGGAATATCTTGGAAAACATTTTTTGTTTTATGATTGGGAAATGTATTACATGCCTCACACTGACTTCACTCTTGGGGCCTAATTTAATGTAAGTGGCAAAGGCAAAATCAACATGTTTTGGATTCTATGTTACAAGTTGTTTTTCCTTCAGTTGTAATTATTATTTTAATACTAACTAAACTGTTCATGTGGTCTTTAATTTGATGTTCGTTTATTGAAAGTCATGAGTATAAACACCACCTTTTTTTAATTTCAGGTCTCTTCTGATTTCTGACATAAAGATATCCATAATCATACTCTTCCTTTGGTAGTCACCTTGATATCTTACAAAAGATTAATTAAAAAAAAAAGACCCACGAATTGAAACAAAACAAGTTATCTATTTTGAGTTTACTAACTGCTTCTACCATCTGCATTGTTTTAAACAGCTTTGTTATTTCTATGGAAAGAGATTAAAAAAAAACAACGTTTAAAATGGAAAAGATAGAATACTAAGTGTTGAAAGGACATAGATCAATTTTAATACTTGTACATTACTAATGAAAATGTTAGTTGATACAACCATTTTAAACTCTATCTCAATATGTCAAAAAATTAAATATATACATATTTTACACAGCGTTTTCATATATGAGTTTTCCAAATGTGAGCATATACAGCTTCACATTGTGTAGCAACTATAAAGATGTTCATAACAATGCTATCTTCAACATTCCCAAACTGGAATTTATTTATAAAATGAATAAGTAACTTGTATTAAAGTCATTCAGTGGAACACTATACAGCAATGGGAATAAACAAACTACACCTGTACTCAACAATATAGATGAATGACACGAATAAAATATTGAGTGAAAGAAAAAAGACCCCAAAGAGTACATTCTGCATGATTCCAATTATATAAAATCCCAAATCAGACAAGGTGCTAGTATTAGGTATGGTGATAGATGTCAGGTCAGTGGTTATCTTGAAAAAACTGTATAGCCTGCAGAGAGAGTCCAAATACAAATGTATTTCATTTATATTAAGTTGATAAATAATAACTAAAAAGGAGAAGGGTAGGTCTTAAGTGGTGATTTTGTTTCTTGACTGAATGTTGATTTCCCCAGGTGTGTTCAGCATATGACAATTCATCAAATTACACATTTAATATCTGTGCACTTTAGTTTATGTATATTATACATTAGTAAAAGTTTTGCATAAGAAGGAGAGTGATTTAAATAAGCTTCATGGCAAGGAAACATACATGTAACATTCTAAAATAATATACAACATAATCATTAGCTAAAATATATGTATGTTTATGGGTATAAAAATATCCTATAACCTAATAAAGACTTAATAATTGTGTTTCATTAAATGAAAACATTTTGGGCCGGGTGTGGTGGCTCACTCCTGTAATTCCAGCACTTCGGGAGGCCGAGGTGGGTGGATCACCTGAGGTCAGGAGTTCGAGCCCAGCCTGGCCAACATGGAGAAACTCTGTCTCTACTAAAAATACAAAATTAGCCAGGCATGGTGGCGCATGCCTGTAATCCCAGCTGCTCTGGAGGCTGAGGCAGGAGAATTGCTTGAACCCAGGAGGCGGAGGTTGCGGTGAGCTGAAATTGCGCCATTGCACTCCAGCCTGGGCAACAAGATCAAAACTCTGTCCCAAAAAAGAAAAATAATAATAATAAAATAAAAAAAAAATAAAACATTTTGTAATTTGGATCAATTATAAATATTGTAACTTCTACCAGTGAAGAAGATTCCTATTACAATCAGTTGATGTAAACATCTATTGTTTTGTTATAATGAAGGTTAGACTGGTATCATAAGATATTGTCTTCAAAATTTTGTTTGAATAAAAGAAATTATTGGAAATACAAGCATTTCTCAAACAATAATACACTCCTGCAGAATGAATACCTATTAAAGGTCATGCTTATATAATTAGTGTCATAATTGGCCCTCTTTGTAAAAGTTTGAGGGAATTAACTTTATTTAATAAAATGAAACTTAAGTTTGGGATTATTTTCCACTATGCACAAGATTAACTAATTTATAATTATTTAATGTGTGAGAACATTAACCGCCTTTAAAATGAACTAACTGCTTAAGAGGCACATAGTGACCCAGCAGTGCCTACACTTGTATATTTAGATTATATGTCCCCATAGATATCTACCTATCTATCTATCTATCTATCTATCTCTCTATCCTGAAATATACATACTGATACATCTACTGAAAATGTTTACATGCAAAGCAAAAAAAGATCACTATGTAATAGGTGCTGATATATACAAAAATAATAACATTAAAACGAAAACCAAAAAATCTTGGAATCGAGAAACTAGAAACTTGAGATTTAGCTCTAGTTCCTCCTATAGAATGTAGCTTTACATGTCATAGCTAATTGAAATAAAACTAGTGCTAACTCATTAGTTCTATTTATTCATTAGTTCAGCATATATTTATCAAATACCTACTGCATGCCAGATATTTCCATGCCACAGAATTTAAATAAATAGAATTATTACTCATTTCCAGTTTTACACTTCTGTGGATATGGAAATAATTAACTGCAGTGGGATAATAGCATTGGTTATGCAGAAAGATCCACAGGTACACACATAAGAGGATAACAGTGAGGAGAAGGCCAAAGCCCAGTTGTGATTCTTTATTCCTTTTTGTCACTTGTACCATTGTATTCGGACCCACGCTAGGCATTTAAAATAAAAATCAGACTACTTGCCAGGTGCACTGCTCATGCCTATCCCAGCATTTTGGGAAGCCAAGGAGGAAGGATCACTGGAGGTCAGGAGTTTAAGACTAGCCTGGGCAACACCATGAGACCCTGTTTCTACAAATAATAATAATATATAATAATAATAATAAAAATCCAGGTGTGTGGCATGTGCCTGTAGTCCTAGCTAACTGGAGTCTGAGGTGGGAGGATACCCTGAGCCCAGGAGTTGGAGGTTACAGTGAGCTATGATCACTGCACTGCACTCCAGCCTGGGTGACAGAGCAAGACCCTGTCTCTAAAAGTTACCTGAGATATTCCTAGGAAAGTATTTTACTTAGATACCTTTAATATTTTCACAACCTTTCACAGAATATGTAGTAGTAATGATGACTAAAACTTTAAAGACCATAAAATATTTATTAACAATGGCGTTCTATAAAGTCTGCTGTGGTATACAGATTATCAGAGATTTTTCTATACAATTGGATTGTCTATGCTACAATCCAATGGTTGTTCATGATGCTTCTAATCCCAGATTTACAGACTTAGCAAGAGTATGGCTTATGCTTTAAAAAGTTTGAATAGACTACTCTCATTTTACAAATGAACAAAATACTTGCTTCCTAAAGTTCAATTTATAGTCTAAAACAAACACGTGAAGAAAGTTAAGCTTACAAATTTTAAGCAAAGAAATGAGGATTTCTAACCAAAGTTTCAACTAAAATCTAACCCAGGTATATGTGGGCATGTGTGTGTGGTATGCATGTGTGTGTGGGTATGCATGTGTGTGTGGGTATGCTTGCTCTGTTTGTGACACTGTATTCTTTCAACACATTTTGATTAACTGACAGAATGGTTTTCAAACATTTGTCTCCAAATTCCTAACCGGGATAAACTATCTGATTTCTGAGATATACATCAGGGATCAGTCCACTGTCTTTATAAATTACAATTCATTGACTGTGTTTTCTGTTTCCAATCTCATCAAGAAGTACAGTATCTAGTTGTACCATATCTGACTACTGTCTGTCAACAATTGGATCTCTTAGTATATTTGAAATGAGAAGCTACAACACAGTGATTGTGTCCTTGAAATAAGATTTCAAGAGTCTTTAATTCATGTTCTTTATTCCTTGCCTTCTTACTCTGCTCTCCATCACTCTTTATTCCTTTCTTCAATATTGAGACATACACAGAACATCATTTGAGGAATGGAGAATTGAGTCATGTGCCATGTTTGCACATAGCTTTAATGTGATTGTCTATGATTCCGTAGGCAAACATAAGAACACCGAATTGCACACAAAGTCTGTAATCATATCATCTGTGGCTACAGATGGAAAACAGCCTGCACAAACAGGAGGTATTGTTAACCAGGTGGATTTCCAGTTTCAATATGTTTGAACAAATTTTGGGGTAACACAAAGACATTAGCAACTGGGCAATGCTGAAGAGGCGTCAGAAGGCACTGTCAACTCCAATCTTAAACATTTTTCAGAAAATTAAAGAATTATTTGAATAATCTTAGTATATCTGAGCCACCTGTTTGTGTATTTAGCTTATTTCCTCATATATTTATTTAAATTTTTTAAATTTTTTTGGATACGTAGATGATATATATATATATATATGTAGTTACAGAGCTAGTGAGATATTTTGACACACGCACGCAATGCGTAATAATCACATCAGGGTAAATGGGGTATCCACCACCTCAAGCATTTATCTTTAGTGTTACAAACAATCCAATTATACACTTAGTTTTTAAAAAATCTACAGTTAAATTATTGCTGACTATAGTCACCCTGCGGTGTTATCAAATATCAGATTGTATTCATTCTTTCTATTTTTTGTACCCATTAGCCATCCCCATTTCCCCCCCATCCCCCATACAGCTTTTATTGTGCCGCCAACCTCCTCTCCTCTCTCTGAGTTTGGCATTCCCTGTGACATGACCTGTAATTCAAAGAAACAACCTCCAAATTAGCTGGATGCTCTCAACCTCTAAAGAGTTTAGAATCAGGAAACATCATTATTTATGCCACGTCTGTTCTCATATCTTATTTGCCTTTATTTTCTTTAACAATATCTGGCTTTTGCACATTCAATGAATGCCATGATCGGCAGCAGAGGAGTGGATGGGTTTTCCTGCGATTGTCCTCCCCTTTTCCCCACTGTTTCTCACAGAGGTGACCGCAGTGACTTCCTGACGCTCTCTGATAGGGAAGCTCCTCCACCTCCTCACCAGGCTGCCTGGCGCGCTCAGCCCATCCCGATTCCAGGACGTCCCTGTCCTCCCCAGGGCCTCTAACAGGCAGCATTGGGTAAAACACCGGTTTCAACTTTCACCTTCAGGACCACTTCCTTCCTAAGTGCCTTATTCAGCAGGAAAGGGAAACCTGTGTTGGGGTGTGGAGTTTTCCTCTCAGATTAGCATGCTTCTCTGGCTGCTGGCAAAATTAGAAAAGCGTCGAGGATAAAATGGCTTTATTTTATTTAATGTCACCAGTAGGGGAAATTTTTAACATCGACACCCAGCAAGCCGGCCCCCTTAGGCTTCAGAAGTCACCCCCGCTTTTCACAGAACCTATATAACACTTTACCTCTGAAAATGATTTCTGACTATGACCCGGATATCAAAATTAGGAAACAGCCAAAAAGCATTTCCTTTCTTTTATGTTTTTTTTTGTGCCAGTTGCCCTCCCTGAGTCTTTTCATTTACCCTGGCAGAGATTTGTCTCTTTGCCTTTAAAAGTTAAATCCACCTTCATCGCACAATGTAGAAAGAAGTGAAATTAAACTGCAGTGTGTTCCAGAGGAGAAAATCTACTTTTTTCATCTCTCAGCCCTACTTTAACTTAAACTGACCTAATTACAGCCCACACCAGAAGAAGCGGAAGAGCTGAAGGAGCGCTTCTGCCACCTAGTGGAAAGATCCTTGAACTGTGCATGGAGACTTCCACTTTTTTTTTTTTTTTTTTGCTTTATTTTTGAAATGTCTGGCACAGAAGTGCAAATGACCTTCTCTAGTCTCTGCATGAATACTGAGGATATGCATCACACACTGCTCTGTTCCTTTGGAAATTCAAAATGTAACGGTCTTCTAAAGAACTCTATTTAGAGAAGGTTGAATTAATGGCTCTTCAGATGAACTATACCTTGAAAACTATTTTATTAAGACCATATGACATTTCATGAAAGTTAAATGGAAAACGATAATGCAAATATTAATACCCTTTAAAGCAATGTTTTAAATATTATGTCTTGGATTTAATGTTTAGGGATGTTAGCACCCTCCCCACTAAATCAATTACTCTTCCTCGTAGCCACTGCACGGTTTAGCTAGCTGAATGATTTCTTCAGTGCAGCTCCTGGCTTGTTTATTTGTTTGCTTTTAGGAGTGGTACTGGACATTTAAGAATGCTTCGTTCTCTTCTCCTGGCTTCATTAACGAGTTATTGATCAATGACTTGAAAGAAAAACTTGGATGAAAAATTTAGTCAGCCCTGAATCACCAATGCTAATTAAAACCAGGGAAAGGAAGGAAAATGAAAGACGTTTACAATGCCCAAATCTCGGGGTAGCTGATCTCCTCCTTCACCAAAGCATCAATACAGCAGCCATGAGCTGCTCAGCCTGGCATTTCTGCCTGTGTCATTGAGCAAAGAAATGTCCCCCATGCAAAAATATCCTTGAGCATATAAAGCAAAGGAATCGGCTGTGTGCAGTGGTTAAATCAATTCTGGAATCATTAGGGTAAGTAATGTGTAGGGTCACACTTGCATCTCTTTTAACAAAATATTCAAATTGATGTGATAATCTACATTGTTATATTAGGGCACACTTCAATATCCTGGCTACAGATTGCTTATCATATTAAAACTAAACACAAAATTGGTTTAAAAAAAAGAAAGAAAAAAAAGTTTGTCATTATTTATAAAGACTCCATGAATAGCTAAGGTTCTCATGGTCTTGTTTAGAGTCTTGGTGATGCAAGAGAATATCTATATGAGTTATAGCTTAACAAACCTGTTTTATTTTATAAAAACTTAGCTTGTATTTAAAAAGTTTTCATTACTTATACATCAAATATGAATTCGAGAAGCAAGTACGAGCCAGTCCCTGTAGTAGACACACGGTTTACATAGATACAAGCAAAAATGAACAGGGCTGGGCTCTGATACGGGTTAATTTGATTCTTCCTTAACTCTCTACACCATGGACACTAACATAAGAAATGATGTGTATATACTGCACAGTCTCTAAAAACCACTCTTTTCAACTCTGCTTGTTCTATCTTAATTCAGATCCTCTTTATTTTTAGCCTTGATTATTTCAGCTGCTTTATTTCCTAGCAGGTCAACCTATGCTCAGTTTGTGTCTGAGCAAACTTGAATTGTGTCTACTACAATTCACATTCACTCTTTCCACACTTTTCAGAATCATGTTGTCTCTAGTTAAAAGCAGGTATTAATTAATTGATAAATTTTAAAAGGCCAGCTTAAAATCTTCCAAATTATGGCCAATTGAACTGATTTACTTCATAGAACTCTCTTCCTACAGCCAGCTTGGTGCTAATGTTTACACATAAGTTGTTTCTTCTGAGAAAGATTTCATGATTATCTTCTCAAACATGAATAATTTTCTTGAAACTTCCTTAAGATGGATTTATATCATTTTCTGCATTATTTCACTTAGTGCTTTCTACCTTGGACAACTGTTATCTCCTCATATAAATTTTACATTAAAAAATAAAACCTGACACCAAGTTTTGCTGAACTTGGCCACGAGTACTGAGAAATTCCAGTGCAATTTCATAGAATTCTAGGTAGGTAAAATGCTAATGACTTTTCTAAGAGTTGTTTTTGCCACACTGTTTTACTGTTCAGCTTAGAGCCTCAACATAGTAGGATGGGAGAGAGAGAGAAAGAGGACATAGAGAAGAGAGAGAGAGGAGAGAGAGAGAGAGAGAAAGGAAAAGGGAGAGATGGGAGAAAATATTGAAAACTGAGTAAAGGATAGGAAATGATGATGGGGGTGTTATTATAAATCTTTTGTTAGAGAGGGTATTTCCCACAGGAAAGGGAAAGAGGAGATTAAGAAAGAAAGAAGAAAGGGAAGCTGAATGAAAAGTAATAGAGGCTAGTAAAGATAGGAAAATAATCAGAAATAAAGGAAATGTTTAGTTTTTATTGAAATGTACTATACACTGGGCATTACAGTGGTCACACCACACATATCATGTTGGATGCTTCTCAAAAATGTTGAGCTAGCTATCATGTCCATCTTTCAGGTTAACAGTCTGAAGATTCGTAGGGCTCTTTGTAACACAAATAGCTGCACCGAAATCAAATCCCATGTCATTCAGGCTTCAAAAGCTAAGTTATTTCTTGAATAGCTGTTCTGGGGCTAGTGATTGGTAGAAAATCTGATGATGTGATGAGCTGACATCAAGGGAATAATGTTTCTCGTTAACATTATGGAAGACTATGGGGGAGGGAGGTACGCTTTTTTGTAAGAAAGGTAAAGCCAGATATAAACTGTAAGAGATGAGTTAATAGAAATTTGGGGAATGTCCTCATCTTTACTTTGAATGAATAAAAGATCTGTATATGAAAACCATTGGTCCAGCAAAATGGATAAATTTTAAATGATTAATGTATATCATCGCTTTAATTTCAAATGATAATATAATAGTTACTTTCTTTTATTCGAAAGAATTTCCTGAGTACCTACCATGTTTCAGGCCCTCTTTTACATACTGGTGAACAGCATGAAGCCAGGAAGTTCCTGCATAATTACTTTTTTAAGGAGAGGGAAAGATACATGGAAAAAACAATGTATAATATAGACAGAGCCGGGCCTAGTGAACATGCATAGTCCCAGCTACTTGGGAGGCTGAGGCAGGAGGATCGCTTGAGCCCAGGAGTTCCAGGTTACAGTGAGCTATGATCTCGCCACTACACTCCAGCCTGGGCAACAGAGTGAAATCCTGTCTTTAAAAATAAGAAAAACTGGAGGAGGAGCCAAGATGGCCGAATAGGAACAGCTCCGGTCTACAGCTCCCAGCGTGAGCGATGCAGAAGACGGGTGATTTCTGCATTTCCATCTGAGGTACCGGGTTCATCTCACTAGGGAGTGCCAGACAGTGGGCGCAGGCCAGTGGGTGCACGCACCGTGCGCGAGCCGAAGCAGGGCGAGGCATTGCCTCACCTGGGAAGCGCAAGGGGTCAAGGAGTTCCCTTTCCCAGTCAAAGAAAGGGGTGACGGACACACCTGGAAAATCGGGTCACTCCCACCCGAATATTGCGCTTTTCAGACCGGCTTAAAAAACGGCGCACCACGAGACTATATCCCACACCTGGCTCGGAGGGTCCTGCGCCCACGGAATCTCGCTCATTGCTAGCACAGCAGTCTGAGATCAAACTGCAAGGTGGCAGCGAGCCTGGGGGAGGGGCGCCCGCCATTGCCCAGGCTTGCTTAGGTAAACAAAGCAGCCGGGAAGCTCGAACTGGGTGGAGCCCACCACAGCTCAAGGAGGCCTGCCTGCCTCTGTAGGCTCCACCTCTGGGGGCAGGGCACAGACAAACAAAAAGACAGCAGTAACCTCTGCAGACTTAAATGTCCCTGTCTGACAGCTTTGAAGAGAGCAGTGGTTCTCCCAGCACGCAGCTGGAGATCTGAGAACGGGCAGACTGCCTCCTCAAGTGGGTCCCTGACACCTGACCCCCGAGCAGCCTAACTGGGAGGCACCCCGCAGCAGGGGCACAATGACACCTCACACGGCCCGGTACTCCAACAGACCTGCAGCTGAGGGTGCTGTCTGTTAGAAGGAAAACTAACAAACAGAAAGGAAATCCACACCAAAAACCCATCTGTACATCACCATCATCAAAGACCAAAAGTAGATAAAACCACAAAGCTGGGGAAAAAACAGAACAGAAAAACTGGAAACTCTAAAACGCAGAGCGCCTCTCCTCCTCCAAAGGAACGCAGTTCCTCACCAGCAACGGAACAAAGCTGGATGGAGAATGACTTTGACGAGCTGAGAGAAGAAGACTTCAGACGATCAAATTACTCTGAGCTACGGGAGGACATTCAAACCAAAGGCAAAGAAGTTGAAAACTTTGAAAAAAATTTAGAAGAATGTATAACTAGAATAACCAATACAGAGAAGTGCTTAAAGGAGCTGATGGAGCTGAAAACCAAGGCTCGAGAACTATGTGAAGAATGCAGAAGCCTCAGGAGCCGATGCGATCAACTGGAAGAAAGGGTATCAGCAATGGAAGATGAAATGAATGAAATGAAGTGAGAAGGGAAGGTTAGAGAAAAAAGAATAAAAAGAAATGAGCAAAGCCTCCAAGAAATATGGGACTATGTGAAAAGACCAAATCTACGTCTGATTGGTGTACCTGAAAGTGATGCGGAGAATGGAACCAAGTTGGAACACACTCTGCAGGATATTATCCAGGAGAACTTCCCCAATCTAGCAAGGCAGGCCAATGTTCAGATTCAGGAAATACAGAGAACGCCACAAAGATACTCCTCGAGAAGAGCAACTCCAAGACACATAATTGTCAGATTCACCAAAGTTGAAATGAAGGAAAAAATGTTAAGGGCAGCCAGAGAGAAAGGTCGGGTTACCCTCAAAGGGAAGCCCATCAGACTAACAGCGGATCTCTCAGCAGAAACCCTACAAGCCAGAAGAGAGTGGGGGCCAATATTCAACATTCTTAAAGAAAAGAATTTTCAACCCAGAATTTCATATCCAGCCAAACTAAGCTTCATAAGTGAAGGAGAAATAAAATACTTTACAGACAAGCAAATGCTGAGAGATTTTGTCACCACCAGGCCTGCCCTAAAAGAGCTCCTGAAGGAAGCGCTAAACATGGAAAGGAACAACCGGTACCAGCCGCTGCAAAATCATGCCAAAATGTAAAGACCATCGAGACTAGGAAGAAACTGCATCAACTAACGAGCAAAATCACCAGCTAACATCATAATGACAGGATCAAATTCACACATAACAATATTAACTTTAAATGTAAATGGACTAAATGCTCCAATTAAAAGACACAGACTGGCAAGTTGGATAAAGAGTCAAGACCCATCAGTGTGCTATATTCAGGAAACCCATCTCACGTGCAGAGACACACATAGGCTCAAAATAAAAGGATGGAGGAAGATCTACCAAGCAAATGGAAAACAAAAAAGGCAGGGGTTGCAATCCTAGTCTCTGATAAAACAGACTTTAAACCAACAAAGATCAAAAGAGACAAAGAAGGCCATTACATAATGGTAAAGGGATCAATTCAACAAGAGGAGCTAACTATCCTAAATATATATGCACCCAATACAGGAGCACCCAGATTCATAAAGCAAGTCCTAAGTGACCTGCAAAGAGCCTTAGACTCCCACACATTAATAATGGGAGACTTTAACACCCCACTGTCAACATTAGACAGATCAACGAGACAGAAAGTCAACAAGGATACCCAGGAATTGAACTCAGCTCTGTACCAAGAGGACCTAATAGACATCTACAGAACTCTCCACGCCAAATCAACAGAATATACATTTTTTTCAGCACCACACCACACCTATTCCAAAATTGACCACATAGTTGGAAGTAAAGCTCTCCTCAGCAAATGTAAAAGAACAGAAATTATAACAAACTATCTCTCAGACCACAGTGCAATCAAACTAGAACTCAGGATTAAGAATCTCACTCAAAGCCGCTCAACTACATGGAAACTGAACAACCTGCTCCTGAATGACTACTGGGTACATAATGAAATGAAGGCAGAAATAAAGATGTTCTTTGAAACCAACGAGAACAAAGACACAACATACCAGAATCTCTGGGATGCATTCAAAGCAGTGTGTAGAGGGAAATTTATAGCACTAAATGCCCACAAGAGAAAGCAGGAAAGATCCAAAATTGACACCCTAACATCACAATTAAAAGAACTAGAAAAGCAAGAGCAAACACATTCAAAAGCTAGCAGAAGGCAAGAAATAACTAAAATCAGAGCAGAACTGAAGGAAATAGAGACACAAAAAACCCTTCAAAAAATCAATGAATCCAGGAGCTGGTTTTTTGAAAGGATCAACAAAATTGATAGACCGCTAGCAAGACTAATAAAGAAAAAAAGAGAGAAGAATCAAATAGACACAATAAAAAATGATAAAGGGGATATCACCACTGATCCCACAGAAATACAAACTACCATCAGAGAATACTATAAACACCTCTACGCAAATAAACTAGAAAATCTAGAAGAAATGGATACATTCCTCGACACATACACTCTCCCAAGACTAAACCAGGAAGAAGTTGAATCTCTGAATAGACCAATAACAGGAGCTGAAATTGGGGCAATAATCAATAGTTTACCAACTAAAAAGAGTCCAGGACCAGATGGATTCACAGCCGAATTCTACCAGAGGTACAAGGAGGAACTGGTACCATTCCTTCTGAAACTATTCCAATCAACAGAAAAAGAGGGAATCCTCCCTAACTCATTTTATGAGGACAGCATCATTCTGATACCAAAGCCGGGCAGAGACACAACCAAAAAAGATAATTTTAGACCAATATCCTTGATGAACATTGATGCAAAAATCCTCAATAAAATACTGGCAAACCGAATCCAGCAGCATATCAAAAAGCTTATCCACCATGATCAAGTGGGCTTCATCGCTGGGATGCAAGGCTGGTTCAATATACGCAAATCAATAAATGTCATCCAGCATATAAACAGAGCCAAAGACAAAAACCACATGATTATCTCAATAGATGCAGAAAAAGCCTTTGACAAAATTCAACAACCCTTCATGCTAAAAACTCTCAATAAATTAGGTATTGATGGGACATATTTCAAAATAATAAGAGCTATCTATGACAAACCCATAGCCAATATCATACTGAATGGGCAAAAACTGGAAGCATTCCCTTTGAAAACTGGCACAAGACAGGGATGCCCTCTCTCACCGCTCCTATTCAACATAGTGTTGGAAGTTCTGGCCTGGGCAATCAGGCAGGAGAAGGAAATAAAGGGTATTCAATTAGGAAAAGAGGAAGTCAAATTGTCCCTGTTTGCAGACGACATGATTGTTTATCTAGAAAACCCCATCGTCTCAGCCCAAAATCTCCTTAAGCTGATAAGCAACTTCAGCAAAGTCTCAGGATACAAAATCAATGTACAAAAATCACAAGCATTCTTATACACCAACAACAGACAAACAGAGAGCCAAATCATGAGTGAACTCCCATTCACAATTGCTTCAAAGAGAATAAAATACCTAGGAATCCAACTTACAAGGGATGTGAAGCACCTCTTCAAGGAGAACTACAAACCACTGCTCAAGGAAATCAAAGAGGATACAAACAAATGGAAGAACATTCCATGCTCATGGGTAGGAAGAATCAATATCGTGAAAATGGCCATACTGCCCAAGGTAATTTACAGATTCAATGCCATCCCCATCAAGCTACCAATGACTTTCTTCACAGAATTGGAAAAAACTACTTTAAAGTTCATATGGAACCAAAAAAGAGCCCGCATCGCCAAGTCAATCCTAAGCCAAAAGAACAAAGCTGGAGGCATCACACTACCTGACTTCAAACTATACTACAAGGCTACAGTAACCAAAACAGCATGGTACTGGTACCAAAACAGACATATAGATCAATGGAACAGAACAGAGCCCTCAGAAATAACGCCGCATACCTACAACTATCTGATCTTTGACAAACCTGAGAAAAACAAACAATGGGGAAAGGATTCCCTATTTAATAAATGGTGCTGGGAAAACTGGCTAGCCATATGTAGAAAGCTGAAACTGGATCCCTTCCTTACACCTTATACAAAAATCAATTCAAGATGGATTAAACATTTAAACGTTAGACCTAAAACCATAAAAACCCTAGAAGAAAACCTAGGCATTACCATTCAGGACATAGGCATGGGCAAGGACTTCATGTCCAAAACACCAAAAGCAATGGCAACAAAAGACAAAATTGACAAATGGGATCTAATTAAACTAAAGAGCTTCTGCACAGCAAAAGAAACTACCATCAGAGTGAACAGGCAACCTACAAAATGGGAGAAAATTTTCGCAACCTACTCATCTGACAAAGGGCTAATATCCAGAATCTACAATGAACTCAAACAAATTGACAAGAAAAAAACAAACAACCCCATCAAAAAGTGGGCGAAGGACATGAACAGACACTTCTCAAAAGAAGACATTTATGCAGCCAAAAAACACATGAAAAAATGCTCATCATCACTGGCCATCAGAGAAATGCAAATCAAAACCACAATGAGATACCATCTCACACCAGTTAGAATGGCAATCATTAAAAAGTCAGGAAACAACAGGTGCTGGAGAGGATGTGGAGAAATAGGCACATTTTTACACTGTTGGTGGGACTGTAAACTAGTTCAACCATTGTGGAAGTCAGTGTGGCGATTCCTCAGGGATCTAGAACTAGAAATACCACTTGACCCAGCCATCCCATTACTGGGTATATACCCAAAGGACTATAAATCATGCCGCTATAAAGACACATGCACACGTATGTTTATTGCGGCATTACTCACAATAGCAAAGACTTGGAACCAACCCAAATGTCCAACAATGATAGACTGGATTAAGAAAATGTGGCACATATACACCATGGAATACTATGCAGCCATAAAAAATGATGAGTTCATGTCCTTTGTAGGGACATGGATGAAATTGGAAATCATCATTCTCAGTAAACTATCACAAGAACAAAAAACCAAACACCGCATGTTCTCACTCATAGGTGGGAATTGAACAATGAGATCACATGGACACATGAAGGGGAATATCACACTCTGGGGACTGTGGTGGGGTGGGGGGAGCGGGGAGGGATAGCATTGGGAGATATACCTAAGGCTAGATGATGAGTTAGTGGGTGCAGCGCACCAGCATGGCACATGTATACATATGTAACTAACCTGCACAATGTGCACATGTACCCTAAAACTTAAAGTATAATAAAAAAAAAAAGAAAAAAAAAACAATGTATAATATAAAGGTTTTTTTTGATGAGTAAGTGCTCTAAAATACACAAAAATGGCAATAATCAAAAAATATTAGATGTTGGCAGGGATGTGGTGAAAAGGGAACACTTTTATACCGTTGGTGGGAATGTAAACTAGTACAACCACTATGGAAAGCAGTGTGGAGATTCTTTAAAGAATTAAAAGTAGATCTATCCTTTGATCCAGCAGCCCACTACTAGGTACCTACCCAGAGGAAAAGAAGTCATTATACGAAAAGGATACTTGTACACACACACGTTTATAGCAGCACAATTGACAATTGCAAAAATATGCAACCAACCCAAATGCCCATCAATCAATGAGTGGATTAAGAAACTGTGATATATATGTATACCATGGAATACTACTCGGCCATAAAAAGGAATGAAATAATGGCACTCACAGCAGCCTGGATGGAATTGGAGACCACTCTTCTAAGTGAACTAATTCAGTAATGGAAAACTAAACATTGTATGTTCTCACTCAGGTGTGGGAGCTAAGCTATGAGGATGCAAAGGCATAAGAATGATACATGGAACGTTGGAAACTCGGGGGAAAGGGGGAGAGCGGCGAGGGATAAAAGATTGCACACTGCTTGGGTGCTGGGTGCACCGAAATCTCAGAAATCACCCCTAGGGAACTTATGCATGTAACCAAACACCACCTGTTCCCCAAAAACCTATTGAAATAAAAAATAAAAAATTTTAAAAACAAAAATAAATATATAAAGCAGAGTAAGGATAAGGAGAGGAGGAGTGTGTTGTTTTTGAGATAGTCATCAGGAAGACAATAAAGTGAAGGAATGAGTGGCGTGGATATCGTGGGAAGAGCAGTAGAAGCCAACGACCAGTGCAAAGTCTCTGGGGAAGGTGCAATTTATGTCTTTAAGGGACAACAAGGGCTGGAGCATAATGAACAAGAGACACAGTGGGAGGAGAAGGAGTTTGAAAGGTGGAGAGAGGCCTTACCATGTATGGCCTGTGCTTCTGGATGGACTTTTTCATTAGGTGCAGTAGGCACAATGCCTAGAGCCCACAGTAATTTCAGAAGTTCAAAAAATATTTTAATGTTTTACAATCCGAAGACAAAAATGAATTTTAAATTAAAAAATATTTTAATATATGCTATAAATATATTTATCTCTATACCAAGGCAGTTGTGAAATACAATGTTCAATTTTTTTTTTATAGAGGAAGACATCCATGGAAGCAAAATTGCCCAAGGCCTATGAAAGTCACAATGTGCCCCAGCTTAGAGACAGGAATGTCAATGAAAGTTGTAATCAGGGAAGAGAAGGCATACTTTGAGAAAAAAGGAGCCTTGGCCTGAGAATTGGGAAGAAAGGGAGGGTCCTACAAAGAAAACTGAAAAGGAATAGTCAAGAGAAAGGGGAAAAGTAAAAATTCTCCATCCCTGGAACCAAGCCAATAAAGTGTTATAAGAATGAACATTCAATTTTCCTGGATAAAATGCAACATGAACTTGTTCCTTTACTTTGCCTTGGATTTAAGCTTAGAAACTGAGGATATCTGGTGAAAAGAATCAGACAACTGTCCCCCCCCAGTTGCTGATACATGTCTTTTATTCCTTATTTGTCCACACTAAGCACCTGGATTGTCACTGGCACCCTCTAGATAATATCTTTTTGCGGAAAATATTTAGCTTTTATTAGGAAAATTTTGCCAAATAAAATTGGGTGCTATCTTTTTTAACTTTAAGAAATAATTCACTTAATAAAATATATAGTATTACCTAACACAAGAATGATTAAAACCAATTATAAAATCCATAACTTTCTTAAATACTACTGTCATTGATCTTTCCACTTTTAGTCTTATTTTAATTTAGTGTGGTTTATATTGTTTGCTAAAATTCTTGATTGTGCTTTTGCTTTCCTTCAGGATATATCTAAGTCACTTAAACTTAAATTATCTTTATTTCTGCCCCTCAGATGCTTAGTTGAAAAGTGATAATACTAGTGTACTCTTCATAGATTTGTCACAAAATAAGTAAAATATTACAAAGAAAGGACAATGCCTAACACACAAGAACTGTTTAGTAGCTTCTTACTTCCATGCTTTATAGTTTTCTATTTATCAGTAGTTTCTGACTTCCATGCTTTATATTTTTCTATTTATCAGTAGTTTCTGACTTCCATGCTTTATATTTTTCTATTTATCCTCTATTTCAACAAATTATTTATCTATCAGCCTACCTATATCTGTTTGTGTGTGTGTGTGCATGTGTGTTTATAATGTGAGTTAGGCCCTCCTCTAGGTTCTTGAAAATATACCAGTGAATATGCCAATTCAAAAATTCTTCCATGGTAGAAATTAAATTTTAGAGGAGTAGACAATAAACATTAAACAAAATATTGTGAGGAAAAATGCAAATTCTTACAAGTTTGAATACATAGCTTTATTTCATTTGAATTAATTAAGGGATTGAGACCTATAGATATCTGGCGGAGAGCATTGCAGACATGAAGAACTGCCAGTATACTAAGGGTGGCCCTTGGTGGATGTGCTCCATAAAGGGTAGAAAGCCAATGTGGCTGAAAGAGAGTAAGAAAGAAAGTAGTAGATGTTGAAGGAAGAGCATTAACATGCCATTCAGCATGTAGGGCCTAGAAAGCTTTCATTAAAATGCTGGCTTATAATCTTGTGGAATTAGAGTACCCTTGAAATATTCTGAATGATGGGTGACATTATCCTAAATGAAACAAGATCACAGAGGCTCCTATGTTGAAAATTGATATTTTGTGAACAAAATTTTGGAAGCTACAGGGGAAATACAAGTAAGGCATAAGAACGACTTGGACTGAGATAGTAACATGAGAAGTAGTTAGAATCTAGCTATATTTGATGACCCATCAGTGTTTTCTAAAGAAATGTCTTAGAATGTAGGAAGAAGACAGAAGTCAAGAGGATGACTCCAAAGTTTTGATCTTTAAAACTGGATGGAGGTAGTTGCTATATTATGGTAAAGGGAAAGACTGAGAATAGGGCAAATTTGGAGGAAAGGATCAGGAGTTCTAATATGGACATATATGTTTGAGTTGTCTATTTGAAATGCAAATGGAGAAGATGAATAAGTAGTTGCATATCTGAAGCTTTAATTTAAGTGGCGATATCTAGAGATATATTCAGAGGTTTCAGAATACTAATGGCATTTCAAGTCATGACACTGCATGAAGTCACCAAGAGACAATATTGATAGCAAAGAGCAGAATTTTTAAAATATTCTCAATTCTGGAGTATCCCATTATTAAGAAATCTAAAAGAGGGAAAATCTGCAAAGGAGACTAACAGGTGTGGCCATGGAGATAGGCAAACAACAAGAGAGTGTTGTTTTGGAAACCCATTGAAAAGTGATAGTAGGAGGGAAAGTTATTCAACATGGTTCTGCTGCTTGCAAGTTAAGTAAGATAAACACTGAGAACTGATCATTGGATTTATCAACACAGAGATCATTAATGACCTGGACTAGGTAAGTACTTGCAGAGTGTGGGGAAGAAAGCATGATTGGAGTGGGCTCAAGAAAGAACAAGAGAAGTGAAGAAAGTAAATATATAGCATAAACAAATATACCAGTATAGAGCATTCAATATTATTAATGTTCATGTAATTGCAAACATTTAATAAATCACTCATGACTACTATGAGCCTCAAGATAAAGCATAACAAATTACTGAGCTTTCTCAGAATTAAGCAGATAATAAATCAACAGAATTTAAATAGATGCAAAAAATCTCTACCTAACAAAATAATTTTATTGTTGTTGTTATTGATTTTTTTAAAAAGCTAAATGTAAGAATTTCTTGCAATTGAAGGAATGGCAAAAACCATAATTAGTTTTGCACAAACGTAATATAACAAACACCCAGAAAGAAGTACTCTGAAGCCATTAAGCCCATGTGACATTGAGTCTAAGGTCAAATCATATGGTCAGAGTGCACTCCGTACCACTTTCAGAATCAGCAGTGCTTGTACATTCCTCTTATAGCTGCATCTCAGATGTTTTCTTTATATTCTTTGAACTTCAAAATTAGCCATAGTTTAGTTTTAGATTTTCAAAAGTGACCTTTTATACAGGAATCACCAGTGAATGGACCACGTACACAAAAATGTCTTGAACCTTGCAAGCTAAGTATTGTTAAAATTAGAAAGTACATATTCCCTTAAATAAAACAATGGAGTTCAAAAATAATTTAAGACAAATACCTAATATTGATAAATTGACAGAAATTGAATAAAATTTACTCTCTTACAAGACAATATAAGGCAAAACAAAGAAAGTTCAAACTTGATTTATCATTTACCTATGATTGGTATCCTTAGAAATTCTTATGTCTTCAGTGTGTCTAGTTAAAAGAATAGAACCCATTTTCTCACTAAGGTGAGGAGAATTTTATGCAAGAAAAATGAATATGGAATTTTAGAAGCATTTTATAAACTATAAGCATAAATAATAAAACCACAGACTATGGATTAAACTCTATTAGTTCTAAAGTATTGAGGTCAAATGAAGAAGACAGAAATAGTCAGTCAAATCACAGAAAGCCATCTTAATGAAAAGCAGGCATGTGATATCTGGATCTGTCTCCTAAAGCATGGTATCATGCAAGAGCTCACTTTATGTAGTTCAAATGAGTTTGCCTAGAAACAGATTAATTCATGATCTTATTATAAAATGTCATTTAGATTTTGGACAGATACTTCTTAGACTCTTTAAGTTAATTCTATTTCAGAGCATGAAGTTGAGTCCAGCAGGGTAAAATGAAGATTTCCCATGAATATCTTAATCCTTAAAGCAAGAAAGCTTTCCACAGAATAAGGCTGAGCATTTGAAGACATGACTTTCCTGGGTTTTTTTTTCCCTATAAAGATTTTAGAGCCTTTTTAAATCCTTTCATTTAGTCTTAAAGTCTGGAAAGCCAGGCTTCAGTATTTCACCTATATGGAAGAAACCCAAACCAAAAATGTGTGTTTAACATAAGGTTTTTTTATGAACTATAAATAGACTCTGTTGCAATAATTTTTAACATTAGCATACAGTCTTTGCAGAATGAACCAAAACATACACATATATGCAATACACATATATTTTATTGAAAAATAAAATAAAAATAGAACATTTGTTCTGTATTAAAAATTCATTAGCATATTTGTGGGAATAAAATATATTCATAAGCTGTTTTAAATATTTAATGCAATTTTACTACCAAATAAATTCATTAAAGAGTAACCTTAAATGGATGTTTTTTCATTTAATAAATATGCCAAGTTTAATTATCCCAATCTAAATAGTATAGAAGGTAGTGAACATTAAATTCACTGTAAAATTATTTTTATGTTGTATTACCTTCATTGATGTCAATTTAATTAAAGTATACATTGGCAAGGAGCAAAATGACTTAATTATTTAAAACAAAACTTAATCATTGCTAGAACAATAATTAAGTGCCCCCAAATGACCCATTCTTTACTTTCCTACAAAACTATTGCATGGAAATAAATTAAGAAAAACCATAATTAGTGCATTTTAAAATATTTTTATCCAATAAATAGAAAATTAAAATCAACCATTTAAGAATATGCTCAAATTTTTGAAAAGCATATAATAAAGTTCTAAATGGGTGTCTAAGGAAACCCTATTTTCCACAATTCTATGTAGGTTTTACATATTAATAACAAACTTTTCTTGAACTACTCTATTTGTATGTTTTTGCCTTCTGGTTTTGAATTTGCTTTTAATAGAAATACAAAGATGTGATGAGACACATTTTTTGTAGATGAGACTCATCTGTATGTATTTTTTTATTTTTTATGTCCTGTTTATATTTGAGCCCCTGGAATTTAGTGAGCAAAAATAAACATGTATTGAATACATGCATGTTTGAATGGATAAATAGACTGAAGAATAAATGAATGCATGAAATAACTTTTTCTTTCCAATTTTAAAAGGAAGATGTTCAGCCTTAAGATGTTAAGTAATTTGCTTAAAGAATTATATGGAAACTTTGAAGATTCTATTGCCAAGCTAAGGACTCTTCACTACAGCATATTAGTATCTGTGGAAATATAATGTAAAAGTGAGTAGGAGTATAAGTTTATAGAGTGACAATTGCTATAGAGGGACAAGATAACAGTAGGTAGTATATTAATATCTGCTTAGATGCTGACTACAATGAGCTATGAGACAAGCAGATCATAAATGGAATAATTACTGGATTAGTATGGTAGATGAAGAAACTAAGAAAAGAGAAGCATCTGTTCAATACCTCATAAGAGAAATCTACAAAACTTGGTGAATGAATGGGTAAATTAAGAGTGCTAAGAAATCAAAGGAAACCCCAAGAAGTATTTATGTGACTATGTGACTGCTATTGTGAATGTTTGTTTCCCCCTCAAAATTCATATGTTGAAACCTAACTTCAAAGTGGTGGTATTAAGATATGAAGCCTTTGGGAGTTGATTAGGCCATAAGGTCATCTCATCAATGGAATTGGTGCTCCCATAAAAGAGGATTGAGGTAACTTGTTTTCCCATTTCACCATGTGAGGACATAGATGGCATCATCTGTGAAGCAAAGAGGGAAGCTTCACCAGACATCAAATCTGCTGGTACCTTGATCTTGAATGTCCCAGCCTCCAGAACTCTGAGCAATAAATTTCTGATGTTTATAAATTACCCAGTCTAAGGTATTTTAACAGTCCAAATAGTCTAATACAGTGGGATCTCTGAAGAATAATGTCTCTATTTTGATTAAAGAAGGAAAAACTAACATGTTGAGAAAGATATGATTATTCCAACTTTCAAAATACTATGATTTGAAGCCAGTGAGGACAACAAAACAAACATGTCTTTTAGGAATTAATTTAAAAGTACAGATTAAAACAAAATGTTAAAATGATAAGTTTGGAAATGAAGAATTGGTCTTTATCCACATTAAAGAAATGCTCGGTTTAAGCCAGGTGTGGTGCCTCACACCGGTAATCCCAGCATTTTGGGAGGCTGAGGTGGGCAGATCACCTGAGGTCAGGAGTTCGAGATCAGCCTAGCTAACATGGTGTAACCCCATCTCTAGTAAAAATACAAAAAAAAAAAAAAATTAGCCGGGCATGGTGGCACATGCCTGTAATCCTGGCTACTCAGGAGCCTGAGGCAGGAGAATCTCTTGAACCTGGGAGGTGGAGGTTGCAGTGAGCAGAGATCGTGCCACTGCCCTCCAGCCTGGGCGATAGAGACTCTGTCTCAAAACAATAAATAAAAAAATAAAGAAATGCTTGAAGTTCTCACATAAATGAATGAATAATACATTGACTTTCTTCTTGTTCCTCTAGAGTTTCTTTCTTTCTTTCTTTCTTTCTTTCTTTCTTTCTTTCTTTCTTTCTTTCTTTCTTTCTTTCTTAATCTTTGGGCCTTCACATTGCTGTACCATCTGCAAAGAATATTCTTACACATATCTCCTTCACATCTTTTAATCATTCAACTATCACTTGAAACATCTCGTCAGCACTTGGTAAACTCAGTACTTGCCATATACAAAGCATGACTTTATGCACTTCACATAAATTAACTCATTTAATCCTAATGAAAACCCTATGAAACAGTACTGTAATAATTATATTTTACTTAAAGCAAGAAATGGAGGCAAGGAAAGTATAAGAAATTTGTAATAACTAGAATCTCAGTAAGTGAGACTTGGACCAAGGCAGTTTGTCTTAATACATGCTCTTAACCACCAATCTATGCTGCTTAAAGTATTTCTTCATCCTCATTTGTAATATTTTAGAATGCATAACCCTCTGAAATTGTCCTGTTCATTTATTTCTTAGTAGGTTTTCTCTTATTTCAGAGAGGATTTACCCATAAAGATGAAATGTCAAACGTCTAAACTTTCAATGTAAGTATGCAATTTAAAAAATATGCACGTCAAGCAGAGAAGTTAAACATTGTCCTAGATTATATTAATTTATATATTCACACTCTTTGTACCATGTGATTTTGCATACCCTCTCATTACAGAGGTGAAATATATTTCTGCTTCCCTTGCCTTTGTGTTTAGCCCTGAAGATTACTGTAGCCAATGGGATATGCATCATAGTAACTTGATAAGAGGCTAGGAAAGAATGTTTGCAATACCTCTGCTTTCACCATTAGAACATGACTAGCTCACTGGTTCAAGGGACTGATCCAGTTGAGTAGAGTCTAATCCCCAGTTTATCTTCAAATTTAGGAACCGAGTAATGATTATTAAGTTATGTCACCGAGGTTTTGTGCTTGTTTGTAATACGGCGCTTTTTATAGTAAGAGCTGATTGATACAGAAATTGGTACCAGAAAAGGGTACTGTCATTATAAAAATCTAAATTTTCTGGCATTGCCTTTACAACAGGCAGCATTCTCTGAGGAAATGGTTAGAAGAGGTTGGGAAAATGCCAAGGGAACTGTTTTAGGAGGATGAAAAATTGGAGATGTGTTTTGTAGTAATGAAATATTTGATAAAACTCTCACGTGAGGTTATTTAGAAGATTGAAAATGCACCTAATGAATTTTTAGAATTGGAAAAGGAGACCTCTGGAGAAAATAAAATGTTGACAGCTTGGGTTTTGCCCTTTTCGGTATAAAAAATAAAAACTAAAAGTAAGAGCTGAGCTCAAAACAGACTTTGTAAGCAGAATGTAGAATTCATATGTAGTTGAGAACTTGTTGGGTTGGAAAACAACAACTTTTTCTCATCTTTAATCATCCAAATCTTCTCAAAATAAGATATAGACAGGGTCAAGAACGTTCCTTCAGTATTATGTTCATGTACGACAATAAAACATGTACACAGCCTTGTTATGTGCTAAAATATATTATAAACTGAGCTGTTTTAAATATGTGGTACTGGTGCATAAATGAGTAGATTAATGGACTATAGCAGGAACAATGATGAGACATGCTTTTGGAGACACCCCAGTACCAGTCTATCTAGGAGGCTGTGAATCAGCAGTTAAAAATGCAGATTTTCTGCCATCAAAGACTGGGGAGGACTGTGGCAAATTAACATGACCACAAATCATTTGTTACTCTTGTTATTGAGGGACAGAGATTTATTCTACTTCCTTTGAACTTGGTCTTGACTTCTATGAACAATAGAAAGAAAAGGTGATATACAGGGTCAATGGAATGCGGCTGACAAATGGCTTCTCCAGCCCTGGGAATGAGCTATCTTGGACATGTAGGCTGATGGAGTCTTCAGATGAGGACATCTACATGAGAGACCCTAAGCAAGGACCAAGCCACTGAGCTCAGTCAACCCACAGAAATCTGAAAGATACTAATAAATTGTGAGATTAAACTACTAATTTGGAAGGTGCTTCATTATAGAACAATAGATAAGTAGGAAGAGGCAGATGATAAAGCTTGAAAACTAAAGAATTAAAATAAATTCAGTCAAAGGTAAGTTCTGTAAAGGAGATAAATAAATTAAAGAGTTCAGGATCCATATATATCCATTGATTGATTTTATTTTGACAGCAGTATCCAGGAAATTAGCCGGAAAGCACTTGGTCTAGGATTAAATGAGTATAAATAACTTACTAACAATTTTGGGATAAATCATTACCTAAAAATTAACAATGAATGCCCTTATGTATCAAAAGAAATGGCATATGAAATAGTCAAATGGTCCTGGCGCGGCGGCTCATGCCTGTAATCCCAGCACTTTGGGAGGCCGAGGCTGGTGGATCACGAGGCCAGGTGTTCGAGACCAGCCTGGCTAACATGGTGAAATCCCATCTCTACTAAAAATACTAGAATAACGAGGCATGGTGGCACACACCTGTAATCCCAGCTACTTGGGAGGCTGAGGCAGGAGAATCAGTTGAACCCAGGAGGCAGAGGTTGCAGTGAGCTGAGATTGCGCCACTGTATTCCAGTCTGGGTGACAGAGCGAGACTCTGTTTCAAAAAAAAAAAGAGAAAGGAATAGTCAAATGGAAAACACTCTCTATTTAAAAAGTAGTTAAAAGAAATATGAGAGCAATTAAAATGTTTATAGAATAAATGCCAAAGATATCAGATTATTTCATATGTAAGGTGCTCATAAAAACAAAGGGAAGTAACATCCTAAATTATAAATGCACAATATAAATGAATGAATAAATATTTTTTAAAAAGCACAAATCGCAAAAAAAGCCAATCTCGTAATTATTAGTAAAATGTAAATTAAAAATTATTGATATATTTCAAACCTTTTTCCTTAGTAAATGAATGTTCAAAAAATAGAATTAGGCAGTCTGTTGGTGAGTGTCAAAAGTAAGCATCTGATATCTTACTACCAGGCAAGCATGTAGCTACAGTGACAGATCCAGGCATACACACCACCCAGAGAACCACATTCACCAGAAAAGTTTTAAGAATAAAAAAACAACTTTTGTTTACTCTACCTAGGTTCAAAAATTCTTAACATTTTGTTTCATTTGCCTTACCAGTTGTTCATTTTTCCCTCTGTCTTACTCTAAATTTATAATGTATTTCTATGTGTCAGTCTTGCTGTGAAATCTATTATTTATTCATAATGTTTATTCTAATTAATTTCATTATAATTTGTCCCTTTATTTATAAACCTTTTAGAGTGTATTTTGTAAGAAGAAGGAATCGAGAGATGTAGCATTATTACTAAAACAGTTTTGTACCAGCAGTTCATATTCAAATGTCCCTAATTGACCAATCAGTTCCTTTAATAGATTTTTTTCTTCTAAGAAATGCAATTTAGTATCACCCATAAGACTAATTGTCATGTTCCTTTTAGCTGCTTTAATCAGAAACTTTCTCAGTCTTTATCTTTTTTCATTTTGACATTTTAAAAATGACAGCCCAATTATTTTGTAGATTATCCCACAATTTGGGAATTCAATGTTTCTTCACAGATAGATTTATGTTATTCATATTTTTGACAGGGGTATTCAAAAATGAGGTTGTATTATTCTCAGTGTATCATATAAGGAGGTACATGATGGCAGTTCATCTCCTTAATGGTGAAATTAAGTTTGATTGCTTTATTAAGTATAAGGTAACTAGGTTAAGGTCGTGATGACAAAGTTTATACACTATAAAATTATTATTTTTTATTTGTATTTGAAATATTTCATGGGAGAAAACTGCGAAACTGAAAATATACTGTTCATTTTCAAGTTTTCACACAGTAGATTTAGTACCTGTTGCTTTTATTTGTTTGGGCTAAATTAATTATTAGTATGACAGTTACAAAATGTTGATTTTCTACTCCACTTTTTATTGTACATTTAGTAACTTCTATGTCACTCTAAGGAAAAAATTTCCCTTCTCTATTTATTTACATGTTCATTTGTCTATCTATTTTTCTATTAATCACCTATCATCTGCATAATATGATGACAGATAGATAGATAGATACAGAGACAGAGGGTGAGAAGAGAGAGAGAAGGAGAGAGAGTGGGAAAGGAGGGGAACAAAGAGAGAGATGGAAAGAGACAGAGAGAGAGAGAGAGAGAATCGTCACTTTCCACAATTTACATTCCATTTTTGTTTGAACTTTTAGTTCATAGATGTACTGATACCATTTAACTTACAGAATATATAAACAATATAAGAAAAATAATTCCAAGATGGCAATGATATTAAGGATATAATAACATAATTTAAAAAATTCCTCTAAATATTCATAAAATGCTTTCAGTATAACCTCTTGCTGAAATTTTCAACCTCTCTCATTATTCTTTAGGAAGAGACCATTATATTTTCAAATAAAAAAATGCCTGTTAAAGTTATACTTTGTTAAATCAGTTGTTTTATCTCCTCAATAACGAACGATGATAACAAGGAAATGGCACTTGGCATGTGACAAACTGAGATAAACAAAAATAATTCCATAAGAATTTAATTCTAATATGTAAGAGATCAGGTAAGAAATTTACCCATTCATAATGTGGAGATAACAATTATATTACCTATTTTATAGGGTTGTTGTAAAGACTAAAGGAGGAAATTAAATCAGAGAAAGCCATAAAGGGCTTAGAACAGTACTTGACATAGAAACACCATTTTAAAATACCATTATTATTATGATGGTGTGATTCCTATATAGTGCATATAAAATATTCCTTATCAGGTAAGAAAAAGTAAAAGATTAGTAACAGGTTAAATGGATATTTGGTATGGTGAAAATATCTTGAAATTTGAAATCTATAATTTTGTGTTTGAATTCTCGTGTTACCTTTGTAAATGATGTTGTCCACTTGCTAGGTGAACATATGTGAAATCATTTAACTATTCTGCACTGAAAATTATTTAACTATTCTGCACTGTTCAGTCCCTTTAACCATAAAAGGGACATGATGATCATAATGATTTTTGCCTTATGTGAAGATTCTCTTGAATTCACTTTTCGGTGCTCACTTTCTGATGTTTGTAGAGATGAGATTGTGTCCATTAATCCTGATAAACACTTAACTATGCTTCTTAAATCTAAACATTTCTGATTTCTTTTTAATTATAAAAAACTTTCCTCCCTTATTTCTGTGAATATTACCTCTTTCTTATCTTTTACATACAGAGATAAAATGTGTTAATTAAATGTTCTTTCATATTTTCCTTCTCTTTATCTATTTTACATACTTTCCTCAGATTCACATTAAACTTTACCTTTAAACTTTCTCTCTTCAGCTATGTGTAATGCTGTTCAATTGCCCATTCATTATTTAATATCAATAACATATAGCCACACATATGGGTATATGGATATAGAGGCATACAGGTATAAATAGAAATATATAGAGAGATGGAGATTTTTCTAGAAGATTTGTATAGTTTTTATTACATGCTTTTTTTCTTTCGGTTTCTATAATTTTTCTTCCCTTTATTATAATTATTTTTATTATACATTTTAGTATAATTTTATTCTTTTCTATTCTTTAATCATATTTCTTACAAATGGTTTCATTATATCAATTTGGGGATTACTAATTCTTCTGTTTGTAATTTCTGCTTACTTCTCCCTAGAATGAATTGTTAATTCTTATGATTGCAAAGTTTTAAATGTGAGCTCTTCTTTAGTGAAGGATTAGTTTGTATTTGTTTGTTTCCCTGACCAAGTCCTCTATGACCTACTTTATGGAAATGCTCTACAGAATAATTCAAGTTTACTTCTACAGGCATCCCAGAGCTTTAACTGAAACTATTTTTATTTTATCACTAAGTTATAGTCATGAGATTACTGCACATTTGGATAATACAATATACATCTGGACATTTGGGTCCCACACCTTCATGCATCTTTAGGCTATGGTTTAATCATTTTATTAGAGATCACCACTCTCTGTGCCAAACCCCAACCTCTCTCTCAGAGACCTGGAAAGACAATCATACTTTTCACTTCTCTCTATTGAATGCAGTTTCCTCAGTCATTTTATTTTAATCAGAGACACTCCCTTACGTAAGAGTTACAGTTTTAGCTCTTAAGGGATAAGACTGCATCTTTCCTTATTAAAAATCCAGGCTTTTGCTGGTAGAGTGATTCCAATTTTATTCTATTATCCAGGTCACTTTCAAGTTAAGTCATGAGTTTTCCATTGCCAGTTTGAGTTTACTCTTCATGTCCAGGGTTTCTTGCTTCCTCTTAAACTTAGTTCTCATCTTAAAATGGTAACTTATATTTTTCACAGTATTTTTGTACATTTCAAACAAGAAGTTTTTGATCAGATTAGTCATCCATGTTGCTGGAAGCCATTTCCATATATTTTTCACTTTGTAAATTACTGTTATGCTAAAAAGCTACATAAGCAAGATCAAAAGCAATAGAATTACAACAAGGAGAGATTTTAGTGCTTTTGCAAGATGGAATATAATAATATATGTTCAAATTTGATTCAGGGAATGGACTTGAGCACATCAAGACCTGTATTTTTCTGTAACACCATGAATCTGAAAATTCACTTAACTTTGTTGCACCCATAAGGAAGAAATAAATTGAGATACAGCAGCACAAAACACATCTTGCGTCAAGCTTTTATAAATTTCTACAATGAAATTATTATATAAAAGAGCCTTAAAATATTTCTCCTATAATGTCCTCATTTAACAAGTAAAGAAATCCACAAAACATAAGCAACCCATAGTGTCAGATTCCGTTCTAGAGACTCATCTCCTTCTTCTATACCAGTGTCCTTTCCATGTTGAGACTCCCTAAATCTAATGTAGAAACCTTTAGAAACCTTAGAGACAATTGTATTCCAATCTGCCAAGGAGGTAACTTTCAATTTGAGTAAATTTATTGATGGCTATATTCCATGCATTCATAAGGAAAATAAGTATTATGTCATTTAAAGGTTATAATCCTTATACATAATTAAATGTTATATTTTAAAATTACCAATATCCCTCCAACTCCTAAATTATGGTGTGTGTGTGTGTATATGTGTGTGTGTGTAGAGAGAGAGAGATAGAGAGAGAGAGACAAAGAGAGGGACAACCCCATGGAATGCTATATAGCTTTGACTGCTTGAACAAAACAACAACAACAACAACAACAATAATAATAATAATAATAATAATAATAATAATAATAATATTGAGAAACTATAGTTTGTGAATCATAATTCTTGTTAAAATTGAAAGATTTATGCTGGAGCAGAAAATCATGAAAAGAGCTACACCTAACCCAAATGTCTGATAGTAAGACAGATTGTTAATATATATTAAAAAAATCTAAAACAAAAGAAGTTATGAAACTCTGTGTATGAACTTTTAATATTTTTAATATTTTATGAGGATTCTTTTGGTTCAGTTCACTCTATCTCTATTCTGTCCAAATTACACTATCACTCTTACTCTCTGGAAGTGGACTAAATTTGTTTTTCTAAGAACATCATGGATCTCATGAGAATTTGAAAAGTATAAGTGTTACTACTTAGAAAAATTTTACCACAATTTGCTGTATCTAGATAAGAAATTGTGTGTGTGTGTGTGTGTGTGTGTGTGTGTGTGTGTAGAAGAGAAATTCAATGACTATAAATTACGTATTTGGAACAATTGGGTAGTTTTGATATGGACTATAGCATATTAGATAAAAGTAATGTACTCATATTATATTTCTTGAATAGTTGGATAACTATAGTTGTGTAGAAAATATGTTCTTAGGGGATAGGTGCTGAAGTATTTAGGGTATGTAGTATGGTATCTACAACTTTCAAATGTGTCTGTGTGTGTAATGGGGGGATGACAAACTTAATTGGTGGATCTGGTAAAAGGTATATGAATGTTCTTTTCACTTATTTGACAAACTCTGCAGGCATCTCAAAGTGTACATATCTACCAGGTTTCCTAGATCAAGAAATAATGAAATCTGTCACTCCTTTGTCAAATTGAAAAACACTGCTTTCTCTTTCAATACACATATTTAATCAGTGCTCAATTGCTGCAGATTTTTAGCTCTTAAATGTGTTCAAATACATCTGCTTCTCTCAAAGTCTATACCATGTTTTATACTAACATCATCTTTGACTAATATGTAACCTCGTACAACTATGATCAATTTCCCTTATGAAAGCGAGAATAATCTTGCTGAAATATAAAATATAATGATGTCACTACCCTTTAAATGCTTTCAGTGGCTTCCTGTGATCCTCAATACAAATCCCTTAAGGCAAATTTTAAGAGCTCTGATCTGTAGTTTATCTTTGGCCTTCAGTGGAATGCTTGGCTCTTTGTTGTTGCTCAACTTCTTCATTCCAACTGAAGTTATTTTCCTGCCATCTTCCTCTGCAAATTCTTTTAATTTCTTGAATTCTCAGATGAGATGTCACTCCCTTCAAAAATTCTTCATGAGCTCGAAGACTATGCTTCTCATATAGTATAGTACTGTACTATCTAAATGAGTACTCCTGCATGTACCCCACAGTCCCTGTACTCACTCATCTTCCTGCATGATAATCTCCAACTGTGCTTCCTGTCCTTTAGCACAGCAGTCCCCAGTCTTTTTGACACCAGGGACTACTTTCATGGAAGACAATTTTTCCAGGAATGGTGGGGAGAGGGGGTTGGATTCGGGATGAAACCTCCACCTCAGATCATCAGGCATTAGATTCTCATAAGGAGTGTGGAACCTAGATCCCTCACACGCGCAGTTCACAATAAGGTTCACGCTCCTATGAAAATCTAATGCTGCTGTTGATCTGACAGAAGGCAGAGGTGCTCTGGGGTAATGCTTGCTCACTGCTCACCTTCTAATGTGCGGCAAGGTTCCTAACAGGCAGTGGCCCTGGGGGACTGGGGACCCCTGCTTTAGCAGATATTACATCTTTCCTAACTTTGTACACCACCATCTGAATGAGTGACTGAAACATGGTACACTCCCCATAGATAACTGTCAAATAATTATTGTTTGGACTATACAGTGAAACTATTTTGTAATTGAGTATTTATAAATTCACTTTCAATGTTATAATAGGGCCACTCAAAGCTGCTAGATGACCGGTGAGAAAGAAGTAAGTATTCTATGATTTCTAAGAAAAAGGAAAATATAGGAAGTTCAGCCTATTTGGATGTCAGATATAACTTTTGTTAATTTCATTATCCTTGAAAGAGGGTCTTACTAGGTGAGAGAAAATGGGGAGGAAAAATATTAAAATAGGGACAGAATCTATAGGAGCAGAAAACATATCAGTAGTTGCCTAAGTCTGGAGGGGTGGAATTGACTGAGATGGTACAAGAGCAACAGAAATGTTCTATTTCTTTATTGTGTGGTTGTTACAAAGATGTATAAATTCGTCAAAACTCATCGAAATATATACTTGAAAGTGGTACATTATACTTTAATTATGTTGATTTTTTAAATGCTTCAGTAATTTAAACAGCTCCTCAATAGCATTTCCAGCAGAGAAAGTGTTCAACAGTTTTTGCTGTTGGGGAAAATGCTATGAGATAATATTATTTAACATTTCTAAATAGTAGAAATAATGCTGAAATCAGTTTAAAGAGCCTTTTTATGGTAGTTTGTATATAAAAGGAAATTAATGGGTCCTACACTAATTTTATTCAGTGATTAAATCACCAAACTACTGATCTTTCCCTTTCTTATTCTTAGACCGTCAGGTAATTAGGACTGTCTCTACTATATCATCTGCCAGCTGTGAGGAGAATGAGAACAATAGTTATTCAGTTCAGTGGAATCATTATCATTCATATAGGAAAACAGGACCTTTGTAATTGTTAACAACAGGGCTAGATATATTTCTTTTCCATTTTCGCTGTACTTATTAAATAAAAAGCCATTAGCCAACCAAAGACTTAGATGTCTATGTGCGTATACATATTCTTTTCTAATTTCTTTAATAGGACTATTATTATTGTAGCACTGGAGTAATTTTAAGGAATAACGAAAAAATCAAGCAGGCTTTAATTCTATTATCAAGATATCTTACAGAAATATCTTTCTTAAACATACATCAATCTTTGTCTTAAAAATCACAGTTAAGTGTCTAATAAATACCATATCAAATCAAATTGAGTAAAGCAAAGAGAGTCACCCACAGTTTTGGGCCTTTTAAACTAAAAATACTCTTTCCTCTATTGTTTCAACTTCATCTCTGTTGAAAACACACACATGTATACAAACTTTAACACACAATTGGGAAATATTAATGGAAAAATAAAACACGAATATTAATACCTATGAGGCGAATAAGTGATGGTGTATAATAGGAGAAAGTGAGGTGGAATTAACCAAAAACATTTTTTTTTAGTTGAGATACAATTTACATAATACAAAATGCAAAGATCTTAAGTGTTTCAGATAATGAGGATTTTTTTGTTTGTTTGTTTTTACTTTCGTTTTGAGACAGGGTCTCTTTCTGTCACCTAGGCTGAAGTGTAGTAAGTACAGTGGCACAATCTCAGGTCACTGCAATCTCCACCTCCTGGACTCAAGCAATCCTCAGACCTCAGCCTCCCAGGTAGCCAGGACTACCGGTGTGCACCACCACGCCTGGGAAATTTTTGTTTTTTTAATAGAGACGGGGTTTCACCATGTTGCCCAGGCTGGTCTGGAACTCCTGGACTCAAGCCATCTGCCTGTCTTGGTCTCCCAAGTATTAGGATGCCAGTTAATGGGTTTTAATACTTGAATGAGCACATATATCCACCACGCAAAACATTACAGAGCATATTCTCATCACTCAAAAAGTCCTCTTGTGACACCTTCCAGTAAATTACTCACTCCGAAATGACAAATTTCTGATAACTATCACAATAGATTAGCTTTGCCTCTTGTTAGAATTTGTATAAACGAAATTACAAGGTACATATTTTCTCATGCCTTTGAGTTTTTTCACCCAACAAAATGTATTTGAGGTTTATAGTCTATAGTGGTTGTATCAATAGTAAGCCTAGTGCTTATAGTATCCTTTTATTATCTCTTCAATGTATGTAGACTATTTTGATCCTGATATTTGTATGTTTTACTTTTAACATCATGGAGAATCTTACTATGGCCTTATCAATTTTATTAATCTCATCAAATATCAATGTCAATTTAATTATTAAAAATTGAATCTCAATTATTTTATATCATTGATTTCTACCCATATTTCTGTGATGGCCTGTCTTTAGATTCAATTTGCTTTTCTTTCCCCAGCTTCTTAAATTGGAAGCTTAGATAAATATTTTTTTCTTTTCTGATATGAGGTATTTTCACTTAAAAGTTAATTATTAACATGATAAATTTCTAGTAACCACAGCCTAACTTCAATCCAGAGATTTATGTTATGATTCCCTTATCATTAGGTTCACAACATTTTCTAAATTCTCTCATAATTTTTTATCATGGTATTTTATAAGCAAATTTGTAAATTTTAACATACTTAGGAATTTTATTAATACCTTGTTATAAATTACTTCTAATTTAATGCTATAATCATCAGAGAACATATGTTTTTATTTTTTAGGCTCATTGTTCACATAAATAGCATACCTTTTTCATTATCTTGTTTCTTTTTATTTTTTGAGACTGAGGTTTTGCTCTTGTCACCCAGGCTGGAGTGTAATAGAGCAAGATCTAGGCTCACTGCAACCTCTGCCTCCCAGGCTCAAGCCATTCTTCTGCCTCAGCCTCCTGAGTAGCTGGGATTACAGGTGCCTGCCACCATGCCCAACTAATTTTTGTATTTTTAGTAGAGATGGGGTTTTGCCATGTTGGCCAGGCTGGTATTGAACTCCTGACCTCAAGTGATCCACCCGCCTCAGCCTCCCAAAGTGCTGGGATTACAGACGTGAGCCGCCGCACCCGGCCCATGATCTTATTTCTGCCTGTCATATACATATGACACACACACACATTTATTTATTTTTCTAGTGCATGTCATTCTTTTTTCCAGTAGTGTTATTTCCAATCAACCTGAAGACTTTCTTTTAGCATGTCTTTTAGGGGTGGTTGGAGACTAATTCATACAGCTTTCTTTTGTAAGAAAATATTTTAACTTTCCCCTTCATTTTTTGAATGTTTTAATTAATGGAACAGGTTTGGCTTTGTAGAAAGAACGAGCAGACAGTACAGAGTTTCCAGGTGCCCTCTTCCCACCCCATCTGCATATTGTTTTTTGATTCATTTTCTGTTCAGATCTTTTGCCTATTTCTTAATTGCAGTGTTTGTTTTCTTTTTGTTGAGTTTTAAGAACTTTTTGTATAGTTTACATACCAGTCTTTTATCAAGATATGTGTTTTCCCTTTATTAATAAAGGATGTTTTGCATGGGTATCAAATCTTTTTTAAGGACAAAGATAGGTTGTCCTTTTCTCCAGCATTTTACAGATGCCATATGTCTTCGATGAGAAGTCAACCATCACTTGTATCATGACCTCCCTCTGTGTAATGTGTTTATAGCCCTTCTGTCAACTTTCAGTACTTTGTATCTTTGGTTTTCAATGGGTAGACTATGATGTTTCTAGTTGTTGTTGATTCTTTTTTAACTCAAAGTTCACTAAATTTCTTAGAATTTGAACTTGACATATTTAATCATTTTTGGAAATTTTCCTCCATTTTTACTTTAGTTTAATCTGGTCTTTTCTTTATCTCCACTTTCTACAGCTCCAATGACACATATGTTGTACCGCTTGATATAGTCCCATGTATCTTGGGCATTTAATTTATTTTTAAGTTTAATTTTTACTTTATTTATTTTGAATAATTTTAATGAATCCATATTCATGCTCTCTGTACCACATTTCAGCTGAATCTATTCTGTTATTAATCCTATTTTTTTTCTGACATTGCATGTTTTCCTTAACATTTCTATTTAACTCCTTTTCATGGTTTCCACCTATCTGCTAATATTCCCTGACTCTTTATGCATGCTGTTTACCTTTGCCATTAAATTATTTGACATCATCATTATACATGTAAAGCTTCTCTCTGATTGTTCCACCATCTGGCTCATTTTTGTTTTTGCTTGTATTGACTGTTTTGTCATTTGACCACGAACAGCTCATCATAGCTTTTACATTTTCATCTTAATGTTTTATTGTAAGCATGAAATTTTATGTAAGAGAATTTTTTAACCTATAATAAAATAATTACTGCCAGAAAATAACACTCTCCTTTTAATCAGGCTACTAGTATTAGAATTAGAATTTAAACTTGAGTTAGACTTAGTTTACCACTGACTCTCAGTATTTGAGTATGGCATCAGGTGTTTATTCTCATTTTTAAATCTTTGAGGACGTCTCTTACATCTCCAGTTCCAGCCTCACATTTTATTATTTAGGTGATCTCATGTCACCCTGCTACCCTGCTTGAGTCTTCAGAGGATCATTTTGCTTCAAACAGTATAGACCTGAGAGGGATTTACCTACCTATCTTGCCCTGCCCTTAGCCTTCCACTGATGGCTTCTTTGTACTCAATGCAGGCGCAGAGTATCTCTGAAATACTTTTCTCACCTTTCCCTCTCATCTCCCTTCAGAGGATGTCTGCAAAGCCTGTAAAGTTCTAGGGCACCTTAAAGGGATTTATTTCTTTATCTCAGCTCTCCTTACCTTCTCCCTTTTTAGTCAGAATCTGTAACACTCTCATCCACTCTCATCGAAGGCCCACTTTAGAGGCTTTTTTTTTTTTCTAGCCTGCCACACAGTCAGCCTTCAGTAGGCCCTGCCTTTACTAGAGGAGCGTCCCATGTCTGTCCCTCAGATGGCATCTCTCTCATTCTTCACAAGGCCATACCTATGTACTCAATGAGGGACCATAGGAAAGAATTGACCAGTGTTTGCAGACTTTCTTTAGCTGACCCACTTCTGACCAAAAACTAAACAACAATTTGTGGGGCAAAAATGCTGATCTGGGAAAACATTATTTGCTCTTTTGCTACCCTTTGAAATGAGAGTTTTTATATTGGTTGCTACCTCAACATTCATAATTTTACAATATCTAAATTTATAAATATGTTAATCAGTAATTTATATTTTTTCCTTATTGTAAAATAAAAATACGGAGGAACTATTAGGGATGTGTACAGGCCACAAACACAGCAGAGACCAACTATAGAGATGGAGATAGACAACATTTAGCTTTCTAAGGCATAAAGGCAAACATTTTAACAGAGTGATTGGGAGAGGCCTCCCCGGGGAGGAGACATATATTGGGAGATTTTTTCTATTTTTTCTATTTATTTATATTCTATAATTTTTACTATTTACACGGAATTAAGTTCACAAATTTTAAATGTGCAGCCTGAGAAATTTTTATAATTGTATCTAATCATGAAGACATCACAGATATTAATACTCTAAAAAATTTTTTTGATGTCCCTTTACATCCAATCCTCACCCCACAACCACCACATCAGACAAAGCCCATCTGCTTTCTTTCACAAAGTTGTGTTTTTTCCAGAATTTCATATAAGCAGATTCATACATAGTATTTTCTGTTTGATTTCTTTAACTTACCATGATGTTCTTGAGATTGATTAATGTTGCTGCATTATTTCTGTGTAGTATTTTATGCGACAGACATACAGAATATGTGTATGCATTCACAAATGAATGGAAATTTGTGTTGCCTCCAGATTTTGATGATTTTGAATAATGCTATTGTGAACATTTATGTTCATGTTTTTCTGTGGATGTATATTTGTATTTCTCTTACATAAATATCTACAAGTGAAGCTGCTTTGTCCTTTTGATAAGTGTGTATTTCACTTTATAAGATAGTACCTTTCTTCATTCTCATCAGCAATGTATGAAATTTCCAGTTACTACAAATTCCCTGCAACAGTAGATACTATTGTTTTTTGTTTACTCATTTTAGTTGGTGTGTTGTGATATTCACTTGTGGTATGAATTTGCATCTTTCTGATGTGTTAAATTATTTGTACATTTTCACTTAAGATTGTTTTATTTCTTATTACTGACTGCAGATAAAAACACTTGGTTTGAACATATTCTTCTTAAAAAACGTTTTTCTTCTAGTATCTGTCTTGGTTTTGTTTGTTTGTTTTGTTTTTGTTTTAAATATGTCTTTTCCTAGCAAATATATTTCTATTCCTGAAGTCCATTTTATTTCTTTAATTTCTGCTTGTGTATATAGTGGCCTGTTTAAAAGCTATTGTTAATCAAATGTAACAGAGATTTTCTTCTGTGTTTTCACCTAAAACTTTAATAGTTTGAGCATATTGAGTTAGACCTGTAATACTCATTAAGATAATTTTTATATAGAGAGTAAGATAAGACTTGAAATTTCAAGACTTGAAATTTTATTTAGAGAGTAAGATAAGACTTGAATATCATACAGATATTCAGTTGTTCAAATAGCATTTTATGAAAAGATTATCTTTCTCCATTACATTATTTTGGCACCTTTGCCAAAAGTCAGTTGGCCATTGACCACATGAGGGCAGAATATTTATGGATTTTGTATTCTGTTCCATTTATCTATATAGCTATGATTATGGCTATACCAATCTGTCTTGATTCTGGTAGCTTTTATAATAAATCTTAAAATTAGATAAAGTATTCTAATTTTGTTGTTCTTGTTCAAAAGTGTTTTAGCTATTCTAGCTATTTTGTAAATTTTAAAATTAATTTGTAAATTTACTCAAAAATACTTTTAGGGTTTCATATTTTATTTTTTCAAGAAATTTGTCCATAATCTGGAGTAACCAATTTATTGGCATAGATTTGTGTTCCATATTGAGTGGGACCCACATTATCCTTCTAATTTTGAATGGCCTATAATAACAACACTTCTTTCATGTCTGATAGAGGTAACTGATGTTTCTTTCTGTCTATTTTTCCTATCTTTAGATATTTAATAATGTTAGTGATTTTTTTAGAAAAAAGAATTATCTTCTGATTATATTAATTTGTTTGTTGCTTTTCTTTTTACTATTTCAGTAATTTCTGCATAGGCCTTTACTATTTCTGTCTTTCTGTTTGCTGAGGGTTTTCATCTAGTTTTTTTCTAGTTTAAGTGCACTTCATAAAATTTGAAAACCTTCTCTTCTAACACAGAATTTAAAGCTATAACATTTCCCACTATGTACAAATTTGGTTATGTTGAATTTTTTTTATCATTTAGTTCAAAATATTTTCTAGTTTCTCTTATAATTTTTTAACAAACATTTTGAATTCCAAATGTTAGGGAATTTTTTATTTATTTTACTATTAGTGGTATCTAATTGTATTGACCTGTAATGAGAGAAAAAATATTACATAATGCTTTTATTTTAATTGGTCAAATACTCTGTAATATAAGAATTTGTTTTTTTCTTTGACCAGTGGATTATTTAGAAATGTAGTGAGTTTTTGAATATTTAGACATTTTCTAGGTTGTTAAATTGTATTTTATTGATTTCTACATTCATTTCCTTTCAGTCAGAGAATATATTTTGCACAATTTGAATACTTTTCCATTTATTGGACTTATTTTCTCACTCAGAATATAATCCATCTTAAATGTTCAGCATGCACTTGGGAAAAATGTGTATTCTGTTGGTGCTAGCTGGAGTTTTCTATAAATAGCAATTATTACAGGTAGATGATAATATTATTCAACTCTTCTATATACTTTATGAGTTTCTGTCTTCCTGTTGAATCAATTATTGAGAAGTTGTTGAAAACTATAATTGTGAATTTGTCCATTTCTCCTTTCAGCTCCATTAGTTTTGTTTCATATATTCTGAAGCTTTGTTATGAGGTATATAAACTGTTCAGATTTTAACACCATCTAGATAAACTGAACTCATTATGAAATGACACTCTTGAACCCTGATAAATTTCATATAACCAATCTAGTCTTATTTTCAACAGTTTAACAGTTGACTGTTAGCGTGGTATATCTTTTCCATTTAAAAAATTTTAACTAATTTGTGCCTTTACATTTTAAGTGCTTTTTGGGCAGAGGGCAGCATATATTTGGGTTTTTTTTATTAGTTCAATCTAAAATATGTGATTTTAAATTGGTGTTTTTAGACCACTTACATTTAATATGATCACCAGGTTGTGGTTAAGTCTACCATCTTGATATTAGCTGATAAATATTATGTTTTCAGCTTGCTTATATATAATAATAGTATACTATAATACTATAATAAATAGTTAGACAAGTAGACACATAGATAGACAAGTAGATGTTAAAGTAGTTAGACAAGTAAATATTCAGAGACGACCTATTCATTTATGTATATAATTTAAATAATGAAAATATACAAGCTGAATATGCATTTAAATTTTATTCATTCACCTACAGTGTGTAAGGTGATTGTCATGAAATTCTGTGAAGTGGGAGGGCAATGCTATTACTAAAAACTTTGCAGATAAGAAAACCAAGGCTCTTGAAAAAAATATATGACTATCAAGTTCATAGAGATACAGAAGTGGATCTGATACTTAAATCCAAGGCCAGTGATGATAAATTTTACATTACTTTTATCATATTATTATCATATGTGCTATAGGAATTAGTTTTCATACTGTTAGCTTTCAATGTACTTAGAAATATCCATTTGATAAAAGGTTAGAGATGATAGTAAAGATTGAACTAAATGAAGTTATTTTACATATACATTTTTATCAATCCATAAAAGTCTAGGATTTTAATTGGCATAGCACTTGTAAAATTGTCAAAGGATTCACAGCCAGGCACTGTGGCTTATGCCTGTAATCCTAGCACTTTGGGAGGCCGAGTTGGGCAGATCAGGACGTCAGAAGTTCAAGACTATCCTGGCTAACAAAATGAAACCCCATCTCTACTAAAAATACAAAAATTAGCCAGGGGTTGTGACACGCACCTGTAGTCCAAGCTATTCGGAGGCTGAGGCAGGAGAATCGCTTGAACCCAGGAGGCAGAAGTTGCAATGAGCTGAGATCACACCACTGCACTCCAGCCTGGGCAACAGAGTGAGACTCCATCTCAAAAAAAAAAAAAAATTATCAAAGGATTCACTGTTTTGGTAGAGATAGGAATGTAAATATGAATATATTAATGAGAAATGATTTGAACTTCAAAAAACAGAATCTATAGTATAGGAATGACTAGTTCAATAACAAAACAACAAATGAAATATTTAAGAATATGAAAACCTAATCCCAATTGTCATAATAATTTTCACATGACCATGAAAATACAAACACCAAAGTAGTAAACATGTTAAAATATTCAGATACAAATATACGGCAAAGGCAGTTCACTACCACAACTTGTATGAGGAGACTGACTTAGAAACCAGTTTAAGCAAGTGTACAGACTCACTCACACTGACATTTGAAGGTTTCATTTTTGTTCCCCTAATGTTTCTTTCCCTTTAAATATACTTTTCATCTGATCATGAGAGTAAGCTCACACACCCAAACAGGGTAGAGACAACATCAGAAGCAAAGCCTTGACTAATTTCCATAAATTCAATAATCTCACTAGATTTATTTGTTCTAAAATGAATGACATTATATCTGGTATATTATAGACATAGTTTTCATTATAATGTAATTCAGATGATAAGATTTTGGCCAGAAAAAAAAGACAAAAGAGAGAAACAGAAAGAAAAATAATGGGATATGCATTGAGCTTTAGTGCATTATTCCTGTGCCCTAAACACCATTTTCAAGGCTGAAAATCTGTAGCATGTTTTTTAAACTGAGCCTGTACTTCTTGTACATCAACAAAATCCTGGGACCTCTAGTTTCAAATTTTATGTAAACAACTCATGAGAACATAGACAGAGTGTATGTCATATCTTGGTTTGTTGACCATTTCATATTATTGAAAATTAAACTGCACCACAGTTTAAAAAGTGATCACCATATATGATTACTTTGATGTAGGCAGTGGAAGGTTAAATTTACAATTGTTCTTTGCTACTCAGGAAAAGGAAATCAGGATGCTGAGCAAGACTATCAGAGGGTTGGTGTCCCAGTTTAAAGCCAGATGGATGTTGGGTAAAACTATAAAAATAGAAACTGCCTTAGGACAAAAATGAAAGTGTACAACATTGTCTCTCAAGGTGACCAGGATATCTGTTTCTCAGTACAGGATCCTATGAGAGAATGGTGCTAAATGTGCTATATGGATGAGGAATTTCTCTATCATGCTCATGACTCATTCAGTTTCTTTCTCCATTTCAAAGGGAAAAACAGGCATCAGTTAACATTTACTGGCAGTACAAGTTTATTATTAATAACTAGCCACAGTGAAATAAATTATTATAATTCTGAATTACAAAGACTGGAACAAAATATTTTCATAGTTACTAGTGGAAATTCTATTCATCAATATTATAGAAAACTTTAGAAGTTATATTTTAATCTTTATTCCTCTTCCTAGGTTCCATAAAGCACCACAATTCCTCTTTTCTTCACTTCTTTTTCTTATTTGTTCTCTAAATAATGTTAATGCTATTAATGTATCAATTTAGCTTGTACTATAACTTAAAAAAATTTGTGAACACAATCAAAAAAAACATACTGAATCTTAGAGACGTAAAGAGCTGTAAATAGTGTGGTCCCCAGTATTATAACAACGACAACAAAACTTGGATAAACTGCAAATTATAGTATTTTCTAAAGCCAACCAGAGAATTGAGGTCTCAGGGCAACCAAATAACCATAAATCTAGAGAAAGACACCTGCTTGCGCAGACAAACAGGATCCAAACTTTTGCTCAGATGCTGCAGACATCACTGGACTTTATAGAAGTAAATAAGAAAATATAGCTGACTTAAAAAAATTGCTATACACTAAATATGAAACCTCCAGAGGCCACAGATACAAGGAGGTCTGCATCTTTTTGCTTGCCTTTTTCCCATGATCCCCACTAGGTATTTTGGGGCTTATGAGGAAGAATTTTTAGGGAGCTTTTCTTTTGATATTCGTTGAAAGGAGGAACTGCAATCATTACCAATATAAAACAGGCCTGTCTCCTATATTTATTTTATGGACCACATGCCTTTCCATGAAGGAAGAAGAATTTTTTTTAAAAAACTCACCTTTGGGCACAGGTACAAGTAGGGGAAGGAAAGTGAAAAAAAAAAAAATCTACCTACCAAAAGGCAGAAATATTTACTATGCCTAGCACCACAAGCGAAGGAAGTACGTGTGTAAATGTGCCCTGAGAGCCAGTTCCTAAGATGGAGGATTCATCAGAACATAGAATTAGACTCTAGCAGAGCCCCCACCATCAGGCCAACTAGTATTGATTAAAAATAATAGGAGAGTACAGCTGGGAGAGTTGAAGGAGAAAGATTGTATCTGGGGAAAAAAGAAGACGCTCCTTCAGGAGGGAAGCAGAAATTGAGAAAATGACCTCTGAAACCCAGTCTCCACCCTAAACCAAATATCACTAGAAGAACTTTAATCCTGTGGTATGCTGAGAATATGCATAAGAACAGCACAGCATAACTCAGTGCAGCTACTAAAGGTCTAGCAGAAGGAATGGTGCACTCACTAATCTTCAAGCATAAAAATCATTTACGTTAGTATCTACTATCTTATGCAAGACATAGCTGGGTGTGGTGGCGGGTGCCTGTAATCCCAGCTACTCGGGAGGCTGAGGCAGGAGAATCACTTGAACCCAGGAGGTGGAGGCTGCAGTGTGCTGAGATTGCACTATTGCACTCCAGCCTGGGCAATAAGAGCGAAAATCCATCTTGGGAAAAACAAACAAACAAACAAACAAACAAACAAACAAACAAACAAACAAAAATACAGCAAGAAAAAGCACACACTGAAAGAGAACAAGCACTTAAAATAACTGTGACTGAAAAAGGAACAAAGGACAAGTAAAAAATAGGAACTGCTAACAAGATGATAGATTTTAAAACAAGAATTCCTATAATAAATGTAAATGTCAATGGTCTTCACAAACCAGTTAAAAGACAAAGATCATCAACAGAAGTATAACAAATCTATATGATACAAGGATCTAATAAAAAAGAAACGTTGAAAGTGAAAGGAGAAAATTATAACATGCAAACATTGATTAAAAGAAAGTTATATATCTACAGAAAAAAAAAATAATAGACTTCCAAACAGGAAATACTGTCAGTGTTAAGTCACCACATTACATCATAATAAAGGAGTAAATTATCTGAAAAGACATAATAATCCCAGACATGTACACACTGAACAAATCTTCAAAATACATTAGGTAAAAATTCCTATTTTTATTTTATGTTCTATCAAAAGAAAAAAAAACCCAATGCATTAGTCTGTCCTCATACTGCTAATAAAGACAGACCCAAGACTGGGTGATTTTTAAAGGAAAGAGGTTTAATTTGACTCGCAGTTCAGCAAACTGGGGAGTCCTCAGGAAACTTAAAATCATGGCAGAAAGAGAAGAAAACACATCCTTCTTCACATGATGGCAGGAAGGAGAAGTGCAGAGTTAAGCAGGAGAAAAGCCCCTTATGAAACCATGAGATCTCAAGAGAACTCAGTATCATGAGAACAGGATGGAGTTAACCACCCCCCTGATTCAATAACCTTTCACCAGGTCTCTCCCGTGACACATGGGGATTATGGGAACTACAATTCAAGATGAGAATTGGGTGGGGACACAGCCAAACCACATCACCAAGACCTGGAAGGTTGCAGGTCTACCAAACATTGGTATTAAAATCTACCAAACATTTAATAGAGCAGTCATTAAGTGAAATAAAATAGAGAGACAAAGTCAAATACCACATGTTCTCACTTGTACTTGGGAGCTAAATAATATACACATATGCACAGAATGTGGAATAATAGACTTCTGAAGGATAGGAGGGTGAGAGGGGAGTGAGGAATGAGAGAGTACTTGATGGGTACAATGTACACTACTAGGACAATGGTTGCACGAAAAGTCTAGACTTCACCAGTATGCAATATATCCATGTAATAAAACCACACTTGTGCCCCCTAAATTTATACAAATAAAAAAAATAGGAAAAGAGCTTATGATGCATCTTGTCAAAAGAAATATTATCGATTCTACAGATCACTTCCAGTGAATAGAAGAGGAGGCAACAGTTGATACCAGTATTGTTCTAATACCAAAATAAGACAAAACTGTAAGAACAGAAGACCAATAAACATCATGAGCATAGATACAAAAGTTTTTAACAAAATATTACTAAATTGAATTCAGCAATATATAAAAATGATAATAAATTATGACCACATGGAATTCACTCAGGAATATGACTGAATTATTACTTGAAAATTAATCAATGTTATTTGACATATTTATGTAGTATATGAGAAAAATACCATTTGATTATTTTAATAGATATAGAAAAATCTTTCAACAAAATTCAACAAAATTTTCATTCCTGTGAAAAGGAAAGAAAAATATCACTTTTAGCAACCTAGAATTTCTTTTCTTTTCTTTCTTTCTTTCTTTTTTTTTTTTCTTTTAGACAGGGTCTGGCTCTGTCACCGAGGCTGGAGCGCAGTGGTGCAATCTCAACTCACTGCAATCTCTGCCTCTTTGCCTCCTGGGTTCAAGCAATCCTCCCACCTCAGCCTCCCAGGTAGCTGGGACTACAGACAGGCGCCACAACACCCAGCTAATTTTTGTAGTTTTTGTAGAGATAGGGTTGTTTCACCATGTTGGCCAAGCTGATCTTTAACTCCTGAGCTCAAGCAATCCACTTGCCTCGGCCACCCAAAGTGCTGGGATTACAAGCATGAGCCACCATGCCTGGCCAAGAAAGAAATTTATTTAACCTAATAAATGAGATCTATAAAGAACGTATAGCTAACATTATAAGTAACGGTGAGAGAATGAATGTTTTAAACTCAAGACAGAAATAGAGTAAAAATGTGCTCTCTCACCACTACTATTTAACATCACACTAGAAAACATAGTGCAATAAGGCAAGGAAAAAAGATAAAAGGCATACAGATTAGAAAAGAGAAATAAAACTTTCTATTCAAATGTGACATGATTTTCTAGGTGAAATATAACTAGGAATCTATTTTAAAAGCTCCTAGAAGTAATGTGTGCATAATAGGGACAATGAATAAAAGGTCAGTATGAATGAGTCAATCATATGCTTATACACCAACAATGAACAACTGGAACATTTTGGTAATTAAAATGAAATACTATTTCTGATAGCACCCAAAACATATAAATGTACTTTATGTATTTATATACATAAAATATGCATATCTGACAAAATTCCTCTATATTATTGTTTAATGAAGGTATATCATTTCATCTTTATGTCTGTATTCTATTCCACTAGTACTGCACATTTTATTTTTTAAACATGGAAATGGATAAAAAATTAAATAAAAATCACTAAGATTCCCAGCTCCTAGAAATAACCCATATTAATATTCCGTAAGACTTTTTAATATTTTAAGAAATAGAATATGAAAAGCACACATTTACATACATACATACACACCCATCCTGTATCATTTATATAATTTGCTACAAAAAAGCTCCAGAAAATTGTTAGTAGTCTTAATATCCAAGGAGTCATATTACAGGTAATTTTTAAATATATTTTGCCAACTTTTCATGAAATGCATGTTTTTATTGGATAAGAAAAGTATAATATAGAATACTTTAAACACATTTCTATATTTGAATTATTTACTTATTTATTTTTTATTAAAAACATTATACCAAAAGCAGATTTTCCTATTATACATGTACATTCAAACTACTTTTTTTCTATTTTAGTGATACCATATTGAATAGCCTTCTAGTGTTTCTGCTTTATTTCTTTAGGATAAGTTTCTAGAATTTGAAATAATACACAAATAAGGATGAAGATATTTCAGGTCCTGATGCACATTGTCAAATGATCTTCCACAAATGATCACATTAACATAAATCTTCCCTTGTATTTAGTACCGTTTTCTAAAACAAAGTTTATCGATGCATCATTTGTAAATATTTATATGTACAAATTTTATGTATATACTTTAAGGTATATATTTAATTTTCATGAAGTCCGGTTTATCATTTTGTTGATTCATGATTCTTTGGCCTAAGATATGGTCAATTATAAAAGAATAGCCTCCCAAGTATTTTGGTTTGTTTTTTATAAATATTACAATTTTAGCCTTTGAGTTCATGTTTGTGATCCATATTAAGTTAAATTATTGTGTATAACATAAGGTAAAAGTAAAGATTCCCTGTTTAAAATATTTGTAGATATCTAGTTTTTTCTGCATCAGTTATTGAAAAGATTTTCCTTCTTTCCTTGTAACTTCCTTGCTACCTTGGTCAAAAATTGATTGACATAGATGTGTCAATGATTGTAACATTATAGTAAATTCTAAAACCAGCCAAATTATGTCCTAGAAATGTGGCCATTTTATTGCTTCAAAATTGATTTGGCTATTTTAAAACATTTGTATTGTCATACATATTTTTGACAAGTTGGTTTTTCTACAAAGAAATAAAATATCTACTGATTTCCATTGTGTTGGATCCACAGGTCACCTTGTGTCAAATTGCCACATTTAAATGTTCCAACACAGGAACATGGTAAAAGTATCCATTTACTTAGGCCATCCTTAATTACTCTAGTGAGTTATAGATTTCATTGTAAAATTGTTAAACAACTTTTATTAATTGTATCCAACAATACTTCATGTTTTGATGTTTTTGATAATGGTATTGTTCATTTTCAAAATTGTGTCTCTCGCTGATATATAGTCAAACAAATGATTTTTAAAATTGCTCCTGTGTTCTGTGGCCTTGCTAAAGGCAGTTATCAGTTCCAGCAGCCTTTATTAGATTTCTTAGAATTTTTCCATATACAATTGTGTCTTTTGCAAATAAAGGTTATTTACTTCTTTCTTTTCAAGTGTATACCTAGGTTTCTTTTTTTATTGCCTTATTTCACTAGCTAGAATAATCGGTTCAATACTGAATAGAAACAGCAAGAGTAAACATTCTTGGCTTTTTCCTGATAACAGAGGAAAATTCATTTAAGTCTTTTTTGTGTGCATTCCATTTCTTTCTTTTCCGTTTATATTATCATTTACATATCTGTACAAAAATATAATAGCTCTTTTAAAATTATTTTTTGCTAGTTCCATCATCTTTAACATTTTGGGGTCTATATTTGTTGGGTTTTAAAAAATGACTGATTTTGAGTCGCAATATTCTGCTACTTGGCAAGCTTAGAGATATTTATTTATTTATTTAATTTCAGTAGGTTTTTGGGGAACAGGTCGTGTTTGGTTAAACGAATAATTTCTTTAGTGGCGACTTCAGGGATTTCGGTGCACCAATCACTGATCAGTGTACACTGTGCCCAATGTGTAGTCTTTTATCCCTCATTCCCCTCCTACTTTTCCCCTCAAGTCCCCAAAGTCCATTACATCATTTTCGTGCTTCTGTGTCCTCATAGCTTAGCTCCCACTTATGAGTGAGAACATACGATGTTTGGTTTTCCATTCCTGAGTTACTTCACTTAGATTAGTGGTCTCCAATCCCATTCAGGTTGCTGTGAATGTCATTATTTTGTATCTTTTTATGGCTAAGTGGTATTCCATGGTATTTATCTTTTCAAATAACCAACTTTTAAAATTCATTATCTTTTGTATGTTTGTTTGTTTGTTTCAATTACCTTTACTTCTGCTCTGATCTTGGTGATTTCTTTTCTTCTGCTGGGTTTGAGTTTGGTTTGTTCTTGTTTCTCTGGTTCCTTGAGGTATGACCTTTGATTGTCTATTTGTGCTCTTTCAGACTTTTTAATGTAGGCATTTAATGCTATGAACTTTCCTTTTAGCACCACTTTTGCTGTGTCCCAGACGTTTTGATAAGTTGTTTCATTGTTATCATTCGGTTCAAAGAAGTTTTTTAATTTCCATCTTGATTTCATTGTTGACGCAATGATCATTCAGGAGCAGGTTAGTTAATTTCCATGTATTTGCATGGTTTTGAGCCTTCCTTTTGGAGTTAATTTCCAATTTTATTCCACTGTAGTGTGATAAATTACTTGATATAATTTCAGTTTTCTAAAATTTGTTGATTTGTTTTGTGGCCTATCATGTGGTATATCTTGGAGAATGTTCACTGTGCTGATGAATAGAATGTATATGCTGCAATTATTGGGTAGAACGTTTTGTAAATATCTGTTAAGTTCATTTGTTCTAGGGTATAGTTTAAATCTAGTTCCTTGATTCTATTTTCTGACTTTCTGTTTTGATGATCTGTCTATGCTGTCAGTGGAGTACTGAAGTCCCCCATTATTACTCTGTTATTGTCTATCTCATTTCTTAGGTCTAGTAGTAATTGTTTTATAAATTTGGGAGCTCCAGTGTTAGGTGCATATATATTTAGGATTGTGATATTTTCCTGTTGAAGTAGTCCTTTTATCATTATATAATATCCCTCTTTGTCTTTTTTAACTGCTGTTGCTTTAAAGTTTGTTTTGTTTGATATAAGAATAGCTACTTCTGCTCGCTTTTGGTGTCCATTTGCATGGAATATTTTTTTTATCCCCTTTTTTTTAAATGTATGTGATTACTTATGTGTCAGGTGAGTCTCTTGAAGACAGCAGACATCTGGTTGGTGAGTTCTTATCCATTATGTGGTTCTGTATCTTTCAAGTGGAGCATTTAGGCCATTTACATTCGATGCTAGTATTGCGATATGAGGAACTATTCTATTCATTTTGCCATTTGTTGCCTGAATACCTTGTTTTTCTTCATTGTGTTACTGTTCGATAGGTCCCATAAGATTTATCATTTAAAAAGATTCTATTTTGGTGTATTTCAAGGATTTGTTTCAAGATGTAGCGCTCCTTTTAGCAGTTCTTGTAGCACTGGCTTTGTATTGGTGAATTTTCACAGCATTTGTTTGTCTGAAAAAGACTGTATCTTTCCTTCATTTATGAAGCTTAGTTTTGCTGGCTACAAAATTCTTGGCTGATAATTGTTTCACTTAAGGAGGCTAAAGATAGGACCCCAATCCCTTCTAGCTTGTGAAGTTTCTGCTGGGAAATCTGCTGTTAATCTGATAGGTTTTTCTTTATAGGTTACCTGGTGCTTTTGCCTCACAGCTATTAAGATTCTTTCCTTTGTCTTATCTTTAGATAGCCTGATGACTGCATGCCTAAGCAATAATCTTTTGGCGATGAATTTCCCAGGTGTTCTTTGAGCTTCTTGTATTTGGATGTCTAGATCTCTAGCAAGGCTGGTGAAGTTTTACTTGATTATTCCCTCAAATATGTTTTCCAAAGTTTTAGATTTCTCTTCTTCCTTGGGAAGACCAATTATTCTTAGGTTTGGTCATTTAATACAATCCCAGACTTCTTGGAGGCTTTGTTCATTTCTTAAATTCTTTTTTCTTTGTCTTTTTCAGATTTGGTTAATTGGAAAGCCTTGTCTTCAAGCTTGAAGTTCTTTCTTTTACTTGTCTGATTCTATTACTGAGACTTTCCAGTGCATTTTGCATTTCTCTAAGTGTGTCCTTCATTTCCAGAAGTTGTGCTTGTTTTTTTATCTATGCTATCTATTTCACTGGAGATTTTTCCATTCATATCCTTTATAATTTTTTTTTCTTTAAGTTGGATTTCACCTTTCTCTGGTGCCTCCTTAATTAGCTTAATAATTGACCTTCTGAATTATTTTTCTGGCAATTCAGAGATTTCATCTTGGTTTGGATTCACTGCTGATGAGCTACTGTGATCTTTTTGGGTTGTTAAAGAATTTGTTTTGTCATATTACCAGAATTGTTTTCCTGATGCCTTTTCGTTTAGATAGACTACTCAAAGGGAGGATCTAGGACTCCAAGGCTGCTGTTCAGATTCTTTTGTTCCTTGGGGTGCTCCCTTGATATGGTGCTCTCCCCCTTCCCCTAGGGATAGAGCTTCCTGAGAGTGGAACTGCAGTGATTGCTATTTCTCTTCTGGATCTAGCCACCTAGCAGAGCAACTGGTCTCCAAGCTGGTACTGGGGAGTGTCTGCAAAGTGTACTGTGATGTGGTCTGTCTTCAGGTCTCTCAGCCATGGATACCAACACCTGCACTGGTGGAGGTAGCAGGGGAGTGAAGTGGACTCTGTGAGGGTCCTTGGCTGTATTTTTGTTAAGTGAACTGATTTTGTGTTGGTTGGCCTCCAGCCAGGAGGTGGCACTTTGAAGAGCTCATCAGCTGTGGTAGGATACAAGCTTTCCCCAGATCTGCCTTTGGGTAAGCATTCAGGTTTCTCAGGCAGTGGGCAGGGCCCTAGATCCCCCAAGAGATTATGTCCTTTGTCTTCAGCCACCAGGATGGGTAGAGAAAGACCATCAGGTGGGGCCAGTGTTAGCCAGGTTTGGGGGTGTGGTTCCCAGGCCAATGGAGCTATGTTCCCAGGGGGATTATGGCTGCCTCTGCTGCCTCACACAGATCACCAGGGAACTGAGGGAAAGCCAGCAGCCACAGGCCTCACCCAGCTTTCACACAGCCTGCAGCCTGAAAGGCTGGTCTTACTCATTTTGTGCCCCCCTAATAGCACTGAGTTTCTTTTCAGGAAGCTAGTGACCAGGGCTCAGAACTTGCCCCAGGCTACAAGTCTCATAACTGAGAAGCAAGCCAACTCGCAGTTCCTTGGCTGTTCCACAGAGCTTACAGAGGAAATCCACATCATTCAAAGGGTCTGTGAATTCTTTTGGCTTTCCTGGTATGTTTCTGCAGTAGTTCCTGGAGTAAAAGTTCACGACGTGAGTCTCCACATACTGCTTTGTCCACCTGAGTGGGAGCTGCAAGTTAGTCCTGCCACCTATCCGCCATTTTCTTTTTGCATGGAGATTTTTTATTAGGTGCTTAACTTTATGAAAATTGCATGTTTTTTATTATTTCTATAAAAAATGTCAAGCTTCGTTTTGGCAAGCAATAATTGCAGATGAGTTTGACTCTTTTGAGTTCTGCTTTAAAAGCATTTCTAAAGAAAGCCTGGAGAAGCCTCCACTCCAGTGATATTTTAGTTGTACTGGGAAGGTATGATCCACTTGGAGTCTCTTCTCAATTCCAGGTGATCAGAGAGGATTCTCTCCTCTGGCTGACTAGTGCTTGATATGGTTTGGCTGTGTCCCCACCCAAATCTCATCTTGAATTCCCACATGTTGTGGGAGGGATCCAGTGGGAGGTTATTAAATCACGGGGACAAGTCATTTTTGTGATAGTGAATAAGTCTCATGAGATCTGATGGTTTTAAAAAGAGGAGTTCCCCTGCACAAGCTCTCTCTCTTTGCCTACTGCCATCCGTTTAAGACATGACTTGCTCCTCCTTGTCTTCCACCATGATTGTGAGGCTTCCGCAGCAATGTGGAACTATAAGTCCAATGAAACCTCTTTCCTTTGTAAATTGTCCAGTCTCAGGTATGTCTTTATTGGCAGCTTGAAAATGGACTAATACTGTGCTCAAATAGCTCCTCAACTTTGTGAGATCTGATAATTCTTGAACTTACAACTCCTTAGTGGCTCATTGCTGACTCTGTGAACTTTCATTCAGCACATGTAAGGCATCCCATTCAGAAGGACAGAAAGAAATACCTTTTCCATTTTCTGGATCCTAATTTTCCACATTGCTTTCTCCATTCTGTCACACTGCCCTGTAAATCTGCTGCCTCAACATTCTGTCATACTGCCCTGTAAATCTGCTGCCTCAACTTCCCTAAACTTCAGTCTTCATTTCCTCACTTCAATGAGGCTATAGATCTCTGGGCTTCTTCTTTATGTGCCTGGAATCCAGAAGTTGCCTCCAGGCAGAAAAGCCAGGGACTCATAGGCTTACCTCACTTGTTTTTCTTCTCTGCTCTCAGGGATCACTGTGCTGCCAGTTTTTTGATGTTTGAAAATGTTTTCTTTAATGTATGTTTTTCTCATATTGTAGCTGTTTATTATGGAGGTTACATCTAATCTTTACTACTCTATTATAGCTGGAAGCAAAATTCAACATTTTTTTCCTCAATAAAACTTTTGAAATATTTTAGAATCGTTTTAGATTTACAAAAAAGTTGCAAGAATATTATAGAGAATTCATATATATGTCACACTTAGTTTCACTTGTTGTTAACATTATTATGGTACATTTGTCACAACTAATCAACCAGTATTGGTACTTTCATATTAACTGAAATCCATACTTTATTTAGATTTCTTTAGTTTTTACCAATGTCCTTTTTTTGTTCCAGGATTTTTTCCAGGTTCCCATGTCACATTTATTCCTATGTCTCCTTAAGGTTCTCTAGACTATGACAGTTTCTCAGACTTTTCTTTTGATGACCTCAACAATTTACCTTTAATTCATTTTCTGATTAACTTTGCTAAAAAACTTTTGTGTATTAATAAAATGAAGAGTGTAATGGTACTATTTTTAATTTTATTAAATTTTTTAAAATTAATGTGCTAATTAAAAATTATAAAATTTAATTTTGAGGATTCCAATATAGGGTAGCGTATATTTGTTCCAAACATACCTGCATTACTTTATTGCATTATTTCTTATTTCTACATAATATTTCATACATATCCTCGGGTATCCTCGGGGGAAAAATACAACTTGTTACTCAGATTCCAGAGTGTCAGTCATCATAGATGGAGAAAATAGGCACAATGGTTAAATGTGCTACACTCAGCCACAAGAGTGAAGATTTCAAACTTTAAAGGATTTGATCAGATTGGGTTAAAGGTCTTATCACAGGCCCAGTACACAGAGTCCAGTCTAAATAGCCCTAGCAGTAAACTCCACACCTGAGATCAATGGCACTGTAATAACAAAAATCCCATCTGCAATGGTTAATTTGATGTGTTAACTATGCTATGGTGCCCAGTTGTTTGATCAAACACCAGCCAATATGTTGCTGTGAAGGCACTTTTTTAAAGATGTAATTAACATTTATAATCAGTTGATTTTGTATGAAGCAGGTTACTCTCCATAATATGGGTGGGCTTTATACAATCAGCTGAAGGCCTTTAGATGAAAGACTAAAGCCCCAAAGAGGAACAAATCCTGCCTCCAAAATGCTTTCAGACTCAAAAATGCAACACCAACTCTTGCCAGAACTTTCAGGCTGCCATATCTTCTGTTTCTCTGGAGAAATAAGAAGTACTTAGTGGTGGGTCTACAGATGCTGAAGTCTCCTGAGGAGCTATGGTACAGACAGAGAAGAAATGTCCCAAAGAGGAAGTATATTACTCATGTGGAAAACGTTGAGCCTGTGCCCTTGAGGGGCCGCCCAGCTTCTCTTGTTGTGTGACTTCTCTCACTTATTCTGGTCAAGTATGTGTAAACAATAGCTTACAATATCGCATAGTCTTCTTTCTTTAGTTTTACTCATGGGGAATTCCTATTTGAATTCCAGCAGTAGCAGTCCAGGACCAGCAGATGGCCAGATTTCCGTTGCCTTGGGTTAACCCTGAAGAATGAGTAAGGAATTAAACGGTGCTAACAAAAAACAAAAGATATAAGTATTAGACAGAATGTGTTCTGAAGATTAAAAAAATCAGTAAATAGGACAAAGAGGATCACTATATTGATGAAGTCTGCAACATGCATTTAAGCTAAACTGTCTTGATTTTTTAAATATTTTTAAAATCATACATGTGTCAGTACCATTTAAAGTTCTTTATATGTATTAATTTCTCCAAAGCCAACCCTAAAATGTAGGTGCTAGTATAAAAGCCATTTCCGAATTTTAAAAAGGAAGACAGAGGTAATGAAGTAACTTCTTCAAAGTTCCAGAGCAGGTAAGTAGAAGGCCTTGGATTTGAACCCAGACAGTCTATATCCACAGGCCATGTCCTTAAATGTGTTACATCATGGTTTTTTAGCTGTTCCTTTATCATAAAATCAAATATATTTTTAAAAACTATAAAAACTACAAAGACAATTTTAGAGAAATGTCATATTGTTTGAAAGTTTTTGAAATCTCATTTTTAGAAAAATAAGAACAAAAAACAATGGCTGAGAAATACGATCAACTAAACTATATTTCTCTAGCTATTTTAACCAAGCAAAAATTAGTATATAAATACACAAATTTAGAAACAAGAACAAGCACATGATCAACATATAGGAAAAAAATAAAATAATTATTGGCTACATTATATAACTTTACAACAATATATTAAAATCTAGATAAAATAGCTTTTCAGGAAAGCATACACAGTATAATTAAATAAAATTTAGCTAACATGAGCAGAACAATAACTGTGAAAGGAATTGTTGAAATTTTCTAAGAAATACTTTCAAAAGGCCTCAGGCCCATACCGTGTTACTGGCAAGGTGTTTCAACTTTGAAGGTATTAATAACTCTTTTGTCATTTAAACTTTTCCAGACACAGAAATAACAATTCTTTTTCATAAAATTAGGATAATAGAATAATCTTGATATTAAAAACTATAAGTAGTGTACCTTAAAAGAAAAAATATGCAGTCCAATCCTTAATATTAATATAAACTCTAAATTCTAAATATGAAATATTAGTAATTGAGGTGCATTTATAGAATAATATACCATGATTAATACATAATCATCCAAGAAATAGTAGACTGTTTCTCAATGAAACAAATCTATTAATCTTTCTACACTAACAGCACAAAAACAAATGATATGTAGAGTAGAAAACTTGAAAAATTGTTAAGTATAAAAAGTAAAATTTAACACTCATCCTTAATTTAAAAAATAAAAACCTCTTATTAAGTCAAATCAATTTAAATTTTGTTTTAATTGGGAACTACATACAGGCACCTGATGTGCAGAGGTAAAAAGCAGAAACAAAATAATACCTCTACCATTTTGTAATGCTGTCCAAAACTTCTTAGGCCAGTTTCATATGATCAGAAAAACGAAATAAGAGCTATAAATACTTGAAGTAGAAGACAAACTTATAACTACTTACAGATATAATAGTGGCTGACCCCCTATAAAGAGGTAGCATCATCCCCCCTCCCTTGCATGAAACACCATGTTCCTAGAAAAGACAGCTTTGCTTCCAGCCACAATGAATAAATATTGACCAGCCTAAACCTATCGCAGTGATTTTATTCCTCTCATTAGTGATGTATTTAAGCATGGGCAAGTGATGCTTCCCAGAGAATATTCAGAGTGCCCAGTGTATGTTCTGAGGATGCTGCTAGACCTGGAATGCACAAATGAGGAGCTCACTTCAACTAGATGCAGACCACCCCAACCCCAACTGTCTTCGGCAGATTCACAGAGCCAGAATACCTGACATGTTGTGAACTGAAAGTTACCAGCCATCAGAATCTCACTGAACCACCTCTATGCATATCTCCAGACAGAAACCTTGATGGATAATATCTTCCTCCACATGATAGGATTATCTGTCTTTAGATTTCATTCTTTCTCTACTTGATAGCTCTTTCGAATCCAGAGTTTCTTTCCTCTGTGCTGCTCAGTGATCTCCAGGGACACTTAGAAAGCTAATTGTTATATCTTTCTCCCCAGTTCCTGCCTTCCTCAGAAGGGAAAGTAGTTGTGATATAACCTCCCATATACTCCCTGTTTTCCTCAAATACAACCTTAAAACCATTAGAATATATCTACATCAATTATCATTCATATCTAGAATTCTGATGGGATAGTTATGTCTGGTAGTCTCCATTACATACTTTAAAACCAATTAATGATAAGCATTCCTCTTTATGTTACTATCATCCATACAAAATAGATATACAGAAAGAATTTAGTTCATGGACCAGCCTTCTGAGGCAACCACTCTCAACTACTTGAGCTGGTTATTTTGTTTGTTTATTTGTTTTTCTTTTTCCTGGTGTATTAATTCATATTTCTGAAGAATATATTTATGACACTTCTTCCTTAGTTCTAAATGTTAAATATCAACTATTTACATTCTACTGTGGAAAACTGGAATTTAACATTCTCAGAACTAGATCCTCTCTAAATATTTTCCTCCAACCCCTTAACCCAAAACATATAATATCCCCTTCTCCCACTATGATTCAGTATATCTCTATTTTACCATTGTTTCTGTTCCCTCTCCATGTCCTTCTTATTATCTGTTGGTTTTATTCTGATATTTTATCTTGGATTATTTCCTCAATTTGTGGTGACCCTTCACTCTCTGTTTATAGACACTAAATTGGTGATTGAAAGTCTGTGTGCGTCCTGTTTTTATTGGTGGGCCTCCCTCAAGGACACTACCATGGGAGGTTGACAACTTTATTCTCACATTTCAAAATGGGGGAATTGGTAAGACTTTTCTCTTAGGCCAATCAGTTTCTTCACAGACTTTCATATTCTCCAGTTTCTTGCCTAGAAAAAAAATCCTGGACCCAGTGGAGTAAAGAAACCAGTGCTCTCACCATTTAGCACCCAGATTTTCACTTCATCCACCTGTTTTCAGTAAGGAGTCTTATCCTAGCCTCTCTGTATGATGAGGGTGGGGACGAGAGTGTGCACAGTGCATGTTTGCATTTCTACAAAGGATGGTCAGAATTGGTCTCTCTGGTGCCAATCATTTTACTATTTTTGGCCAAAAATATTTAACATGGGAAACCATTGTGATAATATAAAAATGATTACAACACATGCTAAATATTTTTAATTCATAAATCACTTTATCAATTAGACTTTAAAATATTTAAGTAGCATCATTGGTAAATATCAACATAAATAATTAAAATTCCTAAAACAAACTCTGTTAAAATATCTCCCAAATGAAACACCCAACTTAAATAAAAATTGAGGAGATGCTCACATTGTTAATTTCATCAAACTATTAAATTCAGCCAAACACATAGACTTACAAAGATCACATATTTTGTTACACAGATCAATTGTTAACCTAAAACCTCCATTTCCTGGAGATTAAGCTTAAATTCTATAGTTACTAAATAAGGATTCATTACAGTGAAATACATTGTATGCTCTGAAGATTTAAAAATTTATCTGAGCAGTAGTAACCAAACAAAAATTTGATTATTTTTCAACTCTTGCTTTATTTGATGGGTGTCGCAAGTTCATTATTTGCCAGTAAATGGAATAATCAGTTAATTAGCGGCACTTGTTATGTGACGAATATTCAATTAGCAAAATAGAGAAAAGAAAAGGTCCATCATACCTTAGTAAATTAATTTCTTTTTATAGAGTGAGTTTGCATCCACCTGGCAGATAACATAAACTGAGTAAAAGCCTTGGGAGGTTTGCCAAATTCAATAAATTAAGGGGCATTTAACTCTTTGATTCTTTGTCAGAATATGATTGTTCCTCACAGATGTTTTATTTATAATGCCACTGAAATTAATTATATCTGTCTAAAAACTAGTATATTTTACAATGCTGAGAAAGTTAATTAAGTGTATTTCCTGTTATATGAAAAGATTCCTATTCTTCATTTAAAGGAAAACTGTAAAAAATGGAAAATTATATAATTGAGCACATATAAGATTAAGTAATATTTATAGCATTATTTTTAAAATATTGTAAAGCCTATTAATACCCAGGGCATTTTCAATAAATAGTAAATTTTCCTTTGTTAGTCCAACTGTATAATTGCTGCTTTCTTTTTTCAGGGTGTTCATTTTTTTCCTGTATTGAATGCCTTCTCCCCAGATTTAGGACCTAAAAGCTAAGGTATCTGTTGCCTGGCAACTTAACAGGACATCTCTAGAAAGCATGCTGTTTTAGAGAGTGATGAACCTTCTTATAGTTGTCAGTGAAAGATTAGTGGCTCAAGGTAGAATCAAGACCTCATCTAGATTTTGTAGACATTAACAACTTTCTCAGTCCTCTGTAGGAAATAAAACCGTCATGCTGCTACATTAGCCAATGTTAAAATCCAACATCCAAGGAGGAGTTTGCTTGGCTGTGTTGACAAATAAGAGTGACTTCTAAGCCTTTTAAATGTGATATTGTAAGGGGTTGAATGATACATTACTAAAAACACAAGTTGGAATTAAGGAATTATGTGGGGTTTTTTTTTTTGCTTTTTTTTTTTTTTTTTTTTTTGCCTCATCTTAACTGGTAAGTCTTTGATCTTAGGCAAACTACAGCATTTAGGGAATTTAGTGCACTCACTTCCAAAATGTAGGTATTCCATTTGGAGAGTCTAAGAATATTTGCAGCTCTAATATTCTAGAAGTGTATATTCCCTGAATAGGAATGGTAACCCTCAATTTGCACCACTCACTGATCATAACGTGAAGTTTTACCATTAGATTGTCATTCTGATCCATAATTCAAACAACATTGCCACCAGTGAACTGTGATGGCAACATCTTATAAAACCTTTCTTTTTACAATGAGCTGTCTCCATTGCAGTGGAATTAAAAAACAGGAATTTTTAAATGTATCCAATCTTCAAACGGAATTTTGTTAGGAATTTTTATCTCATGATACAAATAAAAATCAAGAGTATTTAATTAATAGCTATTTTAATTAACTAATGATCTAATTTAGGATTGATTAAGGTAGAGTGCCACTATTAGATAAACTTAATGCAACAACATTATTTAGAAATGATTGCTCATTCTTGTCCTACTAATACATAATTGATTACGGGTGGCTTTCCAATATGTTTAAAATGATGTATGTGTTTCTGTTGCTTATCACTTATTTTTCTAATTAATGGTGTTTTAATGATGGATTCATTAGACAGCGATCATGGAAGTGCATGTAAGGAGACACATAAATAGAATGGACTTTGAAATTTACCTTCTCCACCACTCTGGGGTATTGTGCCTTTATATTTACGCTCTAAAAGTGAGAGTGGCAAAGAAATTAAAATACTAGGCCATTCCTCTATTTCAGGGAATTTAATGGTCCTTCTTTCTGTATTTTGACCATCTTAAGAAAAGAGCTTTGTACAAATCTATCTCTCTCCCTCCTTTCTGAGCTACCACTGTATATCATACTTTTTGCCTATGATGGGGGCTAGATTAAAATATTACCTGTGGAAATCTCAGGTTTCACTAAATATGTATTACATAGTTCACATATTAGAAACAATATTTAAACCATAGGAAAAATAAAATATAGGCCTATGAACCAGATTATAAGGATGAATCCAGGTTTTATGTAATTGGAATCATATGCAATTTGTAGGTCCCCCTTAAGAAAATTGCTTTACAAAAGTACTAGGCCTATGGAATATGTATGAGCGAGTGAGGGGCTGCTATGGACTGAATGTTTGTGTCCTTTCAAATTGTTGAAGGTCTAATCCCCACTATGACGGTTTTTGGAAGCAGGGCTTTGGGAGGTAATTAGTGTTACATTATGTCATGAGGGCAGGGCCCTCAAGGTGGTATTAATGCCCTTATGAACCAAGAAAGAGACATGAGGGCATGAGGTCTCTCTCTCTCTCTCTCTCTCTCTCTCTCTCTCTCAGCATGCAAGCACCAAGGAAAGACCATGTGAGGACGTAAGGAGAAGACAGCTGCAAACTAGGAAGAGACCCCTCACCAGATCTGCTGGCATCTTGATCTTGGACTTCCCAGACTCCAGAACTGCAAGAAGTAATGATCTATTAATTAAGTCACCCAGTCTATAAAATTTTGTTGTAGCAGTCTGTCTTAGCAGGCTAAAATAGGGGCCCTGCAAATTATGCTCCCTTGCATTCCTTGTTTCTCTACATCTAATTGTAAATTGCCAGAAAACCAGGGCCATGGAACTCAGAGCGGAACTTGGAATAGATGATGGTAAATATGACAGCTGGGAGTGCTGTATTACAGCAAACAGGGAAGTCTGTTTGTTACATGAAAAGACAAGTAATAAAATGGTGAAATGGAAATAATCTGTCTTCTGTACTCTTTTTCCAAGGGCCAATGTTCCCCGAATCTTTCTTTCACTGCATGCACTACTGTGCTTTGTAATTACCCAACTCTACATCTGTGTCCCCAAATAAGCCACATAGTCCTTGGAATCATGGATGCATCTTATTCATCTTTTCTATCTCCAAGGCCATGTACAGTACATAACAAAGACTCCATAAATATTTGATTAATTGTTTAATTAATTAATGCTTAATTCTTAGTAGAATTGGGAAAGAATGATGGCTTGGATTACTTACCTAATATCTCTCATGTGAAACTCTAGACTAAAATTGCAAATCGATTTCATTACTTTTTTATTAGTAATCATAGCTTTTGGAATAATTACTGGTTTGAGAATTTAAAGTTTTGGAGTTCAAACTGACTATTAAAAAACATATCTAGAAAATCCCATTTGTCTTTTTATTTCAGTAGAATGTACCATGTCCTCAACTGCATACATGGCAAACATAGAATTTACAAGGAAATTCTATATATATTATCAGTGAAATAATATACCCACATGTGGACAATTTAATTATATTTTGTGAAACAATACATATACCCATTGTTTAATTTTGCCTTACTATTGAAGGTCTAGAATCTTCCTTTTTATACAAGTAGAATTGAGAGGTGACAGGGTGCTGGCAGTCCTCACAGCCCTCGCTAGCTCTCGGCACCTCCTCTGCCTGGGCTCCCACTTTGGCGGCACTTGAGGAGCCCTTCAGCCCACCGCTGCACTGTGGGAGCCCCTTTCTCGGCTGGCCAAGGCCAGAGCCGGCTCCCTCAGCTTGCAGGGGGGTGTGGAGGGAAAGGCGCGAGCGGGAACCGGGGCTGCCCGCGGCGCTTGCCGGCCAGCGGGAGTTCTGGGTGGGCGTGGCCTTGGCGGGCCCGGCACTCGGAGCAGCCGGCAGGGCCTGCCGGCCCCCGGCAATGAGGGGCTTAGCACCTGGGCAAGCGGCTGCGGAGGGTGTGCTGGGTCCCCCAGCAGTGCCGGCCCACCGGTGCTGCGCTCGATTTCTCCCTGGGCCTTAGCTGCCTTCCCGCGGGGCAGGGCTAGGGACCTGCAGCCCGCCATGCCTGAGCCTCCCCCCCCACCTCCGTGGGCTCCTGTGCAGCCCCAGCCTCCCTGACGAGCACCGCCCACTGCTCCACAGCGCCCAGTCCCATCGACCACCCAAGGGCTGAGGAGTGCGGGCACACGGCACGGGACTGGCAGGCAGCTCCACCTGCAGCCCCGGTGCAGGATCCACTGGGTGAAGCCAGCTGGGCTCCTGAGTCTGGTGGGGACTGGGGAACCTTTATGTCCACATTCTGTATCTAGCTAATCTGGTGGGGACGTGGAGAACATTTGTGTCTAGCTCAGGGATTGTAAACGCACCAATCAGTGCCCTGTCAAAACAGACCACTCAGCTCTACCAATCAGCAGGATGTGGATGGGGCCAGATAAGAGAATAAAAGCAGGCTGCCCGATCCAGCAGTGGCAACCCGCTGGGGTCCCCTTCCACACTGTGGAAGCTTTGTTCTTTTGCTCTTTGCAATAAATCTTGTTGCTGCTCACTCTTTGGGTCCACAATGCCTTTATGAGCTGAAACACTCACCGCGAAGGTCTGCAGCTTCACTCCTGAAGCCAGCGAGACCATGAACCCACCGGGAGGAACGAACAACTCCAGACGCCCTGCCTTAAGAGCTGTAACACTCACCGGGAAGGTCCGCAGCTTCACTCCTGAGCCACCGAGACCACGAACCCCACCAGAAGGAAGAAACTCCAGTTCTCCTTGAAGAGGTCCTTCACATCCCTTGTAAGTTGGATTCCTAGGTATTTTATTCTCTTTGAAGCAATTGTGAATGGGAGTTCACTCATGATTTGGCTCTCTGTTTGTCTGTTGTTGGTGTATAAGAATGCTTGTGATTTTTGTACATTGATTTTGTATCCTGAGACTTTGCTGAAGTTGCTTATCAGCTTAAGGAGATTTTGGGCTGAGACAATGGGGTTTTCTAGATAAACAATCATGTCGTCTGCAAACAGGGACAATTTGACTTCCTCTTTTCCTAATTGAATACCCTTTATTTCCTTCTCCTGCCTAATTGCCCTGGCCAGAACTTCCAACACTATGTTGAATAGGAGTGGTGAGAGAGGGCATCCCTGTCTTGTGCCAGTTTTCAAAGGGAATGCTTCCAGTTTTTGCCCATTCAGTATGATATTGGCTGTGGGTTTGTCATAGATAGCTCTTATTATTTTGAAATACGTCCCATCAATACCTAATTTATTGAGAGTTTTTAGCATGAAGGGTTGTTGAATTTTGTCAAAGGCTTTTTCTGCATCTATTGAGATAATCATGTGGTTTTTGTCTTTGGCTCTGTTTATATGCTGGATTACATTTATTGATTTGCCTATATTGAACCAGCCTTGCATCCCAGGGATGAAGCCCACTTGATCATGGTGGATAAGCTTTTTGATGTGCTGCTGGATTCGTTTTGCCAGTATTTTATTGAGGATTTTTGCATCAATGTTCATCAAGGATATTGGTCTAAAATTATCTTTTTTGGTTGTGTCTCTGCCCGGCTTTGGTATCAGAATGATGCTGTCCTCATAAAATGAGTTAGGGAGGATTCCCTCTTTTTCTGTTGATTGGAATAGTTTCAGAAGGAATGGTACCAGTTCCTCCTTGTACCTCTGGTAGAATTCGGCTGTGAATCCATCTGGTCCTGGACTCTTTTTGGTTGGTAAACTATTGATTATTGCCACAATTTCAGCTCCTGTTATTGGTCTATTCAGAGATTCAACTTCTTCCTGGTTTAGTCTTGGGAGAGTGTATGTGTCAAGGAATTTATCCATTTCTTCTAGATTTTCTAGTTTATTTGCGTAGAGGTGTTTGTAGTATTCTCTGATGGTAGTTTGTATTTCTGTGGGATCAAGGAAATCAAAGAGGATACAAACAAATGGAAGAACATTCCATGCTCATGGGTAGGAAGAATCAATATCGTGAAAATGGCCATATGGCCCAAGGTAATTTACAAATTCAATGCCATCCCCATAAAGCTACCAATGACTTTCTTCACAGAATTGGAAAAAACTACTTTAAATTCATATGGAACCAAAAAAGAGCCCGCACCGCCAAGGCAATCCTAAGCCAAAAGAACAAAGCTGGAGGCATCACACTACCTGACTTCAAACTATACTACAAGGCTACAGTAACCAAAACAGCATGGTACTGATACCAAAACAGAGATATAAATCAATGGAACAGAACAGAGCTCTCAGAAATAACACCGCATATCTACAACTATCTGATCTTTGACAAACCTGAGAAAAACAAGCAATGGGGAAAGGATTCCCTATTTAATAAATGGTGCTGGGAAAACTGGCTAGCCATATGTAGAAAGCTGAAACTGGATCCCTTCCTTACACCTTATACAAAAATCAATTCAAGATGGATTAAAGACTTAAACGTTAGACCTAAAACCATAAAAACCCTAGAAGAAAACCTAGGCATTACCATTCAGGACATAGGCATGGGAAAGGACTTCATGTCTAAAACACCAAAAGCTATGGCAACAAAAGCCAAAATTGACAAATGGGATCTAATTAAACTAAAGAGCTTCTGCACAGCAAAAGAAACTACCATCAGAGTGAACAGGCAACCTACAAAATGGGAGAAAATTTTCGCAACCTACTCATCTGACAAAGGGCTAATATCCAGAATCTACAATGAACTCAAACAAATTTACAAGAAAAAAACAAACAACCCCATCAAAAAGTGGGCGAAGGACATGAACAGACACTTCTCAAAAGAAGACATTTATGCAGCCAAAAAACACATGAAAAAATGCTCATCATCACTGGCCATCAGAGAAATGCAAATCAAAACCACAATGAGATACCATCTCACACCAGTTAGAATGGCAATCATTAAAAAGTCAGGAAACAACAGGTGCTAGAGAGGATGTGGAGAAATAGGCACACTTTTACACTGTTGGTTGGACTGTAAACTAGTTCAACCATTGTGGAAGTCAGTGTGGCGATTCCTCAGGGATCTAGAACTAGAAATACCATTTGACCCAGCCATCCCATTACTGGGTATATAACCAAAGTACTATAAATCATGCTGCTATAAAGACACATGCACACTTATGTTTATTGCGGCATTATTCACAATAGCAAAGACTTGGAACCAACCCAAATGTCCAACAATGATAGACTGGATTAAGAAAATGTGGCACATATACACCATGGAATACTATGCAGCCATAAAAAATGATGAGTTCATGTCCTTTGTAGGGACATGGATGAAATTGGAAATCATCATTCTCAGTAAACTATCGCAAGAACAAAAAACCAAACACCGCATATTCTCACTCATAGGTGGGAATTGAACAATGAGATCACATGGACACAGGAAGGGGAATATCACACTCTGGGGACTGTGGTGGGGTGGGGGGAGCGGGGAGGGATAGCATTGGGAGATATACCTAATGCTAGATGATGAGTTAGTGGGTGCAGCGCACCAACATGGCACATGTATACATATGTAACTAACCTGCACATTGTGCACATGTACCCTAAAACTTAAGGTACAATATAATAAATAAATAAATAAATAAATAAAAAAGGGAAGAAACTCCAAACACATCCGAACATCAGAAGGAACAAACTCCGGACATGCCTCCTTTAGGAACTGTAACACTCACCGCGAGGGTCCGCGGCTTCATTCTTGAAGTCAGTGAGACCAAGAACCCAACAATTCCGGACACAGAATGATATTTATGATTATATTTATAAAGAACAATAGGATACTTGGAGAAAGCTACTAAGTTAAAAAATCTATTTTAAGTAAAATGTGCATAATATTTTAAATATAAAATTTTTCAACTTGAGGAATAATCTTTAACCCTAAAATAATTGTTTTATCTGATTACTTCCTAGCAATACAGTAACTCAAAGAATTCATATTCAACATTTGATTCTCAAAAACCTTTTCCACATTTTTGATCCTCACATTTTATAGAGGTGAATGCAGTGAAATCCTTCCACTCCCAACTTCATCAGTATTGTGATTTCTTGCCAAAAGAAAGCATCAGCTTGATACACTTGAATTCAACTTCAAGTTGAAGTGTACACTAATCCAGTTAAAGTCTTGCTACAAATTTCACATAAATTAAGTTTACAAATGTTTTGTCAAGTATTTACAATGATGTAAGACATGTAGACACATCTCTTTCCTCACACTATTCAGTCTCTTGTTAGTAGCCCAGAAAAAGGTTTTGTAAAATTAAATATAAATGTTTCAGATAGTTTACAGCCTGTGTTTCACAAAACTATTTTCTGAGTATCAGACTGTTCATATTCACTTGATTTTCAATTACCAAAGAATAAAGTCCTTTCCATAAGAATAAAGAAAAAAAGGTGTTTCATTCTTGATTTGATTTTCCATTTGGTCGCTATTGGTGTATAGAAAAGCTGCTGATTTGTGTACATTAATCTTGTATCTGGATACTTTGCTGAATTGTTTTATCGGTTCTAGGAGCTTTCTGGGGGAGTCTTTAGGGTTTTTGAGGTAAAAAATCATATTGTCAGCAAACACAAATCTCAGTAATCACATGCAGTGATAGAAAATGGATGTTATTCTTGACAAAATGTCAGGTGTACAAAGATGCTCTTACACTATGGACCTTGTAGGCAGTTATGAGTTTATGTTTAAATTTTGTGTAGGATGTGCAAAAATAGAACGGCGCATTTCCATCCTTAATTGAGTCCTTCATGATGCCCTGCATCAGAAATGATCTAGATGAATTCAGAAGTGCTTGCTTACAAGCAATCATCTGAAATGAGATGAATCATGAAAAAGGTGTTAAAAATGCAATCCTATTACCAAAAGGAAAGAACAGATGTATTCACTCTGACTCGTACAGTTTGATATTTTCTACTATAGAAACTGTTAGGTTTCCTTTTGAAAAAAACATTCAGGAAGAACTACTCTTCCTCTATCTGCATTAATACCTGGCTATTTCTCAAAATATTCTTTTATCAATTGCCTAAAGAATATAACAACAGTAGCAGATGTATTAAATTTTATCTCAACATGAAAAATATTTGAAATAATTAAAACAATGCCAAGTGGACTTTACAGATTGCAACAACATTATTTACTTCAAGATTTCCGGACATCAAATGGGTGTCTGTAAAATCCACTTCGATCAAGAAGTGGCAAATTATTAGGTGGCCCAGAAAAAATAAATTAAAGCTGAAAAATCAGATTTCTTTGCCATTGTATTCAATGGCAGAATTAAGTAGTTGTGACAGAGACCTCATATCCTACAAAGTCTAGAATATTTAGTTCCTAAACCCTCTATAGAGACAACAGATCTAAACAGAAAGTATACTATTTCCCTTTCCCTAATGAATCAAAACATGCAGTCACCTTTGTTGTCTCTCTCTCTCTCTGCTTCAAACTTTTTCTTTTTTTATCAATAATTCCTGTTACTTTCCCCCTTCTGAATACTTCCAGAATATCTTTCAATACAATAACCTTAAATTACTGCTCCTTAAGCCAATTGTTCAGGTGATTCAAAACTAATCCTGCATCTCACTTTCTGTACATACTTCTTTGTGAATCCTTCATTCAGTCCTCCAAACCCGTTAAAGTTTGAATTCCCCATAGTGAACTGCATGCCATCTGTAATTTCCACAATTAATCACCTCAGGCTTATTAAACAATAATGTCATACTAGCTCTCCCAGTTCTTAGACTGGTCTCCTAATTCCTCCTTGTTCATATCATATTCTATTCTAACCTTTGGTCATGGGCTCACATTATTTCTCTCTCTTTAATTGCTCTCATTCATTTTTTTCCCTCTGCATAAGATAAAAGAACACTTTTTTTTTATGGACCAACCTAAGATGGCTGCCTGCTTGGAATCCTCCCTATTTCAGGACTCTCTTTGCTGAGGCCTTTTCTCCTTAGAGCCAACAGTAGATTTTCAGGTTTGAAAGGCACCGTGTTAGCTTCCCAGTGCTTCATAACAGAGTGCTACAAACCAGATTACCTAAACCAAGAGAAATTTATCTCTCACATTTCTGGAGGACAGAAGTCTGAAAACAAGGTTTCATCAGGACTACGCACCGTAGGATGACTCTAGGATTGAAGTCTTTCTTGATTCCTCCCAGGTCTGGTAATCACTGGAAATCCTTAGCATTCCTTGCTGCATCACTGCAAGTTCTGTCTCTGTTTCCCCATGGCCAGCTTTCCTCTGTGTGTGTATGTGTCTCCAAATATCTCTCTTCTTTTTTAAACAGGTAATTTCAACTTTTGTTTTAGATCCATGGGGTACAAGTGCAGGTTTGTTACATGGGTATATGGCGTGATGCTGAGGTTTGGGGTATGGATGATCCCATTACCCAGGTAGCAAGCATAGTATCCAACAGGTACTTTTTCAGCCCATACCCACCTCTGTTTCTCCTGCTCTAGCTCTAATAATCCCCAGTGTCCATTGTTCTGATGTTTATATCCATGAGTATCCAATGTTTAGCTTCCACTTACAAGTGAGAACGTGATACTTGGTTTTCTGTTCCTGTGTTAATTTGCTTAGGATAATGGCCTCCAGCTGCACCCACATTGCTGCAAAGAACATAACTTCCTTCTTTTTATGACTGTGTAGTATTCCATGGTATGTATGTACCATATCTTCTTTATTCAATCCACCATTGATAGATGCCTCTTAGATTGATTCCATGTCTTTGCTATTATGAATAGTGCTATGACGAACATACGCATGCATGTGTCTTTTTGGTAGAATGATTTATCTCCTTTTGGGTATATACCCAGAAATAGGATTGCTGGGTCAAATAGCAGTTCTATTTTAAGTTCTTTGAAGAATCAAACAGCTTTCCACAGTGGCTGAACTAATTTTTATTCCTACCAACCAGTGTATATGCACCCTTTCTCTGCAGCCTTGCCAGCATGAGTTATTTTTTGTCTTTTTAATAATAGCCATTCTGACTGGTGTGAGATGGTATCTCATTGTTGTTTTGATTTGCATTTCTCTGATGATTAGTGGTGCTGGGATAACTGGCTAGCCATATGCAGAAGAATGAAACTCGACCCCTTCCTAAAAATTAGCTCAAGATGGATTAAAGGTTTAAATCCTCAAACTATAAAAATGCCCTTCTTGACACTAGTCTTGGCAAAGAATTTATGGCTAAGTCCCAAAAAGCAATTGCAACAAAACCAAAAGTTGACAAGTAAGACCTAAAAAAGCTAAAGAGCTTCTGAACAGCAAAAGAAATTATCAACAGAGCAAACAGACAACCTACAGAATGGGAGAAAATATCCACAAACTATGCATCTAACAAAGGTCTAATATCCAGAATGTATAGGGAACTTATATAAATCATCAAGTAAAGCACAACCTCATTAAAAAGCGGGCAAAGCAGGAGGTCAAAACTGCAGTGAGCTGATATCACACCATTGCACTCCAGCCAGGTCAACCAGGACGAGGCTCTCAAACAAACATACAAACAAACAAAAGTGGGCAAAGGACATGAACAGACACTTCTCAAAAGAACACATATAAAGCCAACAAACACAGGAAAAAAATTATCTCTTATTGGAACACCAGTCATTGAATTTAAAGCTTATCCTAATCCATTATGAGTTCAATATTAACCTATGTCTGAAAGATCCTGTTTCACATAAGGCATATTCATAGATAAAGGTGGTTGGGTTTTCTATGTACCTTTTGGGAGACACAGTTCAACCCACTGTAAGGATACTCAAATGCATCTAAGCCAACCATTCACTCAGATGACAGAGAAATCTCAAGTATCTCTGCTTAAATACTTTCTGTTGACATTAGAAAGTCACATTTCAGGATGTTACCAGTTGTATCCATGGATAGCTCAGATGAAAAAAAAAGTCCTTGAAACAAAATCCACTGGCCTTGTTTCCCTAATTCATTCTTTCTTGAGCTTATACTGAATGGAGTATTGCCTCCTCAATATTGTAGAATATTAAATCATTAAGACAGTTTATTTTCCCTTAAGACCTTCTCTAGGATACACATTTCTATTTTACTTGATTGCCTTTTTCAAATATGTCATGAACAGACTGAAAACCATGACATGTGTCTCTCAGGAAACCTGATTTAGCTCCAATTGTCTGATTTTTAAGACAATGTCTTTTAATTACCTACTTTCTTATATAATTATCATATCATAATGCCTTTGATGTCAGACAAATGTGGCTATGAATCCCAAGTTTGTCACTTATTAATTGGGCCGCCATTAAAATTAAATTATTTCTTGAAATCTCAATGCCCTACTTAGTAAAATGAGGATGTAATGTTTACCATGAAGAGTTAATAGAAGTAGTAATTAGATAATAGATAATTAGCACAATGCTTGGTAGACTTGATAACTGGTGACTTGTAGTAACACAATTTTTATTAGTCTGGCTATAAGGAAATCCAATTTAACACATCCGAACCTATATTATATTGAGCATGGCCTAGAGCTCTTAGTGTTAATTCATTTCCTCACTGTAGTGTCATAGATAATATGGATTTGTACATTGGTTTGCAGACCTTTTTATTCCTATCTTACTGACTAATAAACTTTAGAAACAGAATAGTTCCAAACACATCTGGAGTTCCAGTGGTAAGGTGAACTCAAACATTTATCTTTTCACATTGGTAAGTGAGGCTGATGCAACTCTTACCAGCACCATTAATTACCACAAAGACTAATCTCTGAAGAACCTGGGAAATTCTCTGTTTTCTCTAATGAAATAATATCTTTTACTTGACTTCAAGTCTGTTGAGAGGGTGTTACTTCTCCATTCTTCATAAATCAGCCATCAATCCTTGGCAAATGTGGCAGAGATTTCTAGTTATCCCCACGTATCATTTTTTCCTTAATAGCAAACAATTTTATTTGGAGAGGTATCATACCCAACTGAAATACTGTGTTTTGTAGGCTCTTTTGCTGCTAGCAGTATTCATTTGATCTAATTCTGGTCAGTTAAATATAAGTAGAAGTATTTTGTAGGACTCCCAAGAAGAATGTTTAAAGAAACTGGACTTACTTAGGAAGCAGCCAGATAATATACACATGATTGTTAAAGTCCTAGCAGACCTCTTGGAATGTGAAGTGGCATTGTTGATGATAGAACTGTAAGAGGAAGATGAGTCCCTGATATCTATAAAGACTCCAGGCCAGCCTTGGGCTTCCCTCACATGGGAGAAAAGTGAACTTACACATTTTTTAAACTACTATTATTTTGTGTTTTCTGCTCTATTCAAATCAATCTTATTCAGCTCCTGTCTTAAATCTACCTGTTACAGGCTTCAAATAGACATCTGGATAATTGAAAAATAGGCATTTTTGGCCTGTGGGTCCTTTGATCAATTGTCCCTGTGATACAGGTTGAATTGTCTTTCCCAAAAACTCATACGTTGGAGTTCTAGACCCCAGTACCTCAAAATATAACCTAATTTGGAGTTGCCCCTTCCCCAAAATTGCCCACTAGAACAAATCCTTACACACTTCAAAGGAAGATAACAAAACCCAGATTTTCAACAACATAATGCTTAGAATATCCAGTATCCAATTAAAACTCACTGTACAGACAGAAGAATGTGACTCATGACGAGGAGAAAACTTAGCCAAAATGAATAAAATCAGAAATGACAGGGGTAATGAAATTAGTAGTCAAGAAGATTAGAAGAGCTGTTATAAATATGTTCAAATATTTGATGGAAAGCATGAACTCAATGAGAAGAGATATTAAAATTATTTGTTAGAGCCAATGAAAATTCTTGACCTGAAAAATACAGTATCTGACATATCCACTCTAAACTAATAGTCATCAATTTTTTATAAAGGGCCACAGTGTAAATATTTTAGGCTTTGTGAGCCGAACATTTTCAGTTGCAGCTATTCCACTCTGCTATTGTAGCATTATAGAAGCCATAGATAGTATGTAAAGAGAAAATATGACAGTATTCCAATAAAACTGTATTTACAAAAGCAGGTGGCTATCTGGATTTGGCCTGAGGGCCTTACCTGCTGACTCTTGCTCTAAACCACCAAATATAATTCCCAGGATACTTTGTGGTTAAGTAGTTTAATTGAAGGTGTAAAGCAAGGACATCATTCTGTGCCCATAGAATAATTTTTCTTTGGGCGATGGTAGCGGGGCTTCATGTAGATAAAGCAACTGGCCAATATACAACACTTGCACTGTCCCAAACTTTAAGAATATTTGACCTAGACTTCTTTTTCTAGAAATAAGTCAGAAATTCATGGTCTACTGGTGTTTCTGCTTCAACAACTTTTATTTAAAAAAATCAGGGGCTGGGCCTGGTGGCTAATGCCTGTAATCCCAGCACTTTGGGAGGCTGAGGTGGGTGGATCACCTGAGGTCGGGAGTTCGAGACCAGCCTGACCAACATGGAGAAACCCCATCTCTACTAAAAATACAAAATTAGCTGGGCATGGTGGCACATGCCTATAATCCCAGCTACTCGGGAGGCTGAGGCAGGAGAATCACTTGAACCTGGGAGGCAGAGGTTGCAATAAGCCAAGATTGCACCATTGCACTCCAGCACAAAATTCCATCTCAAAAAAAAAAAAAAATCAGATAAAGTTAAAACCTCATAAATTAATATCATAAACTGTTCTGAGAAATTAAAATCCCTGGAAGAGATGAATCTTTCCAAGATAAATTATGTGGAAATAAGCAAGACAAACCAAATGAGAGAAGAGACTTTATTCAGAGATTTAGTGAGAAGAGAGTTAGCTACCGTCATTGCCTTGGTGATACTCAAAGACAGGCAAGGTAGCGGTGAAGCTTTACAGCAAAAAAAAAAATAGTAACGGAAGGAAAACTGGAAAATTCAAAATATATAAAAATTCAATAACACAATTTTAAATAACCACTGAGTAAAGAAGAAATCAAAAGAGAAATTAGAAAATATCTCAAGAAAATGAAAATTAAACATACAAAAACATCTGGCATGCAGCAAACGCAGTACTAAGAGGGAAGTTTATAGCGATAAACATCTACAACAAAAAAGAAGAAGGAGATGATGTAAATAACCTAAATTTAGACCTCAAGAAACTAGAAAAAGAAGAATAAACTTAGCCCAAAGTTAGTAGAGGGAAGGAAATAATAAAGATTAGATCAGAAATAAATTAAATAATTTAAATAAATTAAATAAATTAAAACAATAAAAACTCAAAGAAACTACGAGTTCGTTTTTTGAAAAGATAAATAAAATTGGCAATCTTTGCTAATGTAACTAAGAAAAAAGTGAAAACTCAAAATCAGAAATGAAGGAGGAGATATTACAACTGATGACACAGAAATAGAAAAGATCATGAGACTAGTAGAAACAAGTATATGTAAACAAATTTTATAACCTAGAAAAAATGAATAAATGCCTAGACACTTACAACCTACCAAGAATTATGAAGAAATGGAAAATCTAAACAGACCAGTAATAAGTAAGAGATTGAATAAATAATCAAAAACCACCCAAGAAAGAAAAGTTCAGGGCCAGAGATATCTGCACTGGTGAATTCTACCAAACATTTCAAGATGAATTAATACCAGTCATTTTAAATAATTCCAAAAAATTTAGGGAGAGGGAACACTTTCAATTTTATTTAATGAGGTCAGAATTATCCTAATACTAAAGATACTACAAGTAATAAAAACAATAGGTCAATATTTCTGATGAACATAGATATGAAAATCCTCAACAAAGGAAAATGGAAATAAAAAGCACATTAAAAGGATCATAGACCATGATCAAGTGGGATTTATCTCAGAGATGCAATGGTCATTCAATAAGCACAAATCAATTAATGTGATACACCACATTAACAAAATGAAAGATGGAAATCACATCATCTCCTTAATAGATGGAGAAAAAGAAAAAAATACATCCAACTGGGAAAAGAAGAGGTAAAATGATCATCAATTACCTCTGTTCACAGATGGCATGATCTTATGTATAAAAAACACTAATGACCCTAAACACCCGCACAATCCCCCATCACACCACTGTTAGAACTAATTAATTCAGTAAAGATGTAGTACATAAACTCAACATGCAAAAAAATCTGTTTTGTTTTTATAAATAACAAACTATCCTAAAGAAAATTAAGAAAATAATCACATGTACAAAAGATCAACAGAATAAAATATTTCCTAATAAGTTTTAACTGTGAGGGTAAAAGACTTGGACATTGTAAGTCACAAAATATTGATGAAAGAAACTAAAGAAGACATGAATAAATAGGCATTCCATGCTAATGTTTTGGATGACAATATTTTTTAAATACCCATATGCTTATAGTAATCTACAGATCAGGTTCAATACCTATCAAAATCCCAATGGCAATTTGTGCAGACATAGGAAAAATCAATTCTAAAATTATGATGAAACCACAAAAACCCCAAATAGCCAAAGCAATCTTAAGAAAGAACAAAGCTGGAGGCATCACACTACCAGATTTCAAAATCTACTGCAAAGATCTACTAATAAAAACAGCAGGTACAGACATTCAAACTGATAAAGAGACCAATGAAACAGAGGAGAGAACCCAGAAATAAACTTGATCAGCATATGAGTTTGTTGATCAAGAATATACAGTGGGGAAATGATAATCTCTTCAGCAAATGGTGTTGGGAAAACTGCAAAACCACATAGAAAAGAATAAAATGAGACCCTTGTTTTACACCATACATAAAAGTAAACTCAAAATAGATTAAAGATTTAAATGTAAGATGTAAAATTGTGAAATTCCTAGAAGAAAACAAGGGGAAAATCTTAATGACATTGGTTTTGGCAGTGATTTATTGGACATGACACCAAAAACATAGGCAACAAAAGAAAAAATAAAGTGGGACTACATCAAGCTAAAAAGGTTCTGCACAGCTAAAGAAGCAATTATGAAGCAAAGAGGTAACCAATATCATGGGACAAAATATTTCCAGCCTATATACCCAAAAAGGGGTGGCTATGAAAAAAATAAGAAAAACAATAGCAAAAAATGGACAAATTAATTGAATAGAGAATTCCCAAAAGAAGACATAGAAATCGCCAACAGGTATGTGAAAAGATGCACAGCATCATTAATCATCAGGAAAATGCAAATCAAAACCATAATGAGATATCACCTCCCACCTCTTAAAATGACTACTATCAAAGAAAACAAAACAACACGTAGGTGTTGGCAATAATCCAGACAATTTGGAGCCCTTGTATACTTTTGGTGGGAATGTAAATCAATGCAACCACTACAGAAAAGAGTATGGAGGTTCCTCAAAAAATTAAAAACAGACTACCATGTCATCCAGCAATTCTGAGTATATATCCCAAAGAACTAAAATGAGGATCTTGAAGAGATGTCTACTCTCCCACATTTATTACATTATTCACAATACCTAAGTTGTGGAAACAACCTAACTTCTCATCAATGGATGAATGGATAAAGAAAATAAAGTATGGTATAGACATATGATAGAATATTATTCACTAGTAAAAAAGAAGAAACTCCTGCCATTTGTGACAACGTGGATGAACATGGAGGATATTAAGTAAAATAAGCTAGTCAGAGAATGACAAACACATGATTCCACTTACATGAGGTATTTAAAATAGTCAAACTCATAGAAACAGAGAAAGAATGATGGTTGCCAGAGGCTGTGTGTAGGGGGAATTGGAGCGAGGGATTGCTGTTCAAGGGATATAAAGTTTCAGTTATGTAAGATAAATAATAGGTATCTGCTGTAAAACATGGTACACATATTTAACGATATCATATTGTGCATTTAAAAATTTGTTGAGAGGATATATCTCAATTTGTGTCCTTAATATAATAAAAATAAATTAGTAAATAATTTTACAAAGTTGTAATTTCAAAATTCAATCCTTTTATGCTATATGGCTATGGTAATCCTCAGAGGAAAAAAATATGTGCTAAATAACTTCATAAATTGAAATAAAGTCTGTAAATATATGTAGCTACTAAAATCTAGCACTGATTACTATAGGAACAGTACACCAAAATCAGAGAGGGAAGGAAACACTCAAGAAAATAAAAGACATGAATGAAACAGAAACTGGAGATTCAAGAGATAGGACCAACAAACCCAAAAGTCTTTTATGTATAACACTAGTAATATTGACAGAACTCTAGGAAAATTAAGAAATTAAAAGAGAAGTTACAGAAATAATATAAATTTAAAAATGATAGTCATTGATGCTACAGATATTAAAAATTATTAGTTAGAAACAAAATTATTTAATGCTTAAACAAATTATATGAAATCTAAAACTTACAGTAGTTGAATCTGAAAGGAAACAAAAAACACCTTTGGTTTTCAGTGGTTAGAAGCTAATACTGATAACAGCCATCCCTGATTGGTTTCCTTGAAAATTGTATTAAACTCTAAAAGAATGAATTATTGTGTTTCTATTTATTTTTCCCAGACAACAAAAAAGGAAATAGTCATCAGCTAATTTTATAAGGTCAGCATAAGGGTAACACTAAAATCTGTATGTACGATTCAGTATCTCAAGTCAGTAAGATAAAAAAAAATTACAATCCCATCTTAATAACAAAGATAAAAAATCCCAAGTACATATTTTCTAACCAAACAAGGAATACATTAAAAACAATGACAATGATAAAGAAGAATGTTTCCCAGGAATGTACAGTAGGTTAAATATTAGAGATTAATATAGTTTACTACATTAAAAGAAATAACTCATTCATTTCAATAGAGACAGAAAATCAGTAGTCCATAAAGTACAACATATGCTCATACTAAAAATTATTAGCCAACTATTTATAGAAGGATATTTTCTTAAAATATTAAAATATATTTACTAACAAATTACATCCAGATATCGAAAAATAATAAAAGATTAAAATAATTTTCTTCAAGAAGAAGAAAAGCAAGATTGCCCACTATCACCATTATCAATTAAGTTATTTATGGGTTATATAATTGTTTACCTAGAAAACTCAAAAAAACTTTAGTTAACATACAATTCAACAATTTTAGGATTGCAGATACAAATTTTTATAAGACCAATTGCATTCTCACAAACAAGCAGTAAACAGAAAATATAATTTTATAATATGTGCCATGAAAAATAGGATTAAATTATTAAATAATCAGGATTAAATCCAACACGTTTTTACAAAATTTGAGTAAAAGTTTATAGTGTTATATTGAAAGAATTTAAGTAAATGAATGTAGTGATAGATCACAAAAATGTCAATTTTTACTGAATAGGGCTGTAAACAAAATGAAATTCTATTATAAATGTCAAAAGATATTTTGTAGAAATTAACAAGCTGATTCTAAATTGCATGGGGAAAAGCTCAAACTGAAGAATGGCATAATTTTATTGACAACTGGAACAGAATAAGCTTCCTGAAAATATGAGGGGACTTCAAAAAGTTCCTGGAAAAATGGAATTAGACAATAAAAGTGTAAAATGTAAACCGTATTTCTCAACATAAGCTCTATCAAGGTCAAGACATGTTTGTAAACAATAATACCAGTCATTTAATCTATCCATAAAGAGCTGATGACGGTCCTGGGAATTTAGCCATGTCATTGTAGTCTTTTTTACATCATTAATTGCAAAGAAAAATGAGTGCTCTTTACAGATTTTTAAATATTAGAAAAAAAAACAAGTCAGAGAGAGAAAAATCAGGACTGTAACATGGATGTCTAATAATTTTTCTTCAAAATTCTAGAAAAATTGCCCTTGTTTGATGAGGAATGAACAGAAGCATTGCTGTGGTAGAGAATGACTCTGGTAAAGCCATCCTGGGCATTTTTCTGTTAAAGCATTGGAAAACTTTCTCAAATAAGCAGATGAGAGATGAGCATATCTCACAACAAGCAGATGTTATCATTCTTTGGCTCTTCCAAAAGTCAACAAGCAAAATGTCTTAAACATCCACCCAAAATTTTGCCATGACTTTACTCTTGACCAAACTGCTTTTGCTTTGACTGAACCACTTCCACCTCTTGGTAGTCACTGCTTTCAATGTACTGTCATCAGAATCATACTGGTAAAGCCACGTTTCATCTCCTTTTACAATTCTTCTGAGAAAGGCTTCAGAATCTCGATCTTACTTGTTTTGCATCAGCTTTGTTCCTTTCTGCAGCTAATCAGGGAATAACAATTATGGCACTCATCAAGTAGAAACTTTGTTCAACTTTAACATTTCTGTCAGAATTGTGTAAGCTGAACAAATGGAAATGTGTATGATGTCTATTGTTTCTCCTGTTAATCACTGGTCTTCTTCCATTAGGGCACAGATGATATTAATATTTTCTTGCAAATTGATGTGGATGGTCTGCCACTGCCAGCTTCAACTTCTACATTTTCTCATCCCTTCTTAAAACAAGTTATTTATTTGTAAACTGTTTATTTCTTTGGGGTATTGTTCTTTAAACTTTTAATAAAGTATCAATAAATTCATCATTCCTTCCACCCAAGCTCCATTATAATATTGACATTTGTTCCTGCTTCAATTTTAGCAGAATTCATGTTGCTCTGATAGGGACTTTTTTCAAACTGATGTCTTATCTTTCTTAGTACCTCAAACTAGATCCTGTGATCCTGTTCAGACATGGTATAACAAGTTAGTGCAAGTTTATTTTGGTGCAAAAATTTTTGAAATCCACGTATAGATTTTTCATCATACACACTTTCCATAAACTTCTTAAAGGCTCCTTGTATGTATGTACATATACACACAGGCATATTTGAAAACTGGAACAAAAATAATTTAAGTTTCTTTTCTTATCACCTATAAATAAATTAGAGATAGTTTTAAAATGGAAAAGTAAAATGCAAAACTGTAGAATACTTGGGGTCAATATAGGAGACAGTCTCACTAAATAGTGAGGATTTTTTTAACCAATATGGAGAATTACTACAGAAAACATGAATAAACACAATTAAATTAAAATAAAATGTTTTGCTTATAAAATTTACTCGAGGAATTGGAAAGTAAGTCACAACTTTTTATTTGTTTAAATCCGGATTTTGTAATCATTTGAAAGACGTAACTCTCATTTTCTAAGGATTATTTTAAAAGAATGTGTGCTCTTAAGTTCAAGTCTTTTTCCCAAACAGGATTCCTTCCTTCCTTCCTTCCTTCCTTCCTTCCTTCCTTCCTTCCTTCCTTCCTTCCTTCCTTCCTTCCTTCCTTCCTTTCTTTCTTTCCTTCTTTCTTAAATAAAACTCTTCATTTGTCTCTAATAAAAATCTGAATTTTAAGCAGACTCTTGGACCGCTGACTCAAATCCATCAAGTCATTCAACTTTAGCCCCTGTCTCATTCTCAGTAGCATTTCAAAATTACTGCTTTTCTATAAAGCTTCAAGAGTTTTCCCAATTCTTGAACTTCGGCTTCCTCAACATGTTTTCTATTTTATAGGAGACATCATGGAGAGAATAAATGGATTGCAAACTTTTCTAGGTATTTTCCACTGCTTTCTGCAATTAATTTATTAACCACTTTTTTCAAGGCACTTGCCTGCTCCTCTTGGATCATGATTTCCATCTTCTTCTTCCGGATTTGATGAATCTGTGTGTGCTGAGCATAAGAGGACTTTCAAATTTGATTGTTGCAATTCTTAGTAAAACCAGCACTGAAGAGATGAAGCAAATAATCATTGGTAGTCTTAACATCAACATCAGCTTCAAAATGGTCTGTCATTTTTTAAAAATTGATAATGGAGGTCACTTCTCATGGGTAAGATCTGTGTCATAGAAGATGATCAGGCGGTTTTTTTCGGAACATCCTCATTAAGTAATTTGAATTTTATAAAAGCAACTTAATCATCCTTGGATCAGCAAATCTCACTTGCAAAACACATCACTTGAGGCCATCAGGTGCAATCATACTTGAGACCATAAGATGTGATTCCGTATCCTTGAGTTTTTATGACTAGTGTTTTCCCAATATTAGTTACACTGAACATAGCTTGTGTTTTTACGTCATACCAATCTTTGTTAGAAAATTGATCACTTTCTTGGCTCCCTTTTTGCCACATTTTATAACCATTCCTCAACCCAATCTATAATCTTAAAAACAGGAAACTACATAGATCTTTTAGAACTCAGTGTATGTTGGATGAAGAACTATATTATTCTCTGCCACTTCTTTTTTTTATTATACTTTAAGTTTTAGGGTACATGTGCACAACGTGCAGGTTAGTTACATACGTATACATGTACCATGCTGGTGTGCTGCACCCATTAACTCGTCACTTAACATTAGGTATATCACCTAATGCTATCTCTCCCCCCTCCCCCTACCCCACAACAGGCCCCAGTGTGTGATGTTCCCCTTCCTGTGTCCAAGTGTTCTCATTGTTCAATTCCCACCTATGAGTGAGAACATGTGGTGTTTGTTTTTTTGTCCTTGCGATAGTTTGCTCTTTGTCACTAACAAACAATCCTTTTTTTAAAAAATAGCAATTTAGAACACAAAAGATACGTGTTTTGAGGAAATAACAAATACTATGGTAATATGAGCTATTTATTTTAAGCTTCTATGTTTTCTTAAATGTACTGAGATCATTTTTCAATATAGTTTTATGAGTAAATATTTTTTACCCTCCTAATATCAGATAAAAAGCAGTTTGGTCCCTCAAGCTTAAATCATGATTGTTATTTTTTTCTTAATTCATTAGCTTAATATGTACTTTGGATTCACTCATCAATTTTACTTACCTCAATTATTTTCATAAGGATTATTATACATCTAAATAGCCTTTGAAGTGTAAGAATATTTTAAATGGTGAGCTTCTATCACTTATTTTCCAGCTTCTATTGCCAGTCATTTAAATATAATAATTAGGTCTAATAAATTGGTCACAACCTGGGAAACCATCCTGTATAAATCAATATAATCTGCCAGCTTCTTGGTTGACATAGAAACTGATTATACAAGCCTGTTTAATGCAACACACATTCTATGCATAAAAGATTAACATAGTAAAGTTTAGAAAGGAGCCTAGTCAAAGCTATGCTTCCCACAACTTTCATTATTGCTCTATATTTTATCTGCTGCATAATTTCTTCTTAAACTTGAACTAAAAAATATGTATATCACACTGAAATAGGTAGATAAAGAAAGTGCTTTTAGGGCTAATATTCAGTAGTTCTTTCATCAGGGAAGAATTCTGTCATCCCAAATGTCATTACAGATGAACTAATACATCAGTGTGACTGGCCCAGCAATTGAGTTTCCATGGTTTCTGATGTTTAGCTGTTCCCATCATTAGCTTACTGTAATAATTTGAAGAATAAAAAGACTTGCAAAATCCAACACTGGGATGCACTGAACTGCATCATCTTAAGGATTTAAAATGTAATTTCTGAGGAATAAAAAAGGATATAATTGCAGCCCTGAAACAACTAAGCAGAGTGTTCTATGCAAATATTAGAGATCCAGTCAATGAAATATTTTGTCATTCAAAGGTTTCATACATAAACCATTAGGACAGAATTATATGAATCATTGTTTTATGAGGAATTTTTATAAATTCCTTCTTTTCATGTGTTTGAATTAGTAGCATCAAAATATTAAAAGATTATTATCCAAAGAGTGCTGCATCCCTATCTCAATAGACAAAATTACAAAGCCTAGGGCTAAACTTACATATTGTATATTAAAGAAAATCATTCACAAAAGAATCTAAATGGAGTGTGAGTGCACTAAGAACACCCAGGGAAGATATATACATACATGGAAGTAAATATATATGTGTATGTATGATATGTACATACATAATCACACATATATGACTATACATGTATACAGATACATGTGTGTGCATGGAAAGAGCAAATAATAATGTAACCATGTATCACGTATCTATTCCTCATCTTCTTCCAATGAATAAAGGTTTATAACGAATTTTGTTTTATCTATATCCCTATCACTTAACCCTATCTTACATTAAGGAACTAAACCCAGATTATATATCATTCTTCTATGTATATTTCTTATGCATCCTTAAATACAAGCAATCTTTCAAAAACATAATCATAATATCATAAACTACCTTGAAGGGTTAACAGTAATGCCTTAAATATCATGAATGGACTTAAATAACATTAATGCACGCAAATATCTAGTGAGTTTTCAGATTTCTCGAGTTTTCTCATGAAGTTACACAGTTGATTTAATTGAATCAGGGTAAAGATAAGATCGATACACTGGAATTAACCAGTCTCTTAAATTCTCTTCATATGTTTATCTTTTCCTCCTTTTGAACTTTTTTCTTACCCTTGAGATTTTGCTGAAAGTAAATAAGTCAAGTTATTTGTTCCTCATAGTTTCCCACAGTCCGAATTTTTCTTATTGCTTCTCTGTGGTGTCTTATTTTTTTATTTGGTTTTTTTTTTTTTTTTTTTTTTTTTGAGACAGTCTTACTCTGTCACCCAGGCTGGAGTGCAGTGACATGATCTCGCGATCTCGGCTTACTGCAACCTCCGCCGTCCGGGTTCCAAGGATTCTCCTGCCTCAGCCTCCAGAGTAACTGGGATTACAGGCGCGAGCCACTATGCCAAGCTTTTTGTGTTTTTAGTAGAGATGGGGTTTCTCTATGTTGGTCAGACTGGTCTCGAACATCTTACCTCAAGTGATCTGCCTGCCTTGGCCTCCCAAAGTGCTGGGATTACAGGTGTGAGCCACCGCACCCAGCCTGTGGTGTCTTTTAATATGTTTCTCAGTATTCTCTGTGAATTGATTGTTAGATCTAGAAATTTAGTTAAATTTTAGAAAGAATTTATGTAATAGGCTTAATAGATTCTAAGTACTTCCATTAGGAGGCCATAAAGCCTGCTTTTCTTGATTTTACTTTATTTGAAGTTATTAATGATAATTATCTAAAAACATTAATTTAAAGTTGCAAAATAGTGATATTCTAATTCTGATCCTCATTGATTTATTGGCTGGAATATTTCCATAAAAGAAAGTTTCTCTTATATAGTCTTTGATTACCACAAAATACTTAATACACAAAAGAAGGGATAAATGCTTGATTCTTTTTTTTTAAACACTTTTCAGAATAATAAATTATTTTCCTAGCATCTCCGAGAAAACCAATAAAACTCTATGTTTGTATGTCTGTATGCCAACATTTAATATTTTAACCATAGCCATTGTTTCTCTCTTTTATGCTTAAATTGATCCATCAATTTATATATTAATAATGGCTAAATTATCTGAACAATCATTTGAGAACTTAAGGAAAAATTTATTTATAAATCTCAGTCTAAAGGCTTTTGGATAGCTCAATTATGAATAGGTAAGGCCGTGTGGCTTTTTCTTTTCAGCACACTGTATGTAGAGTTGAGTTATGGGTTTTACAAATAATTTTTAATATGATTTTGATTTAATCGTATCAACTATAAGTTTCCAACATTTCCTATTGATAGGTATATAAACTTCTCCATCCCAAATAGGAGTTTATATGCTAAAAGGGGCACATAATGTGATATGAGGTTTCTTGAATGCAAATTTCAAAGGAAAAATATGTATTATGTGATGTAAGTGTGTTTTTATTTGTAGATAAACTTCATTTCTTACATGTATATATAAATTCTTAGAATTCACTTATATGGAGGAAAGTATATAATGCATGTACATAAAGGAACAGATTTCATCTTTATTACTTGACCTCATTAAATTGATTTTTATTTTTTAAGGAACTAGATAGTTTTATTTTTACATTTCTCTTTGGAAGATTCCAGATTTAAAAACTTTAAAACTCAAAATAATTTTATAACTACCATAACTATTCTAATGTTAATTCCATTTTTAACAACCTAGGTTAACAATTCACTTAAATAGAAATTGAACATTATTAATCTAATTGGAACAACAGATTTGTGATTAAGTATACCTGAATGCTCAACTCTAGCTGCAACAGATTTTAATACTGTGTTTTGTTTCTTTCTCTTGACATATTACTTTAAAGTATTTGAAGATATTTACTGTAAATTATAAAATAAACAAGTACATGACATTAGAATATGACCTTTGTTGATTTTAATCAGTAAGTTTGGCTATGTGAATCCTGGGACCATTAAGATATGTTAACAAATAAAATTATATATTGATAATAGCATTTTAAAATCTTTTTAAATATTAAAATGTATAACTTTTTCAAAGTATAAATACAAATAAATTTTGAGGACTATAAACCCTTTTTTAAGAGTTGTATCTTAAGAAGCACTGTGGGCAAGAATGACAAGAGTGAATTAATCATCAAAATTATAATTATTTTACCTAAGTGATATATAACTTACATATGGATGTATGTCATTTAATTTTATTTTTGCCCTAAATTAATTGTAGGTTTTATTATATATAGTAACACATTATACCTGCAACAAAATTATTCTCTCAGCCCATTTACTCAAAAGTGCAAGAAGATCAATATTAAGACATCATGAGTTAAATCAGCGAATAATACTGGTTTGTACTCCACATTGTACTTATTAACCATGTAAAAAAAACTTGCCATTTTTATAAGCAATGAACTAGTCAATATACTTCCAAAATAATTAGAATTGAAGTAACTGATCAACTATTACATTTTAATTCATAATTAAATGTTTGGTTTTTTGATGTTATCTTTAAGAAGAATTCTATGAGAATCTATGCCAAATTACCTAACACATGGGGAAAAACAGCAGAAATGCTGAATTAAAAGAATTAAAAATATTTAATGCATAGTGTGTCCATGAGCACCATACTAATGCTTTTATATAATTCATTTTCTTATTCTGTATAGTTTGAAACTGAAAGGAGGCACTATTAATAGTTATGCTGAAACCATGTATGTAAAACAAGTGTGTCCAGGGCAAACAGACATGGAAAAAATTAAAGCAAACTGGCCCCTACCTTCTTTGAATATCTTATAGTATGATAGCTATTTTATATATAAACAATTAAACACATTCTCATATTGCTTCAGAGCCAAATAGGCATAATTATAATGAAACTTGGTTTGGTAAGAAAAATATTTTAGTATCAAGCTTGCTACCTGTATCAGCAGTATTTTGTGACAAACATATTTAAAATTAAAATCTTTGTCTTATTGCATATATTTTAACCTTTTTCTGCTATTACAATTTTTTTCCACCAGATGGTAGCCAATAAAAGCAGGAAACAAAGAGATTTCCAGAGTTAAAATAAACAAAACTAAGTTGAAATAAATCTCAAACAAAAAAAATTTGATTGTAGCTATAGATATAAACACACTTGCAAAAATTCGATCTACTGAGTAAATAAAAACAAAGCTTTTTAAAATGACTTTCTTCTGATATTGAATGTGTGCAAAATCTTTAGGAGTAAGTTGAATTTCAAAGCCTCTGAGACTGCTAAAAAATATAGATAGAAAAATACTAAACTTGAGATCTGAAGTCAATTTTTTCATAGACCATTCACAAGTGTATGAATATAGGCTTGTTTTAAATATTTCCCTAATCTTTGTTTATTTAAAAGAAGCATTGTGTTGTTCTGAAATATAAATTTTGGATATGTATTTTCTGACAGTTCTTTTATAAGAAGCCATCTATCCCACTTATGCTGCAAAAATCAAATATGTGGAATTGTTTCCTCTGTGTGGAGTCTTCACTTCTATCCTTGTTAGTCTTGGCTCGTACATGAAGTATTCATTATTTGCAAAAACCAATTATGATCCCTGTCTGGATACATTAAGGTTTTTTTCTACAAGTCTTTTCCTCTCTATCACATTTTAAGCAACAGTTTACATGAATTATTCATAGTTCCCATATTGCAGGCAAGTTTTTTTATTAAATTTGATCATAATAATAGTTATTACCCCAGTCATGGCAGTTTTATGAGTATTCTTCAATGCCATTACCTGGAAAAGATTTCAATTAAGAAATATAAGAGATGCAAATCAATTTCCATAATAAAATTAAACTGTACCTTCTACTCTTTCATTCCAGCAATAGAGCTGATTGACAGCCTCTCCCTGATACCTGGAGCAGATAACATTCAGATACAGACTTAGACAATGGCAGATTATTTCCTCTTAAACATTTCACTGTCTTTTTCTTCATTCTTGGTATTTAGTGTTTGCTAACTTCACTGAAACATAATATTGAACTTAAATTCTATATACAAATTTATTTCGAAGCAACATATTTTCTGATTTTCTCTGAGGTAGTTGAGTTTATAAGCAAATAAATACAGAATTAAGTGCCATCATCTTGTTTTCCTCCTAAAAACAGTATAACCTCCTTTTGTAGAGGAAATCATACTCTGTTATTGGGGGGGCAAAGTGATTAAATTTGTTGTGAGTATCGATTTATTTTTCTAGTCTCTTCACTCTTTATTTCCATTCCTCATGACAATAAAATAGAGAGAGATAGAGTGGATTACAAGATTGTGTACACAAACTGGCCAAATACAGACCTTGGATAGACATCATATGAGTAGATACAAAATATAGATATAGATATAGATATCTCTATATCGATATAGATATATCGATATATATATATATCTGATTTTATGGTCATAATTTTCTTCTAAAAATATGTAACAGATTCTTCTCTCAAAAGATAAAGAGAGGTGTTAAGTTGGACTGAAATTTTGCAGAGATAGATTGGAGCAGTTTTTAGAATAGAGGTCATGAATCCAGAGAGCAGAGTTGTGAATATATGCACTGTATATACCCTGTTCTAGAAAGGTAGCCCACAGACCTGTGAAGGTCCATAGACTTCCTTCCGCAAATCTTTGAGTTACTACCAACCATGTAATTCCATGCCTCGAAAAACAGCACAGAATTTGAGCACAAGATGAAATAGCAGTAGTGATGTTTTGTGAGAATGACTCTCACACACTTTTCAATGCAATGGCACTAAGTAAAGATCTTACAACTTAATTCATTATTGTTCTCTTCAACAAATATTCAGTTAATATCTACATGGTCTCAACATCTAAAAACTCTTCAGCTTAATATTTCTACTTTATTCATAACTTTCTATTTTCTCAGATACAACTGTGTCCTGAGGTTGTATTAAAATATGATTTTAAGACTAGAAACAAATTATTTTTACTGAAGCAAGATAGAAATTTTAAAGTTCACTTGGCAGCAGTAGTACTCTCCAGAAGGTTTTGTTATGCTAGCTCTACTTTCTTTCATGAATTTATTTAAACTTTACTTCTTTCTGCCTTTACTGACTGTCCCATCTGGTATGGGAGCCTCATATTTTTCCTTGTCTATATCTCAGTACTTATTACCATAAACAGTTCCTGTTTAATTATTTATGTCTACACCAGTCTATAAATCCTTTCCAGCCAGACATCTTGGCTATGTATTCCATGTCTAGGACAATGCTTAGTCAATGCTCATTGATTTGATTGGATGGATTAATGGAAACACCAGTTTCAGAGGTTAGCGGACTCCATAATTGATAAGCATTTTCCAGAAAAATCTCATCTAGTCAGTAAGCAATTGTTTCTCTCCTGCTGCATAATAGAAAATAATGAACATTTTTGAAAGCTATGGTGTGTTCACTTCTGTGCTGTTCATTCTTTAGGTTAGTGTTAGTCTCATTTACAGAGTTATCAAATTAATTTGAATTAAATGCTATTAAATCATATTGTCAAAGAATAAAATCTTGTATTTTCAAAGAACAAACACATAACATATGCATTAAATTTATATATTAAATTATTTGAATATAAAATAGTAAAATTCTGTATACTTGAAACTAGCTAAGAGGTCAACTTAACAGCAAATTTAAACATCTAAATTTCCTGCAAAAATTGTTTAATGTGGGTCACAAAATTAGGCTTCATATTCTTAGTGTATAAAGAAAACAAGGAATCAAAATAAATTATTCCACTAGTATTACATGTAATATAGAGCCATGGAATAGGGGGGTGAGTTGAGTGACAATCATCTGAAATATAAGATTATTTATTCTCATAAAATATATTATCACTGAACAATAATAATGCATGTTATTACAAAACTATAGTAATTGAGTTGGCATGGTTCTGGCATAAGGATAGATGTATAGGTCAATAAAACGATTGAAAGTTGAAGAAAAAAAAACTTATGCTTATGGCTAATTTGGACAAGGGTGCCAAGACAACTCAGTGGGGAAAAATAGTCTTTTCAATAAAAGATGCTCAGACAAAACAATACCCACATGAGAAAGAATAAAGTTGGACCCTTACACACGTCATGTACAGAAATTAACTCAAAATGGATCACAGAACTGAATGTAAGAGCTAGAACGATATATATAGTACGTGTTTGTGTGTGTGTGTGTGTGTATATATATATATATATATATATATATATATATATATATACTTACTTATTTTTGTTATTTTTGATAAAAATAATCTATCACCTAGTCTGCAGTGCACTGGTGTGATGACATCTCACTGCAGCCTTGACCTCCTGATCTCAAGCAATCCTCCTACCTCAGGCTCTTTAGTAGCTAGGACCACAGACATATGCCACAACATTCAACTAAATTTTTTATTATTTTTATTTTTTTGTAGAGATTGGCTCTCTCTATTTTTCTCAGGCTGATCTTAAACTCCTGGGCTCAAGTGATATTCCTGCTTCAGCCTCCCAAAGTTCTGGGATTACAGGCATGAGCTGCCGCTTAAAGTATAAACCTCTTAGAAAAAAAACATAGAAGTAAGTCTCTGACTTGGATCAGGCAATGGCTTCTTATATGGGCAATCAAAAGCACAAGAAACAAGGAGAAAAGGATTATTGGATTGCATCAAATTTTAAAACTTTTGTAAACAGGATAAAGTAAAAAGTCACCCCCAAGAATGAAGGAAAATATTTAACAATTACATATATGATAAGAGATTTGTTTCCAGAATGAAGAACTCTTACAACTCAGCAATAATCCAATAACCCTATCAAAAATGGGCAATGGATTTGAATAAACAATTCCCAAAAGAAGATATACAAATGTTCAATAAGCACAATAAAAAATGCTCAACATCTCTAGTCATTAGAAATACGTAAAGTGAAATGACAATAAGATGCAATTTTATACCCACTAGGACATTTGTAATTGAAAAGATAAATGATAAGAACTGTTGACGTGTGATATGGTTTGGCTGTGTCCCCCACCCAAATCTCATTTTTATTTGTAGCTCCCATAATCCCCATGTGTCATGGGAGTGACCCAGAGGGGGTAATTTAATCACAGGCCTGGTTACTCTCATGCTGTTCTCATCATAGTGAGTGAGTGCTCATGAGATCTGATGGTTTTCTAGGGGACTTCCCCCCTTTTGCTTGGCACTGCTCCTTGCTGCCACTATGTGAAGAAGGATGTGTTGCTCCCCCTTTCACCATTATTGTAAGTTTCCTGAGGTCTCCCCAGCCACGCTGAACTGTGAGTCAATTAAACCTCTTTCCTTTATAAATTACCCATTCTTTGGTATGTCTTTATTAGCAGCATGAAAATGAACTCATGCAGTAAATTCGTACCGGGAGTGTAAAGGTAATGTTCAGCAGTGCCACTGCTGAAAAGATACCAAAAAATATGGAAGTGACTTTGGAACTGGGTAACACACAGAGGTTGAAAGAGTTTGGAAGGCTCAGAAAAAGACAGGAAGATGTGGGAAAGTTTGGAACTTCCTAGAGACTTGTTGAATGGCTTTGACCAAAATTCTGAGAGTGATAAGGACAATAAGGTCCAGGCTAAGCTGGTCTCAGACGGAGATGAGGAACTTATTGGGAATTGCAGCAAAGGTGACTGTTGTTATGCTTTAGCAAGAAGATTAGTGGCATTTTGCTTCTGCCCTAGAGATCTGTGGAACTTTGAATTTGAGAGAGATGATTTAGGGTATCTGGCAGTAGAAATTTCTAAACAGCAAAGCATTCAAGAGGTGACAGAGCATAAAAGTTTGGAAAATTTGCAGCCTCAAGATGCAATAGAAAAGAAAAACTCATCTTCTTGGAGAAATTCAAGCTGGCTACAGAAATTGGCATAAGTGACAAGGAGTCAAACGTTAATCGCCAAGAAATAGTGAAAATGTCTTGAGGGTAGTTAGAGACCTTCACGACAGCGCTTCCCATCACAGGCCCAGAGAGCTAGGAGGGAAAAATGGTTTCCTGGGCTGGGTCCGGGGCCCCTCTGCTGTGTGCAGCCTAGGGACCTGGTGCCCTCCATCCCAGCTGCTCCAGCCATGGCTAAAAGGGGCCAAGGTGCAGTTAGGGTCATGGTTCCAGGGGGTGAAAACCACCAGCCTTGGCAGCTTCCATGTGTTGTTGGTCCTGTGGGTGCACAGAAAACAAGAGTTGAGGTTTGGAAACCTCTGCTTAGATTTCAGAGGATATATGGAAATGCTTGGTGTCTTGGCAGAGGTGTGCTGCAGGGGCAGAGCCCTCATGGAGAACTTCTCCGAGGACAGTACAAAAGGGAAATGTGGGGTTGGAGTTCCCACAGAGTCTCTAGTAAGGCACTGCCTAGTGGAACTGTGAGAAGAGGGGCCATCATTGTCCAGACCCCAGAATGGTACATCCACTGACACCTTGCACCATGCACCTGGAAAAGCTGCAGATATTCAATGCCAGCCTGTGAAAGCAGCCAGAAGGGGGCTGTATCATGCAAAGCCACAGGGGCAGAGCTGCTCAACATTGTGGGAGCCGATTTCTTGCATCACTGTGACCTGGATGTGAGACATGGGGTCAAATGAGATCATTTTGGAACTTTAAAGTTTAATGACTGGCCTATTGGATTTCAGACTTGCCTTGTCTCAGATGAGACTTTGAACTTGGACTTTTGAGTTAATGCTAGAATGAGTTTAGACTTTGGAGGACTGTTGAATTGCTTGATTGTGTACTGAAATGTCAGGACATGAGATTTGGGAGAGACCAGGGGTGGAATAATATGGTTTGGCTGTGTCCCTGCCCAAATCTCATCTTGAATTGTCATGGAAGGGATCCAGTGGAAGGTATTTTAATCATGGGGGCGGTTACCCTCATGCTGCTCTCATGATAATGAGTGAGTTCTCATGAGATCTGTTGGTTTCATAAGCGACTTTTCCCGCTTTTGCTTGTCACTTTTCCTTGCTGCCACCATGTGAAGGAGGCCATGTTTGCTTCCCCTTCTACCATGATTGTAAGTTTCCTGAGGCTTCCCTAGCCATGCTGAACTGTTAGTCAATTAAATATCTTTCCTTTATAAATTAACCAGTCTCGGGTATGTCTTTATTAGTAGCGTGAGAATGGACTAATACAACAAGTATGTGGGGGAAATACACATATGATATATGACAAACCTCATACATTCTTGTGGAATGTAAAATGATGCAGCCTCTTTGAAGAACATATTTACAGTTTCTCAAAAAGTAAAGTATAGGGCAATTATATAACCCAGAAATTCCAGAGAAATATATTCAAGAGAAAAGACATATATACCCATACAAAAATATGTGATTATGCATGGTCAGATTCTTTAAAATAGCAAAAATATTAGAACAACCCAAATGCCTATCAACTGATAAATGGATATATAAAATATGATGTATCTGTACAATGGAATACTATTCTACAATGAAAAAGAACGAATTACTGATAAATGCTACAGCATGGATGAACTTGATAACATTGTGCTGAGTGAAAGAAGATACTCAAAAATGATGACATATTGTATGACTGTATTTATAGAAAAAAATCCAGAAAATAGAAAATAAGTGCCAAGAAAAAAGCAAGCAATATTGTAAATTTTAATCTAACCATATCAATGATCACTTTAAATGTTAATGATGCAAAGTCACCAGTTAAAAGACAGACATTATCAGATTGGATAAAAGCCAGACTCAATTATAAGCTGTCTAAAAGAAACTCTCTTTATGTATAAAGACATAGATAGATTAACATAAAAGATGTTTTTAATACCAAGAGTTTTTTTAAATAACTGAAATTAATGTAGATGACAGGTTGATGGGTGCAGCAAACCACCATGACACATGTATACCTATGTAACAAACCTGCACGTTCTGCACATGTACCCCAGAGCCTAAAGTATAATTAAAACACACACACACACACACACACACACACACACACAAAATTGTGTTTGTAAGAAGTTATGTAACTGCAATGTCTTCATGTAGTCAAAATAAAACACACTGGGAACATTGGTCATGTTCCATTTTCAATTTTTGTATTTTAGCCCAAATTCACAAATAATAATATTAATCAATACCTATGAAAAGTTTAATTTGAGATTCTACACTTCAAGTACTCTTTATGTCAGGTGTGTTTTTGACATTGTTGATGCTACTATTATGGTTTTATAATTTTATTTATTTATTTGTTTGGTTTCCTTATTCAGAAACAGATAGCTTTCTTCTTTTCTCAATCTGAGAGCGATCCAACCATTTCATTTTCTGTAAAGTGCATGCTAAAAGTAATGAGGACAGAGTATTCAAAATATAACTGTGAGAATTTTTGAACTAACGTTTTAAATTTAAGTCATTGAGCAATTTATTCTAAAACATATCATTGTGTGGCATTTGTATTAGCAAATCATAAATAGATAACACTATTACCAAATTCACTAGAGAGAGAAGTTTACTTGCCTTGTAAATAGTTGCTTTAATGACTGTTGTAAACCATACATCATTCAGAAAAAAAAATTGCTTTTTTAAACAAAAATGGAATCATCTTCTGCTTGTCATTAGAACTATTTTTTAAAATACAATTTGATACTGGAGAAATTTGACAGCATAGTAAAAATAAGTTACTGAATCTTCACTTTTCCTGACATTTCCTCTTGAGGGTGATTTTAAATGGAATAAAAAATGAACAACAAATAAGCAGTTGCTAGTTCCTTTACCAATTCAGGTCTGAAATGCTCTGATAGTTGTTGTGCCCTTTGCTTTCGTTCATCTCGAGAATTCATTTTAGTTTGTATATTTCACTCTCCTAGGGATAAAAGGAACCTCTGATGGTCTGTTCAATACCTGCTACTTGATTTAGTGACCAGTTTGAAGGACTATCTTGTTTCTGGGGATTTTGTTGAAAATGCTTTTCTTTTTCATATGGGAAAAACAATCAGTTCAAATAAATCAACCTTATCCACATATATTTTATTCAAGCATCCCTGGTGCTGACTGTATTTATTTTTGATATTCACAGTCTAACAGATGCCAATATAACTAACAAACACATTTGTAGTTCAGTTTTACAAAGATTTACCAAACTAAAACACTTGTTTTAGAAGAAAATAATGTTTGGAAAGAATCTCAAAATTTTCTGTGAACTCCCTTAAGCATGAAATAGTGTTGTCATTTATTCATTGAAGTCAAACTATATAGTTGAGAATCTGATGATAAAACAAAAAGTAAATATTTAAAATTTCCTTAGGAGGCTTGTCAAAATGTAAATATATTCTCAGTAGAATGTCTGTAAGCACTATGCAATTACCCACAATCCCAACAAAATTAAGACCCTGAGGATCCTGTGTTACTTTTGACCTTGATCTATTAATAAACTGTAAGTGTCCTTTAAGTTTGTCACAATAGCTTTACTGAACACTCTGTTGACACGATTTTTTGGTTTTTGTTTTCCACTTTGTTTGCTTGTTTATTCTATCTGCACTGAGAAAACAATGCAAATGGAATTAATTTATACAAGGTAGGATATTTTTAATTTAACAAAGCAGGGAATGACTATATTCACATTAATGTTAAGCAAAAGTTTTAGTGAATTTTGTGCTATTTTGAAGGGAAAGCTATAGAGGTGTGGTGTTTCTGTGTGCACACATGGGTGTGTGTTAACACAGCATCTATCAGTTCTGGGAAGCAGCTTAAGCTTAGAAGAGGATAAAGTCTCTATCTATGGTCACAGGAGTATTCTTATTAAAGAACTTCAGGGCATGCTACGTAATCTCTCTGATCAATCATAAACTTAGCATTGTTATTGTGAAACTATTGACAAAATGAATTTGTTTACTATTTTATACAGTTAAGAGCTATATAAGTTGCCACACAACTAATAGGAAATATGAAGTATACATTTTAGTTAAATCTAATTTTAATTTAAAATGTTAACACTTTCCTGGCAAGTACTAGCAATGTTATCTAAAATTTACTGAGCTATGTTCTTGAGCAAATCCATAAAGGTGAATAACTAAAATACTTGGAAAAGGGAACAGAAAGTGAGTTAAACTGACAAATGATTCAGTTTTCATTACATATATTGCAAAATAAATTAATATAAATATGAACATGATTCTGTGTTAGAATGGAGAACCTATGTTAAGTAGGTAAATAACGCCCCTCCAGGCTTTCTTTTTTTTTTTGAAAGAAAAACAGTCCACCTATGAGAAGGGAAGTATTCCCTAAGAAAAGCAGATTTCCAGTGAGGGAATTTTAGAAGTCTCTGACTCATGTATTCAGGAAAATATTCAGAAGTGAAATATTGGATTTTTGATCTTTATTAATATGTAATTCCCTGAATATGAATAATATGTAGTTAATTACCAATCTTTCACTTATGTTTTCATTATATTTTCATGAATATCCCTAATAGGGATAATGAAAGTATTTTTATATTATAGCAACACCATAATTTTGTGGAAATTATTCCCTTCAATAGAACATGTATATTTATTATGCACTAAGTGTCTTAGAGCCTAATGAGCTCTTTTTCTTAAATATTATTTTTAAATAAACTAGAAAAAAAATTTTAAAAACCCTATACTTTTATACAATTTGAGGCTAGATATCTAATATTCTGGTTTAAAATTATTTATACCATAATTAAACAGAGTGGCACTTACTAATATTTTTGAGTCAGAACATGGGGTATATATTATATATTTTGGAAATACGATTTCTAGAAATACAATGTAAGTAGGTACTGAAATGAATGGGTGAGGTACTTTGTATATGTGGATATGGGATCAGCGGCAAAAGTGAGCTATAGCAAGGGTTGTGATATTGTATAAACTAGAACCATAGTCATTTATACCTTTTCCTGGTTGTACAACATGACTGATTTAGTGTCAGTTAACTATCTCCCATATACATGGGATTTCAATAATGCTAATAGAACAGGCCAATATGGGATAACAACAGGACCATGTTCACTCTGAGCAAACAAACTTCAGGAACTAGGTTGTAAGAAATTAAACCAAGTGGAGGATTTCATATTAATGTAATACATGATGTCAACCTAATTGTTGTCTTTGATTCAAATTACATAGGGGGTATAAACAAGCTTTATGACCTGAAAAACTCTGTAAACTCTACTAGTCTAAAATAGTATTTATTTTTCTTTTGGGTTTGATGACATTACTTTAATCCCAGGAGGTTAAAAGAAACAGTATAGACTTAATGAAAAAAAAAAGAATTAAATCCATGATGCTTATATTTAAAAACATACATGTTTTAATAAAATAATGTTTTATCACTACAATGACTTATATATCTTTCATATTTTTAAAATATTTAAAGTGTTTTGATATTAAAACTTATGGCTTGTCCTTAAAATCTATGGTTTTATCAAATTTTAGAAGAATTTTGTTAAATAAATTTTTGATCAATATTTTTTGTATTAGAGATAATTTATAAAATGCTAAAGCTTTTATTTTTCAGCTATGTAATTAGCAATACATTTTATTTAAAAATTTATAATTTAATGATGCCTAAAGGGGTTTACATAGTTGGAAAAGGGGATAGAAAGGGATTGGAATTGATATATGATTCAGTACTTAACCGTATATATTGCAAAATAAGCTAAAATAAATATAAACATAATTCCGTGTTAGAATAGTCAACCTGATTTAAGTAAATAATGCCCCTCTGGACTTTCTTTTCTTTTGAGAGAAAAACAGTCCACTTAGGAGAAAGGAAGTATTCACCAAGAAAAGCACATTTCCAATATGAGAACAAATTACCAATATAAATATGTTGAGTAGTCCTTTCCACATGAATATAAACTCAACAACATCTAACATTGAAGAAATAAAAAGTAAACAATAACTAACATTGAAGAGTAAAGAGTATACAGACACATATCAGCCTGAACAAACATTATTCAAGGATGAGCAAGTATTTAAAAAATAATGAGAACTTGGCCTTAGTGTTGAAGAGGGACAATGTAGTTTTGAAAATAATATTAGACATACATAGAAAATGTTTGTCCTAAATTCATAGTAGAATTCAAGAAGGCTTGAAACCAATAAAACCAAAGGTAAAAAAGACAGGAACACAATGGAATAAAGCCATTCAAACAGACATTGAAAAAAAGAACTGGATTGGAAGCAGCAGTGAAGAATAAGAATATTTTATTACCAAAGCAATAATAATAAAGAAAAAACAATGAGATGCTTCAAGTCATATTAGATTCATAAGTATATAATCAAGAATGTCATTATTATGTAAAAGGCCAAATTCAGGAAGCCCTCCATATTACAAAACAAAATTAAAACAAGATAAAATGGAAGAAAATTATTCATTTGTTATGAAAGGTAATATAAATTCAGACTATGGACTATTGGTATTTCTGGAGAATAAAATAAATCCATAAAAGTAATAATATTTAATAGAAGTAATCATTTTCTTTATTAATTCCTAAATGTGAATATCTATAAGCTTTAATTTAGAGATTAATGGTTACATGCAAATCTGTTGGCCTCAGATATATTTATAATAATAAATGCCAGAAAAGTAAAGAATAATATACACATATCTCTGAAAGAGTTCAAAAATTTATGCTATTTTATTCATGAAAAGAAAATATAATATTTTTCTCAGATACGCAAGAATCAAAATTTTTTAGAATTATGAAAATAAATGGCCTAAACTAAGAGTTAACTGTTAAAAAAGTCAAATTAAAGAAGTAGTTTCAGATGATCTAGAGTTTAAAACACTACTTTAAGGCAAAAAAAAACAAAAAAGCATCACATTTTTACTATCTTCAAATATCTATCAAGCTATAAAAGGTATAAATACAAACAATAAATAAACATAACATCTATATAAATAGGTAAACTAGTACATATTAACCAACTGACCATATAATCCAAGGACAACCTTTTCATATTTATTAAGAAATGCCCAGAATGTACCAGATTAATGGCAAAACCAAGTGTATTAGTTTTCTAGGGTTGTCATAATCAAAGTATTACAAATTGGGTGGCTTAAAATGAGAGAAATGTATTGTCTCAAAGTTCCAGAGGCTAAAAGCATGAAACCAGTGATAGAATTAGGCTTCCTCTAAAACCTTTTGGGTAATCTTTTCTTGCCTCTTCCTAGCTGCTGGCGGTTTGCCAGCAATCTTCAGCATTGCTTGGCTTGCAATGGCACAACTCTAATTTCTGCCTTCAGTTTCACATGGTATTCTCCCTGTGTGTCTCTGGGTCTTCAGAGAGCTGTCTTCTTTTACCCTACAGCAGTAAGACCTCATCTTAACTTAATACATGTGAAAAGATATTATTTTCATATAAGATCACAGTCTGAGGTAGTGAAGGTTAGGACTTCAACTTATTTTGGGAGTGGGAGGAGTGACATGATTCAACCCATAATAACCCTCTGTGTTGGCAAAAGACACAGTTCATCCCACAGAGGGTGGTGAAAAAAAAGGCGATAAAGGGATGTAGTTTGTAGATCCTGTTTTGATTGCCTACTCTTCACCCCATTGGGTAAGGAGGTTTTCCCATCTTAGGATTTTGGAGATGGCTAAGCAAATGATACATCAACATTGGATAGATGAGATCAACAACAATTTATTATTCACATATACTCATAGCCTGGTGGTGGAACATACCACGCAGTGCAGGGTCACACAGGGGTTACACTGAGGCACAGAATGAATGAGCAGGGGATATCAGAGGCAGTCTTTGTAGTAACAAGAGGATGAGATGACCTCTGGTTTTCATAGGAAGATGTGATTGATTTGTTTGAATATTTTGTGGAATGACAGGGAATTGTAGCCTGCCACTAGGGGATAAGCAAGAACTGTGGGTGGTCCCCATCAGGAGGATGCATTTGACACTCCTGATTCACCGCTCATGAGAGGCAAGGAGTTTAGTGACTCCATACATAATACCTTTGACCATATGTGGAGATCCAAGGAACATAATGAAGTTGGTTGGTTGCTTCTAAGTTCATGGACAAAGTGATGAAAGAAAATGATGAACTCAGGGATTCTATCTCCTGGCTTCAGAAGCAGATACTGAGCCTCAAATCTGCTAAGATTGCCATGAGTGAGAGTCTTGTCTCCTGTAGAGAAAGAGCTGAAATTGTGAGGGAAAAAAAAACAAAAAACAAAAAAAAACAAAAAAAACAACAAAAAAAAAACAAGCTCTTATCATGCAAGTGGCAGACCTGTAATGAAAGGTGCGTGGCAGCCTCACCAGGTGTCTACTGTTAAAGTGAGAGCACTGATTGGAAAAGAATGGGGCCTTGCAACTTGGAATGGGGACGTGTGGGAGGACCCTGATGAAGCTGGGCACACTGAGTTTGTAAACTCTGATGAACATTTTTTGCCAGAAGAAACAACTTCCCCATCCACAGTAGTGGCAGGATCCCCTCCTGGACCCACGCTGCCATTAGCCTTTCCACCTTTGTCTGAGGAGATATACCCTGTGCTGCCTGAGGCAACAGTGATGGCCTCCCCTGAGGCAGTTGCCAGGCAAGATAATGTTGGTTCTTCTCAGAAGCCACCCCCAACACCTATGTTTGTTTCTAGACCTATAACTAACATCCCAGCAGACTCCTAGAGGTGAGGTTGAGAGTGTGACCCATGAGGAGGTGCACTACACTCAAAAAGAACTGCTTGAGTTTTCTAATTTATATAAATAGAAATCTGGAGAACAAGCATGGGAATGGATATTAAGGGTGTGGGATAATGGTGGAAGGAACGTAGATTTGGATCAGGCTGAATGTAAGACATAATACTTACATGATACCTTTGACCATAAGAAGGGACTCTGCATTTAATTTGCAGCTTTGGGAGTTAAGAATGGTTCTAATAGTTTATTTGCTTGGTTAGCTGAAATACGGATTAAAAGATGGCCCACTGTGAGCAAGCTGGAAATGCCTGATCTCCCTTGGTGTAATGTAGAGGAAGGGATCCAAAGTCTTGAGATTGGGATGGTGGAGTGGATTAGTCACTTTAGACATGCTCATTCTAGCTGGGAGGGTCCAGAAGATATACCCTTAACCAATGCCTCTAGAAATAGATTTGTGAGGGCAGCACCTGCATCTTTGAAGAGCCCTGTATTGCTCTTCTCTGTATGTCAGATCTAACAGAGGGAACCACAGTCATGCAACTACAAAATTTAAATACAATGGGAAAAATTGGATCTAGAGTTGGCAGGGGCCAAGTGGTGGCACTAAACCATCAAAGGCAAGGTGGGAGTAGCTACCATAATAAACAGCAAAGGCAAAGCAGCAATCAGAATAGTCTGACTTGTGTAGACCTCTGGCATTGGCTAATTAATCATGGTGTTCCTAGAAGTGAAATTGGTAGGAAGCCTACTGCATTTCTACTTAATTTATACAAGCAGAAAACTTCTAGGTTGAATGGACAAAAGACTAATTTGAATTATAAAAACAGAGAATCATGGCCCCTCAATCAATTCCAAGACTTTAGGTAGTTTATAGACTCAGAACCCCTTGAAAAAAGGCTAGGCTGGGTCCCCTTGAGGAAGGACCCTACTACATTGCCAACAATTTGTGCAGTGAATCTTTCTCCCATCCTTCCCCAAGGAGATCTCTGGTCTATTATCAGGGTAACTCTGCACTGGGGAAAGGAAATGATCAGATATTTCAGGGACTACTAGACACTGGCTCTGAGCTGACATTGATTCCACAGGACCCAAAACATCATTTTGGTTCTCCAGTTAAAGTAGGTGCTTATAGAGGTCAGGTAATTAATGGAGTTTTAGCTCAAGTCCGACTTACAGTGGGTCCCTGGACTCCTCCTGTGGTCATTTCCCCAGTGCATAGACATGCTCAGCAGCTGACTGAACCCCCACATTGGCTCCATGACTTGTAGAGTAAGGGCTATTATGGTGAGAAAGGCTAAATGGAAGCCATTAGAGCTGCTTCCACCTAGAAAATAGTAAATAAAAAACAATATCTCATTCCTGGAGGAATTGCGGAGATTAGTGCCACCATCAAGCCCTTGAAAGATGCAGGGGAGGTGATAAATACACAAATAGGTTGGAATTAAACCAATTGAAAAAATATATAAACATGAAGATTAGGACTTTCATTTGTCTATATTAAGATTTTCATTTGATTATCTTAACTAAGACTTTCATTTGGGTATATTAATAAGAGACATAGTAGATTCCAAAACAAGCAATATCACTAGTAACAGAAAGGATTATTACTAATGAAAGAGGAATTTATCAAGAATTCACACCAATCTTAAGTGTGTATGCCTCTAACAGAACTTCAAATATATGAGGCAAAAACTAACAGAACAGAAAGGAGAAATATATAAAATCCCAATTACTGTTAAGTGTTTTAACACTTTGATGAAATTAAGTGGTAGAACAAATAGAAAACCACTTATAGGAGACTTGGAATACACAGCTGACACATACAGAATATGTCACCTCCAACAGCAGCAACCAGGCTATTTTTAAATACATGTGGAACATCTATCAATCGAAATTATATTCCAGATTATTAAAAAACTTGAGAAGGATAAAAATAAACCAAAGTATGTGCTTGAAAAATAAAACTTTTTAGAGAAGTAGAAATTCAAAACAGAAAGATATCTGAAAAATCCACAAACACATCTCTAAATAACCTTTGAGTCAAAGGTAAATTACTAGGCAAATCTTAAAATATTTTGAAGTGAGTAAAAATAAAAACGCAATTATCAAAATGGATTAGATTCTTCAAAACAGCTATAGATTAGTTTATATATTTAAGTTATACAAATTTTATTAGAGGAGAAGGTCTAAAATCAGTAATCTAAGCTTCATCCTAAAATAGAAACTTAAAATGCAAAATTAAAACCAACGCTAAAGGACAGAAAAAAATAATAAAGACAAAAACACAAATAAACAAAAGGGAAAATGAAAAATAAAAAAACCAAAAACATAAAAAGGTTTTTTAATTAATAAAATTGATCACCTGAAAAAGAGGAGCTAAATTAAGATCAGGAGTTAAAGATGGGTTCTAACTACAGATCCTACAGGCAATTAAATATTAATAAGGGAATATTATAAAGTTTTATGATAATACATTTGACAAGTGTTTAAATGAACAAGCAATAAATTTATAATTTTATTAAATTTAATAAGTTTATAAAATTTATAAAAATAAAAATAAATTCCCAAAAGAGAATGAAAAAAATAATCTGAATTGCCCCATTTTCTATTAAATAATTTGACTTCATAATTAAACATTTCTTCATAACAAAGTCTCCTGGGAGGATGGCTTTACTTGAGAACACTATCAGACATTTAAGGAATAAATAAATACAATAAAATAAAAAGAAAAATATTTCATTACATATGCAAATTATGTAACATTAAAATTTCAATATCTGTAGTTTTAGTAAAGCTCAGCAATATTTTTTGTTTGTTTGTTTACATATTATCTATGATTCCTTTCATACTACAGTGAAAGAGTTGATTAGTTGCAACAGAGACTATATGTGTTGCTTTCATTGCTTCTCACCACTGCTTGGTATCCACCACAAATCACAGCGATGCAGTTATAATGCAATCCTTTTCAGAAAAAATTTTCTGAGTCTTGCATTATAAAAAAAAAGTTGCAACCTGACTCTTGTCCCACATAAAGAACAAAAATAACCTCTAATTAGATCACATATTTAAATGTAAAACACACACCCATGCACACACACACACACACACACACAGAGGGAAAATATTGGTGATTTTTAATATATAAAATTTAAGAAATCTTGTTGTCAAAATCCCAGTTAACAATATGAAGAGGTAAGTAATAGAATGAGATTTACAACATGCATCTAGTACATATATTTTAAAAACCTAAAAATAAACAAGATAAGACAAATTATCCGATAGAAATATATGCATAAAATTGAGTATGCAGTTCACAAAAGACATTAGGGAAATGATCTGAAAGGTACTCACCCTCTTTAGTTATCATTTAAAATAAAACCACATTAAGCCATCACTACTTTCCTACTAGAATGTCAAATATTAAATAGACTGGCAATGCAAATCATGGTTAGCATGTAGAGAAAGAAATACTCTCATATTTTTCTGATCATAGCATGTGGTTAAATCACTTTGGAAAAAATTTTGACATTTTTTACTAAAGTTGAGTATTCTAGCCAGCAATTACCGTCGCTGAGTTATATCCAACAGAAATGTGTGTACATATGTACCAAAAGACATGTACAGGCATATTTATAGCAGCATTATTCATAATATCTCTACACTGGAAGCAACCCAGAAGTGTAAGAGAAAAGAGAAATGAACTGTGTTATATTTATACTATGGAATATGGCTTAGTTCATTTCCTGCTTCTATAACAAGATACCACAGACTGAGTAATTTATAAAGAATAGAAGTGTACTTGGCTAATGGTTCTGGAGGCTGGAAAGTCCTAGAGGATGTCAATGGTATCTGATGAGGGCCATCCTCTGATGAAGACATCATATTTCAAGGTAGCATTTGAGACAGAAAGAAAAAGGGAACTTAACTCTCACAATAACTAACCCACTCCTATGATAATGGCATTATTCCATTCATGAGAGCAAAGCTCTGATGACCTAATTACCTCTTAAACTTTGACCTCTTGAAACCATCACAATGTCAATTAAATTTAAACATGAGTTTTGGAGGGGATGTTCAAACAATAGCAGAACACTACATAACAATGAAAAAGTGCACAATTGTAGCATGCAATGCCATGTGAGAGTCTCACCCAAAAAATAAGAAATAAATGCAACCACAAAAATATTCCTATATAATTCCATTAATATGAAGTACAATGATAGGCAATCTTATATTTTGTCAGAGGTCAGAATAATTGGTTTTTGGATGTGGAAGATTAGTGATTGAGAAGCAACATAGAACAATCTTTTGAGTGCTCATAATATTCTTGTTTGTAGCATATATGAAAGTTGTACATCTTTTGTTGTGATAATTAATCAAGTTTTATGCAGGTTTTTGTACTTTTCTGTATGTGTGTTATCTTTCTGAAATATCTTAATGTTTAAAAAGTAACGTGATTTGAAATACAGTTATACACTGGAGATACTGAAGGTTTGGTTTGAGGCCATAACAATAAAACAAATATTGCAATAAAGTGAGTCACACACTTTTTTTTGTTTTCGGCTGCATATAAAAGTCATGTTTACACTATAATATAGTCTAAGTATGTGATAGTGTTATGTCCAAAGAAACAATATACATATCTTCATTTAAAAACACTTTATTGTTAAAAATGCTAATAATCATTGAAGCCTTTCACGAGTCATAACCTTTTTGCTAGTTGCAGGTCTTGCCTCAGTGTTGATGGCTGCTGACTGATCAGGGTGGTGGTTGCTGAGTTTGGGGTAAGCTATGGCAATTTCTTAAATTAAGACAACAATAAAGTTTGCCACATTAATTGACTCTTCCTTTCATGAAAGATTTATCTGTAGCATGTGATGCTGCTTGATAGCATTTTAACCACAGTAGATAGAACTTCTTTCAAAATTGGTGTCAATCTTCCAAACTCTGCCTCGGCTTTATCAACTCCATTTATGTAATATTATAAACCATTGGTTGTCGTTTCAACAATGTTTACAGCATCTTTAGCAGGAGTGAACTCCATCACAAGAAACCACTTTCTTTACTCATCCTTAAGAAACAATTCCTCATATGTTTGTTTTATCATGAGATTACAGCAATTCAGTCACATCTTTACTCTGCTTCTAATTCTAGTTCTCTTGCTATTTTCACCACATCTGCAGTTACTTCCTCCACTGCAGTCTCAAACCCCTGAAAGTCATCCATGAGGGCTGTGATTAACTTCTTCCAAACCATTGTTAACATGGATATTTTGACCTCATCCCATGAATCATGAGTGTCCTTAGTAGCATCTAGATGGTGAATTCTTTCCAGGAGGTTTTCAAGTTACTGTATGCAGCACCATCAGAGGAATCACTATCTGTGGTAGCTATAGCCTCATGAAAAGTATTTCTTAAATTATAACACTTGAAAGTCAAAATTACTCCCTTATCCATGGGCTGCAGAATGAATGTTGTATAAGCAGGCATGAAAGCAACATTAATGTCCCTGCACATCTCTATCAGAGCTCTTGGGTAACCAGGTGCATTTTCAATGAGCAGCAATATTTTGAAAAGAATCCTTTTTCCTGAGGAGTAAGTTTAATCAGTGGTCTTACAATATGCAGTAAACCATCCTGTAAACAGATGTGCTATCATCCAGGTTTTGTTCTTCCATTTACAGTGCAAGGCATGGTAGATTTAGCATAATTCTTAAGGGCCCTAGGATTTTCAAAATGGTAAATGACCATTGGCTTCAACTTAATTTCACCACCTGTATTGGACCCTAGCAAGATTGTCAGCTTATCCTTTGAAGCTTTGAAGCCAGGCATTTGCATCTTCTTCCAGTAAATGGCTATTTTGCATACATGGAAAATTGTTTAGTGCAGCCACATTCATCAATCATCTCAGTTAGATCTTCTGGGTAACTTGCTGCAGCTTCTACATCAGCCCTTGCTGCTTTACCTTGCATTTTTATGTTATAGAAAGAGCTTCTTTCATCAAAACTCAAGACTCAACCTCTGCCAGCTTCAAATTTTTCTTCTGCAGCTTCTTCACCTCTCTTAGCCTTCATAGAACTAACGAAAATTAGGATGTTTCTTGGAATTAGGCTTTGGATTAAGGCAATGTTGTGGCTGGTTTGATCTTCTATCCAGACCACTACTACTTTCTCCATTATCAGCAATAAGGCTGTCTTTCTTTCTTATCACTCACGTGTTCACTGGAGTAGCACTTTTAATTTTCTTCAGTAAGTTTTTCTCTGCATTCACAACTTGGCTATTTGGCACAAGAGGCTATGCTTTTAGCCCATCTCAATTTTCAACAACCTTCCTCACTAAGCTTAATTGTTTCTAGCTTTTGATTTCCGGTGAGAGACACATGATTCTATTTTTTCACTTGAACACTTAGAGGCCATAGTGGGGTTTTTAATCGACCAAATTTCAATACTGCTGTTTCAGGGAATAGGGAGGCCCAAGGAGAGGGAGAGAGATGGGGAAAATCTGGTCAATGGAGCAATCAGAACACACATATCTATCAATTATGTTTGCTGTCTTATATGGGAGTGATTTGTGGTGCCCCCCAAATTTACTATAGTAACATCAAAGATCACCATAACAGATATAATTTAAAAATTTGAAAATTTAAAAAGTGTGAGAATTACTACAATATGATACAAAGACATGAAGTGAGCACATTCTGTTAAAAAAATGCCACAATTAGACATGATGGATGCAAGGTTGGTACAAATTTTCAATTTGTAAAAACCACCATATCTGCAAAATACAGTAAAGTAAAATGCAATATAATGAGGTATACTCATCATAAGACTCTTTGAGGGGTAAGGTAGCTGTGAGTCGTAGCTTAATGATATTAATCACATCACTATATATAAAATTTTATTTCTACGCTTTTGTACATCACAGTCACATACATCAAATGGTTTCCTCAAGGCATAATGCATCCAATATTTTTGATATAGGATGCTTTTGTTGTACCATTAGGTAAATACATAATTTACATCTAATAGAAGGGCAACTATTTAAGATCAGTAAGCTTTATCTGTAATTTCCTTTCTCTAGAATAAATAGTTTCCTTTTTCCATTCATTCAAAATAAAAATTTCTATGTCCAATTGGTAGAAAACTTTCTACTTGCTATATTGCCTGTGGGTAGCTCCTTCCACTTCAGTGAACATCTATGATCCCATGTATGTGAATATGGAACCTATATAGCTTCTATAGACTAGTTATCCAGAACTCTACAATACTAAGAGCTTGTGAAATGCTGACACATTGATCTGCTTTGACTTACAGTAGTATCCAAGCCTACACGATAGAAATATAAACTTACAAATAATTTTAGCTGCATCCTTTCAAAACCCAGAAAATTCACACATGTAGCACTATTAGTATTAATTATATCAATAGTACTATATATTTATTCATTCTTAAACTGTACTACATTCACTCATCTCTCAATAAAGCTTACAAATTGTTTTAAAATAGCCATTATGCATTAGTTCTCTTTAGTTGAGATGTAAGTTTTCCTTTGGAAAACAGATAATATAAAATAAATTAGCTAAAGTCAAGTCTTTTTCTGTTTATGCAAAGGAGAAAGAATAATAATATAATAATGTTATTGGTAGGGAAACATATATTACATATATTGCAGAATGTACAATCTCTTCTTTGTTAGGAAATCACTCACTGCTGAAAGACAAATTGATGACAACTTTGTTATTGTAAAGTACTTCTGATATCACACTATTCCCATCGTGATCTTTACCAGCATATTACTGTGTCTGAACCCAAATGTAGTTTAATGATAAGCTTTCTAGAAGAACTGAAAGGAGATTTAATTTAGTCCCAGAAAAAATCTATTTCTATATAATCACAGAAAATCAAAATCTATATAGTCAAGGAAAGTCTGTTTCTACTAATGACTCAAAGATGGTTATTTCTATAAATAGAAAACATACAATTCTTATGGAAAGTGTCATAAAACTATTTCTCGATGAAGCTGTCTGAGATTTCAATGAAGACAGAGGAGAACACTTTCCAGGACATATATTCTTATATTCTCACAAGTTTACCATAAATCCCAAGAAAAACAAATGGGGAAACAGCAGTATTATTTGTATAATATCATCCTCTTTGGAATAAAACAGTTATTCTCAGCTAGGGTAATCAAATAGAGATTACGCAAACTGGAGGATTTTTTTATAGTAGTGTTTGTTTGGCTTTCATGATGTTAGTGAAAATATTTTAAATGCTCCAAATTTCACTTTTTCTACTTTATCAAAGAGGTTGCTCTTAGGCCATTTTGCTTTCTCCTGTATTTTCAATTGGGCCTTCACTACTTGGCTGTGCATATTGGTTACCACCATGCTTTTTTCCTAAAAAAAAAAAAACAAAAAAAAACAGAAAACATATTGCTCTTCTAGTCCACTTTTAAACAAAGATTACAGCATCTTCACCTTTCTTTCTACCTTTCCACAGAATTTCATTTTAAGTTTATTTTAGTTATATTTTATATTTCCTTTTTGAGATTCATATTTATATTTTATAATCATAATCAACTTTTCTCTGCTCTATTGATAGGTTAAATCTAAAAGTTGAAAAAATGAGTGATATTGACCTTATTATGATTATAGAAATATTGTTGATTACAGAGCTAACTCACTTCCTTTGCTAATTTTCAAACAATACATTTACTTCATCAAAGAAAATGTTTTAACTACTTATACATTACTTAAACATTTATTTGATTTTACATTTGCACTAAGATTTTTTTCAAGTCCCTCCTCCAAATTTCAAAGATTCCTTAGTAGTTTGTTTTAATATTGAAAAATGTTATATACCTCATTCTCTATATCACCAATAATCTCTAGTGCTTGCTCATTCTTTTTGTGGACTGAAATTCATTACTATCTTCTTAAACATATCTTTTTTAGAAATCCACTGATTTTCTGTTCTAAGTTGTACCTCTTATTTTCTAGGTCAATTGCAGAATACTATCTTGAGATTTTTCTTTACTGAACTTTTCTTGATTTTCACTTTGTTTTATTCCCATACTTGTTGAAGTGACATCCCTAAAAAGACAAATTCCACAACTTTGATCCCCTAGGTGTCTGAAAAAAACTAACCAAAAGCCTGACTGTTTACATAATTTAAGCTTAAAAATCATTTCCCCTTAGAATCTCTAAGAGTGTATTACAGCATCCACTCTATTCTAGCACCTATTATTGCTGAGGAATAATAAGATTCCAGTTGGATTCTTGTACCTTTTCTAGGTTATCTTACTTTTCTTTCTGGAAACATTTAGATTATTTTTCCCTTGACTTTTTCTCTGAAAATCTTATGGCCTTCCTACAGCCAAATCTGAAGTACATATTTTGATTTTGTTAATCTCTCAGAAGTGTTTCTCAGAATTTAGCACTTCATTCTTATTAAAACATTCTGTTCTATTGGCTTTTAGGGCGACGTATTCCATTCATATAATGGAGCTATCAAATCTGTAAACTCTTAGACACTCATGCCTTTTCATTTTAGAGTAGCCACACTCAACAATCTTGAAAATGGCAAAATACTTTTGAGATTGTATTTCTCATTGCCTGATCTAGGGAAAGGAGCTGAACTCGATTGCATGAAAGTGCTCTCAAACTTTTCCCAAAGACTATCAAATCAACCCTTGACATTTACCTAGATTGCACTTGTAATTTTCTTTTCCTCTTTTGCTTGGGCAGGAACCCCTGATAGGTCTACTACAGACAGGTTGCTGGATGCTCAGGAGTGTTCTCAATGTCTCAGTGTTTTGGGGGAAGGCTGCACAAATGGGAAATACAGGAAGTTTTATGTCCAGAATTTCTTAGAACCTTTCATGGCCTGATAAATTTTAACGTTTTCAAATTATCCCTGTGATTTTGACTAAAGAAAGAAAAACAAATTTCTGTCAAAGCACTGCATCTTAGCTTGATTTTCGCCAGATTCAGATCCCAAGGAAGGACTAGTTTATTTGGTTGCAGATCTCAGAAAACATTTGTTAAGGAGTGAGAAGTGACATAGAAAATGAAAGAAGACTAAGTATCTTACCAAGCAAGTTATCCTTGGGAATACTTGGAACCTAATGAGAACCAGAGAACTTTGAGAGTCAGTGAAGAATATGAGTTTCATAACTAATGACAGCATAGCTGTATTTACACACCAACTCCCAGCAATTGTTGGATGGGAGCTGCTCCCATAGTGGGGTAAAGGGAAGCCATTCTTCCTCAGCACTTTTGACCCTTTATGAGGCTGAACTCTGAGTGGTCTCTGCGGGGGTTACATATACTTTGCTCATAGGAAAAGAGATACAGATGCAGGCAGTTGGGAATCCAACAATTTTGCACTGAAATGATAAGGATATGGCAGGGAAACTAGCAACACCTACTGCACACTGGGATAAAGATAGACCTACAGAAGTGATAATAGCTCAATGAAAGGAATAGGAGAGCTTTTGACTCTTGTAACAATCTCTCCTTCTCAAATAACTGGGATTTTGTGTTACTAGGTCTCCTGATTGCCCTGTTTCATACAAGGCTCCTAAGTTCTTGAATAGTGAATCATTTTTCTATCCAGCCTTTAAATTTTGTTTGTCTCCCATATTATCTTGTTCTCACTCCATATACTATACAAGAAAAAAAGATTACCTATTTCTATTCTTTTAGGATTTATTTGGTATAGCAAGAGAACTATCACAGCAAGAATCTTTTCACTTGAAATCTAGATCCATATCTCTAAAAAACCTACTCTGACTTTCCTCTTGAATATCATACTGGCACCTCCTACTAAACTTTTTCATTAACAAAGTTAGTATATGAGACCAACTATTCACCTTTTTATAAATTTCTAATTCCACAGATAGAGGGTTGCCAAATAAAACAGAATGCCCAGTTAAATTCAAATTTCAGGGAAAGAGTAAATACTTTTGTATAGGCAAATCTTAAACAGTACAAAAAGCATACACATGCTAAAAAAATTCATTATTTTTCCGAAATTCAAATTTAGCTGAATATCCTGTATTTTTAAGTTAAGCAACTCTACATTGATTGTCCCATGTTTTTTGTTGCTATCCTCCCTCTTTAAACACACCTGGTCAATCACCAAATACTGCTGTGTTCACTTTGTAAATTATTACCCAGTCTACTCTGTATTTCTAAACAGCTCTATTGCCACTACATTTGTTATAAACACTCCAATCTCTGTCTTGATTACTTAATTAAAATTTGTCTCTTTTCTCCAAAGTGCTGCCAAGATTAGCTCAGACTTGATCATGTTACTTCCTTGAATAATACCTTCATATGGTTTCTAGTTATGCCTAGATCCCAAGTGAAATCCCTACACTGGGCTTATAACGCCTCCATGATATATGGTGTATTCTCAGACTTCTTATCCAGCCCAATCTTATGTCAAGTTCTCACTCACAAGTGAAGCTGAAAACACAATGGACATCCTTTAATTTGTGAAGAAGGACACATTCTTTCCTGCCTCCAGGCCTTCACAATTGCTGTCACTTTCTCAGTGAGTCTATCTCTGATCACACTAGGTTAGGTTTTCTACTACAAATTTCTTAACTATTTCTTTCCTTTTCATTTTTACCTCATTTGTAATTACTGATGTAATGTCTTTATTCCCCTATAGAATTTAAAGCCCAAAGCACATGGGCCAATTATTTTTTTTTCTCATTTATTCATCAACATGTCTAAATATATGTGGGATGAATGACTGAATAAACATTATCCTGGTGAATGCTATTAATAAAATAAAACTACCTCTCTTATTGACTTCTTCTGTATCAGAATAACTCTTCTCTCTCTGTCTCTGTCTGTCTGTCTGTCTCTGTTTTTATTATTTTTTTTTCATAGCCTATGCTGGTCATTAGACTTCCTGGAAACTCTACTTTTCCATCTATCCTAACAGTTTAGAATAATAATAATATCTAAAAGTGCAAATGGCTTCATTTATATTACCCTTAATACACTTAAAGAGGAAAAATGTCTTCAGGTAGGTCAAAGGGAAAATTGTTACATCATTAATCTGAATTTTAACCAGGTGCGAATTAGGAGTGAGAATGGAGGACATCAAATAGAATAATTAGAACTAGAGATGGGCAGAAGCAACTGGGGAACCAAAGCTCAGGTTCAATAGTGCAGGACCACAAAATTGACAGTTAGAGACTGATTTTGCTTGTACTGATAATTGTACATTATGCCTCTCAGTATTTTGCCATTGTTCTAAAAGTCAAGATAGTATGTTATTTTTTCAAGATGGTGGATTGGAGGCTTTTAACATGCCTCAGCCACTTGGAAATACCAAGACAGTGCAGAAAGATAAACTCTGTGAGTTTTAATTCAAGAAGGAAAATGGGAATCCATCAGAATACTGAAGGATATCCCAGATCCCTGGGAAAACATGAGCCAACAAGCCCCTGTGATGGCATCTGACTGATAAAAGGGAGTGAAGCCAGAGTACATGAGAGAAGCAGACAGTCTCCCTCTGTGACTCACCTTTTCACTGGGGATTCAAGCAACACAGTCCAAGAGACAACACTTTGTTCCTTCCAAGTCCTGGAGCTAATGTGAGGAGTGGCTTGGAGGCACAGAGGGGGAAACAACGTGGGAAAATCTGCAGGCATTTTTTCAGCCCTTGGACTGAGAGCAGGATGTCATTTTTAATCTAGGCACATACAAAGTCAGTCATTCTTTGACGACCTAGCAGCATGGTCACACAGACATTTTAGTCTCTTGCCAAAAACTGAAGCACTTGCTCTAGAGCAGAGTAGGGCTCTCCACAGCCAAAACTGTGGGAAGTGCCTGAACAGTAGACACTGGAATTATGTTTTCTCTGTCACAGGCCTGGGGCAGGAGGAGGACTGCTGCAGCTGTGCTTTTTCCTAGACAATGAGACTTGCAGGCAGGGCCAGCTTGGCAACCTGGAACTAGTCTGTGTATTGCTTTATCGGATGCTCCAGCCTGCTCCCCTGAGTTTGTGATGCAACAGGGCCTTTCTGCTCCATCCTCAAGCAGAAATCCAGGCACTTGGGGCACATGTTTCCCTGGGCCAGCAGTCTTAGCAGCCTCCACCCTTCTTGGGCATAGATTATGTTGCAGTGAGACCTCTCTGCTCTACGCCCAGGCACATCCTCAGGCATTCAGAGCATCTACTCACCTAGATCAGCAGCTGGTGCCTCCCCACCCTTCCTGGGCAGAGATCTGGGAGCAGTATTGCTCTTTCTTCTCCACACCCAGGCAGATCTCCAGGCATTTGGAACACCTGCTTTCCTGGTTCAGCACACTGAGTTGTTCCACCTGTCCTGTGCAGAGATCTTGGTGCAGGGGGTACCTCTCTGTTCCATGCCCGGGTAGCTGGAGCAGTCACTCACCTGAACCAGCAGCCTAAGCTGCCCTATCATTCCTGTTCAGAGGTTTCAGTGCAGTGACAACTTTTCTGCTCCATGCTCAGGCTGATCTACAGACATTCAGAGCACCTGTTTGCCTGTATCAGCAACCTGAGCTGCTCCACCCTACCTGTGAAAAGACTGGTACAGTGGGACCCTCTCTGCCACATGCCCGGACATATTTTCAAGTATTATAGCACCCATCCACTTTAGCAGCCCGAGCCACCTCACCTTTCCTGTGCAGACATTATGGTGCAGCAGAGCCCCCTATGCTGCACATCCAGGTAGATCTCCAGGCATCTGGAGCACCTACTTTCATGGATTAGGAGTTTAGGTGACCAACCCCCAATGTAGGAAACATGGAGCCAAGGAGGTTTCCCAGCTCCTAGGCTAAGCACACCGCTGGGCACTTGGTGCTTTCCCACTGAATGATCTCTCAGTGCTGGTGCTTGTGCTTGTGCTTGCCATTAGGGCACCAATAGGTGAACGTTCCTGGTCTGGCCTCACCTATATGGCCCACTGCCACAATTGGGGTCTAGCCAGGGAGCTCAGGCCACTGTGCACCCCAGAGATTAGCCCATTGCCTGAGGCAACAGAGAGTTTCTCCCAGTAAGTAAGAATCAAGTATATACCGAGCCGGGTTGACCACAGCTGGTTCTTACCCGTAAGCACCATCTACTGACTCGTAGGTCAAACCACACAGCCTAATATAAATCCTGCCAAAAGAAGTACATAGGGCTATAGAAGCAAAGCCAAAAGGCCTTACCGAACACTCCCTACAGTCACATCCCCTCGGGAGAAGAGAAGGAAAAGGAGAAAAAAAGCAATAGTATTATAGGGAAAGAAAGGAAAAGAAAAATCCTATCCACATGAAAATTTTACAAAAGGTAGAAGTACCAACATCTCCAAATGAGAAGGAACCAGTGCAAAAATCCTGGCACCATAAAAAAATCTGAATATGGTGACATGAACAAAGGACCACACTCACTCTCCAGCAGTAGTCCAACACCAGAATGAAAACTCAGAAGAGACAGATAAATAATTCAAAGCATAGGCCAGGTGCAGTAGCTCAAACTTGTAATCCCAGCATTTTGGGGAGGCTAAGGTAGGTGGATCAGTTAAGTCCAGGAGTTCAAGACCAGCCTGGGCAACATGGTGAAATGCCATCTCTACTAAATAAAGAAATACAAAACATTAGCTGGGTGTAGTGGCACATGCCTGTAGCCCCAGCTACTTGAAAGTCTGAGGCATGAGAATCGCTTGAACCCAGGAAGCAGAGATTGCAGTGAGCTGAGATCATGCCACTGCACTCCAGCCTGGTCAACAGAGCAAGACTCTGTCTCAAAAAAAAAAAATCCAAAGCATGGATTGCAAGAAAGCTCAAGAGATAAACATAATAAAAATAAATCAATCAGAGCTTCTAGAGAAACACAAGGAATTTCAAAATAAAATTGAAAGCTTTAACAATAGCCTGGACAAAGCAGAAAAAATATTTCAGAACTTGAAGACCAGTCTCTTGAATGAACCCAGTCAGATAAAAACAAACAAACAAAACAAAATAAAACAAAAAAAAAAACCAAGTTTTAGTGAAAAAGTCTTCGAGGAATATGGGATTATGTAAAGTGAACAAATCTACAAGGTAGTGGCATTCCTAAGACAGAAGAAGAAAATTTAAACAACCTGGAAAACAAATTTGAGAGACTAATTCAGGAAAATTTCCCTAATGCTTCCAGAGAGGTAGATATTCAGGAAACCCATAGAATATCTACAAGATACCATGCAAAACAAACATCACCAAGGCATAGAGTCACTGGACTGTCCAAGGTCAACACTAAAGAAAAATTCTTAAAAGCAGCCAGAGAAAAAGATCACATACAGAAAACCTCATCAGGCTAACAATGGACTTCTCACCAGAAACCTAACAGGCCAGGACAGATTGGGGGCCTACTTTCAGCATTCTTAAAAAAAAGAAATTCCAAACAAGAATTTCATACTCTGACAAACGAAGCTTCATAAGTGAAAGAAAAATAAAATATTTTCCAGTCAAGCTAGTGGTAAGGGAATTTGTTACCATTCAACCACCATTTCAAGAGATTCTTACTTAAAAGAGTTCTACATATGGAAATGAAAGAAAGATAACTGCTACCACAAAAACATACTTTAATTACATAGCCTATAATGCAACCACACAATAGAAACTATAAAGAACCATCTAACAGCTTCAAAATAGGATCACAATCTCACATACTAATATTAAAAGCCCCACTTAAAAGGCACAGTTGCAAGTTGGATAAAAAATAAGACCCATCTTTCTGCTGTCTTCAAGAGACTCATTTCACAGGGAATGACGTCCACAGGCTCAAAATAAAGGGATGGGAAAAAAATCTACCAAGCAAGTGGGAAACAGAAAAAAGAAGAAGATGCAATCCTCATTTTAGAAAAAACAGACTTTAAACCAGTAATAGTAAAAAGGGACAAAGAAAGGCGTTACATAATGGTGAAGGAGTAAATTCAACAAGAAAACTTAACTAGCCTAAATATATATGCACCCAACACTGGAATGCGAAGTTCAGAAGAAAAAAATTTCTAGGCCTTTGGGAAGACTTAGACAACCCACAATGATAGCGAGAGACTTCAACACCCCACTTACAGCATTAGACAGATCATTGAGGCAGAGAACCAACAAAGATGGACTTAAATTAGACCCTTAACCAATTGGACCTAATAGACATCTACCGAATACTCCACTTATCAGCCACAGAATATACATCCTTCTCATCTACACATGAAACATAATTCAAGATTGACCAAAATCTTGCAAAGACATAACAACAACAACAAAAACTACAGGCCAATATCCCTGATGAACATAGATGTAAAAATCCTCCACAAAATACTAACAAACCAAATCCAGCCACACATCAAAAAATTAATCTACCACAATCAAATAGGCTTCATTTCTGGAATGCAAGGTTGATTCAATATATGCAAATCAATGAATGTGATTCACTATATAAACAGAATTAGAAACAAAAATCAAATGATCATATCAATAGACACAGAGAAAGCTTTCGATAAAATCCAGCATCCCTTCATGATAAAAACCCTCTACAAACTAGGCATTGAAGAAACATACCTCAAAACAATAAGAGCCATCTATGACAAACCCACAAACAACATCATACTGAATGGACTAAAACTTGAACAATTTCCCTTGAGAACTGGAAGAAGACAATAATGTCCACTCTTACCACTCTTGTTTACCATAATACTGGAAGTCATAGATAATGCAATAACACAAGAAGAATAAATAAAATGTGTCAAATAGGAAAAGAAGTCAAATTACGGCTCTTTGCTCATGATATTATTCTACCTCTAGAAAAACCCTAAAAACTCCTCCAAAAGGCTCCTGGAACAGATAAATGACTTCAGTAAAATTTCAGGACACAAAATCAATATACACTATCAGTAGCAATTTTATACACCAATAGAGTTCAAGATGGAAGCCAAATTAAAAATGCAGTCCCATTTACAATAGCCATACACACAAAAAGACACCTAGAATTACATCTAATCATGGAGGTAAAATATCTCTATAAGGAGAACTGCAAAACACTGAAGAAATCATAGATGACACAAACGAACAAAAAAATCATTCCTTGCTCACGGATTAGAAAGATCAATATTGTTGAAATGACCATGCTGCCCAAATCAATCTTCAGATTCAATGATATTTCTATCAACTACCAATGTTATTGTTCAAAGATTTAGAAGATACTATTCTACAATTCATATGGAAGCAAAAAAGAGCCAAAATCACCAAGTAATTCTAAGCAAAAAGAACAAAACTGGAGGTATCACATTAGCCGACTTCAAACTATACTATAAGGCTACATTAATTAAAATAGCATGAAACTGGTACAAAAACAGACACACAGACCAATGGAACATAATAGATAACCAAGAAATAAAATTGCACATGTACAGCCATCTGATCTTCAACAAAGTCAACAAAAACAAGCAATAGGGAAAGGACTCCCTATTCAATAAATGGTGCTGAGACAGCTGACTAGTTATATGTATGAGAATGAGGCTGGACCCCTACCTTTCACCATAGACAACAATTAATTCAAGATGAATTGGAGATTTAAATGTAAGACCTCAAACTATAAGAATGCTAGAAGAAAACCTAGGAAACACCATTCTGGACATCAGCCTTGGGAGAGAATTTATGACTAAGTTTTTAAAAGCATTTGCAATAAAAACGAAAATTGACAAGTGGGTCCTAATTAAACTAAAAAGCTTCTGCACTGCAAAAACAAAAAACAAAATAAAACAATAACAACAAAAAACAACAACAACAAAAACCTATCAACAGAGTAAACAGGCAAGCTACAGAATGGGAGAAAATATTTGCAAATTGTGCAGCTGACTAAGGTCTCAGATTTAGAATCTATCAGGAACTTAATTCAACAAATAATTCCATTATTTCCATTATAAAATTGGCAAAACACATGTATGAACCCTTTCCAAAAGATGACATACAAGTCAAAAAATATATGAAAAAATGTTCATCAACACCAATCACCAGAGAAATGAAAATCAAAATCACAATGAGATATCATTTCACACCAGTCAGAATGTCTTTTATTAAAAAGTCAAAAAATAACAGATACTGGAAAGGCTGAAGAGAAAAATGAATGCTTATACATTGTTGGTGAGAATGTAAGTTAGTTCAGCCACTGGGGAGAGCAGTTTGGAGATTTTCTCAAAGAACTTAAAACACAACTACCATTTGACCCAGCAATCCCATTATTGGGTATATATCCAAAAGAAAATAAATCTTTCTACCAAAAAGGCACGTGCACTTGTATATTCTAATAGATGATGTCCGTTAATAAGCAAATGGATAAACTGTGTTATATCCAGAAAATTGAATATGATTCAGCATTGAAAATTATTAGCTATCAAGCCATACAAAGACACAGAGGAAACTTAAATGTATATTACTAAGTAAAAGAGTCTAGTAGTCTTACAAGGCTACAGTACCATATGATTCCAAATATATGACATTCTGGAAAAATTTATAACTGTGGAAATGATAAAAAGATCAGTGGTTCCCAGGAGCTAGGAGGGAGGGGATGATAAGAAACAGAACACAAGGATTTTCGGGCAGTAAAATATTTCATATGATACTCTAATGATGTATAAATGTCATTACACATTTATCTGAGCCCATAGAAACTACACCAGCAAGAGAGAACCCTAATGTCAACTATAGACCCCAGGAGGTAAAGATGTGTCAATGTAGGTTCATCAGCTGTATCAAATGTACCTCTCTGGTGTGGGATGTTGATGGTGGGGGAGGCTATGCATATGTAGAGCAGGGGATATATAGAACTCTGTGCTTTCTGCTCAATTTTGCTGTTAAATAAACTGCTTTAAAAATATCTATTAATTTTTTTATAAAACAAAGCACCATTAAACGAACACTAAACGTGGGTCTTAATAACTAGAAATATTTGTCTTCAGGATGACAGTTAAAGATGACAGAATTCAGTAAAATTTCATAGAATATAATTCTGTTGAGCAAAACAGTAGATAACTGACATCTGAACAAAATTGGTAAGTGTATTAAAATCAAACATAAGCTACCCTGTATTTCCCTAGGGATTTTATTGGTGGTCTATTCAAAATCATGCTTATATACACTCTTATCCACCTATTGATTCTTTTGTCAAATTAATTATTGTGTCCTTAAGAATCAACATTGTTTTCTATGATACAAAAAAGAGTCAATATAATTACAGATAAATTATATCTAAATATTACTATCTTAAACAGTTTGGACTGCTTTAACAAAGTATCATAGAATGAGTGGCTTATAAACAACAGAAATTTATTTCTCACAGTTCCAGAGGGTAGAAGCTCCAGATCAGGGTATCAGCCTGGTCGATTTGGATGAAGACCCTCTTCTAGACTGTAGACTCAGCCTGCTGGATTTTGGTGAAGACTCTCTTCTAGGTTATAGACTGCCTACTCTCTGTCCTCACAAGGTAGAAAGAGAGAGTTAGCTTTCTGGACTTCCTTGCAAGGGCACCCATTCACAAAAGCTCCATCCTCATGACCTAAGTACCTCACCACCTCTAAATATTATCACATTAGAGATTAGATTTCGATACATAAATTTGGGGGAGACATAAACATTCCATCCATAACGATTGCTTTCTAGAAAATAGAATAATGCATAATTAAATATAGGTATGCCGCTAAGTTTTGATTATTTTTAATTTGGTGATCTTGATATCAGCACGAATAGAGGTTTAATTATTTCAAGGAATTGTGAAGAACAGCTTTGGTAGAATACAGTAAAATCTGATTTTTTTTTTGGCACGTGCTTTAGATTTTATCTGTGCTGCTCATTTGCCTTGCTGAAATGAGCAGATTTTAAGTGGGAGTTTCTTTTCTTTGCATTTAAAATAACTCAGTTGTTGAAAAATATTGTTCATGTGAGCCAATTGATTTTGTTAAAAGCCTAAGAAAATTTTAAAATGTTTTTAATATAGATGAAATGATTAAGGAAAAGAAATATAATAAAAATATTGTTCTATAAAGGAAATTGCAATGCTCACACATAGACTGAAGAATCTGATACTCTCTTAAATCTGCTAATGTGATCTTCAGTTCATGTAACTAATACATTATTGATATTTCGTGTAGATACTTGTATTATTGTTTTAAGATCCAACAGCAGAAATTCACAACCAAACATCATTTGTAATGGGTAGTGCACATAACATAAACTTCGTTTTGGGGTAGTGTCTGTTTAAGGCCACCTCTCATATTATATAAATGCTCAAATCTATTTTGCTTGAATCTCGATGCTCCAGCATTTTCTCAATTAGCTGTACCAGATCAATTCCTTTTATCCTGTTTAAATCTCACTGGAGGGCTACATATTCATTCACAGACCTTAATCGAGATTCTAGAAAGTACCTTCTAATATTTTCTTGACAGCTTCCAATTTTTTTTCAGTGTATAGTTTCCTTGTTATAAAAAAATGAATACAAAACAACAGAAAGAAATTGATAAAGCACATAGGTAGATCACAAAGCTGATGTTTCTTCATTGATTTTAAGGATTTTTGCCATTTTTAAACTGTTATTATAGACCATGTCATGGAAGCCTAATATAGAGAACAATGACTATTTTTCACCAAAAATTTGGTAAGAAGTTAGGCAAACAAGATTCAGTAGTTTTTAAAATGTAGTTCAGCTGAATTCACAGGAATCTCCATATTGCCAATGAGTATTAAGTAAGGGATATCACAGAAATGTATTTTAGAAAAGATTGGAATATCATGGTTCTGAGAACAGTAAAGTGCTGCTCTGGAATTTTTAAAAAGACAGGCATCATTCAAATGGTGAATTTATAGCTATAAATAAAGTGGTCTTTCCCATAAGTTTTTCATAACTCCTATGTGCACAGTGCCACCAACAGGAAAGACATGAACTATCAAATAAGGATGCATTTCAAATTCAAAGGGAAACTACAGATTTTGAATAATCTTGAAGAGTATAATAACTTTCAGCTGCTATACCATGTCTCTGAGCCATTCTAATCTTGACTAATAACGTTAGCCATTCAAGTAACTACTTTGCTTTTTGTCTAATATGGAGCAGTATTATTATATACTTAGGGTGCATTGCACTGATATTCAAATATTTTGAAAATGACCTGTAGTAAAAATTTTTTATTGTGACCCATAATACATGCATATGCACCCACATACACACAGTTGAAATAAAATTCCAGAAAACAATATTTTAACTTAACATTGTGCAGTAAACTTTAATATTTCATTTTTCTATCCTATTTCATATTTTCGGCCTTCTTGTGGAACAAGTTCTATCACTTTTGCATTCTCATATAGTATACATTATATGAAGACCTTGGACAGTGCCAAATTTTTAATTAAAAGATGTTTGATAAATGCACAAAGCATACCAGCTTCTTGAGTACCAAAATTCTTTCCCTAATGATCATAGTTTTTAAGTTTTGAAATATTTCAAAATATTTTAAAATCTCTAGCCATGAGTAAAAAAATTAAAGATATTGGCATTTGTAAGCAAGTCCCATTGGGAATGGAACCTAGTTGGTGAAAGGGGAAGGGAAGAAGGAAAAGAAGTCAAGGAACTTTGAAAGATACTAGATCTACTTGCTAGCAAATGCAATACTTAGCAATATATATTTTTTTCTTGTTTTTTTGTGTGGTGGTTCTCTCAGTCTTTATGTTTGCTAAGAGGAAAATTTCCCCAGGCCATTCTATAAATTATACCATGAAGCTGTCTGTGATGCTTTTGATGTCTGTTAAGAAACCATTAATAACAACACAAAAAATACAACCTTGAGGAAAATTATTATCCTGCTATAAATTCTAGCCAAACGTACCTAATTTATACTTGTATTTTAGCTGAATCTCTTATGGCCTTAACACTTTCCAATGGTATTTTTCATTTCATTGATAGTTAATACTAAATTAAAATTGTGAGTATATGTGTGTGTTTGTGTGTGTGCATATATATACGTATACATAGATGTTTATATGTGAATTTCAACAACAGAACCATCATATATATTTTAAAATGCCAGGTATATTTATATATTTAAAAGATAAGGCCGGGCGCTGTGCCTCATGTCTGTAATCCCAGCACTTTGAGAGGCCGAGGCGGGCGGATCTCTTGAGGTCAGGAGTTCGAGACCAGCCTGGCCAACATGGCGAAACCCCGTCTCTACTAAAAATACAAAAATGATCCGGGTGTAATGGGTCAAGCCTGTAATCCCAGCTACTTAGGAGGCTTAGGCAGGGGAATCGCTTGACCCCGGGAGGCAGAGGTTCTAGTGAGCAGAGAACATGCCATTGCGCTCCAGCCTGGGCAACACAGCGAGACTCTGTCTCAAAGAAAAAAAAAGATAAATATAATTTTAAAAGAAAATAATATGAATTATTTTTTCCTTTAGCGGTGAATTATTATTTGAATTATAAAGTGCAGTATGGTGCATGCAGGAAAACAAAGACTTGAAACCCTTTAAAAAGCTGTCCCAAAGGGACAACTTACAGATACTACCACAAGGGGGCTCAGTAAGGGAGGGAAAAGGAAGGAATAAGGACATAACATTTTTTAAAATGTGAAAATGCCATTTCATATTTTAAAGATCCTCTCTCTCTCTCTCTCTCTCTCCCTGTCTCTCTCTCCGTCTCCTCTCCCTCCACATTTTTATGAAATAAAAACTAAAAAGCCAGTATTTCTGAGAGGAATTACTGAGTTCTGGTTTGTCTTGCAGCCTACTTACACTATGTTGCAGGAAACTCAACAGACTGCATAGGTACTCAGGAGGTAATTTTTATAGCCAATGCAAATGAGCAGTATACTCATAAATGATGTTATGGATTCAGACATGTTTTTATAAATTCGGATAAAGTTAAAGGTTTTTTCTGAAATATGGGTATAATCAATGTGTATTACTGGACTTCTTTCTCTCCTTCCTCTTCCTTCTCCTTTTTTTTTTTCTCTGTCGTTTTCTTCTTCTTTTGATTTTTCCTCTATATTTTTGTTGCTCTCTCCCTTCTTCTCCTTTTCCTCTTCCACCTCTTCTTTTTCACCTCTCCGTTTCTATAACTGTGTTTTTCCTAGGTTGCAGGATATAATGCAAAGTTCAGAGGCCCTGGAATCAGGCATATTTCAGTTTGATTTTTCGGTTTTTCTGTCTTTGGATGAAATGTTTAACTTTTATGAGCACCATAATTGAAAAAATATTTCCTAATCTGTAAATTTGGAAACACATGCTGCAAGATTGTAAGAGTTTTAGAAAAATATATATATATGTGTGTGTATATATATTATATATAATATATGTATATATAATATATAATATATGTATATATAATATATATAATATATAATATATGTATATATAATATATAATATATGTATATATAATATATATAATATATGTTTATATAATATATAATATATGTATATATAATATATATAATATATGTATATATAATATATATACACACATATAAATATAAAATACCTACCAGAGTAACTGGAAAATATTAATTCCTTAATAAATAGTGGATGTGTTTATGGTTGTGAGAGTATCAATGATTTTATGAATATGAAATGAAATTCATGGTTTAACTTTGGTTATTAGTGTTTCCTTAATTTTCAGAAGCACAATATCTCCTTCACACACATCTTTACTGATCTATGTACCTATAAACCTTTCAGTGTAATACTGTGAAAAATTACAGTTATATGCTGCTGACATGTAAGTACAGTGAGTATGGATGAGCCTCAGTAGACAGAATTTCTAACTATTTGAAGATTTCAAAAAGGAAAACGACATATTTCTTGGACCAACAGTAAGACCCAGCTGATTTTAGAGAATAAAGCACTAAGAACTGAAGAAAAATAAAAATATAGAGAGCAGCAAAACATTTTGTATGGATACTGTAATGGTGAATACATGATACTATGAATTAGTCAAAAGCCAAAAACCATAGAGCATAATGAGTGAAACTTAATGTAAACTATGAACTTTAGTTAATGACAATACATTAATATTAGTCTATCGATTATAAAAAGTGTGCCACACCAATGCAAGATGCTAACCCTTTTCCCATTTGCCCTGAGAATGCTTGTCAGGGCTCTTGCAGCTGCCATGTTTTCCCCAAGAAATATCCATGTAATATCTCACTTTTATTATTATTTTCACATCCCTCCATTATATAGGCTTTGGAAACAAAAGATATCATTCTATATCATTCTATTTATAGCATTTTGTTTTTAGTAGTTGTATATCTATTTACAAAATATAGTAATTTTCGATTGCAGAAAATGTCACACGCAAGAAAACGTAGCATTCTTACCCTTGATGTTAGCATCACTCCTGAAGAGTTGTTGGCTGAAGATTAATTTGACAAATCTGATTTTTCTGAAATAGATAATTCTGATGATTCAGACAATTTTGATATTAGTTCTGTTTAGAAATCACTCCAATGATAGTTTTTATATTTTATTTTCACATGGAAAATCAGTCAGATTGCTTCAGCCTCAAAGAGTGTGCTTATGTAAAATTAAATGAGCACTGGCAGCAAGATGCATTTTTGTTTTCTTAACGGAAAAAGGGTTAACAACAGGGGAAACTGTGGGCAGGGATGATGAAGAAGGAAGTACATGGGAACTCTGTACTTTTTGCCCAATGTTATTGTAAACCTAAAACTGCTCAGAAGACAGTCTGTTAATTAATTTTTAAAAATCTATATGTATACTTCTCAAACAGAGGATGTCTAGTGTTTTCATCTTTTGACAATAAGCATTTATTTCTTCATGCAAAATGTTAAAGTTTACACTGTGGAATTTAAATTACAACTATAATTATTTGATGCTTAACATTTATCTACATTTCTCTGCTATGAATGTACAAGAACGCTTGTACATTAAGATTTTCCTGAAGACAACCTAATATTTAAAGTTTTACTTGTAATAAGATAAAAATAATAAATATTGACCTATTTATTGGGCACTTTCTCTGTTACAGATACTGTGTTAAGTACTTTATCTGCATCATATAAAGCATATTCATAACTTCTAAGAAAGAAATTATTATCCAGAATGTCTTCTAATCTGAATGATATTTATGTACTCATAACTCAAATAACTATGAAAACAGAATATAATGAATTATTTTAACTTCATTTAGAAATTAATGATTTAATAATAGTACATATCCTGAGTTGTGTATTTCTGTTTAACAAGAAAAATGACTAAGATACAGTTGTGTTAAATGCTCATTCATAATACTTCTTATAAATATTAGACATTTATAATATTAACTAGACATATTAAACACTGTTAAGTCAGTAATTCAACTCAAAATTCACAGGAGACTACTATTGGTGCTCTGTCATTATTTCTGAAACTGGAATTATTTATGTAGTGAAAGTATCCAATATTTTTCCATCTATTTCATTTTAAATCTCTGTGTTATATAATATACTTATTGCAAGATTATTAAATTGCAAACAACAGAGGGCTTAGAGAAATTACGCCTTGGATATCATCCTAGAAAATGTCAGACTTTTTGAAAATTAGGGATATTTATGTGGAATATACTTTATTTGAAATAACACAAATATGCTATTTTCAGGTTAGTTTTGTAGAACATTCAGAAAATGAGGAAGTTATATATGTCAAGAATAACTGATGGCTTAATCCAATGCTATCATTGGGCATATGAACAAAAAGAATATGAGAAGTCACGGTTCATTGTAACATAATCAAATGACACTGCCCCTCTAGGGCAAAAAGAGGCACTATGAGATAATTTACTTTGGTTAAAAGCAAACAAACAATGAACGAAAAAAAAGTCAGAAATCATTTCAAAATAAAATGTTTAAACAATACATATATTTTTGATCCATGGCAGCCATGGTGACTTTACCTGCTACACTGATGTTTTCTAAATGAGAAAAGATAAAGAGCAAAAAGAGCACTATAAAGTAATTGACTCTGATTAGAAACAAACAATGAACCCAAAAGGAAAAGCCTTCTCTATTGATTTTATTTTCTGTCTGACATTTTGTAATTTATCTTTCAAATTTCCATTCTAGGAGTGTAGTCACATCACAAATAACAGCATCAAAATGGAAAGATATTGGATTCATAATAAATTGCTGCTGTATAAAGGCATTCAAGCTTTGGTTTTTGGCCCTCCGTGGTTATTCAGTTTATCTACTCCATCACAATATAGGATATAGGATATTTTAAAGAAAATATATCAACTCAATTTTTGGTTTGGGCAATACCTTCTGGTAATAAGTTGTTTTGTCATATGATCTTGTGTGATCCTACATAACTTTATAACTACTCAAATATTCCAATTCAAAAAGTGAAACACAGAATCTCACTTTATAAAGTAATGACTTCTTTAAAAGAAGGTAAATATTAAATTATCCAAAATACTAATTCACCAAAACAACTAGTTTTTAATTAAAAGTTATTTTGAATCACAAAGTTCCCCAAATAACTTCAAACAGTATACTAGAAATCTTGAAAATATAAATTATTGCTGTTTTTATTCAATAAGAAATATTTGTAAGGTATTTTGTTTTTTGGTTTTGTCTATTTTTTATTTGTATTTTATTTTTAATTTTTTTAATTTTTAATTTCAATTTTAAAAATTGTAAATGTCTCTTCTTATCTTGAAAAATCAGTGTAGCAGTCATCAGGTGAAGTCATCATGGCTGCTATGAATCCAAAAATATGCATTTTTTAAATATTGTATTTCAAAATTATTTCTGACTTATCAAAAAGTTGTTAAAATATTTAAAATATGACCGTATTTTGTTCACTGCACTTCACAAATGTTGTTAGCATATTTTTCCACTTTATCATTTCTGTGGGGGCTGGTGGGGGAGGTAAGTTTGAGCACTGAATGGCATATGACATATGGGAAATTTTGATCTGGAGCCAAATATTCTGAACACTAACTGAGGTTCAAAATAAACTTTACTAAATTCTGAAAAAGTGCATAATTCATGTCAGGCTATAAAATATAACCCATCAGTACATCTACTTTTTTGAAAATTTTTATTAAATATTCTTAAGTATCTAGAATGATGTGGAATGTTCCGGAAAAGCTTTCTTAAATTGTCTTTGTTTAGGGTTACTAATTATTTATACACTTAGTATTTGTAAATAATTGAGAGCAAGGTATTAACATTGGATCAAAATATTTTACCATCTTTAATACTAGCAAAGTTGTCTTCCTGTATAGCCAAATTTAGCCCAGGGATCTACCAAACACTGATTCATCAATTTAGTAATAACCAGGGAAGCTGGAGAAAAAAATGGCTTGCCAAAGCATGCCTATTTACTAACCACTAGAGGAAATCAAGGGCCAGCCTGATCCCTTCTTAAAATCCATGAAACAAGGAAGAAGGAAAAGAGAGAGACAGCACCTATAGACTATGTTGTCTATGTTTTATGTGCTCAAAAAGTTATGTATTAGCCTATTTGTATGGCTCAGGTGATATTGGTCTCTGCTCATTGGCAAGCAGATCATTCATTCATTCCTCTTACCAAGGGAGGAGCAAGCGGAGGGAAGAGAAAAACTTGCCATGAGGTGATAACTTCCTCCAGGGCCATAAAAAATCTATGATAAGTTGAAATGGGTTCTTGCATCAAATATACTCCTATTTTGATGTAATATATTATCTGTAGCAATTACAGTTATTTGCCAATTATTTGAAGAAAACAAAAGAGAGAAAACTTTAAATTGTTCCAGTTTGGTGAAAAGGTATTCTGAATAATAATATTCCCACATCTATTACTTTTCTGATCCATTGTTCTCAAGAAAAACACAGAAATAGATTAATGGATAATATTATATTTGTCAAAATATGATTTTGTAAATGTTTTCTCAGAAATTTTGATTGATTTCTGATCAGTTGACACCACAGAACACCTGGCAATCTGATTGGGTTGCTATTGGGTGCATCTCCATCTAGGGTCTGCACATTTTTCACATTATCTCTTTGTCTATTGTCAACTCTTCACATCTTCATATAATTTTAAACCAAATAAGGTCGTTTCTTTTAACAAGCCCCTAAATCAGACTAATTAGGTTTTCTGACATTTTCTGAAGTTGCAGGGCATTGTGGCAGGTGAAATTGCTACTACAATGAATTTCAAAACTCTCAACAGAGCAAGCTAATATATATATCTCCTATAGACAGGGATAATACAGTATTCTTGGTTAAAAGGCAATCCAGAAAAGCAACTAGAATTAAAAAAACTATAAGATAGAAAAATATTTTTTATTAATTTCAAAAAAGCATTTTAGAAATAGGCCTAAGGCCAAGCAATAAAAGCAGAAATGAAAATAAACTGAACAACTGAACAAGGCCCTTGATAAAATAAAGAAACTTTACTTTATGGTTTAATTAGAAAATATTATGCATTGAGAAAAGGGAGAAAAGCAAGTTATGTTGGTAAAGCTTTCTTCCAGCTTAATTAAATATTATATATGTTTTCACTTTGTTTCATTCTTTCTGAATTGAAAGGTAAACATTTATTTATTTCTTCAGTGTTCCATGAAACGAAGACATTGTTGCATACATAAATATAACTGTTACATGTTTGATTATGAAGCCTTTGTTTTATTCAAACCTATTTGAATTCAAAGCTGTTTTAGGAGGAAACCAAACTATAGTGAAATGAAAACATAACCATGTTTTCAGAAAGCTTAATATATGTCCAGCTCATAGATCCTATTTATTTAAAAGATTTACTCCAATAAGTACTTTCAATATTCTTTACATAATCAATTTGCACTTTCCTGCTGTCATTGCCTTTTAATTTTAAGTAATTCCAAATTTTATTAACTTTATCTAATTATTAAAAACTAGAATGAGCTGTACATTGTAAGAGTGGTAAGATATTTATATTCTTGAATGTAAAATGTAATGTATTTTAGACTTAGCACATATAACCAGCAAGCAAAAATGTTGGTGATTAACTCAAGTTATAAGGAATTAAATTAAATGAGCTTTCTTGTGTTCCCAAATATATTTTGTTTAAATTTCTGAAAAGTAATGTTATCCAGAATATCAGGAGAAGACAGTTTGATTGAGAAGGTAAAAAGCCAGCTGGAAGTTGAAGGTTGCACATTATGCACAATTGCTTGACTCCTCTTATGTTCACATGGACTGAAACAAGGGAAATATTTGTAACTCCAATACTCAGGAGTGGGCTTGGCACATAGATGATGCCCACAGACTGTTGCTCAATAAGAGCTGTTAATGAATTTTTATTTTTATTTTGTCAGAAAGGTAACCGAATTTGTAAATATGAATTACAACTTCTCTTCTTAATACTAACAGATTTGTTGTACATAGGAAGTTAAATTGGTTGTTAAACTTTTACAAATTATTTGTTTATGGACTTGAAATTTAAATTTCTGATTATATTATATTATGCAAATAAAAATAGTGATAAAAATAAAATACTGAACCTAGAGAAAGCTATTAAAAAATCCCATTGTAGAAGTTAGTTTTTAAAATGTTCATAGGATGAATATTTTTTTAAATTAAACAAAGATTGTGAACTTTAGCAAGGTTATCTATCTTCCAGAATTCTGTTTGATTTAAATTGTAAGCCATATTTTTACAATATCATTTGCTATATGCTATGTATGAAAAGAAATATTATCACCTCGATCAGATTCCAGCATGATTAGCAACTCTTATTTTTATGCCACGTACATACACACATGATCTCTGGGACTAGAACTTCAAAAGGAAATCTACGGGGCATGGAAAACAGTGGTCTTCTCAGCTAATCTCCCAAAATACAGAGCAGAGCAAAAAAAAAAAAAAAAAAAAAACAAAAAAAAACTGTTTCTCGTGGAAAAAAAAAATTATATTTAAAGAAAGTGTAGTTCATATCATTGTCATCTGGTGACGCTGACGTTTGAGAAAATTGTTTTGTTTTTACCTGATTAAATACTACAGCTTTGCCAAATAAGAGGATTTAGCCAAAGATCCAAGATATGAAAAATTTGGAGCACCTGTTTCCCAGCTGAATATGAGAGAAATTGATTCAATATTTTAAAAAATAACTTTATATAACAAAGTATTATTTCCATCTATAAGGATGCACTTATTGCAAGTAAAGAACTAGCTTTTAACACAATGGTAGAGTTGTGCAACTATCACGAACATCAAGTTTTAGAACATTTCCATTACCCCCCAAAATTTATTCTGCCCATTTGAAGTGAATTCCTGCTCTCACCTCCAGTCTCAGGCAACAACTGATCTGAGTCTGTCTCTACAGATTTGCCTTTTCTGGGAAATTCATGTAAGTTGAATCATACAGCATAAGTCTTTTGTAACAGACTTCTGTAGCTTAGCAAAATATTTTTGAGATAATTCATACTGTGCTATGTTTCAGTACTTTACTCTTTTTCATTGCTGAATAACATTCTACTGGACAGATAAGCTATAGTGTGCTGATGGACATTTAAATTGTTTCCAGTTATGGTATTAAGAATAATATTTCCATGAGCATTAACATCCAAGTTTATTTGTGGAAATATATTAATTTAATTTTTATTGGTTGGATGCCCAAGAGTGGAATTGGTAGACTGTATGGTAAATGTTTAACTTTTTAAGTAGATGCCAAAGTATTTTCCAAAATGGTTGTGTCAATTTACTTAATGAGTAGCAACATTTAAGGACTCCAATCTCCCCACATCCTCACCAGCACTTCCCATTGTCTGTCTTTTTGATTATAGCCATCACAGAGGGTGGAAAGTAGCAGGGCATTTTCGGTTTTGGACTGCGAATTTTAAATCATAATTAGGCTCAAGCACATCTTTATTAATCAAAATAAGAACGATTACAATCAACACATTTTTGCCAACAAGAAATAAGTTTGCTTATTCCCGTAGTGTACAATTCCGTACTTAGGGATTCGACAAAGTCTTGGAAAGCATTTTCTGCATGCTGCTGGTTGTGGTAGCATTTACCCTGCAAAAAATTGCCGAGATGCTTGAAGAAGTGGTAGACGGTGTGTCAGAGGTCAGGTGAATATCGCAGATGAGGCAAAACTTTGTAGCCCAATTCGTTCAACTTTTGAAGTGTTGGTTGTGCGATGTGTGGTCAGGTGTTGTCGTGGAGAAGAATTGGGCCCCTTCTGTTGACCAATGCCAGCTGCAGGTATTGCAGTTTTAGATGCATCTCATCGATCTGCTGAACATACATCTCAGATGTAATGGTTTCGCCAGGATTCAGAAAGCTGTAGTGGAGCAGACCGGCAGCAAACCACCAAACACTGACCATAACTCTTTTTGGGTGCGAATTTGGCTTTCGGAAGTGCTTTGGAGCTTCTCGATCCAACCACTGAGCTGGTGGTCGCCCGTTGTCACGGTTGTCATATAAAATCCACTTTTCATTGCACGTCAAAATCCGATTGAGAAATGCTTCATCATTGTTCGATAGAATAAAAGAAAACATTTCAAAATGACTTTTTTGATTTTTGGTCAGCTCATGAGGCACCCACTTATCGAGCTTTTTCACCTTTCCAATTTGCTTGAAATGCCAAACAACCATAGAATGGTCGATGTTGAGTTCTTGGGCAACTTCTCGCATAGTTGTAAGAGGATCAGCTTCAATGATTGCTCACAATTGGTTATTGTCAACTTCTGATGGCCGACAACTGTGCTTCTCATCTTCAAAGTTCCCATCCCCTTTGTAAAGCTTCTTGAACCACCACTGCCCTGTACATTCATTAGCAGTTCCTGGGAAAATGCGTTGTTGTTGTTGCGAATTGTCTCTGCTGCTTTACGACCCATTTTGAACTCAAATAAGAAAATCGCTCAAATTTCCTTTTTGTCTGGCATCATTTCAAAAGTGTAAAATAAATGTAAAATAAACAGCAAGTAAGAAGTCATTAGCAAAAAAGAATAAAGTGAGAAACACACATTGAAATGATGTATAACATAACCACATTTATTTAAGAATGTATTCCAATATCAAATGACAAATTTCAACAATGCAAAAACCTCAATTGCTTTTGCACCAACCTAATATATGTATCCCTCAAACAACTAACTATACTTAGCATCTCTCAATGTGCTCACTGCCCATTTTTATATCTTCTTTGAAGAAGTCTCTCTTTAAATGTGTTTTTTAAAGGAATTTTCTTGTTAATATTGAATTACAGTTATAGGAATTTTTATATCTTCAAGATATAAGTGCTTTATTAGAAATATGACTTGCAAGTAATTTCTCCCAGTCTATAGTTTATGTTTTCATGTTCTTACCAGTAAAATATTAATTCTTTGTCATACAAACATAAACAAATTTTATTAATCTAGCAAGTAGAAGTAACTTGGAAGTCATACTTGCAATATTAAGGAGAACTTACTGTTTCAACCTAGTCCTTCAAGAACTAAAATGTAAAAAAGTTAAATAGTAATTGCCATTATAAATATAGTTATATTTCCTAAATATTGTGAATTTTTAAAATGATTTTTATAGGCTACGTGTAAGTCTTGAAATAATTTTAAAATTATGTAATGAAAATAAATTAAGGTCTATTTGGGGTATTCATCCATGAATTCTTCACAACTAAACTAATATTAGTTAATATTAGCAAACTTATACTTATTAACACTTAATTTAGGTTTATCTCAAGCATGAAAATGCTAAGTAATTTGAAACTAAAATGTATGAACTAGAAACTGAAAGTTATTAAATTCTTTGCATCAAAAATATAGTAGTTAAGTCTTGTTTTTAAAGAACCCTATAGAACTACTCAGGTTCTCAGTTTTCGGTTCTAAAATTCTTAATTTCTCACACTTGTTAATCAATAAGAATGCTTGTGTTTATAAATTACTATATGTATGGTTGTCACATGAGAGAAAAGTGAAGTGACTAAGGTTTAATCTCAAACATCTCATTTTGCCATTCCTCCATTACATTCAAGAACATACCACTTCCACCCAGCTAGAAATCTGTACTTGGAGTTATCCTTTTGTTGTATAAGATTACTAATTACTGAGGACTGTGGTTCTCAATGCAGAAAATTTGACCTTGGTTTGTACTTTTTATTAAAATGGAGCTTTCCATGTTGCATGCTAGGCAGAAGTTAGAACTATAAGGTCATACTTCAAGTAGCTTAATCCATCTAACAGACCTGGATAACTCAAACAGCTAGCTAATGTTTGTGTTTCCCAGTACAACATTTAACATGATACTATTTTTCTTACCTATGTTATTTATGATATGTAGTGTGGTTTATACTTGGTAAGCAAGTGAATAAATAAATGTCCCAGAGGCCAAGTGGAGAGAATTATTGGATTATATTAGGTCAGATGGGGTGGGGAAGGAAGGAAGGTTACTTTGTGAACAACAAGTTGTCGTTTCTGTACCACATATTTAATTATATTATGTAGGTGGGTCCCTTCCAAATTCATATATGCGTAGACATTTTTCTCAACATAATGTTTTCACGTCCATGAATGGTATCAATCAGAAAACTAATCTGGCAGAACCAGATTAATTAGATTAACCAGATTAATAGTGGGCAGAACTACCTTGTGTCACTCCCATAATCACATTACATTATATAGCCAAAAATAGATTATTTAGGTGAATTTAATATAATCACCTGAGACCTTAAAACGGAGAATTTTTCAGCCAGTGGGGAGGGAAGTTAAAAGCACAAGAAAGACTTGATATGTCACTGATGCTTGAAGATCAAAAGGACCGTGTGTAAAATATAAGAAAGTGAAATTTGAAGAAGAAACCCCCACACTGCATATTTAGCCTGGTGAGACCTTGAACAGAGAACTGAGTATACTCAGTCATGGTATACTGAGTTTCAGGTCTACTGAAACTGGAAAAGAATGAATCTGTGTTGTTTCAAGCTGCTTCATATGTTATGAAGCCAAAGAAAACTAGTAGGTCATGTTGACCCACTGTCTTTTCTCTTTTTCAAGGGAAAAACAGAAATACATCAAATTTGTAACTGAAACTTTTAGGACTGTGATATGGTTTGTCTCTGTGTCCCCACCCAAATCTCAGGTTGAATTCTAATCCTCCTGTGTCAGGGAAGGGGACTAGTGGGAGGTGGCTGGATCATGGGGGTGGATTTCCCCCTTGCTGTTCTCCTGATAGTGAGTGAGTTTTCATGAGACCTGATGGTTTAAAAGTGTATGGCTATCTTCACTCTCTCTCTCTCTCTCCTGCTCTGCCGTGGTAAGATGTGCTTGCTTCCCCTTCACCTTCTACAATGATTGTAAGTTTCCTGAGGTCTCCCAGCCATGCTTCCTGTACAGCCTGTGGAACGGTGAGTCAATTAAATCTCTTTTCTTCATAAATTAGCCAGTCACAGGTAATTCTTTATAGCAGTCTGAGAACAAACTAATACAGAATGCAATGAAGAAAATTATATCTGTGTTTAGGAGATCTGATTGTTTAAAAGTGTGTGGCACCTCCCCCTACTCTCGCTTGCTCCTGCTTTTGCCATGTGATGTGCAATCTCCTGCTTCACCTTCCTCCATGATTGTAAGCTTTCGAAGTCCTCCTGAGAAGCAGAAGCCAGTGCCATGCTTCCTGTACAGCCTGCAGAACAGTGATTCAATTAAACCTCTTTTCTTTATAAATTACTCAGTCTCAGATATTTCTTCATAGCAATGCAAGAACAGACTAATACAAGTACAAAAAGTTTTTCATCTAAGATCAAAAATAACCTAAGCCTTTTCCTAAATTATCTATCATAAAGTTCAATTAATAAATTAAGTTCAGTAAAAGGTTAACAACAGTACCTAATAATAAAATAGAACAAATATAACAAAAAAACAAAGAAGCAAGAATGCCAAATATTAACACTTTTGGTTTATCATCACAAGAGAAGTCACAGCCAGCATAAACAGGCAACACATAAAATAAAATAAAGTAAGTATAAGGTAGGAATTGAAAGGGAAAGTAAATTTTCTTTTTCACAAATAACGTAATTGTGTATGTCTATATATAAGCCATTTAGATTTAATGAATGAATTTATCAAGGTTAACAAAATGTAAAAATACAAAAGTCAATTGTATTTTTACAAAACACTAAAAAGTACAGAAAATGAAATCTTATAAATGATATTATTTAACATTAATTATATAAGGTACCTGGAAATAAATCTATAGAAATGTGTGTGATAATAGAAGATCTACAGCAATGAGAACTTTACTTTGTTCATAAAATAGAAATATAAAAATTGAATAGATAGCATTTCTCCACAAATTTATGTCAATTATTTTGTGGAAATTGACAAGCTGTGTCTAAAATTTATATAGAAATGCATTTAGTTAAATCAACCAAGGCAAACTTGGAAAAGTAAAGACATGCTTAGCTATTGGAAAACAACTGGGAAAATATATAAAAGGTATATAGATTGAGAAGAAATAAATAACACTGTCTTTGTTCGCAGACATTATTGTCTACGTAGGAAACCCAAAAGGATAGGCAGAAAACCTCCTGGAACTAAGCAGCAGTTACAGCAGGGTTGCAGAATACAAGCTTAAGACAAAGCAGTAAATTGCTTTCCTATAGAGCAGTGATGAAGAAGTATATTTGAAATTAAATATCAGTACTCTTTACAAAATAATGCCCCAAATAAAATACTTAAGTATAAATATTACAAAATATGTACGAGGTTCTATATAAGGGAAACTATAAAATGTTGATAAAAAAATCAAGGAACCAAATAAATGGGGAGATACTTTATGTTCATGGATAGGAAGACTGAACATAGTCAAGGTGTCAGTTCCTGCCAACTAGATCTATGGATTCAAGGCAATCTCAATCAAAATCTCAGCAAGTTATTTTATGGATATCGACTTTTTTTTTTTTTTTTTTTTGACCGAGTCTCACTCTGTCACCCAGGCCGGTGGTGCAGTGGCACAATCTCAGCTCACTACAACCTCCACCTCCTAGCCTCAAGCAAGTCTCATTCCTCAGCCTCCCAAGTGGCTGGGACTACAGGTGTGTGCCACTGCACCTGGCTAATTTTTTTTTTTTTTTTTTGGCAGAGAGAGGGTTTTACCATGTTGGCCAGACGAGTCTCAAACTCCAGACTGCAAGTGATCTGCCTGTCTTAGTCTCCCAAAATGCTGGGATTATAGGTGTGAGTCACCATGCCTGGCCTCAACAGACTGATTCTAAAATTTACATGGAGAAGCAAAACTCCCAGAATAGCCAAAACAATATTGAAGAAATAAAGTTGAAGGATGGCATTACCCAGTTTCAAGATTTACAGGCAATTCCTGACTTACGATGATTTGACTTATGGTATTTTTATTTTATGATTGTCTTATTGGAACATAACAACATCATAAATGGAGGGGCATCTGAACTTAGGATGGTCCATTTTTCAACTTTACAATGGGTTTACTAAGGAATTAAATGGATTTTCAACTTAAGACTTGCTGTGTGTTTATTGGGATGTAACCTCATTGTAAGTTGAGGAACATCTGTACTAAAAAGCCACAATAATCAAGACAGTGTGTTATTGGTAAAAGAGTAACAGGAAGGCCAGGTGCCGTGGCTCACGCCTGTAATCCCAGCACTTTGGGAGGCTGAGGTGGGCGGATCGCGAGGTCAGGAGATGGAGACCATCCCGGCTAACACAGTGAAACCCCGTCTCTACTAAAAATACAAAAAATTATCCAGACATGGTAGCAGATGCCTGTAGTCCCAGGTACTCAGGAGGCTGAGGCAGGAAAATGGCATGAACCCGGGAGGCAGAAGTTGCAGTGAGCCGACATCTTGCTACTGCACTCCAGCCTGGGGGACAGAGCGAGACTCTACCTCAATAAATAAATAAATAAATAAATAAGAGTAAGAGGAATAAATACATAGAACAGAAATGAGAATGAGAAGTAGACCCACACACATATAGTCAAATGGGTAAAGGCAATACAACGTAGAAAAGATATTCTTTTCAACAGATGGTGCTGAAACTTCCAGATACCCACATGAAAAAAAAAAAGAAAATGAACATAGACACAGACTGTACTCCCTTGACAAAAATAAACACCTCAAAATGGATCGAAGTCCTAAATGTAACACATAAAACTATACAACCTTTGGTAATAAAAAAGGAGAAAAAATCCAGATGACCTTGAATTTGTCAGTAACTTTTTAGATGTAACAATGAAAGCACAATCTATAAAAGAATTAAAAAGCTGGACTTAATTAAAATAAAATATTTCTGCTTTACAAAAGTCATTGTCAAGAGAATGAAAAGACAAGCCACACACTGAAAGAAAATATTGCAAAAGACATGCGATAAGGGATTGGATCTCTCAAAACTGAAATTATCATGACAAAAATAACACTATTAGAAATGGACCAAAGATCTTAACAGCCACCTTATCATAGAAGACGTACGTGTGTGCGTGTGTTTGTGTGTGTCTGTGTGTGTGTGTAATAAGCATATAGAGAGATGCTGCATGTCATATGTCATCATGGAAATGCCAATTAAAACAAGATAGCACCGGCCGGGCGCGGTGGCTCACGCCTGTAATCCCAGCACTTTGGGAGGCCGAGGCGGGCGGATCACGAGGTCAGGAGATCGAGACCATCCCGGCTAAAACGGTGAAACCCCGTCTCTACTAAAAATACAAAAAATTAGCCGGGCGCAGTGGCGGGCGCCTGTAGTCCCAGCTACTTGGGAGGCTGAGGCAGGAGAATGACGTGAACCCGGGAGGCGGAGCTTGCAGTGAGCCGAGATCCCGCCACTGCACTCCAGCCTGGGCGACAGAGCGAGACTCCGTCTCAAAAAAAAAACAAACAAAAAAAAACAAGATAGCACCACATGCCTATTGGAACAGCCAAAATCAGTAACACTGACAATATCAAATACTGGCAAGGATGTGGAGCAAAAGGAACTCTCATTCATTGTTATTGGAAATGCAAAATAGTATAGCCACTTTGAAAGGCAGTTTGGCAGCTTCTTAGAAAAGTATTAATAAAAATACTTTGACCATACAATCGAGCAGTCATGCTCTTTGGTATTTAGCCAAAAAGGAAGGTGAAAATTTGTATAGACGAAAAAACCCTGCAGTTTTATTTATAATTGCTATCTTGAAAGCAATCAAGGTGTCTTTCAGTAGGTGAATGTATAAATAAACTGTGGTACATCCAGCCAATGGAATATTATTCAGTGCTAAAAAGCAATGAGCTGTCAAGCCATGAAAAGACATGAAGCAAACTTAAATGCTTATTGCTCAGTGAAAGGAGCCAATCTGAAAAGGCTACATAGTGCGTAATCCAACTATATGACATCTAAAAAGGGCAAAACTATGGAGACAGTAAAAAGATCCATGGTTGTTAGGGTTAGGAAGCAGGGAGGGATGGTAAGCCAGAACACAGAGATTGTTTAGGGCCGTGAAAATTATCTGTATGGTACTATAATGGTGGATACATGGTATTATAAATTTGTCCAACCCATAGACTACATAAGAGGGAGGTTCATCAGTTGCAACAAATGTACCACTCTGGTGGGGGATACTGACAATGAGGGAATCAGTGAGTCTGTGGGGGAAGACGGTATATGGGAAATCTGTACTTTCTCCTCAATTTTGCTGTGAATCTAAAACCGCTTTAAGAAATAAAGACTATTAAAAATGTAAAAGCAGTTGTATCACCAGACATCATAGCTTATTTGAAGCAACTGTAATTTAACATGGTTTTGGTGCAAGCATGGATAATTCTACCAGTGAATGATAACAGAGAGTGTAACAACAGATCCACACACAGGCAGTCATGTGACTTATGAATGCATTGGTGCATATTGCAGCAACAATATGGAAATAATTATCTTTTTAATTGGTGTTGGATTAAATTTAATATTCATATAGAAAAAAATCTTGAAACCTTATCTCTAATAATAGAGACAAAGTGGGTTATATATCTAAACTCAAAATGTAAAACTATAATACTTCTGGAATAAAATATAGAAGCAAATCTTCATTATCTTTTGATATGTAAATATTTTTTAAAAAGACACAAGCTTGCTAAACTAGATTGCATTAATATTAAGACAAGTTAATCAAAAGACAATATTATAGTTACTATCACCAGTGATATGATGTGGTTATTATGTACCTCCTGGTGTGCTGTGAAGAGACGGATACTTCATCTCTGTGATGTTCTTTCAAAAAGAAACATAACTTCAGTCTAATAATGAAAAAAATCAGACATACCCACTTTGACAGACACGCTAGGAAATACCCGACCAGTATGCAAAACTGTTAAGGTCATGAAAAATAAGGTAAGACAGAAACTGTCACAGACCTGAGGAGACTAAGGAGACATGACAGTTAAGTGCTATATGGTAGCCTGCATTGGATCCTGGAAGAGAAACAGGACACTAATGGAAAAAATTGGTGAAATTCAAATGAAGTCTGAAGCTTAGTTAATAAAAATTTACCAATGATGGCTTCTTAATTTTGACAAATACACCATAGTGATGTGAGATGCTAATATTAGGAAAAATTGAGACAATAAGCAATATGCGAGAATTCTCTACACTGTTATAATTTTTCTGCAAACTGATTTTTTAAAAAAACAAAAGGCTTATTACAAAAACTAGAAAATATTGCTAGGGTTAAAATAAAGCCAAAGAGGAAAAGATAATTTTAATAGTTTTCTAACAAAGGAAGATTTCATATCCTGAATATGTAAGAACTCTAAAAATCTAAAGGAAAAGAACAGGAACCTGGTAGACATTAGGCAAAATAATCAGATTTTAGGTCAGATACTCATGTCTGTAATCCCAGCACTTTCGGAGGTGGAGGCAGGCAGATTGCTTGAGGTCAGGAGTTTGAGACCAGCCTGGCCAACATGGCAAAACCTCGTCTCTACTAAAAATACAAAAAATTAGCCAGGCTTGGTGGCGGGTGCCTGCAATCCCAACTACTTGTGAGGCTGAGACAGGAGAATAGATTGAACCCGGGAGGCAAAGGTTGTAGTGAGCTGAGATCACATCACTGCCCTCCAGCCTGGGTGACTGAGCAAGACTCCATCTCAAGAAAAAAAAAAAAAGAAGCAGATTTTAGTGGGCATGCATTCCACTAAAAAATGAAATACATATATCAAAATATTCTCAAATTAATGAGTAAATATATAAGGTAATTACAAATTAAAATCACCAATGGGCTTTTGTATATCCTCCAGAATGGCCAGATAAAAATGTCTTGTGAGAAAATAGAGTAATTAGTACTCTCATACACCACTCTAGGAATTTATATTGCTACAACCTTTTTTTTAAACCTATTTATAAAAGCTAAATAAATGCATAATCCACCACACAAATTTTCCCTTTATATAAAAACAAACCAAAATGAGTACAATCTGCACCAAAATACATGTTCTGGCAGTGTTATCTGTAAGATGCAAAACCTGGAACAACTCAATATTTCATACATCACTAGAATAAATAGTGTTTTATCCATACAATGTATTACCATGACCAGTTGAAAAGGAATGAACTGTAACTACATACAACAACTTAGATGGATCTCACAAATATAAGAAAGCATATACAACAAAATATCAATTATGATTCATCTACATAATTTTTATAATTAGGCCACACAGAAGTCTATGGTGTTAGAATGCAGGATAGTGTATATCTTTGGGAAAGGTAGTGAACAGAAGGGTTCACAAAAGCAGGCTTTAGGGAACAGTAATGTTTTGTTACTATTTTGGGTGCTAGTTTTATGAGTATGTTTACTTGTTAAAAATTTATCACTCTGTACAGTTATAATTTGAGCAATTTTCTTTATGTATGCTGTGTGTTTTACAAATTGAAGGCTTAAGGCAACCCTGCTTTGAGCAAGTCTATTGGCACCATTTTTCCAACACCATGTGCTCACTTCCTATTCTCGTATTACATTTTGGTAATTCTCACAATTTTTCAAACTTTTCAATATGATTATATCAGTTATGGTAATATTATTTGATGTTACTATTGTCACTGTTTTGGAGTCCATAAAATGCAACTGTATATGATGGTGAACTTAGTCAATAAATTGTGTTCTGGTCTGCTCCACTGATCACACCTTCTCCTGTCTCTCTCCCTTTCTTTGGACCTTCCATTTTGCTGAGACATATCAATATTGAAATTAGGTCAGTGAATAACCCTGCAATGGCCTCTAAATGTTCAAGTGAAAAAAGAGCCACACATCTCTTACTTTAAATCAAAAACTAGAATTACTAAGCTCAGTGAGGAAGATATGTCAAAGCCTGAGATAGGCTGAAAGCTAGGCCTCTTGAGCCTAGTAATTAGCCAAGTTGAAGGCAAAGGAAAATTCTCTTAAAAGATATTAAAAGTGCACTTCAGTGAATGCATGAACAAAACAGCCTTATTGTTTATATGGAGAAAGTTTTAGTAGTCTTAATAGAAGATCAAACCAACCACAACATTCCTTAAGGCCAATGCCTAATCCAGAGCAAGGCCCTAACACTCTTCAACTCAGTGAAGGCTGAGTAGGATGAAGAAGTGGTAGAAGAAATGGCTGAAGCTAGCAGAGATAAGTTGATGAGGTGTAAGGGAAGAAGTCATCTCCATAACATAAAAGAGTGAAATGAAGCAATGAGTGGTGATGTAGAAACTGCAGTTATCCAAAAGATCTACCTGAGATAACTGTAACAACACCAAACAACAGACTTTCCATGCAGACAAAACAGCCTTCTACTGGAAGAAGCTGTCATCTAAGACTTTTATAGCTAGAGAGAAGTCGACGCCTAGCTTTAAAGCTTCAAAGGATAAGCTGACTCTCTTTTTAGGGTCTAATGCAGTTAGTGGCTTTAAATTAAAGCCAATATTCAAATGTTAGGGATTTTAAGAATTATACAAAACCTACCATATGTATTCTCTATAAATGAAAGAACAAAGCCGGAAAGACAGCACATCTGTTTGCAGCATGGTGTACTAAGTATTTTAAGCCCACTGTTGAGACCTACCACTCAGAAATAAAGATTCCTTTCAAAATATTATGGCTCATGGACAATGCACCTACTCACCCAAGAGCTCTGATACATGAACATGTTGTTTTTATGCCTGCTGATGCAATATCTGTTCTGCAGCCCATGAGTGAAAGAGTAATTTCAACTTCCAAGTCATGTTACTTAAAAAGTACATTTTGTAAGGCTATAGATGCCATGGACAGTGAATCCCCTGATAGATCTGGATAAAGTAAATTGAAAACTTTCTGGAAAGGATTTACCATTCCACATGTCATTAAGAATATTCATGATTCGTGGGTGAAGATCAAAATATCAACATTAACAGTAATTTGGAGAAGTTGATTACAATCTTCATGAATAACTTTGCATGGTTCAAGACCTCCATGGAGGACGTGACTGCAGATGTAGTGAAAATAGCAATAGAATTAGTAGTAGAAGTAGAGGTTGAAGATGTAACTGAATTCCTGTAATCTCATAATAAAGCTTAAAAAAATGAGAAAATGCTTCTTATGGATGAGCAAGCAAAGTGGTTTCTTGAGATGGAGACTACTCCTGCTGAAAATTACGTGAACATTGTTGAAATGACAACAAAGGATTTAATAAATTACATAAACTAAGTTTAAAAAGCAGAGGCAGGGTTTGGAAGACAGACTCCAATTTCAAAGAAGTTCTAGTGTAGTTCAAATGCTATCAAACATTAATGCATGCTACAGAGAGATTTATCATGATAGGAGGAGTCAATCGATGTGACAAACTTCATTGTTGCTTTCATTGTTAAAAAATGCCACAGCCACCCTAACCTTCAGCAAACACCATCCTGGTCAATCAGCAGCCATCAATATTAAGGCAAGGCCCTCCACCAGCAAAAAGATTATAATTCACTGAAGCCTTGGATGATCACTGGCAAAAGTATTTTTTAATTAAGGTATTATATTTGCCCAAAGGAAAATAAGTCATTATATGAAAAAGACACATGCACACATGTGTGTATTGCAGCCCAATTCACAATTGCAAAGATATGGAACCAACCTAAGTGCCCATTGCCCAATGAGTGGTTAAAGAAATCATGGCATTATATACACAATGTAATACTACTCATCCAGAAAAGGAACAAAATAATGTCCCCTGTGGCAACTTGGATGGAGCTGGAGGCAATTATTCTGAATGAAATAACTCAGTGATAGCAACTGGAGATAGATAAATTCCTAGGTAGACAGGGACAATTATAAACTAATGTCAGGAAAAATTTGAAGCGGTAGAAAATATCATAAATAGAATCCGTAGGTTTCTCATAAACAAGATGCTAGAAAGCATTTAGGAGCTTGAGACCAGCCTCAGCAACAAAGCAAGATCCTTTCTCTAAAAAAAATAAAACATAAAAATAAAAAGAATAATGTAACCTGTGAAACCCAACTCTCAAACCAAGGGTAGTTTAAAGCCTGAAAACCGAGCCGCCAGTTCTACATGAGTCCACGACGAAAGAGTGAACTTCTATCCTCGTCTTACTCAATCTCTCTTGATTGGTTCCTTCTGAATGATCCTTTTAGTCAATCAAATGGTACTTTTTACAAAACCACCCATGGACCAATCAAACACACACTCTCCCATTCCAATCCCATGAAAACCCTGGACTCAGCCTCACAAATGGCTACCCACTTTCAGGTCCCCTCTCACAGCTGAGAGTTTTCTTTCTGTCACTCAATAAAATTCTACTCTGCCTTACTCACTCTCTGGTGTCTGCATACCTTGGTCATGGAACAAGAACCTGGAACTTGCTGAACTACGGGAGTGAAAGAGCTGTAACGCTCCTGCTTGTTGAGCTGTGGGTTGTGGGAGTAAAAGAGCTGTAACACTCTTTCCTGCTTGCGGAACAATGAGAGAGAAGAAGCCACTGGGCACTACACCCTCCCCCTCACCAAACTACAGGATTGAAAAAGCTTAAACATCAGGAATGGAAAACCAAATACCATATGTTCTCACTTATAAGTGGGAGCTAAGCTATGAGTACACAAAATCTTATAGAGTGATATAATGGACTTTGGAGACTCTGAAGGAGGAGAGTGGGAAGGGGATGTGGGATAAAAAACTACGTATTGATTACAATGTATACTACTCTGGTGACAGGTGCACTAAAAATCTCAGAATTCACCACTACATAATTCATCCATGTAACCAAAAACCACTTGTATCCTAAAAGCTATTGAAATAAAAATAAATTTAAATAAAGATATCAGATTTCTTGACAAGCTATGAGACCTTGAAGATTTCCCTAATCTCCTGCAGATCCTCACATTTTTTCATTCATGAGATAAGCATAATATTAGCCACATATTAGGTTCTCTGAGAGAATCAAATGAGAAAATGAACATATTTTAAATGAACTACTAAGTGCAAATTGCAGTCATGAAGTCTGACATGTAGAAGTACTCAAGAACTGTTGGTTTACTTTCACTTACACTACACATCATTATCTGTTACTAGGCTTTTGGGAAATAACCCACTGCCAGTGTTCAGTAATTACATCACAATGTAGGCAAAATTCCACTGGATTTTATTTATTTATTACTTATCTATTTATCTTTTGGGACAGGGTCTCACTCTGTGGCCCAGGCTGGAGTGCAGTGGTGCAATGATAGGCTTACTGCAGTCTCAACCTCCTGGGCTCAAATGACCCTCCCACATCAGCCTCCAGAGTTGCGGGACTGTAGGTGCATTCCACCATGCCCAGCTAATTTTGTTTTCTAATCTTATTTTTTTTTAATGTTTTTTAGAGAAAAGGTCTTGCTTTGTTGCTGGGGCTGGTCTCAAACTCCTGAATGCTTTCTAGCATCTTGTTTATGAGAAACCTACTGATTCTATTTATGATATTTCCTACTGCTTCAAATTTTTCCTGACATTAGTTTATAAATAATGATGAAGAAAAAATTTAATGAGCAATGAACAAGAAACTCTGGGTCATTTTTAACTTATAGGTTCTTTTTTTTCTGTGAGTTTTTTTTTTTAAGCTTACCACAATGTTTTGCAAACTCCGCTATGTTTTTCTTCCAAAGCTTTTAATTTTCTCAATTCCTTCACTGTAACTATTAACTTTATTTGGATCTCAAGCACATTTAAAAAGTCTTCGTAGCAATATATTTTTACTTTATCCGTTGATTTTAATACCAAAATACAATATTAACATATGTCATATATAGGGATTCATTCAATTATATTCCTGACAACAATTATGCCTTACATTAGTGAAGGCACTATTATCTCTCATAAAGTTCAGAGCAAGTGTCCTTGTAACTGTTATATCCAGTGTGACCACGGTCTTAAATATATAGAGCGAAATAATTTTCTGATCATTGTATCAAAAGCTACGGAGATAGCACCCAAGATTAGCATGATTGAACTGTTTCAACGTTTGAACACAGTAAGCAGTAACTTAAATAAAACCAATATTAAGTTGTTTAAAAATATCTACTAAACTTCCGTATGTGCCTGACAACAGCTCTGATGTGTAGCTTGGATACATAGGCCATAATAATTTTTTTTAACTAGGATTATTAAAGAAATGATTGAAGACTGGAGACAGTTATAGTTTTTATATTCGGTTAAATTACAGTATCACAGAGCTCTGAAAAACATTATCTCTTATCTCCCATAAAACAAGAGTTGATAACAATGCTGAACAAATTCTGTTGGCATGAGTCTCTGACAGGGCAGCTTTGATTTATGCTGGAGCTTTCATAAGGTGTTGCCGAAGAAGATACAGTTCAATAAATTAGAAGCACAAGGAAGAAAGCTGAATGCCTGCCAGCTATGGAATGTTTACATGATTTGCTTGCTACAGAAAAGCTTACTAGAGGGATTACAGGAAAGGCTAATCATGAAATAACATTCTCTGATATTTTGGCCCCTTGGAATTCAGGAATAAAATTCAGCTGCATTGAAATTAACAAAATAGCACTCATTCTTTTGAAGACAAAGCGTGCCACATGCCTTCTACAAAAGAAAAATCAGAGGAAATGGACTGGCATAGCTATTGTTCTGAATATTCTTTCAACAGTTTAGGCCTTTGCTCAGAAACAATAAGATGAAGATAGGTACGTAGGTAGGTAGGTAGGTACGTAGGCAGGCAGTATAGATAATTAAACAGATATGTAGATAGATATAGATATCTACTACTTTTTCAACTTCTTAAAAACTGTTTTGTTCATTTTTTCATATTTTTCTTTCTTAAATAAGTATTTAATGTTATAAATGTCCATCTAATAAGAGTTTATACTGCATTCCACAAAGTTTGATCTGCTTCATTTTCACCGTCGTTTATTTAAAAATGCTCTCTAATGTCTCTTGTGAATTTTTTAAAAATTCAACTTAAGGTTAATTATGAGTATGTTGATTCATTTCCAAATATTTGAACATTTTCCACATAAGTTTCTGTTCCTGATTTCTTATTTCATTTTGTTTGGATTAAAACACACACACACACACACACACACACACACTTTTAAATTTTACTTAAAAGGAGAGAGTTTGATTGCAAGACAATCAGAAAATGCTGGATCAACATCTTACCTGAATTGTGTTAGCTATCAATTGCTGCTGCATAACAATATTACTGCAAATTTAGCAGCTTAAAACCACACATTTATTTTTTTCACATTTTCTATGTGTCAGCAATCTTGGCACAGTTTAGGAGTGTCCTCCCCAAGATTTTAATTAAGGTGTGAGCCTGGGCTTGAGGGTGTCATCAGAATGCTTGACTGGGGAAATATTTAATTCCAAGCTCATTCCGTTTGTTGCAGACTTCATTTCACCGTAGCTTTAAGACTAGTTGTTTTATTTTCCTGCTGGCTGTCTAAAGGCTGCCATTGGTTTTTGCCACATGGGACTATTTAACATAACCGATGACTTCCCCAAAGCCAGCAAGGGAGTGAGGAATTACAGCAAGAAGGGCAATATAATCTATGTCATGTAATCATGTACATATATTCATATACATCTCATCATCTTTGTATCTGATATTTGACTTGATTTTTTGTGAAGATCTTTTGCTGATTTTTATAAATTAATTTTCTTTTTCTTTGGCTCAGTAAGTACATACTGCACACCTTCTTTAACAGACAGTTTAGAAGAGACATCTAGAGTTCTTTGTTACAAAAACTAAAAATAACAAGTTGATCACAACATTATCCTTTTTCTCCTGTACATCTCTATTTCTTATATCTTTTTCCATAAATATTTCACATTATTTTCAGATTTGGTTGGTAGGAGGTTACAAAGTAAAACGTTCTAGTGGTAGTCAATTTTACACGTCAACTTGGCTAGACTATGGTGCCCAGTTCTTTGGTTAAACATCAGTCTAAGTGTTACTATTAAGGTAGTTTTTAGATGTGATTAATATTTAAATTAACAGACTTTCAATAAGCTGGTTACTTTTTTTAATTAGATGGGCCTCATCTAATTAGTTGATAGTCTTAAGAGCAGGTTTTCTAAAGAAGAAATTATCTTCAAAACTGTAACTTAGAAATTCTGAGTTTCCAGACTGATTTCCTATGTAATTTAGAGTCAAGACTGCAATATCAACTTTTACCAGTATATCTAGCCTGACACAGCCTGTTCTGCAAATTTTGGACTTGCCAAGCCAATTACTTAAAATAAATCTATCTTGATAGATGATAGATAGATAGATAGATACAGATATAGATATAGATACAGATATGGGTATAAATATAGATATAGACATAGATATGTCCTATTGGTTATTTTTCTCTAGAAAACACTGGCTAATACGGTCCTGGTATAAAGGTAGAAGAAGCAAACCAGTAGTTCCTTGCTTTAAAGAAGGGAAATACTGATATCTTTGAGGTTTAGTACATATTACAATGCAGAAGATATTATTTAGTGAATATGAAACAGATATCTTAGACAAAGAAGCCATTGCCTTAGTAGTTCCAAGTTCTGGGAAAACAACCAGATTGTGCCTCACAGAAAAGATATCATGGACCTTGATGGTTGGAGTCTTCTGCCTGCTAAGACAGCAAGGGCATTCTAGACACTGGCCAGTGGATTCCCTGGGCAGGAATACTGGTTCTAAGTGCTCAAATACATAAAGGCTAATTGACACAGCCAGGTTTTATCCGTAGTTCATGACTTGGGAGAACGTCACAAAAAGACTAAGGCTTACTCATGGAGCCCCCAGAATCCTCACAAAAAGGCCAGGCTCAGATGCAACTTGATGCTCTCAAAATCATGGAGCCGGCCAGGCAAGGTGGCTCACGCCTGTAATCCCAGCACTTTGGGAAGCCGAGGCGGGTGGATCACCCGAGGTCAGTAGTTCAAGACCTGCCTGGCCAACATGGTGAAACCCTGTCTCTACTAAAAAAACACAAAAATTAGCTGGGTGTGGTGGCTGCGCTTGTAATCCCAGCTACTCGGGAGGCTGAGGCAGGAGAATTACTTGAGCCCTGGAGGCGGAGGTTGCAGTGAGCCAAGATCACGCCATTGCACTCCAGCCTGGGCGACAAGAGCGAAGCTCCATCTCAAAATAAACAAAACAAACAAACAAAAATCATAGAGTCAGGGCAAGTAAAAACTGCTTTTCTACTATTCAGAGAATCTGAAAATACTCATCCTTGTAAAGTATCGTAAATCACAGTTGTTACTGTTCATAGCTATACCTTTAATAGCAAAATTCATTTTGAAAGGAGAACATTCATATATGGTGGCACAGTGAAATATCAACATTTTATAGATATTCTAGGTGACACTTCACCACGTGCGTAGTAAAAGACACTTGTTTGAAAAATCACCAAAAATTTCCTCCAACACTTCTGTGTCTGTGCCCTTCAATAGTTTTAAAATATTACTAAGCAGTAGTGTTACTTAAAAGGAATTAAAAAAAAAAAACCTCTGCCTTTTCAATGGAGGAGGCATTGCAATTAAAACTGCTAAGACACAGAAAAGGCTGTCTGCACAGTAGTACACCCAAGTTGAATATTAAATATATGAAAGACTCCCTAGGGAATATGAGCTTTTTAATCATAGTGTTTGACTTTCCTTATCTGAATTGTTACTCCTTATGTGGCAGGAGGATGGACTAGGGAGCACATTTTTCTCTAATTTCTTGATAAGCACTACTATCAACCTGACAGCCCGGACTGATTAAATATCCCTATTCACATGCAGACATAACCACTGCCTTTAAGAGTCTCTGAGGCTAAAATTAAATGTAAATTAAAACAGGCCCAAACCCCTCTTCAGCTTTCTTCCTTTCAGAAAATCATTGCATACTACTTTATAGAGAAAAGACAGTGTACTTACAAATCACACTTGTTTGTTTTTATTTTATTGATCCAGTAGAGGCCTGATGAGATCCTGTCATGGGAAAAATAGTAAAATAGCATCGTTAAAGCAGGGCAAAATTGAATTTAGAAAGAGGAATGCATACACAGAGAACTCTACAGGTATGCACTTTGAAACAGGAAAGTTGGGAGTTTAGGGAAGCAAGAAAGGAGTAAACATGCCTTCGAGGCCTCGTATAGGAAATGCTAAATTAGAGAAGACAGAAAGCAAGGTAGAAGATCCAGGTTAGAGCCCTGAGCCCCACGTTGTCACCCCATTGTGGACAATGTGGGGCTGGAGTCAAAGATAAACAGTTGACACAATAAGAATGTGTAACTTTGACCTGGAGTCCTGATCATCAGTGCTGGTAATGGGATGCTAGAGGTTCCTGAGTGGCTTGAAGGTTCTGTGAGCCAGAATTCTTTGTAGGCATCTATTTAAAGATAAGGTTATCATCCTGAAGGCCTGAATTCAGAAGGACAGATAAACAGATAGAGTTGGCTGAATTGGAACAAAGTATTATTCACGAAGATGGCTGGAGGGTGTAATCAGGCTATTGCCAAGATCTTTCAAAAAATCTTTTTTCTGCTACTGTACTACTCATATAGTTTGAGTTTTCATTAATTTAGCTGAGAGTGACTATGATTCCATATTAACATTTCCAGACAATCTCACTACCTTTTGGTCATGAATTTACTTTCTAAGTACTGTAACATATACTGCTAACTTTTTTCATTCTTCTCAAACCCCAGACTTATCTTCCCTTCTTTCCCACGTCCACTTGCAGAAAAACAGAAAATTTTCCACCTGCATCAACCCAGCATTTACAAACTTCTCTTTCTTTCCCCTAAAAGGTAGTATCTTTACCGATTCTCTAGAGTCAATCCATACCCATATTCACAGGATATTTATAGTATTAGTTGCCCTTTTCATTTCTGTATCTCCAGTTTCATTCTATTATGTCATTGCCATTAGTATTTCAATGTGCTCAAAATGTTCACAACTTGAAAAATGTCATTCTTTGATCAACCACGCCACTCCTCATGACCTGCATTTTTCATCTCTTGTTTCATTTATGGGCAGTCATTACTATGTCACGCCCTCCCTTACTTACTTAAATCACATTACAGAGGAATAACCTGAGAGTTTGATAATATCACATAGTGCCTGGCCAGGGAATGCAAAAATCTCTAAATCTTTTCCCACCAAACACACCAGTATTTAGGAAGGATCCATAGGAACAAACATTAAATTAATAAAATAATTTCAAAATTATTATTAAATTTAAATAAACAGGAAGATAGATAGTTGGATACATTAAGTAAAATAACCAAATGAGAAATGGCATAAATGACCAAAAGTGCAATGCAGATAAAAAAATGGATTGAAGGATGCCATTTAAAAGTAGCATAAATGTTGCTTTCTACCTCTGCCCTAATTCAAAATCCAGGTATTTCACTGATTCCTTCCAAATTAAATCATAAATACTATTTTTTTCTTCAGAATTACAGATGGGTATATCAAGCTGCTTCTTAGTATCTCCCCCTTGGATATTTCGTTGAAACCTCTGAGTAACATGTCAAAAACTGAAATTATGATACCCTCCCCACAGACACAGAGGACACATTCTTCCTCCATTTCCTGTCTCTACAACTGTGATACGTGTGATGAGATGGAGACTTTACCAACCTGGTTCTTTACTGACAGTGATAAGTAGTGCTCCCAGATGGATTTCAATTAGGGTTTTCAGATATAGGAAATAAAAATACAGCCTACCCATTAAATCTGAATTTCATAGAAATAATATTTTTTTCTTTTTATTTTTTATTGAGACAGAGTCTCACTGTGGCACTCAGGCTGGAGTGCAGTGGTGCCATCTCGGCTCACTGCAACCTCTGCCTCCCGGGTTCAAGCGATTCTCCTGTCTCAGCCTCCGGAGTAGCTGGGATTACAGGCGTGCACTACCACGCCTGTCTAATTTTTGTATTTTTAGTAGACACAGGGTTTCACCATATTGGCCAGGCTGGTCTCAAAGTCCTGACCTCAGGTGATCCGCCTGCCTAGGCCTCCCAAAGTGCTGGGATTACAGATGTGAGCCACCACGCCCAGCCAATAAATTTTTTTTAGTATAAGTAATTCCTAAATATTACATGGGATATAGTAACACTAAAAAGATATACTTTTGTTTATCTGATATTTAAGATTGATTTGATGTAGAGCATTTTCTCTAGCAACCCTACATATTATAAACATGTAGACTGAATAAAAACAAAATTTGGCTTTGTAAGCCATTGAAGTTTGGGGGTCATTGGTCACCACAATATAATCTAACATATCCTCACTAATACAGCCGTGGTTCATCCACTATTAAGAAAGGAAATTATAGGATTAAATGCCTGATTTTTAGGATTCACAAATATGTATTTCCCCATTGAAGATTAATAACTTATTCTGCAACAATCAGTGCCTTATCCATGTGACACTCGCCCCTTCCAAATCATTCACTATGGCTATAAAAATGCTGTAGCTATTCCCATCCTATCCTTAGTTTTGTAAAATCTATACATCAAATCAATTAACAAGGTGTAGTACAAACTTTTAACAATCTTTCCCGCCAAAATGTTTTAAACTAAAGATAAGATACAGGTAATTTCCTTGATGTTTTCAAATCATGCCATAAAACATACGACAGATCTGATTCACTGTAAAGTCACATTTAATCATGAGGGTAAATTATGATAAACACTCAGGCATGTGATTGGAGAAATGATGGCTCTGAACAGGAAAAGGTTGGGAAAGACAGTGTTGCCTTCACACTTGTTTCTTCCTAACTTTGTGCTGAACTATCATGTCAGGCCAGAAGTTTCTATTTAGGAAGCCCAACCTTATTGTAGTTGTTGTTTTCAGCAGAACTCCCTGGTCACTTCCAGAAATGAGGAAAACAAACATGTTTAGCAAAGAAGGCTGCATAAGACTATATGCATTGCCCTGAAACTCAACCACCTGGTGTGACGTTCCCACAATTGATCCACTTTAGCAAAATAAGTACTGCAGGCTAGGGGCAATATGTTGCAAGTCAGTACTAGAGCCAGGATGATTGACTGAGTTGACCTCAATTTTGCTGATACATGTGCTGCCAGGTTTATGAATAGATTGATAACAAGAGTAACACAGCACATCTATGTCTTCGAATGAACGAGTCAGTAAAAAATCACTAAAATAAATTGGGATTCTATTACAAGGATATAGAACAAGAGCTACCTACTAAGGTCTAATAAATGTGCACATGTAATTATGTGGTGTATGTTTCCTTGGGACCCAACTCACTTACTTCTTGTTTTTGTTCTTTTGGTTTAGAGACAGGGTCTTGCTCCATCAACCACACTCTGAGGTGCAGTGGCATGATGAAGATTCACAGCTGCAACGTCTAACTCTTGGGTTCAAACTGTCCTTTTGCCTCAGCCTCTTGTGTAGCTGAGATTACAGTTGCATGCCAAAACACCTGGATAATTTTCTTATGTTTTGTAGATATGAGGGTCTCACCTCATTGCCCAGGCTGGTCTTGAACTCCTGGCCTCAAACAATCTTCCTGCCTTGGCCTCCTAAAGTGCTGAGATTATGGGTGTGAGCGAGTGCACCTGGACCAACTTCTTATCATTTTCAATTCTCTTTGGTAATCTAAAATAAGCTACAGACTACCTATTAAAACTAAGGAATCTCCACATTGCTAATGGATACAAGATGAATATTAAAAAATCAACACCGCTCCCATGAAGCACTGTTAGTTAAAATTCTCATAGAAGCAGATCCTGCTGTAAAGATCAGGCACAAGTGATTTTTCAAGGAACTATTCTACAAGATATGAGAAAGCAAGTGATGGAATCAGGTCAGGAAAGTGGAAAAAGTCAATAAGAAGTGCATGAAAACATGAGCGGTCACAGCTTCAACCTAATCCCACAATGACTTACAGATTTTAAATTATATCACAGAGTTGGTCCCATTTTGGTCGTGAACTTTTACTCTAGACAGTTATTGGCTACAATCTACATAGAAAAATGAGAGTAGGGTAAAACAGACAATGTAAGCTCTCCATCCAGAGAGGAGGAATAGCCCTCTAAAAGTCCCAGGGGTGACCCCATAGCAGCCAAGCATTTATAAGCCTGGGACTGGGTGCATGACATGGTAAATGGGCTGAAGCATCTGGACATCACAGGAGGTGTCAGTTCTAACATGAGGAATATCTAATTTGAAAACTTAAGTCAGAAATAAGAGATATTTACAATAGCATAGCAATTATAAATAATTCGTAGATGCTATGAATTTAATGTTTGTGATCCCCCCCAAAATTCACCGTTGAAACCCTAATCCCCAAAGTGATGATATTTGAAGACTGAGTCTTTGGGAAGTATTATTGGGTCATAAGGGTGAATCCCTTACGATAAGATCAGTGCCTTTATAAGTAGAGACACTGGGAAGATTTGTGTACATGCTCACTCTCTTCCTACCCGTCTCGCCCTGCCACCACCCTGTGAGGATACCGTGAAAAGGCAGCTATCAGAAAACCAGGAAGAGTGCCCTCATCAAGCCCTCAACCATACTGGCCTCCTGATCTCAAGACTACCAGACTCCAGAAATGTGAAAGGTAAGTATTTGTTATTTAAGCCATCTGGTCTGTGATGTTTTATTATAGCAGTCTGAACAGTAGATAGCTAAACAGAAGTTCAAAATACCATTTTAGAAATGTAATTGAAGTAAGAAAAGAAAAAGTTGGAGAGGTAAATGATGTTACTGGATTGTAAATGTTAGAAATGTAATATTGTAAACATAGTACTTTTCCAAAACTGATCTATAAATATAATAAAACTTCAACTGAAGTTTCAAAGCTGTACACCTATATCTATCTGATCATCAACAAGGATGACAAAAAAAAGCAACAGAAAAAAGACTCCCTATTCAATAAATAGTGTGGTGATAACTGGCAAGCCATATACAAAAGAATAAAACTGGACTCTTAAATTTCACCTACACAAAATTAACTCAAGATGAATTAGACATTTAAATGTAAAACTATAAAAATCCCAGAATAAAACTTATGAAATGCCCTTCTTGACATGGGTCTTGGCAAATAATTTTTGGCTAAGCCCCCAAAACAACTGCAACAAACAAAAATTGACAAATGGGACTTCCTTAAACTGAAGAGCTTCTGCACAGCAAAATAAGCTATCAACAAAGTAAACAGAACCCCTAGAGAATGCAGAAAATATACACAAACTGTGCATCCAACAAAGGTCTAATATCCCTAATCTATAAGGAACTTAAATCAACAAGCAAAAACCAAATAACCCCATTAAAAATGGGCAAATGATATGAACAGACACTTAGTAAAAGAAGACAAACAAGAGGCCAACAAATATACGAATAAATGCTCATCATTACTGATCAACAGAGAAATGTAATCAAAACTACAGTGAGATACCATTTCACACCAATCAGAATGACTACGATTAAAAAGTCAAAAAACAACAGATACCAGGGAGGCTGCAGAGAAAAGAGAACATTTATACACTGTTATGGAGATACAAATTACTTCAGCCACTGCAGAAAGCGATTTAGACATTTCTTAAAGAACTTAGAACTACCATTCTACCTAGCAATCCCATTACTAGGTATATACCCAAACAACAATAAATTATTCTACCAAAAAGACGTGTGTATTTATATGTTCATTGCCACACTACTCACAATAGCAAAGACATGGAATCAACCTAAGTGTCCATCAGTGGTAGACTGAATAAAGAAAATGTATACATATACACCATGGTATACTATGTAGCCACAAAAAAAGAACAAAAGTATGTCTTTTGCAGCAAAACGGATACAGCTGGAGACCATAATCCCAAACAAATTAACACAGGAACAGAAAAGCAAATACTGCATGTTCTCACTTGTAAATGGAAGCCAAACACTGGGTGTTCATGGACATAAAAATGGTAACAATAGACATTGCAGATCAGTAGAGTGGGGAGAAGGGAGTGGGATGTGGATGGAAAAACTACCAATGGAGAAGGAAAAATTCCAAAAAATCAGTCCAAACTTTGCAAAAAATAGTAGAGTAAAATAAATCAATAAGAAAATTCTGAAAAGGAAGATAAAAAAGCAGGACTTTTCTACTAAATTCAATGACATTTTCCATGTTGGGAATGATTAAATCCATGTGATTGTGGTCTAGAAACACAAAAAACAAACAAACAAAACAGAACAAGTATTGATCAGAGATTGCTTCCAGCATGTTGATAATTAATCCATGAAGTGTGTGAAATATGAGAGAAATTTGTGGAAATAAAATATTAGAAAGAAAAATCAGAAAAAGAATTAGATGAAGAGGTATAAGATAAACTAACCAGAATAATAAGGTATTATCATTTATAAAATGGAATCTTATTCAACCATAAAAAGAAATGGGCCAGGCACGGTGGCTCACACCTGTAATCCCAACACTTTGGGAGGCCAAGGTGGGCGGATCATCTGAGGTTGGGAGTTCCAGACCAGCCTGACCAACATGGAGAAATCTCAGGAGTGGTGGCGCATGCCTGTAACCCTAGATAATCGGGAGGCTGAGGCAGAAGAATCACTTGAACCCAGGAGGTGGAGTTTGTGGTGAGCCAAGATCATACCATTGCACTCCAGCGCAAAACTCCGTCTCAAAAAAAAAAAAAGAAAAGAAAAAGTATTGATTCAAGCCACAGCATGGCTGAACCTGGAAACATTGTGCTGAAGAAAGAATCTAGATACAAAAAGCCACATATTGTATGATTCTACTTACATGAAATATCAAGAATAGGCAAACCTAGAGACAGAAAGTAGATTAGTGGTTGCCAGAGCTGGAGGAGGGGGAAATAGGGAGTGACTGCTAATGGGTATAGGATATTTTGGGGAAGATGAAGAATGTTCTGGAATTAGATTATAGTGATTGATGCAACTTTGTAAACCTACTAAAACCCACTAAATTGTACACTGTAAAAGGGTGAACTTTATGGTATATGAATTACATCTAGGTAAAACTGTTTCTATAAATATTTAAATTTGGAACTTTTCCTATAATACTGCCCAGAGTAAAAAATTAAATTAAATTAAAAAAACCAGAGAGTCAGAGGAATTCATCTTAGAGATTTCAAGGGAACACAACACATGTTTTATGGAGACATGAAAGAACAGAAATTAAGAACTGTGGATTATGTTACAGAGATAGTGCTCTCCAACTTTTCTTCATTTTCCAAGCAGATTTCATCACTATAGTAAAAATAAATTTTTTACAAGTATTTTTTCTCATATTGGTAGATCTTAAAAAAATAAACAGATTATGAGTGATTTTTTTTCTTCAATTGTTGGACATGAATTTCATCACATCTACTATGAAATACAGATTTTTATACCAAGTGCCTTTCCGAAGTTCTTATTGTTAATAATATGTGGAAGTCATTCTCTGAGGACGAAATGGGAGCCTGTTGTTTTAGACAGTGATTAGAAATTGATCCTTAGAACCAATTTCCTTTGAATTTATTGATTCATCTTAACTAGTTTGATTTAAACAATTCACCCTAACTAGTTTGATTTAAACAATTATCTGGAAATCACCCAAAGCAGCCTTTTTTCAGGTACATTTTTGTGGCTCTAAACACAGGCTATTGATCTGATTATCAGTTGCTGTTTTTCATAACATATGTTTTTCATAAACATAAATTTACTTGCTTCACCAGCTGCTTTTGGGTATAATTTGAAGAATCTGATTGACATTTTAATAACTATTGTACTTATGTCAATAAATGTTATTTAGTACATTTTCTAGGGAGAAATTAAAGTTGAAAATGCATTCAGTTGGCTCAGTTATTAAATCTGCAAATGCCCTCAAAATGAGAGAAGCCAGAATATTATTCTAACAGATTTAGTGCCCTATAATCAAGTAAAATGTCCAGTAATGAAATTTAAAGTCTAGCAAATTGCACTCTTCATTGAAACTCATGGACGTGCAAGTATAACTTAACCTTCACACAGACATATACACAAGCATACATTCTGTCTTTTACGTTAGTACCTACAATCAACATTTCTTCTTCATTTCTTTGGATTTCAAAAAGAGAACATAAAATAAGTAGCTGCTCCCAGAAAAATATGTTATAAATATAGCCTAATTTTACATATAACCTTAGGATTTGGATTAATTTGTAAAAGGAAACACAACAGTTGTTTCTGTTTATTTTAGATTTAACGATCTTAGTTTCTCATAGCCAGTAGATAGCACAGTCATCATTCTCTTTAAAATTCCTTCAATCCATGATCATTCGAATCTTTGAAATTATATGTAAGGGTAAAAGAAGGGATATGGATGCCTCTCAGGCAAGTAGTGGCTTAGTGTGGACATCTGTTGGGTTTTTTTCTGCCAAGAATCTCTACCCTGTGTTCAGACATCAGTTTCTGCAAGAAAGATTAACCTACTCTAGGCATTTTAATCAGAAGAGGAATTAGGTGTTAAAGGTTATTGAATTTTCTAAAGAATTGGGTCCTTGGATGGGCCATCCAGAATGGCTCACAGAACAATACAGAGCTGGCCATTAGAGAAGCTATTCTCTCTGAGGCTACTGGTTCTATGCTAGAAGAAAGAAGTTGACACACAACTGCCTCTTGGACAGCTGGAGAGTGGATATTGGAAAGTTATTAGGTTGGTGCAAAAATAATTGTAGTTTTTGCCGTTACTTTTAATGGCATTTTGCCACTAAAATTTACTTTTTCCATTTTAATGGCTTTTGTCATTAAAAGTAATGGCAAAAACCACAATTACTTTTGCACCAATCTAATACTTCAGATGAAAAAAACAGAACTCACATGTTCATGACATTATTTACCCACAGGAACACCCCTCAAAAGTACAAAAATATTAATACTTTGTCTCTTATGTGTAGACAATATTTTTGCAATTGAATTTAAAGATTGTTTGTTACAGTAAGTATAATTTTAAAAAATCAAATATATAGATTATTCCACAATTTTTGTGTATCTCGTCTTGACCAAAGCAATTTCTACTAACTATAGAATAAATATAGACTATCCTAAATTGTATTATGTTTTTATTGTTTTATAGTTTATGGTTGATATTTATCATCCATATTGAATTTATTAAGTCTCTTACAGTAAGGGTATACTTCTACATCACCATTTTTTCCCAGTAAATTAAAATTCAACATTTGCCAAATGTTCAATTGCTTTTATATATCTGCATGTATTTTCAAGGACTCTATTCCAATGATATACACCTAGTCCTCTCTTTATTGAACTGTTATCATAATATGTTTCAATATCAGATATGACAAGTGCTCCCACTATTTTGCTTTTATTTGAATTATGTGAGAAGTCTCAGACTTTTATTTTTTCATATGAAAATTAAGGTTCCAAATCTAAAAGCACCGAAATTTAAATTAGAATTGCAGAACATAAGTATATTATTCTCTGGAAAACTGATGTTTTAATCTTATTTACAATTTATCTCCAGAAATATGACATACGACTACATTTGTTTAGCACTTGCTTCCAATCTTTTATTAAATAAAAACAAATACATCTATTTGAAATATACATCTTTATGATTCCCATTTTATCGATCTTGTAATTGTTTGATATGTATTGATTTCTTTAGTATATAAAGTTCAATTATTTTAAAATCTCCATTATTGTTTCTTGTCAATTATGAATTATTTAGAATTACATTGGTACATTCACAAATGTATTAATTTTTCAACTATTTTATTGTTTATTTCTAATTTTACAGATTAATAGAGAGAACTTATGACATATAAAAATTCTTTAGAATTTGTTGAGACTTCCTGTTTTGGCCTAGGACAGTTCAGCTACAAATGAATACAGCGTCTGTTTTGAGTGTAGGATTTTATTTATGTCAATTATATCATGTTTGTCCATTTTGTTGTTCAAATATTCTGTCATATTATTATTTATTTATTTTAGATAGATATAGAATTAAATACAAAGTATGTGGCTTTTTCTATTTCTGTTTGTATTTCTGTCATTTGCTCTATACATGTTGAGGCTCTGTCATTAGGTGAATATAGATGCTATATTTGCATACTGTCTTTGTTGATTTTGTGTTTTTTCTTTTACTAATAATCTTGCAAAAATACCTATTAATATTCTTGTTTTTAAAATCTTTTATAACTGATTTCTTTTGCTTAGAATTTTCCTGGTATACATTTTATTCATTATTCTTGTATTCCAATTTTCTATTATAATGTTTAACTTTCACCTTTTAAAACAGAATATGGTTAGAATAAAGTTTGTGTTTTATTTTTAATTCATTTAAATAATTTCAGCATTTTAAAAGTAAATTATAGACTTTTTTGGCAGCTGTGGATTTATAGACAAAATTAGCAAAAATTTCACGGAGTTCCCATATACTCCCTCAAGTCATCCTGCTTGCTGACCATACCCACTGTATTAGTTAGGGTTCTCTGGAGGGACAGAACTAATAGGATATATGTATTCATAAAAGGGAGTTTATTAAGGAGAATTGACTCTCATGATCACAAGGTGAAGTCCCACGATAGGCCATCTGCAAGTTGAGGACCAAGGAAGCCAGCAGTGGCTCAGTCCAAGTCCCAAAACCTCAAAAGTAGGCAGCCAACAGTGCAGTCTTCAGTCTGTAGCCAAAGGCTCGGGAGCCCCTCGCACCTACTGGTGTAATTCCAAGAGTCCAAAAGCCAAAGAACTTGGGGTCTGATCTTCGAGGGCAGGAAAAATCCAGCAAGGGAGAAAAATGAGTGTTATAAGACTCAGCAAGTTTGCTTCTTCCACCTTCTTCTGCCTGCTTTTTCTAGACTTGCAGGCAGCCGGTTGGATGGTGTCCAACCACATTGTGGGTGAGTCTTCCTGAGGGTGGGTCTTCCTCTCCCAGTCCACTGACTCAAATATTAATCTCTTCTGGCAACACCCAGAAATACCCAGATATACCCAGAAACAATACTTTGCATCCTTCAATCCAATCAAGTTGACACTTAATATTAACCATCACACCCATCATAGTTTCCCTTATTGTTAACACCTTGCAGCAGTTTGGTACATTTGTTATGACTGATGAGCAAATATAGTTCTATGGTTTGAATATGTTCCCCGAAAATTCATGTGTTGAAAATTTCATTGCCATAATAATGGCATTGGGAGATGAGGTCTTTAAGAGATGAGGCCGAGCGCACTGGCTCACGCCTGTAATCCCAGAACTGTGGGAGGCCGAGGCAGGCGGATCACAAGGTCAGGAGATCTAGACCATCCTGTGAGTGGCGAAACCCCATCTCTACTAAAAATACAAAAAATTAGCTGGGCGTGGTGGTGGGCGCCTGTAGTCCCAGCTACTAGGGAGGCTGAGGCGGGAGAATGGTGTGAACCCAGGAGGCTGAGCTTGCAGTGAGCCAAGATCACACCACTGCACTCCAGCCTGGGCGACAGAGTGAGACTCCGTCTCAAAAATTAAATAAATAAATAAATAAATGTGAAAAATAAATTTTCTTTTTTAAATAAATTACTGCATCCATAGTATTCTGCTATAGCAGCATAAAATGGACTAAGACATATGGATACATTATTATTAACATTTAAATTAGGGTTAATTCTTGGTGTTCTACATTCTGTGGGTTTTGACAAATGTATAATGATATGTACCCACCATTACAGTATCATATAAACTAGTTTCACTGCCCTAAAATATCCCCTCTCTTACACCTATTCAATCTTTCCTCCATCCTCCCTAGCCCCTGGTAATTGCTAATTTTTGTACTGTCTCCATAGTTTTGCCTTTCCAAGAATATCAACTAGTTGAAACTGTATAATGTGTAGTCTTTTCATTTTAGCTTCTTTCGTCTCATGCATTTAAGCTTCCTTCATGTCTTTTTGGGGCAATTTTAGTCTTTGAATACTTAGTCACTTTAATCTTTTGCCTTTGTTTCTATTACAAATGGATACCCTATTTTAACTTCCCTTTTTGCGTTTTTTTAATTCTATTCTCCCTCCTTCCCAGTATATAAATTGTTAATTGTCTACTTTTTCATATAAAAATCATTATACAATAAACTTTCTCAGTAATTGCATATTTTAAAACATCTTTATGCTGCCTCATTCTTGAATGATAAATTCAATAGTTTTTGAATTGGGACTGACAGTCCTTTTTTCTCTGTATTTTGAAGATGTTCATTTAGAATTTTCTTGTATGTTTGGTGTTGATGAGAAGTCAACTTCTCAATCAACACCAATATATGTATTGCAATATATGCATATATGCAATATATGTATTGTTTCTGTGTGATTTTTTTCTCATTAGTTGCTTTTCAGTTTTTCTCTTTGTCCTATTGTCCTAAAATAGGTATGTGATGTTTTTGACATACTTGCTTTTATTATTCCTCTCAGGCTTCTCTGTTCTTCTTCAATCTATAGATTTATCAGTTCTTCAATTCTGAAAATTTCTCATCTGCAATCTTTATGATTTTTTTCTTTCCTATCTGAACTTACTTTTTTTCTGGATGTATTATTAGAAATGAGTCATTCTAGTCCTCCTTCAGTGTCCCTTTTATGTTTCCATCTTTCTATCTCATGTGTACTTTAATATAACTAATTCTGTCATATTGTTCTCTTCTTTTATGTATCTTTATGCATATTTGTCTATTCTAACACTTTTCTATTGCTATGTTTCCTCTCTAGAATTTGTATTTGTTTCTCATTCAATAGTCTTTTTTTTTTAAGTGCTATTTTTGTCTAAATGTTTTTTTTTTTCTCTCTCTCTCTCTCTTTCTGTATCCTTGAAGATTTTAAACCAGTTGCAGTAGTTCAGGGTTTTTTAGTTCATTGTATCTACTTACTTCCCCAAATAATGATTTGTTTGCTCATCTACTTCGGTTTGGGGAGGAAGGGGTCTTATTTTTAGTTTTGCATGGTTTAACTCATCGTAGTGACTTGGTTTTCCCTGAAATTCCTGTATTCCCTGAATTGTAAAAGTGTTCCTAATGTGTTTGTGTTTTAGTCACTTTAGGAAGCCTTACATGTTTCTCCAGATTAAGACAAGGTTAATCATAATTTTCAAAGTTGTGTGTTTCAACCAAGTGGGCATTTTGAATTTAGACCTGAACTGCCTTTGTGGTAAAATCTTGAATTTTCATATTTTGCAAGACACTGTTCTTCTACCATTTGCACCAGGAAGATGGCAAACATTTGTGCTCTTGTGTCTAATAAGGATGCCTTTTCTTTACTTAATTTTAAAGAATGGCATATTTTTTCTTATTCTTGACTGATTCCAAAGATTAGCCAGATTCCTAGTAAGTCACGAATCTGGCTCTGCCTTGTTTTTTATCGTACACACATTTTTAAGGCAGTTAATAACTACCATTTTACTAATGCCAGTAAGTACATCCTTATTCTTACATTCCTTAATATTATGAAAGCAGTTGATTCTGTTGACAATATTCTTAAATGTCTCTTACTTTTTAACTCCAGTGCAGAAAATTAAGTTAATCCTATTTTTCAGGACAAAGACACATGATTAACATTTATACAAGATCCCATACTATTTTCCCTTTTTAAATTTATGATTTTTATATTTCTTTCTACATATATATAGTATATTTAATATTTTGTGTATGTATATAAAATATACTTAAGAATATATAGTGTTTGTGTGTATGTGCACATGCATATTTAATTACATAGTGGTGATATCTTATTTATCTTATTCTATATTCTTTTGTTACTTAGTGCAAAATCAACCCCCCTATCCATATGTATATCTATCTTAATGTTCTAAGAAGGCATAGTAATACATAGTGTGCTTTCAACATATTTATCTGTCCCTTTAATGATGAACATTTAGATTGATAGCACTTCCCTACTACCATAAACAATAATGTGATAAGCATTCCCATATATTTTGCATTTATTCTTAGTGTTTTGCACTTTTCTTGCTCTAGCCATATCTAAAATTCTGATTGTCATCATAAAGGCACTCATTCTTCTAGATAATCTTTTATTCTCACCTTGAAGTCTCTCACCAGTCATTCTATTTTCCTCCAATAACGTTAACTGGGAGTAATAGTTTCTATATGCCAAGAAATGACAAATCTCTGTGTCCATCCAAGATCCCTCTCCAGAGCCTCACATAGATATGCCTAATCTACCCAAAATTGAATTTAGGATTTACTTCCTAAAACGTACTCTTCCATATTTTTTAATTTTCTTGTTATTAAGTGTCAGCAAAACCAATTGTTTTAATCAGAATCTAGGAAATTTTCCTTTATTCCTTTCCCTTCTTCATCTCCAACATCTAATCAACAGGTGAATCCAACAGATTCTACCCCTGCATATCTCCACAGTTGTCTCCATTCCCAAACCTAGTTTAAAACACTATAGTCTCTTGTCTGGATCTCTATATTGTTTAGCAGCTTCCAACATTGCCTCCTTACCCTCTCTCTTTCTTGCTTTTAATCTATTATTTGAATGAATTCAGATATCCAAGTAAATCAAATTATGTAATTCACTGTCTAAAATTCTAATTGTTTTCCACCGTCTTAAGATAAAATCCAACCACGTTAACATGAATTTTAAGCTCCTTGACAATGGAACTCCTAGCTACCTTATAACCATAGTTTTCAGTTACACTGAAATTTTAATTCTTAAATTCTGGTAGAGTTTCACCTGCTAGATTTAACATATCTTGTCTCCAATCTCTGAAAAACTCATTTTTTTCCAGTTTATGTGTATGTGTATGTGTACATGCACAAACACACACACACACAATTCAAGTGTATGTGTATTTATATGTATGTGTATGTACTCAATCCTTCAAGTCTTTATTTCATTTTTTTTTAAATCAAGATATTTTTAGATCCCGCAGCCTGAATTATGCCCATGTTAAACCCTTTCATGGCACTCGATGTTTTCCTCCATAGTACTTGTCAGTATTCGCATCTAGGCATTTATTTCTCAGATTACTCATTTAACAGTGATTTCATTCCCTCCCCTGACCTGAGGAAACTTCAGATTTCGTAATATACTACATTACCTGGCTCACAATCATAGATCAAGTATTAACTAAACACCTAATAAGCTCCAGACACCACTCTTGGCACCTTAGGTGCACCGATAAACTAAACAGACAAAAATACCTGCCCTCAAGGGAAAGACAAAAATAGATATAACAAATAAAAAGGAGGAGCATGATATAGGGTTTAGGAGATGAGCTTTGGTACCATATTGCCTAGGTTCATATCACAGCCCATCAACTTCCTCGCTCTGGGACTTTTACAAGTTTCTTAACTCTTGGTGCCTGTTTCCTTATTATAAAACAGAGATAATAGTATCTACTTCATAAGATTATTAGGAAAATTAAATGATATAACATGATAAAGATTTAAGTATAGTGTCCAGCATATATTAAGCATCATATAAGTGTTTGTTAAATAAAAATGTGTATCACGTGTTATGTTGAAAATACGTATATTTTATTTTTTTTTAATGAGCATGGTAAAGGGGACTGAGAATAGAAAATGGAGAAGGCAGTGTTGGCTGTCATAAAGCCAAGATTCTAAAGAGATTGCATCCTCATTGAAAGGGTAAACTGGAAAAAAGTCGATCAGTTAGAAAGAGAACTCATCAGGGAATCCTATTTGGTTTGGCCAGCTCAAGGTGGAAAAAAGATAATGATAATGCTTTCCTCAGAGAATTTGTAACCAAAAAACTGTTCTCATAAGACTCTGGGATTGAATTTACATGGGAAATTACCATGGGAAACCATAACAAAATTTATACAAAATTACCATATAATAGAATTAAAATTCCATTATAGTGAAATGGAAGTGAGAAATAGAGTGAAAAATTTCCAAAACAATGAGGATGGGGAGCTGACCAAAAAAAAAAGTCTATCAGTTAAAAGGTCAACATTAATGTCAGATCTTGGATTTAACTTTATCTCACAAGCTATTAACTTAATCCATTACCCTTTCATTGATGCTGGAAGAAGACATGAGACTTCCAGGACAGAAACAAGGGACTTTCTTGCTCACAGCACAGTGAGCGACATGAGCATCAACACATTCATGTCAGTTTCCCTTGCCCCCAAGTCCCACAGGAGTGGCACGATATGATCCATATAGATGTTACACAAGACTGTTCTTTGTACTAAACAGAAATATTACTTCATCTCTTAGTGTTACTACCTTCAAACCCTGAGAAATAGCCCGAATAAAGAGCAGCCGAGACCTTCTTTTCTTGGGATTCTAGCAAGAAAGTACAGGGATGGATACTCAGGGCTTTGGTGAGTTGCCTCTCCCACCAATCTACTCTGCTGCTAACACATTCTTGGCTGAAGTCAAATTTCCTTATGAGTATGCCAATTGGTTGGCCATTTGGAATAATCTTACCAGCAGAGGGTGAGAACAAATCAGTTTAATTTTTATGAAATTTTTAATTAAGACTACTAGTAACCAGAATCCAGGCATTAGGATAAAACCAATTTGTATTATTGACTGAAACTGGGCCTCCCAGAATCACAGACTCGACCAAACATAAATAAGTCTTAGAGGGGGCCAGTAGGTCTTATTTCAGGCAGCAAGGATATAGCCTAAGACCAGTCTTTTATTTATTTCAATTCACAACCTAGATGGACTTTCTGACTTGGGGGTTTTGCCAATAATTACTGCCCACAGAGTGGCCAGAAAGCAACCCCATCCCTAATGAAAAGATGCTCCATGGCCAGCTCTCTTAAACATATAAACATATAATCTGAAGCGACACAGGTCATTCCAGTTCAGGGTTTATTGTTAAACCTCACTTTGATCATCATTACATTGATTTGACTAAGCCACTTGAGCCATGACCAAATAGTTGCAGCCTCTCTTGCCACTATGGCACAAGCTGAGGCCACTCAAGTATCAGAAAAAGAATATAAATTTGTATCCATTAGCCTGAAGCAAGTTAGTGCTGGCCTATACATCTTCTACATGTATAGGGCAGGGATGTGGAACTCCACGTTAGGAGCTACCACTGATGGCTTCTGAGGCATCAGAACATTTCAGGACTAGTCACGTCCACATGACTTTACATCTATTTTCATAACCCAGCAGTAGGTCAGTTATAAGTCACAACTACTGCTTAATGATTGTTTTGCCAAGCTGTGGTTTGGGATCTAAAGGACAAAGAACATTAATTGTTTTCCACTCCCTGAACCTCTCAGGGTCTAATGTGGGTATCTCTTCCTTAGGTTCTGGGGTTGTTACTGTTCTTTCAAGTTCACAAAACAAGTGTGTCTCATCCTAGTAGCTACAGCTTCACCCTTCTTCACTTACCTCCTACTTATGCCCAGACCTTTCATCTGGCAGCTCAAGTGCAAGAGGAACATGGACAGTTTTATACAATGTACAGAGAGACTCATTATATATTCTGCCTTGGCCTACATGGGTCACTATATCGTTCTTGGCTACCAGTGTACTCAAGCAAGTTGTCATTATTTCAATGATCTAGGATCATGTCAATCCAACAAAAGAATTCAGGTGGCTAAACCAAAATTAAGTTTGCATATAGTAGGCCCCATTTTGGGTAGGATGTCACATGGTGTACAGATCACACTGGCCTGTATTTGCTGATAGAATAAAAAAAATCATCATGTCCAGAATGGTCAAGGTGTAATTAAAATTTTCAAAATCAGTCTACATAATCCTCCACTTCTTTCATTTGATCATTAACTGGGGAGTAATCAACAAGAAGAGAATCCTGTTTGGGCATGGCTACATTCAATGATCAAACTGCGTAAGGCTCATGGAGCAAAGAGAGAGAGGGGAGAGGTAGAGCAAGATATCCTTTTGATTTGAATTTTGAGGAGTTAATTCTGCTTTTCAATAATGCTAGATGTCTGCAGCTTATAAGGAATGTGGATTGCCTGTCAAGTACGTTGATTATTAGTCCATTATAAGTGGCCTGCTCAACAAAAGCCATAGCAATGTCGGACTGAAAATGGTCCAAAACACTGAAAACATGGCAAACCTTAGTTTGATGGGCTACCATAGTGTGACCAGAGGATGCTCATCAGATTGAAATAATATCTGACATAATTTGGGTCTGTGTCCCCAGCCCAAATCTCATGTCAAATCGTAGTCCCCAGTGTTGAAGGAGGGGGTTGGTGGGAGGTGACTGAATCATGGGGGCAGAGATCCCCCTTGCTGTTCTCATGAGTTCTCATGAGATCTTGTTTGAAAGTGTGTAGCATCCCCCGCACCCTCCACCACCCCTTCTCTTGCTTCCTCCTGCTCTGGCCATATAAGAGGTGCCTGCTTTCCCTTCACCTTCTGCCATGGTTGTAAGTTTCCTGAGGCCTCCCCAGCCATGCTTTCTGTACAGACTGCAGAACCATGAGCCAATTAAACTTCTTTTCTTTCTAAGTTACCCAGTCTCAAGTACTTCTTTATAGCAGTGAAAGAAAAGACTATTACAACATCATATCCTAAAAATGTGCCAACAGCTGTGAGGTAACACTGGTAGTTTCAACAAGGGGTCAAAGTTCAAATATAGTCAATTTTCTGGGAGCACATTAGAGTCAGTGTCCCATGCAATATGGCCTCCTTCACTGCAAGACAAATGGGCCAACTTTAGACAGGAATCATGTGCCTAGTATACAGTGGTAGCTTCTTCATAACAAATGCATAGTCCTTTATTATGTGGACAATCTGTGTGGTAGATTTCATTGCACAAGGGCCATGCCTGGTGCAATGGAAGTCCAGGTGGCCATGGTGATGCTAGACAGTACAGTCTTGATCAGCATCCTAATTCCACTAAGTCTCTTACCTGAGCATCTACATGAGTAGCTCACACTGATTACCATTACAATTTGTTGCCACAGTTCACACCCCAAAGAGGGCTATCTTTAACCTGGTCATCTGCAGTCTTTCAAGTAAGTGGCAGACCAGATGGTTGGGCCATCAGCAACAGCCTAAAAGTTGATAAAAATATAACAATGCTGGCCCTTGGGAGCACTGTCTATGGCAATTCAGCCCTTTGTTTTGACTTTCTTATTCAAGTCAAACTCCCTGAGTTGTCACTGGCCCTGGATGGGCCAATGACACCTTCATCATGAATGAACCTTCATGGTTCTGTCACCTTAACCATGACATGACGGCATTCATGAATGCTGCCAACCATTCATTGCTGTCACCTTAATCATGAATGAACCATTCTCATGCATTCAGGGAGACCTCTATAAATCCATGTTGCTGGGAGCCAGTAACTTTGTGTGGGGTGTTGAAGGGAGGGATAATGATTCCCTACAGTGAAAAGTACCACTTGTTTAACAATCAAAAGTTCTAACAGGGCCAGACTTGCTGTGTTCTTGGAAATATGATCTCCATTTGCCCAGCAAGGCCTGTTGGACCCATCCTGCTTTATCAGTCATTGACTCCAAGTTGACCTACTCTAAAATGAAAATGTCAGAGAGTTGCAAGGCCTCAATGGATGAGGCATTCAGTTTTATAAGTTATTAGCTGCAGATTAATAGGGAAAAAGAAGAGGTGATGGAGCATAAGTGGCCCCCTTGTTAGGTAGTACTTCTTTTCCTTTCTTTTCATAACCAGCATATCCTTAGCTTGATTATGCTGTGACTTAAACCTAGTCATTGGTCTAATGGCCAGGAGGATCATATCTAATATATATATATATATATATATATATATATATATATATATAATTTTATATTGTCAAATTTATCGATATTTGTCTTTATTGCTTTTGGATTTTAAGTCATAGTGAGATAGGTTTATAGACTCCTAAATTATACAGAAATTCACCCATTTTTTCTATTACATATATGTTTTCCTTTTTTTAGAGTTACATGCCAGATTTATTTAATATAACTCCATTATATGTTAAGAACTATAGGTTTTAATGTTGATTTAGAAATGGTCATTTTGAGAACGACTTTTGTGGGGGCTCTCTGAACAAAAGATGAAATGACATATTGAGATTATATTAAATTTAATTGACTTGGGTAAATTACCATCTCCATGATGTATCATCTCATCCGACTACATGGGCTTTCCTTCTTTCCTTTTGAGATGTTTTATAGTTTTCCTCAGTCAGGTTTTGTACTTTTCTTGATACATTTATTCATAGGACTGTTACCTACAGATACAACCTTTTAGTTATAATGGGTCCTTCTATAAATTACACTGTTAGTGGGAGTTCTCCAGAAAGACAGAAATGATGTGCATGTCAGGGGGTGGGAGTGGGAGGGGTGGTGGGAGAGATCCATTTTAAGAATAGGTCACATGATGGGAGAGGCTGATAAGTTCAAAATCTGCAAAGTAGATGAGCAGCCTGGAGACCCAAGGAAGAGCTGGTACTGCACCTCAAGACCAAAGGTAGACTGCTGACATTTTCCTCTTTCTCGGGAGAGGTCTTTTTTTTTCTATTAAAAATGTGACTGATTGGATGAAGCCCACCCATATTATATAGAGTAACTTGCTTTACGTAAAGTCTGCTGATTGAAATGTTAATCTCATCTAAAAATACCTCCACCGATACACCTAGAATAGTGTTTGACCAAATATCTGGACCCTGTGGCCTGGCCATCAAGCTGACACATAAAATTAACCATCACAAGAAACTTTACTCTTAGAATATTAATTTTATATCCATATCCTGTTACTTACTCAAATATTTAATCTTTATTTCATCTCTCTCTCGAGAGAGAGAGATATCTTCCCCCCTTCCACCATCTCCTTTTCTTTGATTTTCTGTAGTTTTGCAGATATATTTTCACAGCATCTGCAAATAGAGATAATTTTACCTTTATGCTTTCTAATTTTACCTTTATGCTTTATGCTTTCATAACATGATTATGTTAGAAAGCATAATCATTTTCTTCTGGTCTGATTTTATTTTTTAATAATTTCAACACAATGTTTAAAAATGTAGCAATAATGAGCCTCATTTACCTTTTCTCTGAATTTAATAGACACTGGTTCAACATTTTCCTATGATTTAATATATGAGTTATTTTGATATAAGAAACATCCAATCAATTTCTCTTCTATTGAGCATTTTTATTTAATTTTATGTGAATTAGGTATTTACCTGTGAAAAGATATTTAATTTTGTGTAAAAATTTTCCTGGAAATTGTATAATTTTTTCTCATTCTATCTATTCAATAACATGAATTATATTAATTGATTTTCTAAGTTTTTTCATCTCTGGATTACTGCAATAAATCTTAATCATTATTCATTAATTTTAATGTGCTACTACCTCTATTATTAATATTACTTTATTTCAAATATCATCAACAGTATTTGTACAGATGAGGTTGATCTGCAGTTATACTTTATGTGAAATCATTATTGGATTTAAATATTAATATTTTGCCTGTGCATCTGTTATGTTCTATCTGGAAATCAGACACCACAGTAGGTATTCCAAACAGAAGCAATTTATGGATAAGTTAGTTACACATTTGGAAAAGATTAGAGGAGCAGAAGTAAAGATAACATTACTAAAAATCAAATTGCTGCAAACCAGTAAACAGTGATGCTGCAAGCCCAAGATCTCTGTGGCACACGTATAAAGTGGCTTTTGCTGCAAGTCAAATCCTCCTAAAAGGGAGCCTATCAGTGCCATGTCTAGACCAGAGCTATCTTTGCTGGGAACCACACTGCCTGAGCAGGAGGTTAAGGAGTCTGCATTCCCAGGCCTATGTTCCTGTTTGTGGCTGCAGCTGTCATTCCCAACACTGTGAACACTGTTGTTGCTGCTCCTATTCGTGCAGCCAGAAATGCCATGCCATACAGAAGGGGAACAGAATCAGTTCTTCCCTCCTAATCCTGTCTAATACTCATGAGTGCAATTCATTTGCCGAACCCAACTGGAGATCATTTATTTGGTATGGTTGTCTGGGAACTGTAGCTTGTGGGTCCCCGACCCTGCCCTACAGACTAGATCACAAAAGGGCAGAAACAGATCTGAGAACATGGAAATGACTGGGATAGCTTATTGCATAAAAGGAATTCAGAAGATTTCCTCTTTTTTTGTTTTGTTTTGTTTTGTTTTTCCTATTCACTAAGGCAGTTTGGGTAACCCTGGGATTATCTGGTCTTTGAATCCTCACCGAAGCCAAGTGCTTATTTGGGGGCAGGTCTTTAATGATAGGCTCTGTAAAAACTAGGCTGTTTACAATTCTGTGCTGGGATCAGTTTTGGTAACTTATATTTTTCCTAGAAAATTATCCATTTCCTCTAGGCTTCAAATTTCTTTGGCACACAGTTGCAAAAGTGGTTTCTTACAAACATCAAAAACCTCTCTATTTGAGGTTTGGTTATTTTCTTCTTACCACTTCTTATTTTGAATATTCTTTCTCCATTTTTCATTCCTTCTGTTTTCTAGTTACTGGGTTGTCACCTTTGTCATTATATTTAAATAACTTGGATTTAAAAAAAAAACTTTTTTTTTCTATTCTAATTTATTGACTTTTCCACTTGTATTTCTTAGTTTTCTTATTTTGACTTTTTAATGTCTTTGTCTATTGTCTTACCTTTTAAATTGTATGTTTATGGCTTTTATTTTCTTTCAACTATTTCCTAAAAATGTGAACATAGTTTCTATAAGCATTTCTTTCTAGAAATTCTATAATTTTGATTTGTATATTTCTTTTGACTCAAGATTTATTTTTTAAAGGATTCTTATCTCCAGTTAGGTAGACTTTACTTTTTGTAATTGGTTTTTAATCATACTGCATATTTATATGGCAAATGTTACTTGCATAATTTCAAATTTGTAGAATTAATCATTATTTTTAGAGCTATCAGGAATTTATTTTCTCATTATTCTGGAGGCAAAAAGTCTGAGATCAAGATGTCAGCAGGGTTGATTTCTACTGAAGACTTCCTCTGAGGTTTGCAGATCCCTGTCTTCCTATATCTTCACATGGCCTTGCTTTTGCATATGTTTGTGTTCAAATTTCCTCTTCTTTTAAGGACTCCAGTCATATTGAATTAGGGCCCATCCTAATGAATTCATTGTAACTTGATTACACCTGTAAAGATCCTATTTCCAAATTCAGCCACATTCTGAGATACTAGGCATTAGGATTTCAACATATGAATTAGGAAGAGGGCACAATTCAGTCTATAACACCTTGCATTCTTTGTGTCAAGGTCCTATCCCGCATGTACATGCCCAGAGAGCTTCCTTATGTCTGGGAGGGGCTGCTCAGAAAAACAACTTTAGAAACATGAATTATCCAAACCAGTTCTTAATTATAAAATATGAATGAACAACGAAGTCAACACAAAAAGATGAGAAGAATGACCATGTAAAGAGACCAGAATAAAATAACAGGAAACATTATTGCAGGAGATAAAAGAATAATTCAACAAACTAGGGAATATTAAAAAAACACACTTAATCTGCAGAGTTGGTGTGACTTATATGTATATTGCAGTCATAAAACAGTATGTTGTTGACTAATTAATTTGTATGATAAATTCATGCAAATTTTCAATACATTGCTTTAAAAGGCAGAAAGAAAATGTGAGAAAAACAAAAACATATAAAATAAAGAGGTTCACTTGTTACCAGTGGAGGGTGTCCGGATTCTTGGTGTCTTGAACAAAGAATTGGACAAAATGCACAAACAAAGCAAGGAAAGAAGGAAACAACAAAAGCAAAGATTTACTGAAAATGAAAGCACACTCCACACGATGGGAGTGGGCCAAGAATAGGGGCTCAAGAGCCCCATTACAGAATTTTCTGCAGTTTAAACACCCTCTAGAGGTTTCCACTGGATACCTGGTGTATGCCATATGTAAATGAAGACGATGAAGTAAAGTTACAAAATCATTTACTTGGTGTACGCCCTATGTAGATATTTCCTGTCATAGATGCAGGCAGTGTTTCCATTTGATTTAGTTCTAGGAAGTCAGCATGAATCGGCCTTATGTTCCCTGCCTCCAGACCCTATTCTTCTGCTTCACACTATCCACAAAAAGAGAAACTTTAAAACTGAGAATAGAAAACCATAAAAATTTTAAAGAAATGGGATTTTTCATACTGAAAGTGTTCCCTGAATGCTGAGCAGAATATATAAATAAAAGTCAGCCACATCACCGTGAGTTTTAGACATTACACATAAAGCAAATAAAAACAAATAAAGAAGAAACTGCTCCTTTAAAAAAATCAGGTCAGAGTTCTTAACAGCCATTATATATGTTATAAACAAATAGAGCAAATTCTTCATACTTTAAAAAAAATATGAGTTTGAACCTAGAATTATATCAAACCAAACTACCAAAGAAGTGTGAGGCAAAACTGTAGGTAGGTTTAGCCAAGGAAATAGTCAGATTTTTCTTTTTTTGCCAAGCACTAAGTTAAAATGTTAGTAATTTTTTAAAACATATCTGCATAGGCTGATAAAATATCAGTGGGGCTTATATATGTGTTTGCTATCTAAGACATACAATTTATGGAGACAGTTTTTATGTATCTGGAATTTACCCTGACAAGACAGTCTTAACATTCCTCTCAACTTGATGAAATTTTTGAAAGGTTTCTTCCTGACTATAGGCCCCTAATGTCCCTTTTCTGACATTTACTTTAAAAAACTTGTAATTGTATATTCTTTCTCTGCCTCTTTAAGTTGTGAATCTTCTTACAGCCTCTTGACAGTTTCACAACCAGAAATAAATTTCTCAAGGACCTGGGAGCCATCCTTTCGAAATGTAATCATCAAGAAAGTGCCCTTATCTTCCAGTCTCTGTGGGAGGGTAGGAACCTAATTTTAATAAGCTCTAATTAACAAATGCAGATGACCAACCCCCCGACTAAGTTCATCCAATACTTTTCCCATTAGCTCACCTCTATGCTTAAAAATTCTCCACTGGCCAGCGCGGTGGCTCACGCCTGTGGTCCCAGCACTTTGGGAGGCCGAGCCGGGTGGATCACCTGAGGTCGGAAGTTCCAGACCAGCCTGACCAACATGGAGAAACCCCGTCTCTACTAAAAATACAAAATTAGATAGGCGTGCTGGCGCATGCCTGTAACCCAGCACTCGGGAGGCTGAAGCAGGACAATCACTTGAACCTGGGAGGTGGAATTTGCAGAACCCGGGACCTGAGATCGCGCCATTGCACTCCAGCCTGGGCAACAAGAGCAGAAACTCTGTCTCAAGAAACAAAACAAAACAAAAAACAAAAACTCTCCACCTTGGTTTCAGTGGTGTTCAGTTTCTCTCCCCTTTTCTATAATACTAGTCTTCACCCCTATTGGAATAGTCTTCAATGAACTCGTTCTCTGTTTAATTCTGTCCACTGTAACTTTTCTTTGACAGCTCCAGGACTGATCATATGACATTGCAAATGCTGTAACCAGAGCTGGTTACTTCCAGTGTTTCAGCTCTCCATATCTCAGTTAACATCCTTAATTACCATATTAAATTTCAGAAATAGATTTTCTATGTGAATCTACCTGGGAAACAAGGAAATTAATGACAGAATTAAACATGGGAATCGACCTAGAAACCAATAACAGAAAGAGCTAGGAAATCTCAAAATACTTTGAGATTAAACAACACATTTTATTAATTAACTTTTTAAATTTTATTTTATTTTAAGTTTCAGGATACATGTGCAGGATATGCAGATTTGTTACATAGGTAAATGGGTGCCACGGTGGATGGCTGTACCCATCAACCCATCACCTAGATGTTAAGTGCAGCATGCATTAGCTATTCTTCCTGATGTTCTCTCTCCCCTTACCCAACCCCTGCAGGCCCCAGTGTGTGAACAACACACTTTTAAATAACACGTGTATCAAAAAATAACTGTCAAGAGAAATTTAGAAATAATTTGAATTAAATGAAAATAAAAAATACAACTTACTAAAATCTATGGACTGCAGCCAAAGTAATGTTTAAAGGTAGATTTATAGCTTTCAGTGCATATGTTATAAATAAATAAAGACGTAAAATGAGTAATACACTTCTCACCTTAGAAAAATAGAAAAAGACAAGCAAATTAAATCCAAAGTAAACTGAAAAAAAAATGAAATAATAAGAATTAGAGCAGAAATCGATGAAATAAAACACAGGAACTAAACAGAGAAATCAACAAAAACAAAACCTTGCTTTTTTCTTAAATAATAAAATCAATAAGCAACTAACCAGCTAACTATGGAAAATAAAAAGGATAAACAAATTACTAATATCAGAAATGAAAGAGGGGATATCACTACAGGTCCCAAGAACAATAAAAGGAAATAAAGGAATAATATGAACAACTCTATGTCCCAAATATGGTAAATTAGATAAAATTGACTAATTTCATTAAAGGCACAATGTGTCAAAATGTATACAACAAGAAATAGACAATGTGAACAGGCCTATATATATTAAATAAAATGAATCATTAATTAATAAGTTTCTAAAACAGCATGTGGCCCTGATGGGTTTACCAGTGAATTCTACCAGTGATTTCAGAAGAAATATTTCCTAAATCAGTCTATAAGGCAATATTGTGCTAATACCAAAATCAGAAAAACACATTACAAGAAAACCAAAAACCACCATCTTTCATATACATACATGCTAAAATCTTCAACAAAATTAGATTGTTAACATTTCATGTTTGCTATTCTGGGTCACTTGCCTCTTTACAAAAACTTTAGAATCAGTTGATATTTATAAAATAACTTACTGGATTTGGATTGCATGAAATTTATAGATCCATATTGAGAATCTATAGACCAACTTAGCAAGACTGATGTCTTGACAATATTGAGTCTTACTACTCATGAACATGGAATATCTCTTTATTTTCTTAGTTTTTAAAATGTCTTTTCCAGATTTTATAGTTTTACTTATAGGTCTTGAATATATTTTGTAGAAGTTATACCTAAGAATTTTATTCTGAGGTGCACTATTATTTATAAGGAGACTTAGAAACTTTTGTACAAAGATAATTGATAGCTGCAGGACTTTATTATACTTATTGGAGTCTTATTTTGGTTTTTCTGAAAACATCCTCTGTCGAAGATGCCTGTGATCTGCATAGGCTATCTTTGTGGTGGAAACTTCTGTGACTCCGGGCTTGCTTAAAATATTTAAACTAATATAGGGAGGGGAGGGAGCTCAGAAATTGTTCACCTACACAAGGTTTTGTTTCGTTTTGTTTTTTTTAAGATTTATTTGTTGAATTGTCTGACTCCAATTGGTAAACAAAAACATCACAAAAATTACATTAGCAACTTTAAAGGACAGCAAGCCATGAAAAATATTCATATAATTTCCACTAGTAATCTTATTTTCAGAATAAATTTTAATAAAATAATCCAAATGGTAAAATATTGCATGTGTAATAATTAGCTTAGAATAGATAAATTGCAAAATGGCCATAAACATAGAATAAGAATAAAAAAGAAGCAATTATAAGAAGATACATACTTGATAAATCATGTTTTAAGTACTACATATTTAACAAATATGTATTTTAAATGTTGGCAAAATAATCTTTTAAAATCTAAAATTTCATAGCGATATGAATCCAATCTATAATATCATAAATGAAGTATAGCTCACAAATATGAATTTTAATTGTATATATAATTAGTCATATTCACTCAAGGTCTTTGCTTTTAAGCCAGTTGGCATTTGGACTAATTTATTTGCTCCCTATTCATTCAAAATTTTCCATTTTATAATAAGATGTATTTATTTTGTGATAAATATGTTGATTTTTTTTTTTCCAGAAGTAATTTCCTATTGGGTAGTGTTTCACTGTATGATCCTCCTTTTCTTTTCTCAATTTCCAGAATAAGACCTGGAGTGAGAAAGTCACTTTTCTTCAGATAAATTTTTCTTATCAGCTCATCATTGTCGGTCTCTGCACAATATCCACATTCTCTATTCTAAGTTATCAAAATTTAAAATGTAAATATATATACATAAATATATGACAGAAGGAGCTGATGACAGCACTTCTGAGAGAAAGAGACTAAAAGGGCACAGAAAGGGCAGATCAGGTGGCCAATCACAAGCTCTGCCAGTTTTTTATTTTCATATAAACTAGTCCTAATTTTTCTGAGAAATCTTTAAAAGAAGGTATTTTACCCACATTAGAGGTACTATGAATCCCATAAATTTGCAACTGTCAGCATCAGAGCTAAAAGAGATTTGAAAATAGATATTGCCTGTTTATGTATTTTGAATTAAAATGAAGCTTTCTTTACTCACAGTGATGTGGGAATGTAATACTATGTCTTTATGTAAATATCATGATAAACCTTGATAAACTGTGGACTCTGAAGTCTGGCAAAGAGTTAAGAAACACCAGTGTAAAATATGACAGCTATAGATGGGACAGCAGAAAACTAAATAACAATTTGCCTCATTATTTTTGTTCTGTGATCACCTTTTTTGTAGAATATTGGGCTTATTTTCTTTAAAAATATTCAATGTGCAAAGAGTTTATAGTTCATCTCAACCTATTTTATCAGTCATTATTACAGTTACAATTCCTTCAGCACTTTTCCTCTAAACTTAAAGAATACAGAACCTATTGTTTCATTAAATATTTATTTTTTCACTGATATTTTGAAGAGTAATATCCATAGAGTCTAGATAAACCTCCATAGGTATGAACTTGTAAAATACAAGCTGGACAGATGCTCTCTGAATGTACAATGGGGAAAAAGTATTTTCCAGCTGTGTAAGATTATAGTCAGCCTAGGTATTATAAAGCAGATCATTGAATTAATGTAAAAAATCACTGATATTAAAGGTTATTAAAGCATTCTTAGACTTCCAATGCTACACTATTTTTCTAGAGGATAATTTGTACATTGGGAGATTAAAACTAAATGCGAGAAAAATACCAGTAACTTGGAGCTTTGCATCATTATTTATTTATATTCAAGAAAAATATAATAAAATGAATCATACTAAATTTTTATTTTCCACAAATGGCTTCTAGGAAAACCTGTGATTTAGAGACACACATATGTGTTTATTCAGCTAGGATTTTTGATTTGTTGTATGAGGCACTGTGAAGGATGTTTGAGATGCATCATGAATAAAACACTTCCTCCATTCTGGGTACCAAAAATACAAGAATATAATGATTTTGTAATTGCTAGCAAGTAGCAGGAGCAAGTAAGAGTGGCTACTGAGATCAGGCACAATGGTTCACGCCTGTAATCCCAATACTTTTGGAGGCTGAGGCAGGAAGATTGCTTGAGGCCAGGACTTTAAGATGAGCTTGGGCAACACTGTGAGACCTTATCCCTTTAAAAAAGTAAAAAATTAGCCAGGTGTAGTGGCACACATCTGTGGTCCCAGCTACTTGAGAGTCTGAGGCAGGAGGATCACTCCAGCCTAGGAGATGAAGACTATACTGAGCTATGATCATGCCACTGCACTGCAGCCTAGGCAACAGAGTGAGACCTGTCTCAAATTAATAAAATAATAAAATAAAATTTAAGAGTGGCAATATATTAACAGACTGAAGCTCTGGTACATAATAGGTGAAAAAAATGTAATAAGGAAATGTCTAATAATATATCAGTATAAAGGGGTGTGTGTGTGTGTGTAAATCAAGAATATGGGACAGCGTGGGATGGCTGAAAGAAAATACCACAGCCAGACAGTGAGAAACAAGTGAGATCAAGATACCCCAGGGACAGGAGAATAAAAACCCTCAGAATGCATAATAATCTTGCAGCAGAATATAGATTATAGGCTTGTTTGACACTATGCTTGAGTTACAAATGTCTGAGCCAAAACTTGAGGGATAAAGTAGGATTTTGTTAATTGGCATTGGAGCAGCAAAAGATATTAGGGGGAATAGAATGGGAGAAGGAGACAGTTCAGGTGGCGGAAATGGCATATGCAAAGCAAATATTAAAGAGTTCATAGATTATTTAGTAAGCATAACATTTTATCAGAAGAGTGAAAAGCAAGCTTACATTCACTTCCACTTCCTCTTAATATACTCATAGAGTATACAGTGCAGTTTTTGTACTCCACTTAATAGGTAAATGGGTAAAAGATTTAATTAGGCAACCAAATGTCATTTACTTTACATGAAACCTGGACATATGCATTAATTGAAGTTTTACTGATATTTATTTTATGAATTGTATAAATAATTAACTGTTTCAGAGTGTACTGGAAATTTGTTTGCTACAATTCCAGTTTTGATACAATTTCAAAAACCAGTGCTCTAAAGCACTGGTTTTGGAAGACAACAACTTCTCAGCAGTCACCTGAAGTTTTATTTGTTTGCTTTTTATTGTTCCTCAGCCCAATCTATGCCATTTTTAAGTGCACATCCTGGAATCCTCGCAGTGAAGATTTTCTAGGGTATTTTACCATTCATTTCTCAATTATACTTTTGTTGCAAGACAATACTACTGCAAGTTCTTTAACTTCCTAATGATAATTAAACCACAGATGCATAATTAAATGTATCCAAGCTTAAACAAATTAAGTCAAATAAAATTCCAGTGTGTTCCTCATCTGAAAACATAAACAGTCTTATATAGAAATCTGCATTCTCTCTTGAAAAGGAATATTTTATCATTCAGTTATGTTTTCAAGTGGATAAAAGGCAATAATTTATCATCTATCACAGAGTCCATCTTATGAATTTATTTTGCTTAGGTAAACAATTTGAGAAAAGTATATGTAATAACACTGTGAGTAGAAAGACCTCTTAGATGGTGTCAGTGACTATCATATGTTCTATATGAATAAACAAGATATTCTGAACAATTGAGAAATAAAAGATTATTTTTATAAATCTACCAATGGATAATTCAACAAACATCTATTGAGAGCTATATATGATGTCACTCACTGAACACATATGTTAATAAGGTATAATTGTCAAGAAGTTAATAATCAAATGAGGGAAACTGAGAAGCTGGAGTTTACATAACAATGCTGATCATGTTAATAAAGGTATGCACAAGATACACTGGAAGCATTAAAGAGAAGCTGCCAACTTCTTTGTAGAAGAGGAAAGATTTCACATAAATAGAGAAAAGCCTGGTAAAGTCATAGAGGAAAAATTTTTAGGGAGATAATATACCATTTTGAAAAATATTAGCAATACTTACCATTTGATAGTTGAAATACTGGGTACCACTCTTTTATTTTTCCAGGTATGAGAAAAACCTGTTGTTTTTGTTTAGTTGCTGTTTTTACAATTGTTTATCTCAAGGCATAACGTGAGTTTTCAAAATTTTATTTGTTATTTGCTTTTGCTTTTGCTTTTGACAGGTGGATGTAATGTACATGTTTACCAATTATGGCAGCAAGGCACAGTGTCAATCTGCTATTTCATTTTATCCTTGTATTTAGGTTCCTCTAAAGCATGATTTCAGCATTTAATTATACTAAGTAATTTTCTGTTTAATGTTGGAAATTTTATGCTTTGTGTTTCTCCTTTACCATGATTGCCACAAGATACATTAATTAATATATAAAAACGCCATGTTATGGTTAACAAAACTGTGAGTACAATACTTGATTATCCTAAGGCTTAAGAATTAATGTTCCTTTAGGTACTGTACTCCAAAGCACCTATTACAGAATCGCAATTCAATCACACCTATAGCCAGAAATAGGTTTTATTGCCCTTATGATCTCATCCTGACCACTTTGAGGCTAGGAAAATAATGATATGATTCATTTCTACCGGGGTGGCCAGCAGGACATATCAATCCAAGGGTATCTTTTATTTAACCAGTTATTTATTTGTAAAATCAGCACATGTTTGAATATACTTGATCTGTGAGGAAGAAACATTTGTTACAGCACATAAGGATAGATTTCCGTTAGCTATAGAATACATGCTATGCTAATTTGTGAGAGACCACTTAGGCATCAAATACACAAATGAAGTACAGTCCTAACTAAAACATGAGTTCTTAATAAACTTTGTAAATAACCACATGGTCATGAATAGTGAGGAACCTTGTCAGTATGCTTTGTTCCATATATAACAATAGTTCTGAGTAATTTTGTAGGCAAGGTAAGTCTATTCAATCTGTATGTCTATATTTCTACTCTCGGTAGATCCATTACCTTTAACCTTTCCTAATGATTTAGTATCTTATACTTAAGAATTTTTATAAGCTATATTTTCTGGATCGTGTAGGGCCAACTTGAATAAGAAACTAGATAAGGTTTCATTAAAGTTTATACAAATATAACCTGTTACGTTTATTATAGCTAAGGTAGAAAAGAAAAGGATGTTTCTCTATGTCCATTAGAAAACAGAACTTTGGCCATAATAAATCCACTTTATTAGCTCCTAAGAAATTAATTATTGTTGTGATTATCTTGGTGTAGTTAAGAATATTCATGCATGAAGTTGTCAGCTACTAGGATAAGAGAGCTTTGGAAATCTTAACTCAGTTTCACAAGATGAAAAGGATCTCTTTATAGTGAAAATATCTGTTTGAACTTGAGAAGCCTGTCCATGGGTGTATGCCCTGAAATATTAATTGTAAAAACTAACTGTGAGTGTTATGTACTGAGTTATTCTTTTGACCTTTTTTCAGAATAGTTATACAGCAGCCTGTAAACAAGGGTAAGGGAAGTGAAGAAACTATCTGTCAATAATCAGATTATAAGATTCTGGTTAATTTAATGCAAGATACTGCAATTTCAGAATGAAGGAGAATGGAATGCTTTACTGAGATAATGTTCAGTTCATAACGATTAAATCAATGACAATCCTGACAGTAAGAAAATATTGTGAACAGTGAAGTATTGACAAATCTCCAGAAACATCTAATTCATCTAAGAAAGTGTTTGTTGTGCTGGTCATGAATTGACGAGAGATTACAAAATACTCTTATAAATCAACTTGATGGCAGTTACTGACATTCTATATACATGAGCATGATTGTGCTTTTTTCCGTCTTGAAAGGGACACAAACCCTGAAATATTTTTTAACATGCCCCTAATATCTTTTTAACCTAGAGAACCTGTTTTTGGTTTTTATTTTTATTTATTTATTTATTTATTTTAAGACAGAGTCTCACTCTGTCACCCAGGCTGGAGTGCAGTGGCGCGATCTCGGCTCACTGCAACCTCCGTCTCCCAGGTTCAAGTGAGAGAAACTGTTTTAATTTCTCCTTTTGGTTTGTCAATACTTTCCATAATGAAGGGTTTAAAACCAGTACAGTTGTCTGTATATTGTAAGCTAATTAAAAATACAATACAGAGACTATCAATAATACATAAACTTTTTGTATCCCTTCTGTAGTTATATGAGGGAAAAGAACTTGGGATCAATTACTTTTCTAGGAAATCTCAAAGGTATTCTGGGTATAAAGAAGTCTAACAGTTTTATTATTTAGAAATGAGTTCTTAAATTTGATTTAAGAAAACCCATATCAAAAACATGTGTTAGAAAATACAAGACAAGATAATAATCTTTAGTATCTAAAGAGAATAAATGGTTTCAATTTTGATGTAAAGTGACAATACTTAAGGTGAACACAAGAAGTAATAATTATTAGAAAATCTATCCTTTCAAAAGTGAAAAATACTTGTTAATAATTTAAAAAATGAAAAAAGAGGTACATAAAGTAACAGGCTTTAAAGTGAGGGCATTTGGGCATTATTAGGAACCTCATCCATCTAATCATCGAATACCTTTTTATTTTTGCATTTTCATGTAAACAGCAGGATATATTTGTCTTTTTAAAGGCAAGAAAAAAATTATTTCACTTTTTTGCATAGAACCTGCATAAAATTTTGCATTATTCACAATCTATAAAAATTTGCCCACCTTTTCGGCCTTTAATATATTTCTTTTAAAATTTGTCTTTCAGATTTGTGATTATATATGTATTACATATAATTATATATGTGTATTATGTATATATTATATATGTTATATACATATTCACAATCTGGCACAACAGGACTTTTTTTTAAGACAGAACTTATTTATATGAACAAAATATTTCAACAAATAAAATACATCCATTATCTTATGTATACATTCATGTTTCTTTAAAATTATTATACCTAGCGTAGTGAACCTAGGTATACAAATTTTGTTCCCATTAAGACACTGAAAAACTGTGGAAGTAATTAAAGGTGAACTGTCATCCACTTGTACCTTAGCAAATCCACATATCTCCTGTAAGGCAATCCTTCCATAGGCATACATGTCCTTTTTTAAAAAAAAAATTAATAGACTTTACGTTTTAGGACATTTCGATATGTATATACGAGTTGAGAGGATGGTACAGAGAGTTCCCAAATACCTCATACCCAGTTTCTCCTTAACATCTTACACTGGTATGTTACAATTGTGATAATTAACAAAGCAGTATTAATATACTGTTATTTACTATAATCCATAATTTATTTAGAGTTCCGTACTTTTTGCCTAATGCTGTGTGTGTGTGTGTGTGTGTGTGTGTGTGTGTGTGTGTGTGTTTGACTGTTTGTGTGTGTGTCTCCAGCATCCCATTCAGGGCACTACATTATATTTGCTCATTCTGTCTCCTTAGGCTCCTTTTTGCTGTGGCAGTTTCTCGGACTTTTATTATTTTTATGACCTCAACAGATATGAGGAGTACAGGTCAGGTATATTGTGTAAGACGCTCCAGTTTGGAATGTGTCTGATGCTTTTCTTATAATAAAATTGTGGTTACGAGTTATTGAGAGGAAGATGACAGAGAAAAAGACCACCATGTTTATCACATCAAATCAAAGATACATTCTATCAACCTGACATACCTCTGTTGGTGTTGGCCTTGACGACCTAACTAAGCTAGTGTTTATCAGATTTCTCCACTGTGAAGTTATTCTTTTTTCCTCATTTCATGCTGTATTTTTTGGAAGAAAGTTACTATGTGCAGCTTCCAATTATGAAGTGGGTAGTTATGCTGTCCTTCCTTAAGGGTGGAGTATCTATACAAATTATGAAGAATTCTTATGCATGTGTGTTTACCTCTTTTCCCCCATTCATATATTTATTTACTCATTTATTTGTATAGGTATAGAATAATAGATATGTATTTTATGCTTTGGATTATAATCCGGTACTACTTTTGTTATTTATTTTGTTGCTCAAATTGTTCCAACTTTGGCCATTGGGAGCTCTTTCAATTTGCTCCTGTATCGTTCCTACATGCCCCTATTATATTGGGATTTTTAGCACCTCCTTATAAATTACGAGATGCTTCAGACTCATCTTGTATATTTCCTATCCCAGTCCTAGATGCAGTCGCTTCTCCAAGGAGTCTTGGTTCTTTTAATTGGAAAACAGTATTAGAAAGCAAGATCTAGGATCTAGGTGTGCTCCTTGATAATCAGGTATCTTTTATTGTATGCTCTCTTAGCTGACAAATCAATGTTACGTCTGTGTGTTTAAAAACCTGTGTATAGGCACAAGTCTATAAGTATTTCTGTATGTAATGATATCTATTTGTGTTAAGCTAAACATGAGTTCATACAGCTGTTCCAACTCTGATCTATTGTCACATGGTTCACTCGAGATTGTTCCCCTTATCTGTGGATTCCCACTCCAACAGTTAGAAACCTGAATGCAACCATCTGCCATTCATTTGGTTAATTGTTCAACTGCAGTATACATATATGTGAAGCAATATCAGAACTATTAACCTTTAGCTCCATGGAAAAAATGTCAGCTAGAATACACGTTTGTGCAATTTCTTTTCTCTTTAGTCCTACAGACCCCAGTCATTTCCAGACTGACTTAGGTCATCACTTTTCTCCATATCCCATTCAATGAGGTTGGTACATACATGTGTGATACAGATAAATTTACTCATCACAGTCTGCATTCCTTCCTGGAATCCCCTGACCTCCTAAATGATGTTTTAAAACTTGCATATATTAAGGTTCACCTTTGTGCTCTAAAACTCTATGGGTTTTAACAAATGCATAATGCCATGTATCTAGCGACACACAGAATAGTTTCACTGTGTGAAAACTCTCATTCTTCATCTATTTATTCTCTCCCACTTCATCCGAACCCCTGGCAACCACTGTTATCTGTTTACTGTCTTGATAGTTTTGTCTTTTCAGAATTTCATAAAATTAGGAGCATATAGTATATAGCATTTTCAGGCTTTTTTGAGGCAAGAAGCATTTGGGGTTCTTCCCTGTTTTTCTCTGTCCTAAAAACTCTATTTTTTCTGTCACCGAATAACTTTACCTTACATGGCTGTATTCCAGTTATTATTATTTTTTTAATCCGGTCACCTATTGAAGGATATCTTGGTTATTGACAGCTTTTGATGATTATGAAAAAGGCTGCCATAAATATTTATATGCAGTACTTTGTGTAGATTTATGTTTTCAAATCAACTGGGTAAATACTTAGAAGCTCAAGTGCTGTGTCACATGATAAAACTATTTTAGGAAATTTCCGAAGTGGTTCAACCATTTTGCATTCCTAACAGCAGCGAATGAGAGTTTCTATTGCTCCACATTTTCCCCAGCACTTGGTATTGTTGTTGCTGTTGTTTCAAATTTTATCCATTCAAAAATGTTTATAGAATCTGACAAAAAAAGCAATGGGGAAACGATTTGCTATTTAATAAATGGTGGTGGGAGAACTGGCTAGCTATGTGCAGAAAATTAAAACTGGACTCCTTCCTTACACCTTTACAAAATTAACTTAAGATGGATTAAAGACTTAAATGTAAAACCCAAAACTTAAAAAACCCTAGAAGAAAATCTAGGCAATACCATTCAGGACATAGCCACAGGCAAAAATTTCATGCTGAAAATGCCAAAAGCAATTGCAACAAAAGCAAAAATTGACAATGGGATTTAATTAAACTAAAGAGCTTCTGCACAGCAAAAGAAACTATCATCAGAATGAAGAGACAGAATGAAGAGTGGGAGAAAATTTTTGCAATCTATCCATCTGACAAAGGTCCAATATCCAGAGTATACAAGAGCTTAAACAAATTCACAAAAAAACCCCAAACAACCCAATTCAAAAGTAGGCAAAGAACATGAACAGACACTTCTCAAAAAAAAATTCATGTGGCCAACAACCATATGAAAAAAAGCTCAACGTCACTGATCATTAGAGAAATGCAAATCAAAACCACAATGAGATCCCATCTTATGCCAGTCAGAATAGTGATTATTAAAAAGTCCAGCAAGAACAGATGCTGGCAAGATTGCAAAGAAAAAAGAACACTTTGACACTGTCGGTGGGAGAGTAAATTAGTTCAATCACAGTGGAAGAAAGTGTGGTGATCCCTCCAAGATCTAGAAGCAGAAATACCATTTGACCCTGCAATGTCATTACTGGGTATATACCCGAAGGAACACCAATCATCCTGTTATAGATACATGCACACATATGTTCATTGCAGCACTATTCACAATAGCAAAGACATGGAATCAACCCATATGTCCATCAATTATAGATGGATAAAGAATATGTGGTACAAGTATACCATGGAACACTATGCAGCCATAAAAAGGAACGAAATCATGTTGTTTGCAGGGACTTGAATGGAGGTGGATGCCATTACCCTCAGCAAACTAATGCAGGAACAGAAAGTCAAACATCATATGTTCTCACTTATAAGTTGGAACTGAACAATGAGAACACACGGATACATGTGGGGGAACAGCACACACTGGGGCCTGTCATGGTGGAATGGGGAGGAAGAGCATCAGTAAGAATAGCTAATGGATGCTGTGTTTAATACCTAGGTGATAGGTTGATCTGTGCAGCAGACCACCATGGCACACGTTTACCTATGTAGCAAACTTGAACATCCTGCACATATATCCAGGAACTTAAAATAAAATTTGAAGAAAAAAGTTTGTTGTGAGTAGTATCTCATCGTTGTTTTGATTTGCAATTCCCTAATGACCAATAGTGTTTAACATTTTTCCATATGCTTATTTGCCCTCTATATATTTTCTCTAGTGGGCTATCTGTTCAAATTTTTTGCCCATTCTCAATTGTTTTTAGTTTTGTTCTTAAATTGTTGGCTTTAAGAGTCCTATTTTTTTAGATTTTAGATAAAAGTCCCTTATAAGATACATGGTTTGAAAATATTTTCTTTGTTGATTTGTGTTTTGATTCTCTTAATAGCATCTTCGGCAGGAGACCAATTTAAATTTTATGGTTATTATATAATAAATGGATAAATTACAAGTTAATAATTAATGATTAATACATTATTTATTAATATTAATAGTTATGTTGTTTTTCTCTTCTTGGATAATGCCTTTAGTATTGTTTTAAAAATTTATTGCCAAACCTAAGGTCACTTAGATTTTCTCCTATGTATCCATTTAGATATGTAATTTAATCTAATAATTTACTTTATTTAATCTGATGCATATCACCATACAAAAAACACACAGATTACTACTACTATTGTAAGTGTTCATAAATATTTCAGTTAGATATTTTAAGTGGAATAAGTAACTTACATAATGTTCAGCAATACCTGAAGTCCATAAGAGCTTACTGCTTTTGGAAGATACCAAATAATAATATTTAATTAAATTGTTCACATTATTTTTACATTTTTATACCTTTAAACCATTTGTGGGGAAAAAATACCACAACCAACAAAACTTAGCCAAAAATTTAACTGGGGAAATTGACATAATTTAAATTAATTTGATAAGAAAATAAATTGAAGTTTATTTGTAAATTATACTATTTACCTTTGTAAATTATAGTATTATGCTAATACTATTTTTTTTTTTTTACATTTTATGCAATCAGGGAAAACTTACCTACTTGATTTTAAGAGAAAATGTTTAAACTCATTTAATTTGTTCAAGGGTTCACACATATTAGGATATATAGAGACAGATCAACACAGATAGACAGATAGATAGATAGAATTTACAATTTTTAAAATAATTGTCATTATTGTTTTGATTAGCAACCACTGTTTGCATTTTCACATTCCACTTACTAGCCTAATATCACTTCAAATGTACTTACTCCTTATTACTTAACAGCCATGTTCATTTAGCTATTTCTCTGCGAAACTGCCATTTGCTCTCTGAGTTACTGCTTCAGCAAGTGTCTAAAGCGTTCATAACAATCCAGAATTTCCAAAGCAAGAGGTGTTATTTTTCCTTTCCTCAAAATTCTTAAATTCTTATATTTTAAATTTATGGATGCACTTTATCATTTTCTGTTATCTAATCAGAGGTTTTTTTACATTTAAAAGGCTTTGTAATGTGTAATAACTATTAGTTTTATTTTTATAAAAGAGATAGATTGAAATGGTCATAAATTCATTGTTACTCTGTTTTCTTTTACTTTAAATCAGGCCAAAAAGTTTTCATGCCACATTTGCTGTATGAAATCTGAGAGTAAGTCACCAACTGTTTTTCAGTTTCCCTCCAAGCCTCTTGAAATATTTGTTCTTAGGATGTCCCCTGCTTGTGCCACCTCTTCGAAGTTAGCTGCCATGTAATAAATAAGACTACCCGGAGACCAAAACATTATGAAAAATTCAAGTTTTACAGGACAAAAATCAAATCCAAGGGGTCATCAGTAAAATGTGGTTTTGGATAAATCCCTGATCCAAGTGTGGCTGTAACATGTTTTGTTAAGGTTTTAGAAAGATTTAAGGCACTCTTAGACTATGACAATTAACCAAAAAATTTCTGAGACTCTTGTATACCCTCTATTCCTTCTCAGCTAGTTAAAAGTCTCCTAAGAATATGAACTATGTGCCCTCTTGACTTTTGCTAAACCAAAGGTCTTCTAAAAGTTTTTAAGGCTATGATCTCACAGCACCCTCTCTCCCAAGACACAGAACTGTCTCAGAGATTTATGGCAATGGCTTTTATAAAAGAGAGTGAATCCCAATAAGATCCTTAGGAAACTCACAACCTTTCTAAGAGTGTTTTACTTGTAGAAACACTGCCTGTCAGCTTAGACTGAAAAGAGTCAGAGATAGTTCAAAATGAAAACATGCTCCTGAACCTTCAACACGCAGCTGTGAAAAGTCGACCATTTCTTATAAATAGAAAGGATGACTCACAGTGGAGAGTAATCTGGTTCAAGGATCTGCACTTGAAGAACCCTACCTGAGGGATTGCATCCATATCTGGGCTTAAGATGATGAGCTGCTGGCCCTCAAGTCTGGTCTTAATATTATAGATGAAGCTTCTAGGGACTGTGAGAGGAGATAAGTGTCCTCCATGCATGAGGAACACAAATAATTTGTGGCTGACTGTGGTTTATTATATATGACCACAACTGATTTGCAACATCTGCATTGGGAAGTGGAATCTATTTCCCCTCTCCATGAAACTGGGTTGGGCTTGTGAGTTGATTTGACCAATAGAATGTGGTGGGAGAGACTCAGTGTGATTTCCATGTCTGGGTCACAAGCCTTCTGACTTCCACTGCGCCTCTTGGAACACTTGCTTTTCAGATATTCCCTCTCAGAACCCAGCTGTGAAACCGTAAGAAGCCCAAGCCATTTGATAGGCCAAGTATAGATGTTCCTGCCAAAAGCCCCAGCTGAACTTCCAGATGTCAGGAAGCTTCAACTGCCAGCCATGTGAAAAAACTATTCAGTTGAGCCTTCTGCTATTTGCAGCCCTAGCCACCATCTGACCTCGATTTCCTGAGACACCAAAAATTTGAACTACCTGCCAAGTCCAGTGAACATGCAGACCCAACAAACATAATAAATTGGTGTTTTTAGCTGCAAAGTTATAGAGTGATTTGCTAAGTAGCAATAGATAAGTAAAACAACAGAGAAAGTTACAGTAATTTGCTCAGAAAATATTTTCTATTCATAGGATAGATGAATCTTAAAATTTAGAGTAAGCTGTGGAAATCTGGGGAAGTTTAGAACTGAATTTCTATAAACTGCATTATACTGTAGTTGTTTTCTTTAGTAATTGTTCATTTACATTGTAGGTCAAGCTGAAGTTTCAAAATTAAATTTATTTACATCTTATTTTCAGCACATAAAACATTTCCTCACATATGTATTTGCTATATTTATGTATTTCTATGGAGATTTTCTATTTACTTTGGAGATGAGAGAGAGGAAATCTTGTGCACTCAGAGCCCTTCAACTGTCTTGAGAGATGATAAAGCTCTTGGCAGGCCAAAAGCAATCAATTTTGTATCATTTAGGTTCTTATTCAAAAACACATTCAGCCAGATCCTTACAATTGCTATTTTAATCAGGCAGATTCTTATGTTAGAAATCAGAGATCTCCATTTTCAAAGCTAAATTTTTTTAAAGTTACAAAGTTTCCCTCTGTTAATAATAAATATGGATCTTTGAATTAGGTGCGCTTAAATGTAGTAAATGTATTAAAAGTGTTGACCAGAGGAGCCAAGATGGCGGAATAGGAATAGCTCCTGTCTACAGCTCCCAGCGTGAGCGACGCAGAAGACGGGTGATTTCTGCATTTCCCTCTGAGGTACCGGGTTCATCTCACTAGGGAGTGCCAGACAGTGGGCGCAGGTCAGTGGGTGCACACACCGTGCGCGAGCCGAAGCACGGCGAGGCATTGCCTCACTTGGGAAGCGCAAGGGGTCAGGGAGTTCCCTTTCCCAGTCAAAGAAAGGGGTGACGGACGCACCTGGAAAATCGGGTCACTCCCACCCGAATACTGTGCTTTTCCGACGGGCTTAAAAAATGGCACACCACGAGATTATATCCCACACCTGGCTCAGAGGGTCCTACGCCCACGGAGTCTCCCTCATTGCTAGCACAGCAGTCTGAGATCAAACTGCAAGGCGGCAGTGAGGCTGGGGGAGGGGTGCCCGCCATTGCCCAGGCTTGCTTAGGTAAACAAAGCAGCCAGGAAGCTCCAACTGGGTGGAGCCCACCACAGCTCAAGCAGGCCTGCCTGCCTCTGTAGGCTCCACCTCTGGGGGCAGGGCACAGACAAACAAAAAGACAGCAGTAACCTCTGCAGACTTAATGTCCCTGTCTGACAGCTTTGAAGAGAGTAGTGGTTCTCCCAGCAAGCAGCTGGAGATCTGAGAACGGGCAGACTGCCTCCTCAAGTGGGTCCCTGACACCTGAGCAGCCTAACAGGGAGGCACCCCGCAGCAGGGGCACACTGACACCTCACACGGCCCGGTACTCCAACAGACCTGCAGCTGAGGGTGCTGTCTGTTAGAAGGAAAACTAACAAACAGAAAGGACATCCACACCAAAAACCCATCTGTACATCACCATCATCAAAGACCAAAAGTAGATAAAACCACAAAGATGGGGAAAAAACAGAACAGAAAAACTGGAAACTCTAAAACGCAGAGCACCTCTCCTCCTCCAAAGGAATGCAGTTCCTCACCAGCAACGGAACAAAGCTGGATGGAGAATGACTTTGAAGAGCTGAGAGAAGAAGGCTTCAGACGATCAAGTTACTCTGAGCTACGGGAGGACATTCAAACCAAAGGCAAAGAAGTTGAAAACTTTGAAAAAGATTTAGAAGAATGTATAACTAGAATAACCAATACAGAGAAGTGCTTAAAGGAGCTGATGGAGCTGAAAACCAAGGCTCGAGAACTACGTGAAGAATGCAGAAGCCTCAGGAGCCGATGCGATCAACTGGAAGAAAGGGTATCAGCGATGGAAGATGAAATGAATGAAATGAAGCGAGAAGCGAAGGTTAGAGAAAAAAGAATAAAAAGAAATGAGTAAAGCCTCCAAGAAATATGGGACTATGTGAAAAGACCAAATCTACGTCTGATTGGTGTACCTGAAAGTGATGGGGAGAATGGAACCAAGTTGGAAAACACTCTGCAGGATATTATCCAGGAGAACTTCCCCAATCTAGCAAGGCAGGCCAACATTCAGATTCAGGAAATACAGAGAACGCCACAAAGATACTCCTCGAGAAGAGCAACTCCAAGACACATAATTGTTAGATTCACCAAAGTTGAAATGAAGGAAAAAATGTTAAGGACAGCCAGAGAGAAAGGTCGGGTTACCCTCAAAAGGAAGCCTATCAGACTAACAGCGGATCTCTCGGCAGAAACCCTACAAGCCAGAAGAGAGTGGGGGCCAATATTCAACATTCTTAAAGAAAAGAATTTTCAACCCAGAATTTCATATCCAGCCAAACTAAGCTTCATAAGCGAAGGAGAAATAAAATACTTTACAGACAAGCAAATGCTGAGAGATTTTGTCACCACCAGGCCTGCCCTAAAAGAGCTCCTGAAGGAAGCACTAAACATGGAAATGAACAACCGGTACCAGCCACTGCAAAATCATGCCAAACTGTAAAGACCATTGAGACTAGGAAGAAACTGCATCAACTAACCAGCAAAAGAACCACCTAACATCATAATGACAGGATCAAATTCACACATAACAGTATTAACTTTAAATGTAAATGGACTAAATGCTCCAATTAAAAGACACAGACTGGCAAATTGGATAAAGAGTCAAGACCCATCAGTGTGCTGTATTCAGGAAACCCATCTCACGTGCAGAGACACACATAGGCTCAAAATAAAAGGATGGAGGAAGATCTACCAAGCAAATGGGAAACAAAAAAAGGCAGGGGGTGCAATCCTAGTCTCTGATAAAACAGACATTAAACCAACAAAGATCAAAAGAGACAAAGAAGGCCATTACATAATGGTAAAGGGATCAATTCAACAAGAAGAGCTAACTATCCTAAATACATATGCACCCAATACAGGAGCACCCAGATTCATAAAGCAAGTCCTGAGTGACCTACAAAGAGACTTAGACTCCCACACAATAATAATGGGAGACTTTAACACCCCACTGTCAACATTAGACAGATCAACGAGACAGAAAGTCAACAAGGATACCCAGGAATTGAACTCAGCTCTGCACCAAGCAGACCTAATAGACATCTACAGAACTCTCCACCCCAAATCAACAGAATATACATTTTTTTCAGCACCGCACCACACCTGTTCCAAAATTGACCACATACTTGGAAGTAAAGCTCTCCTCAGCAAATGTAAAAGAACAGAAATTATAACAAACTGTCTCTCAGACCACAGTGCAATCAAACTAGAACTCAGGATTAAGAATCTCACTCAAAACCGCTCAACTACATGGAAACTGAACAACCTGCTCCTGAATGACTACTAGGTACATAACGAAATGCAGGCAGAAATAAAGATGTTCTTTGAAACCAACGAGAACAAAGACACAACATACCAGAATCTCTGGGATGCATTCAAAGCAGTGTGTAGAGGGAAATTTATAGCACTAAATGCCCACAAGAGAAAGCAGGAAATATCCAAAATTGACACCCTAACATCACAATTAAAAGAACTAGAAAAGCAAGAGCAAACACATTCAAAAGCTAGCAGAAGGCAAGAAATAACTAAAATCAGAGCAGAACTGAAGGAAATAGAGACACAAAAAACCCTTCAAAAAATTAATGAATCCAGGAGCTGGTTTTTTGAAAGGATCAACAAAATTGATAGACCGCTAGCAAGACTAATAAAAAAAGAGAGAAGAATCAAATAGACGCAATAAAAAATGATAAAGGGGATATCACCACCGATCCCACAGAAATGCAAACTACCATCAGAGAATACTACAAACCCCTCTACGCAAATAAACTAGAAAATCTAGAAGAAATGGATAAATTCCTCGACACATACACTCTCCCAAGACTAAATCAGGAAGAAGTTGAATCTCTGAATAGACCAATAACAGGATCTGAAATTGTGGCAATAATCAATAGCTTACCAACCAAAAAGAGTCCAGGACCAGATGGATTCACAGCCGAATTCTACCAGAGGTACAAGGAGGAACTGGTACCATTCCTTCTGAAACTATTCCAATCAATGGAAAAAGAGGGAATCCTCCCTAACTCATTTTATGAGGCCAGCATCATTCTGATACCAAAGCCGGGCAGAGACACAACCAAAAAAGAGAATTTTAGACCAATATCCTTGATGAACATTGATGCAAAAATCCTCAATAAAATACTGGCAAAACGAATCCAGCAGCACATCAAAAAGCTTATCCACCATGATCAAGTGGGCTTCATCCCTGGGATGAAAGGCTGGTTCAATATATGCAAATCAATAAATGTAATCCAGCGTACAAACAGAGCCAAAGACAAAAACCACATGATTATCTCAATAGATGCAGAAAAAGCCTTTGACAAAATTCAACAACCCTTCATGCTAAAAACTCTCAATAAATTAGGTATTGATGGGACGTATTTCAAAATAATAAGAGCTATCTATGACAAACCCACAGCCAATATCATACTGAATGGGCAAAAACTGGAAGCATTCCCTTTGAAAACTGGCACAAGACAGGGATGCCCTCGCTTACCACTCCTATTCACCATAGTGTTGGAAGTTCTGGCCAGGGCAATCAGGCAGGAGAAGGAAATAAAGGGTATTCAATTAGGAAAAGAGGAAGTCAAATTGTCCCTGTTTGCAGACGACATGATTGTTTATCTAGAAAACCCCATTGTCTCAGCCCAAAATCTCCTTAAGCTGATAAGCAACTTCAGCAAAGTCTCAGGATACAAAATCAATGTACAAAAATCACAAGCATTCTTATACACCAACAACAGACAAACAGAGAGCCAAATCATAAGTGAAATCCCATTCACAATTGCTTCAAAGAGAATAAAATACCTAGGAATCCGACTTACAAGGGATGTGAAGGACCTCTTCAAGGAGAACTGCAAACCACTGCTCAATGAAATCAAAGAGGATACAAACAAATGGAAGAACATTCCATGCTCATGGGTAGGAAGAATCAATATCGTGAAAATGGCCATACTGCCCAAGGTAATTTACAGATTCAATGCCATCCCCATCAAGCTACCAATGCCTTTCTTCACAGAATTGGAAAAAACTACTTTAAAGTTCATATGGAACCAAAAAAGAGCCCGCATCGCCAAGTCAATCCTAAGCCAAAAGAACAAAGCTGGAGGCATCACACTACCTGACTTCAAACTATACTACAAGGCTACAGTAACCAAAACAGCATGGTACTGGTACCAAAACAGACATATAGATCAATGGAACAGAACAGAGCCCTCAGAAATAACGCTGCATATCTACAACTATCTGATCTTTGACAAACCTGAGAAAAACAAGCAATGGGGAAAGGATTTCCTATTTAATAAATGGTGCTGGGAAAACTGGCTAGCCATATGTAGAAAGCTGAAACTGGATCCCTTCCTTACAACTTATACAAAAATCAATTCAAGATGGATTAAAGACTTAAACGTTAGACCTAAAACCATAAAAACCCTAGAAGAAAACCTAGGCATTACCATTCAGGACATAGGCATGGGGAAGGACTTCATGTCTAAACCACCAAAAGCAATGGCAATAAAAGACAAAATTGACAAATGGGATCTAACTAAACTCAAGAGCTTCTGCACAGCAAAAGAAACTACCATCAGGATGAACAGGCAACCTACAAAATGGGAGAAAATTTTCGCAACCTACTCATCTGACAAAGGGCTAATATCCAGAATCTACAATGAACTCAAACAAATTTACAAGAAAAAAACAACCCCATCAAAAAGTGGGCGAAGGACATGAACAGACACTTCTCAAAAGAAGACATTTATGCAGCCAAAAAACACATGAAAAAATGCTCATCATCACTGGCCATCAGAGAAATGCAAATCAAAACCACAATTAGATACCATCTCACACCAGTTAGAATGGCAATCATTAAAAAGTCAGGAAACAACAGGTGCTGGAGAGGATGTGGAGAAATAGGAACACTTTGACACTGTTGGTGGGACTGTAAACTAGTTCAACCCTTGTGGAAGTCAGTGTGGCGATTCCTCAGGGATCTAGAACTAGAAATACCATTTGACCCTGCCATCCCATTACTGGGTATATACCCAAAGGACTATAAATCATCTGCTATAAAGACACATGCACACGTAAGTTTATTGCGGCACTATTCACAATAGCAAAGACTTGGAACCAACCCAAATGTCCAACAATGATAGACTGGATTAAGAAAATGTGGCACATATACACCATGGAATACTATGCAGCCATAAAAAATGATGAGTTCATGTCCTTTGTAGGGACATGGAAGAAATTGGAAATCATCATTCTCAGTAAACTATCGCAAGAACAAAAAACCAAACACCGCATATTCTCACTCATAGGTGGGAATTGAACAATGAGATCACACGGACACAGGAAGGGTAATATCACACTCTGGGGACTGTGGTGGGGTGGGGGGAGGGGGGAGGGATAGCATTGGGAGATATACCTAATGCTAGATTACGAGTTAGTGGGTGCAGCGCACCAGCATGGCACATGTATACATATGTAACTAACCTGCACAATGTGCACATGTACCCTAAAACTTAAAGTATAATTAAAAAAAAAAAAGTGTTGACCAATTAATAAATATAAATTACCCAAAAATGAAAGAGAATAAAGATAGAAAAAAATAGCAACATATAGATTCAGAAAGAACTAAAAATATAAAGATTGTTGTAAGAAAGAGGAAAATTATCTTCCTTTTTTGAGAAGAGCAAAATATTATTTTTTTCCAGTTTAAGCAAAAAGTACAGAGAGAGAAGTTGGTAGCCTCAGTGTTCAAATTTCATCAATGGTTTGAAAAAATATATAGAACATAATTTGTTGTACATCAGTAAAATTGACTGATTGGGTACATCAGTTCCAGAACAGAAGGTCAGAGAGGCACAGACCATCTCAAAGGCATACTTACCCTGATAACTTCATGATTTAATGGCTGCTCTTTATTCTCGTGAATGTTAATTATTTTTGTCTTGTTTTATTGTTGTGAATTACTTGAGCTTATAGTGGAACAGAAGAAACCTAATAACAAAGAATTTTATTGATAATTGGAAGGAAACTAGGCAGTGCTATAGGCAGTGACAGGAGCTTGTCTTTCCACTTGACTAAACCATAATTCAATGACATGGTAAAACAGAGGCAGGTGACTCAAAGGTTAGGAAAAATCAGAATGTTCAAGACAAACAGGAAAAAAGAAACCTGCAAATATTGAAAGGTAGAGATGGTTGGATTGTACAATCAACAGCACCAAAACAAAAAGTGGGAATTAAAATGATGGCCAAATAAAAGCCAAACTAAATTTAGAACCTTGGGGAAAAACTAGAGGTCATCCAAAACAGTCAGTGAGGGACAAAGCACCTGGTTTGGAAACTGAAACTGAATCAGAAACAAAGTGGAGGCTTTCTAGTAGAATGATGAAATCCACTATGTAAACTGAAAAATGTGCATCTTGGTGCAAGAGACTAATGGGAGGTACTGTTAAAGGCAAAGCAATATCATCAGAGCTGTGGCTAGATCCATTTTCGTGCCTCAATGGGAATGTATCTGTAAAATAAAGATTAGAAAAAAATGATTCAGGAAAAAAATACTTTTAAATGTTTATTGCAGGAAGTACAAATTTCAGAAATTTGTTATTACCAAATTACATGCACACACACACCCACACAGGAACACACACAGCAAGTACTTTAAAGTAAATGAGTTTACCAAGGATATTAGTAATCTGTTCATAATGAATCAATACTAGTTTTATAAAATTAAGTCTGTCAATGATTGTCGGGGGTTACAAAAACCAGGGATAAAGTTGTTTCTCCTAGTCAACATACAGAAAATGACTCAATCTTTCATCTGTTTTGTTATCTTGATTTGAACATTCCAGGAGGAAATCTCCCTCTCACTCTGTAATGCTCTAATAATGCTACGTGATGAAAGAGATCAATTGGGTTGGTTAGTGCAAGTTGTTAGTTTGCTTTTCCAACAAGCTCTGCCACTATTTCTAAATCATGTCACTCTGTCAGGGTGCTAGATCTGCAGCATTAACATATGATGTGCCCAAATCTTCCATTTCAATCCAATCCGTCTGTCTATGTGTTGAGTTCTGTTCATCAGTTCAAAACTTAGCCCCCATCTTGATGAGTTCTTGTTGGGACCACTGATGTCCATTTTCCCCTTTTCTTCCAATAAGCCTTATCCAGGGCCACCCTTTGTTTTTCAACATAAAGCATTGGGTATCTGGTTTTGATCACTTCCTTCACAAAGAGTAAATTGGCTTCTTATGCAAAATGTTCTATCCCCTTCCCTAAGAATATCATGACAGGCAATTTTTACTGAACACCAGAACAAGTCCTAATGTAACACTCCCTCAAGATGGAATGTTTTAGGTACCTTACATATTTGCACAATGAGGTCCAATAAAGTTGTTCTATTCAAGTCAAGAAGATCTGCTCCATTGTAACTATCTTCTGGACAGCTCATAAAATTTAATACATGGTAACAAGTGAGGTTGCAAAGTTAGGCAGAGACAAGAATATAACAATCACTTGTGCTAACAAAAATAATGATGGAAAATCAAATAATTATGAGAAATCTGTATCAATGGTTACTAATGCTGGATATATATTACGTGGCAAAAATTTGCATGCATAATCACATTTTTCCTTACCATGACAACATGAATTATATGTATGATTTTAAGTTATCTCACACTGCTGATAACAAACTCTCCAATATTCAATTTGCCAAGTGACCAATTTGCTGAAGACCCAATTAGCTAATGATTAGTTTGTAGATTTTCAATTTTCCAAATTTGTTAAATTAAAATATTTACTACTTTACCAAAAATGGTCTTAACAAAAACTAGAGATACAACAGCAAGAATATGAAATATAATTATAAGCAATATGAGATATTGAAATAATAAATTTAAGAATATTATTTATAATAAATATATTTCATCATTTTTAAAAATCACTTTTATGGGAATTTTTAGTCAGTAATTATGTTTAGTCCTCTGTATCACTTAGTCTTGCCAAACTTTATCTACCAACTTTGTCATTTTTATGATTTAACTGCATTTTTATTATTTTATTTTCTATCTGTAATTAAATTATATCAAATTTGAACTAGAAAACAGATAGCATATTGCCATTTTTTTACCTGCATTTAACAGTTTCTTTTTTACCTGTAAAAGGCTTCTAGTTGGCATATTCAAACTGCACTCTGATAGAGGCATGAAATTTTAATACATCTGGTTTATCCCAGGTAATTTAACTTAATTGTGATGTATATTTTTACTTATGAGAAATAAAATTAAGGATGGTACTAAACATCTCAGATTTGAAAAAATAGAAAGGGGCATTAAACCATTTAAAGTTAATGAGACATAGATAAACAATCCAATTATATCTGTTAAATCATCCATGTAATGGTATTTTTGCAAGTTGATTTTTCCCAAATTAATTTTAACAAATTTTCTCTTTGGAAAATGTTATTTTCAGGAGTTGGCTTTTAGCAAATTCTTTTAAAGGAATCATTTTGCTTACAATTTTTACCCACTCTATAGAAGTAAAAACTGAGTTGCAAAGAGTTTTGGTAGCTTGTCCAAGGTAACCCAAGAAGTAAAGGGCAAATCAGATTTTCTTATCTGTTTGATTAACATCTGTGTCCTTAATCACTACTCTATGTTGCTTCTCATATTATTAAAATTCTGATTTTTAAAAATTAATTCATCTCAGTTTTCACTTTATTGTTTAGAATTCGTGGATTTAAATGGCATCATGAAGTTAAAGAATGTGCTGCTTCCTAGTGAGGAATTATTCAAAGACAACCTGAATATATTCATTAGGTAAGCAGACAGCCAGCAGAAGCATAAGTTCACCTTGGAGATGTTTGATTAAAGAGCTGGTACTAGTTGATCGAAGATGACTAATGGTGTTAGATTTTATCCTAAAAGTGACAAACACTGAAATATGCATATAGACATAATAGCATAAATGCATTTGTATTTTAGAAAAATCCATTTGGTACCATGGTAAAGAAGGAAGGTAAGGCTGGATACAAAAAGGCCAGATAGAAGATGTTGACCACATCAATGACAAGGGCCAACATAAGGTATGATACACAGTAATGGAAAAGGGTATTAGAGAGGAAAAATATAAAAATAGGATTTAGTAATTTTTTGGAGATAGGTTTTAGGAAAGGGAAAAAGGATATAGTCTTATTATTTAGGTAAATAACCCAGCTTTCCATCAGGTTAGTAAATTGAGATGGAAGGACTGTAAGATCAGTTTCATATAAGCTGAATTTGAATGTTTTGTGATGTAGGTAGTGGAAATGCACAGAAGGTAATACCAGTAGGTATCAAGTGTGTGTGTGTGTGTATGTGTGTGTGTGTGTGTGTGAAAGAGAGAGAAAGAGAAAGAGAGAGAGAGAGAGAGAGAGAGAGAGAGAGAGCATGTGAGCTCAGAGAGAAAAATCTCCCTATAAATGTGTCATTGAATGATTTGAATCATTGACATATACGTAGTAATTAAAGCCATGGACATGGATGAGATTGCAAAAGGACAGGAAGAAATTTAAGCCTAAAGAGAACTTTGAAAAATCAAATATCTAAAGCACAGAAGGAACTGAAAGATCCTGAAACACTGAAAATAAGCAGAGAAAAAAAAGGAAATTGATGATGAAGTGGAGACTTACATGCCAAGCAATAAGAATGAGCTATTTCTCAGTTTGAACCCAACTGACAAAATAAATTTCCACTGTTTAGTGGACAACTGTATGAAATGATAGAGAAAAGTCAAATAAGAGAGACACAGAGAAATGTTCAATGTGTTTCTCTATAAATCATTGGTAATATTAGCAAGAGTAATTACTTCCATAGGGTGATGCTAGCTGTGGATTTCTAACTAAATCCTAAGAGTCTTCTTTTATGCCCCACCTAAGCAGAAACAGGTTTCCAATGAATTTCTTTGACAGAAATTCTGATTTTTAAAAAATATTTTTGATAGAAAGATACAGAATGGATCAGATAAATACTGGATATTTCAAAGCTACTGAATATTTCTTTGTCCTAGATTTTGAAGTTTCAATGTCATATATTCCTGAGAAATATAATAGTTAACTAAAAATATACCAAATGAATATCAGGAAATTATTAAGTATGAAATAAAGAATTATTGCACTTTGGTAAACATAAATGATGAAGAGTAAAATAGACTTATTTCCCTGCCAATTGATTCTTTATAATAAGCATTTATATAGCTCTTGCTAATAAACCACTAGTTGTTAATGATGAATGGTCATCTATAGAAGGTATAAATTTATGTCTCTATTTCCAATGTGAGCAACCTATATTTTAAAATAAAAAAGCATTAAGAAATATATATGTAAGAAATAAGCACAATTGGCATCACGTGATTTTTAAACGTTTATAACAAAACTGTATTTTAAATATACTGTGTAAAAATCTATCAATTTCACAATATCAAGGGTTTCTTGAGTTGCTAAGCTTAAAGCTTAACAGACAATAGGTTTCACCTTCTTCCACTTAGACTTTAAGCTAACTTATTTTGTAAATGACATTGCACCAATACTTAGAAAAAAGAATAAAAAGATGCTATGTTTCTCCTTTTTGTAAAATTTGCTAGTAACTTGAGGAGAAAATAGAAAGACATATATTTATAAATATATACAATTCAGTGTGATCTGTGCTGTATTAATAGGCAACTATAAACTGGAGTTTTATTTACTTTATCATATTTGTCAAAATAAGTCTAATACAGACAAATATTTTATCTGTTTCATAGATGAGGAAACTGAAACACACAGAGGTTAAGAAGCTTCTTCAAGATTGTTAAAAAGTCTTCAGGGTTTATATTTTATACAACACTATTCGACAAGAAAACCAACGCTCCCAACCACTAATCTATGGTGCAAATTGGAGAGAAAAAAAAAAAGGTTAATGGTAAGTTGATGTATAACTTATACCCCAAAGGAGGTCCAAGTGAATACATCATCTGAACGTCCTCCCCTAAGAGTCTTTGTAAACATGCTAATGGCATAGATAACAGAAAGTTTCTATATGTAAAAGGATTTGGGTAAAACATACCAAATGTGTCCAAATTCTTTATTGTAAATAAGTCTGGAATATGAATATATGGGGCACAGCAGTTTGAAAAAATAAGTTAGTCATGTAAGCAATTTTCTGTCTGTGCAGTGGACAGTAAAAACACCAAAAAGGCAGAATAATATTTCTATATATGTTACACAAATTCTCAACTTGTCTGTTATTCAAAAACCAAAATACACTTGGTGCAGAAGAGAAAGGGTATTTCCAAGGAGCCGTGGATGACCGTTTTACACTCCTTAAGAAAATAAATGTTTTATTTATGGCAATTTTCCTATATTGTTTGAGTCATTAGCAGGTTGGGTATGGGCAAGATTTGTGATTCCTGTGGTTTGATTTGATATCTGAAGTAGCCTTGGAAGCACATATGAGACAACCTCAGTTGTGCCTGAAGCAGATTTACAAATAACTTCACAGATTCATGGCTATTTATTAGATTGTGAAGCATGAGTACAGTTTGCCAACTAAGGAAGCAGATATGGAGTGCAGGTGGTAGGGAAAACCATGGTAAAGAATCCTTGATTATTTGTGATGAAATAATACAATACAACTTCAAATAAAAACATGCTTAATAGTCTTTTTCTTTCCAAAAAAAAATATGTTTCTAAGTGATAAAGATGGATGGTTCTCTCAGGTTGAAATATTCATCCATGGAAATAATTTGTAAACATGATCAAGGTCTAAATGTAAAACAAAATAAAATTAAGTGATGACCTCAATAGCACTTATAATTCATCACCATTACAATTATTATGTGCTGTGGTTTGAATGTGTCACCCAAAATTTTATGTGTTGGAAACTTTGCCATTTTAATAGTATTAAGATGTGGGGTCTTAGAGGTAATTTGACCATGAGGGCTATGACCTAATAAATGGATTAATGTCATTATCACGGGAGTAAGTGAGTTCTCACAGGAGTATGCTCCTGATAAGCCTGGCCCTGTTCCTCTCTCTCTCTCTCTCTGTCTCTGTCTCTGTCTCTCTCTCTTCCTCTCTCATTTCCTCTCTCTCTCTCTCTCTCTCTCGCGGGCATGTGCCCATGCTTCCTCACCATGTGATGTCTTCTGCCATGGGATTACACTGTCCAGCTGCTGGTGCTATTTTTTTGGAGTGAGACAAATTAACTTCTGTTCTTTGTAAACTACCCAGTGTGTGGTATTTTCTTATAGTAGCTGAACTTGGACTTGAACACCAGTTTAACTAATATTAATTACATAACACTTAATCTTTAAAATATTTATGTGCATTTGTGATACTTTTAGACTGTATTTTACAAGTGAAAGAGAAAGTCATTTAATAGAATCAAACATCCATTAAAGGCAAAAACTATTCACACTATCAACAGAAAAGAACGTTCTCAAACTCAAAGTCTAGCTACAAAACAAAACAAAACTTACAGCTAACATCTTAATAGTGGAACATGAAAACAATATCCTTGAGCATGGAATGTTTTTCCATTTGTTTGTGTCATTTCTGATTTCTTGGAGTAGTGTTTTGTAGTTCTCCTTGTGGAGGTCTTTCATCTCCCTGGTTAGCTGTATTCCTAGGTGTTATTATTTTGTAGCAATTGTGAATTGGATTGGATTCCTGATTTGGCTCTCGGCTTGACTGTTGTTGGTGTAGAGGAGTGTAGTGATTTTTGCATATTGATTTTGGATCCTGAGACTTTGCTGCAGTTGTTTATCAGCTTAAAGAGTTTGTGGGCTGAGACTCTGGAATTTTCTAGATATAGGATCATGTCATCTACAAGCAGGGATAGTTTGACTTCTCTTCCTATTTGAATGTCCTTTATTTCTTTCTCTTGCCTGATTGCCTGGCCAGGACTTCCAATACTATGTTGAATAGGAGCAATAAGAGAGGACATCCTTGTCTTGTGCTGGTTTTCAAGGGGAATGCTTCCAGCTTTTACCCACTCAGTAAGATGTTGGCTGTGGGTTTGTCATAGATAGCTCCTATTATTTTGAGGTATGTTTCTCCTATACATAGATTGCCGAGAGTTTTTAACATTCAGGTGTTTAATTTTATCAAAAGCAATTTTTATATCTATTGAGATAATCATGTGGTTTTTGTCTTTAGTTCTATTCATGTGGTGAATCACATTTATTGATTTGTGTATGTGGAACCAAACTTCCATCCTAGGGATAAATCCTACTTCACTGTGGTGGATGCTTTTTGGTGTGCTGCTGGATTCAGTGTGCCAGAATGTTGTTGAGAATTTTTGCACCACTGTTCATCAGGATATTGGCCTGAAGTTTTCTCTTTGTTTGTGTCTTTGCCAGGTTTGGGTATCAGGATGATGTTGGCCTCAAAGAATGAGTTAGGGAGGAATTCCTCCTCAATTTTTGGGATAGTTCAGCAGGAATGGTACCAGCTCTTTCTTGTACATCTAGTAGAATTCAGCTGTGAATCTGTGTGGTCCTGGGCTTTTTCAGAGCCCATTATTGGTCTGTCTAAGAATTCAATTTCTTCCTGGTTCAGTCTTGGAAGGGTGTCCAGAATTCTTTTCATTTCTCCTAGCTTTTCTAGTTTATGTGCATAGAGGTGTTTGTAATATTCTCTGATGATTATTTGTATTTCTGAGGGTCAATAGTAATATCCGACTTGTCATTTCTGATTGTGTTTATTTGGTATTTGGATCTTCTCTATTTTCTTCTTTATTGGTCTAGATAGTGGCATATCTTTTTTTTTTTTTTGAGACGGAGTCTCATTCTGTCGCCCAGGCTGGAGTGCAGTGGTACGATCTCGGCTCACTGGAAGCTCTGCCTCCCGGGTTCATGCCATTCTCCTGCCTCAGCCTCCTGAGTAGCTGGGACTACGGGCGCCCACCACCACGTCCGGCTAATTTTTTGTATTTTTAGTAGATACACAGTTTCACCGTGTTAGCCAGGATGGTCTCGATTTCCTGGCCTCATGATCCGCCCACCTCGGCCTCCCAAAGTGCTCGGATTACAGGCATGAGCCACCACGCCTGGCCTAGTTGATCTTTTGAAAGTTTTTTGGTGTCTCAGTTTCCTTCAGCTCAGTTCCTATTTTGGTTATTTATTGTCTTCTGCTAACTTTGGAACTGGTTTGCTCTTGATTCTCCAGTTCTTTTAGTTGTGATGTTAGGTTGTTACATTGAGATATTTGCAACTTTTTGATCTGGGCATTTATAGCACTAAATTTATAGTGCTAAACATTTGTAGCACTAAATGCCCAGATCAAAAAATATAATTCCTCTTAACACTGCTGTAGCTGTGTCCTAGAGATTCCAGTATGTTGTATATTTGATCTCATTAGTTTCAAAAAACTTTTATGTCTGCTGTAATTTCATTATTTATCCACAAGTCATTCAGGAGTGGGTTATTCAATTGCCATGTAATTGTATTGTTTCGAGTGAATTTCTTAGTCTTGATTTCTAATTTGATTGCCTTGTAGTTTGAGAGACTGTTCATGATTTCAGTTCTTTTGCATTTGCTGAGGAGTGTTTTACTTCCAATTATGTGACTGATTTTAGAGTATGTGCCATGTGATGATGAGAAGAATGTGTATTATGTTGTTTTGCATTGGAGAGTTCTGCAGATGTCTATCAGGTCTATTTGATTCAGTGCTCGGTTCAGGTCCTGAATAACTTTATTAATTTTCTGCCTCCATGATCTGTCTAGTATTGTGAGTGGGGTGTTAAAATCTCACACTATTATTGTGTGGGAGTCTAAATCTTTACAAAGGATAAGAAAGCAAAGAAGCATTATTGCTGATATGGAGAAAGATGGGTGGTCAGCACAGAAGATCAAATCAGCCACCACATTATCTTAAGCCAAATCCAGATCCAGAGCAAGTCCCTATCTCTTCAATTCTATGAAGGATCAGAGAGGTGAGGAAGCTGCTGAATAAAAGTTGCAGGCTAGCAGAACTTGGTTCACAAAGTTTAAGGAAAGAAGCCATTTCCATAGCATGAAGGTGAAACGTAAAGCAGCAGGTGCTGATAGAGAAGCTGCGGCAAGTTATGCAAATCTAGTAGAGATAGTTGGTGAAAATCTAAACAGATTTTTCATGCACATAAAATTGGCTTCTTTTGGAAGAAGACGATTTCTAGGACTTTCATAGCCAAAAAGGAGAAGTCAATGCCTTGCTCCAAAGCTTCAAAGGATAGTCTGATTCTTGTTTGGGGCTCAGACAGCTGGTGACTTTAAATAGAAGTTAATGCTCATTTATCATTCCAAAAATTCTAGGATCCTTAAGAATTATGCTAAACCTACTGCACCTATCCTCTATAAATGGGATAACAAAGCCTGTATGACAACACATCTGTTTTTAGCATGGCTTACCGAATATTCTAAGCCCACTGTTGAGATTTAATCCTCAGAAAAACAGGTTTCTTTCAAAATGGTACCATGTAAAATAGAAAACCAAATACCACATCTTGTCACTTATAAGTGGGAACTAAACATTAAGAATATATGGATATAAAGATGGGAACAATAGACACTATGGACTACCAGAGGGGGAGAGTTGGAGAGGGGTGGGGGTTGAAAAACTACTTATCGGGTATTATGCTCACTACCTACATGATGGGGACATTCCTACAGCAAAACTCAGCAACATGTAACTTACTCATGTAACAAACCTATACAGGTACTCCCTAAACCTAAGATAAAAGTTGAAAAAGAAATGCCTAAAAATAATTACTGCTTATTGGCAATGCATCTAGCCACCCGAAGATATACAAGGAAATTCATGTCGTTTCCATGCCTACTAATACAACATCCATTCTGCAGCCCACAGATCAGGAAGTTTGGACTTATAAGTCTAATTATTTCAGAAATACATTTCTTAAGGCAATAGCTGCCACAGATAGCATTTCTCCTATATCTGGGCAAATTAAATTGAAAATCTTCTGGAAAAGATTCACCATCCTAAAGGCCATTAAGAACATTTGTGATTCATGGGAGGAAGTCAAATATCAACATTATCATGACCTTAAAAGAAGTGAATTCCAACTGTTATGGATGACTTTGGGGGTTCAAGACTTTAGGGGAGGAAGAACTTCAGATGTGGTGGAAACAGTAAGAGAACTAGAATTAAAAGTTGAGACTGAAGATGTGACTGAATTCCTGCAATCTCCAATAAAATTTGAATGTATGAAAAGTTGCTTCTTATGGAAGATCAAGAAAGTGGCTTATTGAGATGAAATCTACCTCTGGTGAAGATGTTGTGAATGTTGTTGAAATGACAACAAAAGATGTAGGATATTACGTAAACTAAATTTATAAAGCAGTGGTAGGGTTTCAGAGGATTGACTTCAATTTTGAAAGAAGTTCCACTGTAGGTCAAATGCTATCCAACAGCATCACAGGCTACAGAGAATTTTTTTGTGAAAGGAAGAGTTAATTGATACAGTAGAGTTCATTCTTATCTTATTTTAAGAAATTGCCACTGTTACCCCAACTTTCAGCAACCACCACGCTAATCAATTAGCAACCATCAACATTGAATCAAGACCCTCCACTAGCAAAAAGAAGGTTCAGAAGATTATTAGCATTTTTTAGCAATAAAGTGTGTTTAAATGAAAGTAAGAGCATTGTTTTTCAGACATAATGCTATTGCACACTAAATATAATATCTTGTAAACATAACTTTTTTGTGCACTGGGAAGCGAAAATATTTGTGTGACTCTCTTCATTTTGATATTTGCATTATTGCAGTGATCCGGAGCTGAACCTGCAAATCTCTGAGATATGCCTGTATTAAAAATAAGTAATATAAAAAGTAATGACCTACACTATCACATTAAGAAAGGGTAAAAAAACCATTAAACCCAAATTCAGTAGAGAAAGAAAATATAAAAATGTAACATATAAATAAATGAAGTAGAAAATAGAACTGTATATTTAAAATACACCTCAATGAATTTGATTTAATAATAAAAAGCTGTGAACATGTATATAACTAACTGGAAAATTAGTTTGGTGACTGTAGGTGTGGATTGTTTGACCCCAAGGCAAAAAACTGCATATACAGAAGTGTTTTATTATTTTTCAAAATTATAGTCCTCATTTAACAGAAGAAATAGGAACTAGAATGCCAATAGCAGCTCTCCACACCATTCCCATCTTGTGTGTTTTGCCATCAGTTGATTTTATTTCAGCCCTCTAATTTGACCTTGGCTTTCTTAGCTGAACGTTTAAGAGGGATCCAGAAAAACAGGTGCCACACCAATACATAGATATACATATATTTGTTTAAGATGGCCAAGTAACACATAGACTTCATTAGTTTGTTAACATACCAAACTAAAGCTTTATGTAGAATAGAAAAATACAAATAGAAGGTTTACCTTCCAGTTACCAATTTATATATATTTTTGTTCAACCCTCATAATTCTTTTTACTGTTAAATCTACTTCTTAAAATGAGGATATGAAATATAATCAACCTTAAGCAATTTACCCAAATCATATAGGAGATTCTGATTATCTGTTCCCAAACACCACAATCCACCTGCTATATCACATTTCCTTTTTCTTAACATATTGTATTTGCTCTCTTTTATAAAACAGAGATACATATCATAATTAGACCATAATAACAACCTTATATACACAAGTACAATAGATTTTTTAAAATATCATTATCAAAGGAAAATTCAGGAAAAACTTAAATTATATATTCCATTTTTGCATCCAAAAGTGCTCATAGACCCAGGTTGAGTTTGTTTTTGTTTTGATGTTATTTTTTTCTAAACTTAACTGAAAGAAAATTCCACTTGTTAATTCTGCTGATTTAGAGGCAATAGTTATGTCTTGGACATATAACCTCAAATTAATTGATATAATGTGTGCATTTTTAAAATCCAGCTAATCCTAAAAAAAAGATGAGTGCCAGATGCTAGAATTATTTTACCAATGTGCCAGTTATGGAAAACACACTGAGAATGTTATTTCTTTTTTGACATGATTTGTTCAGGAATTTAAACATTTGACTCTCTAATACATCAGTCTATATTACTAAGGATACAAAGTTAATCAAAACAGGCTGGCAGAGTTAGCTCACAGGCATATGAAGAGAAAAAATAGTAGAAACAAATCATTGAATTAGAATGTGGTATGGATTATACTAAAATATGAACATTACATAATGTTGATGGCAAAGAGGAAGTGATTAATTTTATATTTCAGCCTTAGGGGGAAACAGCCTGAAAAGCTGATTATTAATCTGAGTGAACAGATGAATTTCTTAATCCAAAAAGAAAACTCTAAAACTTCTAAATTCAGAAATTAATATTTTAAAATGTTGATATTAGTATTCAAATATGCTTTTCATTACTAGTAAATCCATCAATGAGATTGATTTTGAAGGTATACTTTCTTCTTTAAATATGTTCGCTTATATTCACTTCCCTGAATCTGACTTTGAACATGGCAAAATTTGTTTGTGGATCTATCTGCATTTGTAAACAATGTTCTATAGCTTGAGATCTTTATTCCACTCACGTTTGCCTTTTTCCGGGTAAGATTTTTCCACTGATTATTTAATAGACTACACACTTGTCTTGAATATTTTATCTGAATTATACTAAGCATTTTTCCATGGACATTGAAAACCCAGCTACAGACATGTATCATTAAATATTGGCTGTTTGGTATCATTATTTCATCCTTTCGGGACTTTAAGAAGGTATAAACATTAACCCAGGAGGGTGCACAATTTTGCAAGGAACATTACATGAACTTCCTCAAAACAAGTTTACAGGATAAATTTTATTATAATTTGATGCATATATTTACATTCAAGAGTTTCATTACTGTCTTTTAGTCTGTATCTCATATTGTAATGCTAGTCACAATCTCTGGGAACAAATGCAGAATATACTTGAAGATATGAATAACGTAGACTTCAAAAATTGTCAGAGCTGATTGTTTTAGGTAACTGGTTCATGTCCTCCAGTTCCTTCGACAGATACATTGATACATTTTTTTAAATTTTTTTATTCTGCTCTTTCTGTCTTTCCATGTTGGCTTACTGTCAAAGCATCTGTCACCCTGACACTGATGTGTTTTTGAGTGATTATAAGCTTATTAAATATATATGTATACATACACAATACACACACATATGTGTGTATATGTGTGTGTGTGTGTGTGTGTGTGTGTGTGTGTATTTGAAAAACGCTTTCAACATCTTGTATTTATAATTTTGGAGAAAAGAGGACTTACCCAGCAGCAAAGTATACATAAAGCCAGCAGCTCTGTTACAAAGATAGAAAATATACCCTGCAATCATTATAACTTCTGATAAATATAATTCTGATTTTTAAAAATGGCTCTAAAGCTAAATGATTATGAAGGTGGCACTTCTGTCAGAATAATTCAGATGGCATAATCAAGGATGAAGAAATTATCATTTCATAGAGAAAAAAAGAGTAATCATACATGTGCAGAATTTTTCTTACAGGAGTGATATTTTGTTATAGTATGAAGACAGAAATATGGGAAAAAGGTACCATTGGTCAGTTTACTATGAAACAATATTAAATGAAAAAATGTACAAAACACTGAAATTCCCATTGTAGCTTTGATTAATTATTTGGTATTCCAATTCAGCAATAGTTGTGGGAGATTATAAACACATATTAGATAGGATTAAAAAGATGATGATTTTAGTTAGAAGACTTTATTCCAGCAGGAATATATTTAAACTATGTTTTATTTATGGGGATTTTTTTATGCCATATTAGCTTGAATGAGCCTTGTTCTATGCAGTTCAGCAAAGAAGAGATTAGAGAATTGGTCTTGTATATTTCATTGACTTTCTAGAAAGTGCATTTCCATCACTGCTAGTGATTTCTCGAGCCTGTAAGATCGTTTCATTAACTTTTTTTTGCCATATCTGGAGCAGAAAGAAGCAGCTGAAGATAATGTTCTAAAGGCAAAATTTTGTTGTCTTTGGAATTCTGTTCTTTGTGATTTTATACCTTAAAAATTCAATTTACTGTAACTTACTTGTAAATTCACTATTGACCTAAAATACATGTTTGTGTTCAGTTCTCTAGCTTAATCCAAATATATGTTAATCTTTGTCAGACTACTCTAAAAACAATGTCATCTGGATGAAATTTATTTTCTTATTGTTGATTTTTTCATTGTCTTAGCTTTAGATATCTTTACGTACCTACTTATGTTTAGGAATTTCATTTGCGGCCTCATTTTTAGAAAGCTTTTTTTTTCATTTTCCTCTTTATTTTCTTCTCATTCTTTTTCTTACTTTCTCTAATTTCTTATGCTATGTTTGATCTCTTTCCTGTGTGTGTGTTTGTCCTTTGTGGTCTAGTTCCTAGCGACAAAGTTGGTTTTTAAAAATTTTGTAGGTACACAGAGGAGTATATGTTGACATATTTTGATATAGTCATATAGTGCATAGTAATACCATCAGGGTAAATGTGATACCTACAGTTTTGGTCTTTTTGCTTAGGATAGCTTTGACTACTCTGGATCTTTCATGGTTCCATATAAATTTTAAAATTGCTTTTTCTAATTCTGTGAAGAATGTCATTGGTATCATAGTCATTTTGATAGGGATTGCATTGAATCTGTACATTACTCTAAATAGTATGGACATTTAAAAAATATTGATTCTTCCAATCCCATGAGCATGGAATATCTTTGCATTTTCTTGTAGCATCTTCACTTTCTTGCAACAATTTTTTATAGCTTTCATTATAGAGATCTTTCACTTCTTTGGTTAATTCCTAGGTATTTTATTTTATTTTATTTTATTTACAGCTATTACAAATGGGATTACTTTCTTGATTTCTTTTTCAGATTGTTCACTGTTAGCATATGGAAGTACTACTGATTTTTGTATGTTGATTTTTTATTCTGCAACTTTACTGAATTAGTTTATCAGTTCTAATAGATTTTGGTGGTGTCTTTAGATTTTCCCAAATATAAGAATATATCATCTGTAAACAAGGAAGGAAAATTTGACTTCTTCCTTTCCAATTTGGATGTCCTTTATTTCTTTCTATTGTCTGAGTGCTCTAGCTAGGACTTCCAGTAACACATTAAATAATAATGTTGAAAGTGGGCATCCCGTTTCAGATCTTAGAGGAAAGGCTTTCAGATACTCCCCATTCAATATGATATTATGACAACTGTGTGTCTGTCAGATATGCTTTCTATTATGTTGAGGTATTTCCTGTTATACCAAGATTTTGGAGTGTTTTCATCATGAAAAAATGTTGAATTTTATCAAATGCCTTTTCAGTGTAAGTTGCAATGATCCTATATTTTTTCCCTTCATTCTTTGACATGATGCATCACACTGAGTGACTTGCATATGTAGAACTATCTTTGCATCTCTGGGATCAATATTACTTGGTCGTGATGAATGATCTTTTTCATGTGTTGTTGAATTTGTCTTAATAATATACTGTTGAGGATTTTTGCATTAATAGTAACCAATAATATTGGCCTGTGGTTTCTTTTTTGATGTCTCTGTCTCAGGTTGGTATCAGAGTAACACTGGCCTCATAGTATGAGAATAGAAGTATTCCCTCCTCCTCTATTTTTCAGAATCCTTTGAATAGGATGGGGTACTAATTCTTCTTTAAATTTTGGTAGAATTCAGTGTAAAACAGTTGGATTCCTGCCTGACTTTTCTTTACTAGAAGACTTATTACGGATTCAATCTTGTTATTATTTGTCTAGTCAGGTTTAGATTTCTTCATGGTCCAATCTTGATAAGTTGTATGTGTCTAGGAATTTATTTCTTCCAGATTTTCCAATTAATTAGCATATAGTTGCTCATAGTAGCTACTAAGGATTCTTTGAATTTCTATTGTATTGGTTGTAATGTCTCCTCTTTCATCTCTGAATATATTTATTTGGATCTTTTTTTTTCTTAGTCTGGCTAAAAGTTTGTCAATTTGTTTATCTTCTCAAAAAGCATCTTTTTGTTTCATTGATATTTGGTATTGTTTTCTTCATTTAAATTTATGTATCTCTATTCTGAATTTTTTTTCTTCTACTAATTTCTGTTTGATTTGTTCTTGATGGTCTAGTATTTTAAGTTGTTATTAAATTTACGTTATTAAATTTTTTATTTAAAATTGTTCTTGTTTTTTGATATAGGCACTCATAGCTATAAACTTCTATCTTAGTACTCCTTTTGCTATATCCCATAGGTCTTGGTATGTTGTGTTTCCATTATCATTTCTTTCAATAAATTTTTCAATTTCTTCCTTAATTTCTTCTTTGACCCACTGGTCATTCAGGAGCATATTGTTTAATTTCCATGTGTTTTTATATTCTCCAAAATTCATTTGTTATTGATTTCTAGTTTTATTCCATCGTGTTCAGAGAAGATACTTGACAGTATTTCAATTTTTTGAATGTTTTAGGACTTGTTTTGTGACATAACATATGGCTTATTATTGAGAATGACTCATGTACTAAGGAAAAGAATGTGTGTTCTGCGGCTCTTGGATGAAATGGTCTTTAAATATCTAACTAGGTTTATTTGATCTATAGTGTAGATAAGTCTGATTTTTTTAAATTTTCTGTCTAAAATCTGTCCAGTGCTGAAAGTGGAGTAATGGAGTCTGCAGCTATTATTGTATTGTGGTCCATCTCTTGCTTTAGCTCTAATAATATTTGCATTAGATGTCTAAGTGCTCCAGTTGTTGGGTGCATATATTTTTATAATGTTTATATCCTCCTGGTGAATTGACCCCTTATTCATACATAGTGACCTACTTTGTCTCTTCTTATAGTTTCGTCTTGAAACCTATTTTGTCTGATGTAACTATACCTACTCCTATTCTTTTTTGATTTTCATTTGCATGAAATATATCTTTCCATCCCTTCATTTTCAGTTTTTGTATGTCTTTATAGGTGCAATGTGTTTCTTCTAGGCAACAGATTATTGGATCTTGGTTTTTTATTCATTCAGTCACTCTATTTTTTAATTTGTAAGTTTAGTCAATTTATAATCAATGTTATTATTGATAAGTAAGGACTTACTCCTACTATCTTGTTATTTATTTTCTGGTGGTTTTGTGGTCTGTTCTTCCTTCTTTTCCTCTTTCCTGTCTTCCTTTTAGTAAAAGTGATTTTCTCAGGTGTGTGATTTAATGTCTGGCTTTTTCTTTTTCATGTGTACATTATATGTTTTTTGATTTCACGTTACCAAGAGGCTTGCAAATAATATAACACATTTTCAGTTGATAACAACTTAACACTGCTTGCATATGTAAACAAACTAATAAGCAAAAAGAAAACTGATAAAAACTCTACACTTAAACTTCCTCTCCCACTTTCTAACTTTTTGTTGTTTCTATTTATATCTTATCGTACAATCTATGTCTTGAAAAGTTGTAGTTATTATTTTTGATTGGTTCCTGTTTTATTCTTTCTACTTAAGGCAAGGATACTTTACACAACACAGCTACAGTGTTTTTATATTCTGTGTTTTTCAGTGTACTTACTATTACCAGTGAGTTTTGTACCTTCAGATGATTTCTTTTTGCTCATTTACATCTATTTTTCTTGTGATTAATATATTCCTTTTAGCATCTCTCGGAGGACAGGCCTGGTGTTGATGAAATCCCTCAGCTTTTGTTTGTCTGAGTCTTTATCTCTCCTTCATGTTTGAAGAATATATACCCTGGATGTACCATTCTGTGGTATAAGCTTTTTTTTTCTTTTAGCACTTTAACTATGTCATGCCACTCTCTCCTGACCTTAAGGTTTCCACAGAAATGTCTGCTGCCAGACATATTGGAGCTCCATTGTATGTTAATTGTTTTTTATCTTGCTACTTTCAGAATCCTTTCTTTGTCCTTGACCTTTGGAAGTTTGATTATTAAATGCTTTGAGGTAGTCTTCTTTTGGTTAAATCACATTAGTATTCTATAACCTTCTTGTCCTTGAATATATATATATATATATAGCTTTCTCTAGGTTTGGGCTTCTCTGTTATTATCCTGTTGAATAAACTTTCTACTCCATCCCTTCCTCTGCCTCCCACTTAAGGCCAATAACTTAGATTTTTCCCTTTTGATGCATTTTCTAGATCCTGAAGGCATGCTTTATTTTTATTCTTTTTTTCTTTTGTCTCCTCTGACTGTGTATTTCAAATAGCCTGTCTTCAAGCTCACTAATACTTTCTCCTGCTTGATTGAGTCTGCTATTAAAAGACTCTGATGCATTCTTCAATATGTCAATTGCATTTTTCAGCTCCAGAATTTCTGCTTGATTCCTTTTAATTACTTTAATGTCTTTGTTAAATTTACCTGATAGGATTCTGAATTCCTTCTCAGTGTTATCTTGAATTTCTTTGAGTTTCTTCAAGACAGCTATTTTCATAATAATACTCTGTCTGAAATGTCACGTGTCTCTGTTTCTCCAGGATTGGTTCCTTGTGCCTTATTTACTCTATTTGGTTAGATCATATTCCCTGAATGTTCTTGATGCTTGCGGAAGTTCTTTGGTGTCTGAGCATTGAAGAGTTAGGTACTTATTATAGTCATCGCCATCTGGGCTTCTTTGTACCCTTTCTCCTTGGGAAGGCTTCTTAAGTATTCAGAAGGACTTGGGTGTTGTGATCTAAACTGTATATGCATTAAGTGGCACCCCAAGCCCAGCAATACTGTGGTCCTTGTAGACTCACAGAAGTACCACTTAAGTGGTCTTGGATAAGATCTGGAAGAATTATCTGGATTACCAGGCAGAGACTCTTGTTCTCTTTCCTTACTTTCTCCAAAACCAATGGAGTTTCTCTTTGTATGCTGAGCTTCCTGGAGCTGGGGATGACATAACACAAGCACCTTTGTAGCCACCTCCCCTGGGACACTGCTGAATCAGAACTGAAGTCAGCACAGCTCTAGGTCTTGCCCAACGCTCAACGTGACCACTACTAGGCTACTACCTATGTTTGTTCAAGGTTCTGGGTCTCTACAATCAGCAGGTAGTAAAGCCAGCCAGTATTGTGTTCTTCCCTTCAGGGTAGCAAGTTCCCCCAGGTCGTGGGTGGGTCTAGAGATGCCATCTAGGAGCCAGGTACTGGAGAAAAAACTTTAAAAATCTACCTTGCATTCTGTTCCCCTGGAGCTGAGCTGGTACTCAAACCACAAAATGGAGTCCTCCCCATTCTTCCCTCCCTTTCTAAAGGCAAAGGAGCCTCACCCCGTAGGCTCCACCATCATAAGCCCATGGGAAGTACTAACAGCCTACTGCCAATGTTCAGTTGAGGCCCAAAGGATCTTTAGTCAGCTTGTGGTGAATGCTGCCAGGCCTGGGACTCATTCTTCATGGTAGTGGTCTCCCCTCGGTCCAGGGTAGGTCCTAAAATGCCGTGAACCAAGGCCTGTAACTGGGGACCTGATGAGCCTGCTTGGTGCTCTACCCTACTGTGGCTGAGCTGGTACCTAAGATGCAACACAAAGTCCCCTTTGCTTTTGCCTTTGCTTTTCTCAAATAGAAGGAGTTTCTCCTCATAGCCTCCACAGCTGGGAATGTGCTGGTTCTTTCCTGAAGCCAGCATGTCTCTGAGTCTCACTCAAGTCTCACAGCTGGGTATTGCTGTGAGATTCTTCAGGTCCCAAGTGCTCTTTAGTCAGGAGGTGATGGATTCTGCTTGTACTGGATCCTTTCTTTCAAGGCAGTATGTTCCCTTCTGGCCCAGGGTGTGTCTAGAAATGTTATCTGGGAGCTAGGGCTTGCAATGGGGCTTATAGGCCTTATGGTGCTCTAATCTACTGTGGCTGAGTTTTTATTCAAGATACAAGAAAAAGTCCAGTTTTCTCTTTCCTCTCCTCTCCTCAAGTAGAAGGAAGGGGTCTCTTTTGCAGCTGTGAACTGTGCTGCCTGGGGTTGGGAAAGGGAAGATGCAAGCATTCCCTTAGCACCCTTGCTGGTATCTCAGTAGGTTGCATATCCCCCAAGTCCACTGGCTCTGAGACCAGCTCAGCACTTAGGAGCTAGGCTTGCTGGAACTCAAACTCTGACCACTGGGATGGACCATTCCCATCTGGCTAGGCTCTGTCCACACATTCCCTCTGTAGGAAAGCGTTAGATAAGTACAGTCTGGTTCTGCTTTCCACTGTGACAGGGAAGCACCAAGTTCAATGCAAAGCATCACAATCACTGCACTTTCCCTCCCAAGTGCACAAATTCTCCATGCCACACAGCTGCTGCTGGGGAATGGGAGAGGGATAATGTTAGCAGTTTAAGACTATTTTGCCTACCCTCTTCAGTGCCTCTTTCAGAAATATTAATTCAAAACCAGGCACTGTCAGTGCTCACCTGATTTTTGCTTCCTTTGAAGGTGCTCCCTTTGTGTGGATATCAAACTTGGTGTTCCCGTGGAAGCGGTGGGAAATGATCAGTAGAAACTTCTATGCAGTCATCTTGCTCCACGTCTCTGCCAAAGTTGATATTTTAATGATGTGCCTAAGATAAGAGTATTTTTCAAAGTTTCTTTAGTTTTCGGCCTGTACTATTGTTATCTTATAAGTTTGTTTATTCAACAAACATTTATTGAAAACATACTGTATTTCAGGAAATGTCCTAGCTTTTGAGGATATATCAATGAAGAAGACAAGTTACAAATCACTTTTTCCTACTTTCACAGAGATTACATTTTAGTAGATCTAACAGTCTAATCTTAAAAATGTAGATCCCTGCACATCACCATGGAGCTACTGAAAGAGATCTATTGGAAACAAGAGATATGCATATTTAATGAGTAACCCATGTAATTCTTGGGCAGACTAAAGTTTCAAATCTAAACTACTTTCCTCTTGCTATTTTCTTTCCCATGCTCTAGAGCTCTCATACTAGCTGTCTTTATTTGCTTTTGCTGCTATCACAAAATACTTGAGACTAGATAATTTAAAAAGAAAAATTTATTTCTCACAGTTCTGGAGAGTAGGAAGTCCAAGATCAAGGCACCAGCAGGACCAGAGTCTGATGAAGGCCCTTTCCTCATAAATGACATCATCTAGGTGTCCTCACATGGCTGAAGAGCGAAAAAGGGATGAACACCGTGTCCAGATCTCTCATGGTCTAATCACCTCCTAAAGGCCCCACCTCTTAAAAACTGTTCCATTGGAGATTAGCTTTCAACATGAATTTTGGAGGTACACAGATATTCAAACCATAGTACTTGCTGAGATTTTCCTAAAATCTGCTAAAATATCATTTAAATTTGGACTATGTATTGTGTTTATTGTGTTGGTCAGTGCATTTTTTGGGATCTCCTTACTACTCTATGCATTACGGTTTTTATTTTACTTATGTAACATTAAAACATGCCCTTCAAAATACTCTGTAGTTACATTTTATCTTTCTTCACCTTCTAACACAAGAACATGGATCTTCAAAATCTCCACTTACAAGTTTAAACATGTAAAACACATTAAAATGGTTACTATTATCAATTTTATGTATTATACAGAGGGAATTAATTATATGTAATTAATTAAATAATATTAAAACAAACCTAAAAGTATGTAATACTTCTATGCTTTCTTCAGCTAAGCTTAGAGGTAGCAAATCAGGACATTAAAATGGTCTGTATCTTGCACTTTTCTTACGGTGAGAGGATAAGGCATTATAGAGAGTACTATACCATACTATTTATATAAAACAAATGAAAAATGTATTTTTTGCATATTAGATAAGCAGATCTTTGGACATATTCCATCAGACATGATTACAGGAAAAGAAATGGGAGCAAGAGTAAACACCAATGAACCTGTAAAAGTGAAGCATTCTAGCAAATTTAAAGTGACCAGCCATGTTTATTTGCTCCTTCTTCTATCTTCTCTTCTCTTTTAAACACTATTTGAACATCTTCCCTGTGAAGTTCCCAGACAGTTTATATCTAAATAAGTAGATTTTATTCAGGATAATAGCCAACCCCACTTTAGAACTTCCTCAAATTATTGGTTAAGAATCACATCTGAGATTTCATATCTAATCAGGTATTAGAATGAATGAATATAGTTGATTTTATTTTCATTTTATACAGTAGATCCTCTCTTAAGTAACATTCACTTAATCATTTAACAAAGAAGTTCATCCTATCTGTTCCTCACTGAACACCAGCTAAGAAACCACGAGACATTAAACCATGATGCCTTACTTTCCCATAAACCTATGTTCTTCTGTTTCCACTAACTCTACACCTTTATGTCAAGTTGCTGTGACTACATAGCTTTGTTAAAAATGTATAAAATAAGTAAATATGAATAGAAAAGGATAGTTGTTTGAAGGAAACTAAGTTGAGTATTTGAGACAATATTGTCCTTACCTGTTAGCACCAGAAAACAGTAATTCAAAATGCACTACTTAAATCCCATTCACAATTGCCACACATAGAAAAAAAATACTTAGGAATACAGCTAACCAGGGAGGTGAAAAATCTCTACAATGAGAATTAGAAAACACTGCTTGAAGGAATCAGAGAAAACACAAACAAATGGAAAAACATTTTATGCTTATGGATAAAAAGAATCAATATCATTAAAATGGCTATACTGCCCAAAGCAATTTACAGATTCAATGCTATTCCCATCAAACTACCAATGACATTCTTCACAGAACTAGAAAAAAATATTTTAAAATGTATATGGAACGAAAAAAGAGCCCAAATAGCCAAGGCAATCCTAAGCAAAACAAAAACAAAAACAAAACAAAACAAACAGCAACAACAACAAAAAGCTGGAGGAATCACATTATCTGACTTCAAGCTATACAAGGCTACAGTGACCAAAACAGCATGGTATTGGTACAAAAACCGACACACAGACCAAAGGAACAGAATAGAGAGCCCAGAAATAAGGCTACACATCTACTACCATCTGATCTTTGACAAAGCTGACAGACACAAGTAATGGGAAAAAGACTCTCTGTTCAATTAATGTTGCTGGAATAACTGGCTAGCCATATGTAGAAGATTGAAGCTGAACCCCTTCCTCACACAATATATAAAAATCAACTCAATATGGATTAAAGACTTAAATGTAAAACTCAAAACTATATAAACCCTGGAAGACAACCTAGGCAATACCATCCTGGACATAGGAATGGGCAAAGATTTCATGACAAAGACACCAAAAGCAATTGCAACAAAAGCAAAAATGGACAAATGGGATCTAATTAAACTAAAGAGCTTCTGCACAGCAGAGGAAACTATCAACAAAGTGAACAGACAACCTACATAATGGGAGAAAATTTTTGTAAACTATGCATCGGACAAAGGTCTAATATCCAGCATCTATAAAAAACTTAAACAAATTTACAAGAGAAAATCAAACAACCCCATTAAAAAGTAGGCAAAGGACATGAACAGACACTTCTCAAAAGAATACATACGTGCAGCCAACAAGCATATGAAAAATAAGCTCAATATCATTGATTGCTAGAGAAAGGCAAATGAAAAACCCAGTGAGATAACATCTCACACCAGTCAGAATGACCATTAGTAAAAAGTCAAAAAATAACAGATGCTATTAAGGTTATGGAAAAAGGGAACCCTCATACACTGTTGGTGGGAGTGTTCATCCATTGCGGAACGCAGTATGGCAATTCCTCAAACAGGTAAAAGCAGAACTACCATTCGACCCAGCAATCCCATTACTGGGCATATGCCCAGAGGAATATAAATCATTCTACTATAAAGACACATGCATGCCAATGTTCATTGCAGCACTATTCCCAATAGCAAAGACATGGAATCGACCTGAATGCCCATCAATGACAGACTTCATAAAATGTGGTACATATACACCATGCAATATTATGCAGCCATAAAAAAAGAGAACACGATCATGTATTTTTCAGGAACATGCAGTAGGAGGTTATCATCTTTATCAAACTAATGCAGGAACAAGCAACCAACTACCGAATGTTCTCACTTATAAGTGGGAGCTAAAGGATAAGAACTTATGAACACAAAGAAGGAAACAGCAGACCCTGGGGTCTACTTGACAGGGGAGGGTAGGAGGAGAGAGAGGAGAAGAAAACATAACTATTGGGTACTGAGCTTAATACCTGTGTGATGTAATAATATGTGCAACAAAGCCCCATGACACAATTTGATGATTTAACAAATTGTGTTAACCTATTTAACAAATCTTCACGTGTATCCTCAAACCTAAAATAAATTTTTAAAAATGCACTACTTAGGAACAAATGTATAAAACTGGAAATGATTTATAAAATTAATGAATGATAATGCCAAGAATTACTTTGCAACTCCTTTTAATTTCTCACTCCCCTCTAAATAAAAATAACACTGGAAATGGCATATATTATGGATAAGCACACACAAGAAATATCAAGGGGAAGTATCAATGGACTCATGTTAAAAATTGGTAAGAGTGTGCACGTGTATACTTTAAGTTAACATCTAGGTCTGAATCAAAAGTCCAGTCACTGTGGGTTCACAAGGTAGGATCCAATGACAGGTGTCCTGTGTGTCCCCATTCTCTCAAGATATGTTTCCTGTCTGAGTTTTTATTTTCTACAAAATTAGTTTCTAAGAACAAGTGAATAAAAAGGAAAGGATATCACAGGTAGTAGTGATTAACTTGGTAAAAGCCATAATCCTGCTTTGAATTACTTAATACAAATCTCTTGATAATAACAGTTCACTCATTAATCAAAGTAATTATTCTAGTATCTCATGGATAAACTAAGAACTTTAAAGATACTATTTGTTAGGTGGTGACATGGAAAGCCTTTTATTCTTGGTAGCTTGACTTTAATATCAAGCCACATTTGGTCTCCCTTAGTCACTGAATTGGACTGCATCTATTACTCATGGGTCAACATGAAAAGTAATGACTTAAAAAATTGTGATTTTTGTCAGGAACAGTAAACACATTGTTTTGAAAGGGCTTAAATTCAAGATAAAATAAAAAGATTCATCTGGGTCTTTCTCACCAGATTTTTTCATCTTCCCCCACCCTTTTCTTCAGTGTTGAAGAAAATTGAAGTATTGAACATTTCAAAAGGTTTTATTTGTAAATGCTTTTTATTTTTATTTCGAAGATGAACAGTGCCTAATATCATCACACCAGCTTCACAATTTTGCTTGCTGGAGGTGGATATAAATGACAACTCTTCTGGAAGCAAGGCGGTGTGGGCCTGTCTCCTGAACTGCTCAGTAGGAAGCTGACATTTCATCACTAAAGTTCAGTGCATTGGAACATTGTTCTAGTCATAACAAACTGTATAAATTACAAAATCCTGGCAACACATTCTAGCCATTAAGCTGCATATCGCATATCCTTTTATTTTCATTCTGGAAAGCTTTTATTAATTCATAAAATGATTTTTCTTGATAGACAGAAATTGGAAGCTGGGAGAACAAACAACAAAAACAGGCCCACTTGTTTCCCAGCTGAACGATTTGACCAGATACATTAGCATTTAAATTTTTTCTGAAAAATTCCACCCATCACCAATTAGTATATATATATATATTTTTTAACATACCACTGCAAATTCATATCTCCCTGCCTTTTCATCCAATGGTATTTTGCAAAATATTTTTCATTTTAATATTCTAAGCATAGTTTATTACACATCATTTCAACATTATATTTTTTCTCTTTTGGAATTACAAATGGGGTCACCATAAGAGTATTAGAGCAACAAATTATATCCTTAAAACCTGAAGCTGTTCAATATTTGCCCAATAAGCTTTTTCTTACCCATAATCCCATCAAGGTTGAGACAACAAAAGAGTGAGACATTGTATTATTTGCAGTTAAATCATTATTGATAAGTACAGAAAGAATAATAAAGAGTAATTTTTATATAACCATTTTAGTTATAAAAAAATGGACTACTTTATACAGTTTGTGATAAAATTTCACAATATAACAACAAATTGGGCTCTTTTTACAAGACATTATATATACAATAAGTTGCATAAAGTGTACCAATCCTTTGTGTGTGTCTCAGAGATGCTAACATATAAATATATACATTTATATAATCACCAAACCGATGAAGACATAAAACATTTCCTTAAGATGATGCTTTTCCATGCATGCACTAAGATGACGCTTTTCCATGTATGCCATCTTCCAGAATACCTCCAGTTATTCTTACTGTAGACTAACCTGTCTGTTGTGACCTGTGATCATCCCTATATGTTACATCTTCTTAAAAATATGTAAATGGACCAGGCACGGTGGCTCACGCCTGTAATCCCAGCACTTTGGGAGGCCAAGGTGGGCGGATCAGGAGATAGAGACCATCCTGGCTAACACAGTTAAACCTCGTCTCTATTAAAAAAAAATACAAAAAAATTAGCCCGGCATGGTGGCAGGAGCCTGTAGTCCCAGTTACTCGGGAGGCTGAGGCAGGAGAAAGGCGTGAACTCGGGTGGCGGAGCTTGCAGTGAGCTGAGATCGCGCCACTGCACTCCAGCCTGGGCGACAGAGCAAGACTCTGTCTCAAAAAAAAAAAAAAAAAAAAAAAAAAGCGGAAGAAGAAAAATATGTAAATGAAGTAAAACAGGATGCGCTCTTTTTTTTCTGTTTCTCTATGTCAGTATATTTTTGAGATTGATCCATTTTGTGATGAGTCATGGTAGCAATTCATTCTCTTTAATTGCTGTGTAGTAGTCCATTTTATTATTATGTTTGTTCTTTTAACAGCTTTATTGAGCTAAAGTTTACATACCTTTAAATTCACCCTTTTAAATCACTAACTTAAAAGGTTTTGAGTATATTCTCAGAGTTGTACAACTATCATCATTATTTAATTTTAAAACTTTTTCATTGCTCTAAGAAGAAGTTCCAAACCCTTTAGCAGTCAGTCCCCATAACTTTGCTCCTCAGCCCCTGGAAACCACTCACCTATTTTCTGTCTCTATGAATTTGTCTATTCCGGACATTTCAAATAAATGAAGTAAAACAAGTTGTACCACAGTTTACCTATTAATTCACCCATTGATGGCATTCATTTGCTTCCAGTTTGGGGCCATTATGAAAAATGCTATGAAAATTCTTGTCTCTTTGACATAATTTACATTAATTTCTGGGTTACATGAATTGTAAACTTGTACAACTAAAAGCTGCTAAACATTTTTCCAAATTGGTTGTACAATTCTTCAATATCTCTAGTAATATATGAGAGCCATGTATAATTGGTGTATATTAAAATTGTACCATAATCTCTAAAATACTTGGTATTGTCAGTACTATTAATATTAACCATTATAGAAGTTGTATAGTAGAATTACATCATAGATTTAATTTACATGTCCTTGATAATTACTGATATTAAACATCAGTAATTTAAATACTGGCTAATTGTTACTCTTCCTTTGTGAAACATGTACTCAAATACTCGATTATTTTCATTGGATTGTTTTTCTTCTCCATATTGAGTTGTAAGAGTTTTTTATATATTCATGACATAAGACTTTAGAACATATATGCATAATCTGTTTTATTTCAATACATGTAACTTGCCTTTAAATTTTCTTAATGATAACTTTTGAAGAGTAGAAAATTTTTATTTGGATCAAGTTAACTTTATGTTTTCTTCTATATATAGTACTTTTTTCTGCGTCCTGTCTAACAAATCTTCGTCTATACCATTCTAATTTTTTTCTTCTACATTTTTATGTTTTACCTCCACATTTCAGTGTATAATTATTTTTATTATACTATCTCAGAATAATAAAAATGAAGTGAAAAAGCAATGAAAACGTTTTAAAATTAAATAATGATGATAGTCACACAACTCTTGAGAATATACTAAAAACCTTTTAACTTAGCGATGTAAAAGAGTGAATTTAATGATAGGTGAACTTTATCTCAGTAAAGCTGTTAAAAAGAACAGGCTGTTACAATAATAAAACGGACTACTACACAACAATTAAAGAGAATGAACTGCTGCAATGACTCATCACAAAATGGATCAATCTCAAAGATATACTGACATAAAGAAATAGAAACAAAAGCCTCTTTTTGTATTTTGTGTGAAGAAGACGGTGTGGTTTATTTTTTAATTAATATTTAATTGTTTCAGCACCACTTGATCAAAAGACTATCCTTTCCACATTGAATTACTTTGATACCATTGTTGAAAATCAATTTGCCAGATAGATAGATAATAAGTAGACAGATAGATAGATGATAGACAGATAGATAATAGACGGATGGATAGATAGATAGATAGATAGATAGATAGATAGATAGATAGATAGATAATGAGTGTACTTGTAGATCCCCTATTTTGGAGAAATTCATTGAGCTATATGTGTTTATTTATGCCAACACCCTACTGTCTTGAATGCAACAGCTTTTTACTAAGACTTTTTTCAGACAGTGAAATCCTCCAACTTTGTTCTTTTTCAAAATTTCTTTTGGTTACTTATTTTCCTTTGCATTTTCAAATGTAAATAATTTAGTCAGCATGTCAATTTTTAAGAAAAAAGATGCCAGAAATTTGGAATTATTTTAAATCTGTGAATCAGTTTTGGGAATGATTGATAGCTTAGCAATATTGAGTCATCTAATCCATGATCATAATAAATCTTTCCATTTAGGTCTCTTTAATTCTATAAACATGGTGCATTAGTCAGTGTTCTCCAAAGAAACAGGACCAGTAGGATATGGACATATATATGTGTGCACATGTCTGTGTGTGTGTGTGTGTGTGTGTGTGTGTGTGTGTGTGTGTGTGTGTGTGTAGTTATAAGGAAATGGCTCCTGTGATTATGGAAGGGCTAGGAAGTGCTATGATCTGCCTTCTGCAATCTGGATCCCAAGAAAACCTGAAAGTGTAGCCCTGGCCCAAGGCCAAAGGCCTGAGACACCAATAATATAAACTCCAGTTTGAGGTCAGGAAACAAAAGTTCCAGCTCAAGTAGCCGAGTAGAAAGAGTGAGTTCTCTTTTCCTCTGGCTTTTTGTTGGGCTCAGACCCTCAGTGAGTTGGATTATGCCCACCCATATTTGGGAGGGCAATCTGCTTTACTCCATCTACTGATTCAAATACTGATATCATCCAGAAACACCTGTGCAGATAGACTCAGAAATCATTTTTAACTGAGTCTGTGGGCACCCCATCATCCAGTCAAGTTGACACATGAAACTAACCATCATGCATGGTTTATGCTTTACAGCACACAGGTCTTGTACATAATTTGTCAAGTATCTTCCACCTGTTTGATGAGAAGCAACTGACTGGGAGAAAATATTTTGAAACCACATATTCAAAATAGGATTCAATCCTGAATATGTAAAGAACTGTAAAATATATAAGGACGCTTGGGGAGAAATTGCTCTGTAACCTATTTGTGGTCATGGTTACATGAATCTATTTTCAAAAACTCATAGAAAACATACAAAAAATGTGTATTACCATTATTATTTTGAGAAGAATTTTTAAAAAATAAATAATCCATAAAACATCACAATTGTTCCTTTAATAAATTATTGACATCATTTCTGGAAATCGGCATACTTTTCTATTTTAGTTGTTATTTATTTTGTCTTTAACTTTCCTGCCTCCACCTGGGATCTTTATTAAACTTCTGTTCAAAGATCTTTTAGTATCCATAGTAGTATGACTCTGTTGGTGACAATTTTTCTCAACTTGTGTTTTTTTGAAATCTTTATATTGCACCTTGGTGTTTCAAGTATATTTTTGCTGGTTATAGAAGTCTAGTCAGCAAAACTTTTTGCTTATCACATTAAAGGTGTCCGTTTATTGTTTTTTGACTTTCATAATTCTGTTAGAAAGTCTGTTGTCAGGTTCAGTGTTGCCCTTTTGGAAAGAATTTATCTTTTTTTCCCCTGACTGGTTTTGGGTTTTTTTTGTTTTTATTTTTTCCAGATTTTCTCTTGATCTTTCATTTTCAGCAATTTGATTTTGATGTGTTTTAAAAACTAATTCCAAAATTCTTTTTGAAATGTAATACAATTCTTTTTTTTTTTTTTTTTTGAGACAGAGTCTTGCTCTGTCGGCCAGGCTGGAGTGCAGTGGCACAATCTCTGCTCACTGCAACCTCTGTCTCCCGGGCTCAAGCAATTCTCCTGCCTCAGCCTCCCGAGTAGCTGGGATTACAGGCGTGTGCCACCATGCCTGGCTAATTTTTGTATTTTTAGTAGAGACGGGGTTTCACCATGTTGGCCAGGCTGGTGTCGAACTGCTGACCTCAGGTGATCCACCCGCCTCGGCCTCCCAAAGTGCTGGGATTACAGGTGTGAGCCACCGCACCCAGCTTGAAATGTAATACAATTCGTTAACATGTAGTTGATTACCTTCATCAGTTTTGAAAAAATATATATAATTATTTCTTGAACCATAGTTTCTTGCCATATTCTTTCTCTCCTTTTCTTCTAGAACTCCAAAGTGTATATGGTAAAATCTTTTACAGTGTCTCTTTATGTATTTCATGCTGTTTTGTTTTACTCTGTTTTTCATTTTTTTCACTGTTTTTCTCTAAGTTTTAGTTTTAATAGGTTCTATTGATTTTCTTTAGCTGTTTGTTTTTAATGCTGAACACATCCAGTGAATGCTTACAAATATTGGATTTTTCAGTGTTAGTTTATGTACTTTTTTAATGCATATCATTTCTCTGGTAAATTTATTAATTTTTATGCAATATAATTAAGCTTCTCTTCATGCTGTTTTACATGTTTATAGTAGTAATATTAAAGCTCTTTTTGTTCATTTAGCATATAAATCTTGTAAATATATGGTTTTATTGGCTCTATTTTTCAATAATATATGCACTGGGTCACATATTATTGCTTCTTAATATGTCTACCCAATTTAGTCTCAATGCCAGACTGTTCCTAAAATGACATAAAAGCTGAATTTGATGTGTATTTCCCCAGAGATATCAAGCCTTTTTCTTGTACAGGCAGCCAGAGTGATGGATGGATCACCTTCATCCAATCAAGAAATAAGCATCTCAGGGATGGGTTACAGCTTGCATTTACCTCATTTTCACTCTGGTTTCAAAGATCTTAAGGGCACAACTTGTCTGATGTTATTAAACATCTTTCCATCTGCCAGGACTATGACTTTTAAGCACTGTTCAACTGTACGGAACTTCATTGCATGTTTCTATCCAATCCTTAAATGCCTCAGCATTCAGCTAAAGTCCAGTGGGAGAAAATTGGCAGCCCTATATTTAGGCCTTTCCAGGTTCCAAACTGTCACACTAGCCAAAGCAGCAATCAAAAGCTCCACTGGTTTATCTTTAGCCCAGCAGACTCTTCCTACTTAGGCAAGCCTGGTCCACAGTCCATGCCCAGATTTGCAAATGTTCCCTGAGGAAAAAAACAATAAAATCCATTGAGAGGGGGGCGGTAAGAACTTCTACTCAACTGGGAAAGAATCTTTTCTGTCTAATGTCTTCTAAAATAATATGACATTTGTAACAATCATTTTCCCACTTTAAACAGTGGGAATTATGGCTTACATAATAATTGGAGTACAAAACTATATAATGGAAACTTAAGACAGTTATTGTAAATATTTCAGAAATATGACAGCATATCTAAAGATGAGCCATCACATCACCTACCTCTAAAATGAAACTTATTAATAAATTGAGATTGAAGAATATGACTCAGAATAATGCAGAACTTTCTCAATGCAATTACTTCTTTTTTTTTGTTTCGAGACGGAGTTTCGCTCTGCCACCCAGCATGATCTCGGCTCACTGCAAGCTCCGCTTCCCGTTTTCACGCCATTCTCCTGCCTCAGCCTCCCGAGTAGCTGGGACTACAGGCGCCTGCCACCACACCCGGCTAATTTTTTGTATTTATAGTAGAGACGGGGTTTCACCGTGTTAGCCAGGATGGTCTCGATCTCCTGATCTCGTGATCCGCCTGCCTCGGCCTTCCAAAGTGCTGGGATTGCAGGTGTAAGCTACCGCTCACGGCCGTTACCTATTCTTTTTTTTGTTTTGTTTTGTTTTCTTTTTGCAAACCAAAGAATTTTATTTGGAGTAATAGCTAAGAAAACAGCTTTTTATGGAAACTGAAAAAGAGAGTAGAGGAAATGTAAGAGCTACTCCTTAAGAAATAACTTTAATAGTTAAAAAACTTTCGTAGAATCTTACTAAAAAGGAGACAACATTAGTTTAACTTTTGACAGAGATAAAAATAACTGAGCAAGAATCTGGCCTAATAACCAGACCTTGGATTAGTATACTTTCTAGTTATAGATGTAAAACCTCAAAGTACATATATTCAGTACAAGTCAAAAAAATATAAAATAGTGCTAGAACATCCTTTACTTTTTCATGTCCTTGAAAATGAGAAGAGTAATATACTTAAGTAATTCCTTCTTAAGAATGTCCCTTAAACTGTAACAACTTCATAGCAGCTTGACTTAGTGTACTTATTCCTTAAAACAGCAGTCCCCAACCTTTGGGCACCGGGGACTGGTTTCATGGAAGACAACTTTTCCACGGATGAGGGGGGTGGTTTGGGGATGAAATTGTTCCACCTCAGATCATCAGGCATTAGTTAGATTCTCATAAAAATATGCACAACCTAGATTCCTCACATGCGCAGTTGACAATAGGGATCACACTCCTATGAGAATGTAATGCCGCTGATCTGACAGGAGACAAAACTCAGGCAGTAATGCTGGTTCACCTGCTGCTCACCTTCTGCTGTGCAGTCCAGTTTCTAATAGGCCACAGACCTGTACCAGTCCGCGACGCAGCATGTGGGGACCGCTGCTTTAAAAGTCATAAAGATGATAAATTCAGAAATAATTTAAGCAGCCTACTCTCAAATAAATACTTGTAAAATATTGAAATGTCTAGGAGCCAAGTGGTCCAGAAATGAGAAGTACATCATATTATACGTTCCTTTTGTCACTAATTTAAATCATTCTTTCATTTACAGCTCAGGGTCCTTTAATTGTCTGCCTAGTCTATACATATAAGTTATAAAGTACCTACTATGATCTACATGAAAGGAAAGTATTATAGAGAACAAACAGAGCCAATGAAATCCCCAAATTAGAAATATTCCTTCCTTAGGTAGATTTGGTAAAATAAAATAAAACAAAATAAAATAGCCACTGTTTAGCTTATGTTGCCAAGTCAATTGACTAGAAACTATAGTTTTTTGTTGGTTTGTTTGTTTGTTTTTGTAAATAGTGTTTCACTTTGTCACTCAGGCTGGAGTGCAATGGTGCAATCTGGGCTCACTGCAACCTCAGCCTCCCAGGTTCAAGCGATTCCCCTGCCTTAGCCTTCCAAGTAGCTGGGATTACAGATGCCCACCACCACGCCCAGCTACTTTTGTTTCTGTATTTTTATTAGAGATGGGGTTTCACCATGTTGGCAAGGCTGGTCTTGAACTCCTAACCCCAAGTGACCGCCCACCTCAGCCTCCCAAAGTGCTGGGATTACAGGCATGAGCCACTGCGCCCAGCCTAGAAACTGTAGTTCTTAAATGTTTCTCTGGTAGACTCAGAAATAATTAGCTCTGTCTTGTTTTCCTTCCTCTTTCTTCCTTCTCTTTCTCTTCCTCCCTTTTCTTATTTAAATATTAACCTTTGAAATGATTGTAGTTAACAACAATATACTGTATTCTCGAGAAATGCTGAGAGTAGATTTTAAGTGTTCTCATCACAAAAATGATAACTACATGAGGTAAAGTATGTTAATTAGCTTGATTTAGCCATTCCACAATGTATACACATTTCAAATTACCATACTGTGTACACTAAAAATATACAATTTTATGTCAATTTAAAAAAATAAAAAATTTAAAAACCTAATGAAGTAACAGAATGAAGCAAATAGTATCCTCTCCTGATTTAACTCAGAGGCTTTACTTTAGCATTTCTTCATTATTGGATCAAATCAAAGTTCACAGTAGCTCTTCAATAAATATTTCTTGAATAAATGAATGGATCAAATTCAGGGAATATGGGAATAAATAATGGAGTGAGTTAAAATATGTATCACTTTAAGATTTGGAACCTCTGGGAAAATTATTTTTTATTTCTGATCACATAATACCCTCAAGTTATTTCATTCCTTCATTTTTTTTTATTTGGACAGAATAGAATATTTTTCATCCATGCTACTTAAACGTTCTTTTGGGTCCTTGCTGTCTTTTGCTATAACCTGAATATCAATTGTTCTTTAATATTTTATCTTTAGTGTTTGGCTAAGTTATATTTCATGGCATGTAATAACATTTGTAATGCTATTCATAGTAGATAGATTCAATTTGCCCTCTCAATGGCTTTATACTTGAATAAGCACCTGTGCTTTTTCTACTGAGCCTATGAAAAGTTTCTCATCAAAATATATACTTTGTTGGTAAGCATATCCTGTTATTTGGTATTTTATTTGACATTAAATATATGAACTAGTATAAAAGTACAAAAATATGAAAGAAAGAAATAATAATTGAAATTTAGCATAATTAATGCTCTATTTTTCAAAAGAACCATTAAGAAAATGAGTTGGCAAGCCATAGAGTGGGGAAAATTATTTCCAATCCATATATCAGATAAAGGACTCATAATCAGACTAGATAAAGAATTGTACATAAGAAATACAAAGAAAAATCAATAAAAATGGTCAAAATTTAGAACAGATGTATGAAAAAGAATGACAAAATATCTAAGAAGCACATAAAAATGTGCCCAACATTATTAGTTGTCAAGGAAGCATAAAATCAAAATAGTTGACTACTATACATTCCTAAAATGGCTAAAATTTTTAAAGACTGACAAAACCAAAGGTTACCGTGAATATACAGCAACTGGAGCTTTTCTAATTAGTAGTGGTTGAGTAACATAATAAAAATAAACAGGAAAATTAATAATTTCTTATAACAATGCATATTTACTTCTTCTGTGATCTAGTGATTCCTCTTCTATGTAGAGTGCAAGATAAATTAAAATATATGTACATAAAATGTTCATACAAAACTATTTACAATAGCTGAATTCATCCTAGCCAAAACCCAGAATACTTAAGAACAGAAAATGGATAAACAAACAATTATAATATGGAACACTCCTCACCAACAGTGAATGCATTTCAAAATTATTAAGGTTAAAGAAACCAGACACAAAAGATTAGATATCATATGATTCTACTTATATGAAGTTCTAGAACAAGTGAAACAAAGCTATAGTGATAAAAGCCCAAATTTGCCTCAGGATGTAGGGGTGGGGATTGACTAAGAAGGGGTGCAATGGAACTTTATGGAGTGATGAAAATTTTCTATGTAATAGTGTTGTGGGTTACACATGTGTAAGAACTTGTCAAAGTCGATTAAACTATAAACATAAGGTATACATATTTCACTGTAAATTTCATTATATAATGTCAATTTATAATATATATCCCAATTTATAATACATAACTAGAAATATAGAACAAATTCAGAAGAAACTGTTGTTGGATTTTGGAGGTGGAGCAAGACAACTGAATAGAATCCTCCACTGATTGTCCTCCCTATAGGAACACCAAATTCTACAATTATCTACAGAAAAAAAAGCACCTTCATAAGAAACAAAAATCAGGTAATTGATGCCAGTACCTGATTTTAACTTTACATCACTGAAAGATGCACTGAAGAGGGTAGGAAAGACAATCTTGAACTGGCAAAGTCAGCCATCCCCGCAACCCCAGCAGAAGACACTGGGCAAAAAGAGAGAATCTGTGTGCCTGTGGGAGGGAGAGCATAGTAATTGTGGGACTTTGCACTGGAACTCAGGGTTGCCAACACCAGGCAGAAATCAGCAAACACTCATGAAGGGAGTATTCAGACAAGCCCTAGCAAGAGCGGAATCGCCCATCCCAGCAGTCAGAACTTTAGGTTGTGAGCTTTCCCATGGCAGCCTAAAAAGTGCTCTGGGGTCCTAAATAAACTTGAAAGACTGTCTAGGACACAAGGAATGCAACTCTTAGACAAGTCCTAGGGCTCTGCTGGGCTCAAAGCCAGTGGCTTTGGGGGGCATATTACCTAGTGAGATACCAGCCTGAGCAGCTAAGGGAGTATTTGCACCACCCCTACCCCAAACCCAGGCAGCGCAGCTCACAGTTCCAAAAAATACCTTTTAATTCAACTTGAGGAGAGGAGGGGGAAAAATAAAGAGGATTTTGAAGTGCAACTTGGATATCAGCTCAGCCATAGTATGATAGGGCACGGAGTACAGCCGGGAGGCCCCCCTTCCAGGCCCTAGACCCCAGTTGACATTTCTAGACACAACTTGGGCCAGAAGGGAACACATTGCCTTGAAGGGAAGGACCCAGTACTGGCAGAATTCACTACCTGCTGACTAAAGAGCCCTTAAGCACTGAATAACAGCAGCAGTAACCAGGTAATACAAACCATGAGCCTTGGGTGAGACTCTGAAACACACTGGATTCAGGTGTGACCCAGCATATACACAGCTGTAGTGGCAATGAGAGATATCCCTTCTGTATGAGAAATATAGAGTGAAGAATGAAGGGGACTTTGTCTTACTGCTTAGGTACCAGCTCAGCCACAGTGGGGAAGTGAGTTCTTGGGTTCCCTGATTCCCAATTTTTGCTCTTGGACAGCATTTCTGTATGCACCCTGGGCCAGAAGGGAGCCCACTGCCCTATAAAATGAGTCACAGGCCTGGGAGAATTCACCATAAGCTGACTGAGGAAACCTTGTGCCTTAAGTAAATACCTGTGGTACTCTGGCAGTACTCCCCACGGGCCTGTGGTGGTGGTGAACATGGGGAGAAACTCCTCTGCCTGGAGAAAAGGGAAGATAGATTGGGAAGGACTTTGTCTTGTGATTTTGGTGCCAGCTTAGCCACAGTAGAATAGAACACCAAGTAGATTTCTGAGGTTTCTGACTCCAGCTCTAGCTCCAAGATAGCATCTCTGAACAAACCCAGGACCAGGGAGTGCTCACCATGCTAAAGGGAAGGACACAAGACTGGCTGGTGTTGCCACCTGCTGATTGTAGAGCCCTAGGTCATTAGGCAAACATAGGCAGTGGCCAAGTGGTGGTTACAATGGGCTTTGGGCGAGACTCAATGCTGACCTGGCCGCAGGTCTGACCCAGTGCAGTCCTAGTAGTGGTGGCCAAAGGTGTGCATGTGTTACCCCTCTCATAGCTCCAAACAACTCAGCATAGAGAGAGAGGAAGATTCAATTTGTTTGGGAGAAAGTAAAGGAAGAGAACAGGAGTCTCTGCCTGTAATCCAGGGCATTCTAGCGACGCTTATCCAAGATTACCAATGCAGTACGTCTACAAGTATGCAAGAACTACAGCATTACTTAGCTCTGGGTACACCCTAATTTAGATACAGCTTCAGTGACCAAAGCTTAGATCACAACACCCAAGTCCTTTGAATACCTGGAAAACCTTCCCAAGAAGGATGGATACAAAAAAGCCCGGACTGTGATGACTACAATAAATACCTAACTCTTCAAAGACCAGACACCAGCAAACATCCACAAGCATGAAGAACATCCAGGAAAACATGAATTCACTAAATGAACTAAATAAGGTACCAAGAACAAATCTCAGAGACACAGAGATAATTGATCTTTTACACAGAATTTAAAATAGCTATTTTGAGGAAACTCAAAGAAATTCAACACGATGCAGAGAAAGAATTCAAAATCCTACCAGATAAATTTAACAAAGAGATTAAAATATTTAAATACAATCAAGAAGAAATTCTGGAGTTGAAAATGCAATTGACCTACTGAAGAATGCATCAGAGTTGTTTTCTTTTGCTTTTGAGACAGAGTCTCATTCACTCTACAGCTCAGGCCGGAGTCCAGTGGCATAATCTTAGCTGACTGCAGCCTCCATCTCCCAGGTTCAAGTGATTCTCCTACCTCAGCCTCCTGAGTCGCTGGAATTAGAGGTGTGAGTCTCTGCACCAGGCTCATCAGAGACTTTTAACAGCGGAATTGATCAAACAGAAGAAAGAATTAGTGAGTAACAGGCTATTTGAAAATATACATTCAGAAGAGACAAAATGAAAAAGATTTTTAAAAAATGAAACACACCTACAAGATCTAAAAAATATACTTAAAAGGGCAAAACTAAGTGTTATTGGCCTTAAAGAGGAGGTAGAGAAAGGGATAATAAAAAGTTTATTCAAGGGAATAATAACAGAGAAATTTCCAAATTTAGAGAAAGATATAAATATCCAAGGAAAAGAAGGTTATAGAACACCACTGTGACTTAACCAAAAGAAGACTACTGCAAGGTATTTAATAATCAAACTCCAAAATGTCAAGGATAAAGAAAGGATTCTGAAGGCAACAAGAGAAAAGAAAAATAATAATATGCAATTGAGCTCCAATATGCCTGGCAGAAGACTTTTTGGTGGAAATCTTACGAGCCAGGAGAGAATGGCATGACATATTTAAAGTGATGAAAAGAAAAATATTTTACTCCAAAATAGTATATTTTGTGAAAATACATTTCAATTGTGAAGGAGAAATACTTTCCCAGACAAACAAAAGCTGAAGAATTTCAACAATACCAGACCTGTCCTGCAGGATATGCTAAAAGAAGTACTTCAATCAGTAGGAAAAAGATGTTAATTTCCCCTGAGAAATCCTCTTAAGGTAAGAAACTCACTGGTAATTGTAAGTACACAGGAAAACACAAAACATAATAACACTATAACTCTAGTGTGTAAACTGCTATTAAGTAGAAAGTATAAAACATGAACCAATCAGAATTAATAACTACAATAACTTTTCAAGATGTAGACAATAAGATGTAAGTAGGAAGAACAAAAAGTTTAAAAGTGTGGAAACAAAGTTAAAGTGTAGAGTTTATTAGATTTTAATTTGCTTGTTTGTTAGTTTGTGTGTTTATGTAAGCAGTGTTAAGTTTGTTATCAGCTGAAAATAATGGGTTATAGAAAACTATTTGCAAGCCTCATGGTAACCTGAAATAAAAAAACACACAATGGATACACAACAAACAAAAAGTAAGAAATTAAATCATACCACCAGAGTAAAACACCTTCATTAAAAGGAAGACAGGAAGAAAGGAAAGAAGAAAGAGAAGACCACAAAACCACTAGTAAACTAATGAGAAAATGGCGGAAGTTAGTCCTTACTTAATGATAATTACGTTTATTGTAAATAAACTAAATTTTTCAATAAAAAGACAAGGAGTGGCTCAATAGATTTAAAAAAACAAGAACTCTATAATCTGTTGCCTACATGAAGTACACTTTACTTATAAAGACATATATACACTGAAAATAAAGAGATGGAAAAAAAATATTCCATGCCAGTGAAAACCAAAAAAGACCAGGATTAGGTATACTTATATCAGACAAAATAGATTTCAAGATAAAACTATAAGAAGAGACAAAGAAGGTCATTATGTAATGATAAAGGTGTTGATTCTTCAAGAGGATATAAAAATTATAAAAATGCTTGCATTCAACACTAGAAGACCAAGATATATGAAGTAAATATTATTAGAGATGGACCAAAATACAATAATAGCTAGAGAGTCCAACTCCCCACTTTTAGCATTGGACTGATTTTCTAGACAGAAAATCAACAAAGAAACATCAGACTTAATCCGCATTATAGACCAAACATACCTAATATATATTTATGAAACATTTCATCCAGTGGCTTTAGAATACACATTATTTTCCTCAGCACATGGATCATTCTCAACAATAGACCATATGTTAGGCCACAAAGAAAGTATTAAAATATTTTAAAAACACTATCAAATATCTTCTCTGCCCACAATATAATAAAGTTAGAAATCAATAACCTGAGAGAATTTGAAAACTATAGAAACACATAGAAATTAAGGAATATGTTCCAGAATGACCAGTAGATCAATGAATAAATAAAGAAGGAAATTGAAAAATTTCTTGAAACAAATTACAATGAAAACACAATATACCAAAACCTACTGGATACATCAAAAGTGTCAATAAGAAGGAATTTTATAGCTCTAAGTGCCTATATCAAAAAAGAACAAAAATTTCAAATAAACAACCCAATGATGCATCTTAAAAACCGAAAAGCAAGACCAAACCAAACCCAAAGTTAGTCAAAGAAAAGAAATAATAAAGGTCGAGCAGAATCAATGAAATAGAAACAAAGAAAACAATACAAAAAATCAAAAAAATAAAAAGTTGGGTTTTTTTTAAAAAGATAAAATTGACAAACCTTTAGCCAGAGTAACTACAAAAAAAAGAGTGGAGATCCAAATAAATAAAATCAGAGATGGAAAAGGAGACATTACAACTAACACCATAGAAATTCTAAGATCATTAGAGGCTATGATGAGCAACTACATGTCAATCAATTGCAAAACCTGGAAGAAATGGATAAATACCTGACACATACAAACTACCAAAAATGAACCATGAAGAAATCCAAAACATGAACAGACCAATAGCAAGTAACAAGATCAAAGCCATACTAAAAAGTCTCCAAGAAAAGAAAAGCCCAGGACCCAATGGCTTCACTGCTGAATTCTACCAAACATTTAAAGAAGAGTTAATACCAATTCTACTCAAACTATTCCAAAAAATAAAGGCAGAGGGAATACTTCCAAACTCCTTCTATGGGGCCAGTATTACCCTGATACCAAAACCAGACAAAGACAAATCAAAAAGGAAAACTACAGGCCAATATCTCTGATAAACATTGATGCAAAAATCCTCGACAAAATACTAGCAATTTATATCAACAACACATTAATAATATCATTCATCACGACTAAGTGAGATTTATCCCAGAGATGGAAGGATTTTTCAACGTATGCAAATTACTCAATGTGACACATCGTGTCAGCAGAATGAAGGATAAAAACCATATGATCATTTGAATTGATGCTGAAAAATCATTTGATAAAATTCAACATCCCTTCATGATAAAAACCCTCACAAAGCTGGGTTTAGAAACAACAAAATAATATATCAACATACTAAAAGCCATATATGACAGACCTACAGCTAATATTATGCTGAATGGTGAGAAACTGAAAGCCTTTCCTCTAACATTTGGAATACCATTAGGTTGCTCACTTTCATTGCTGTTACTCAACATTGTACTAGAAGTCCTACCTAGAGAAATTAGACAAGAGAAAGAAATAAAGAGCATCAAAATTGAAATAAAAGAAGTCACATTATCCTTATTTACAGAAAACATTATCTTATATTTGAAAAAAATGGTTCAAACTGATAACAAATTCAGTAAAATTACAGGAAACAAAATAAACATACAAAAATCTGTAGCATTTCTATAACCAGAGAGCAAACAATTGGAACAAGACATCAGGAAAATAATCCCATTTACAATAGCTACAAATAAAATAAAATACCTAGGAATTAATTTAACCAAAGAAATGAAATATCTCTGTAATGAAAATATTTACACATTGATGAAAAAAATTGAAAGGGACAAGAAAAAATTGAAAGATATTCCATGTTCACGGATTGGAAGTATCAATTATGTCAAAATATTCATACTACCCAAAGCAATCTACAGATTCAATGCAATCTCTATCAAAATATCAATTACATTTTTCATAAAAATAGAAAAAAACAATTCTGAAACTTATATGGAACCACAAAACATTCAGTACAGTCAAAGATCTCCTGAGCAAAAGAAAAAAAATACTGGAGAAATGATATTATATGACTTCAAATTCTCCTACAGAGGTATAGTAGTAACCAAACAGCATGGTACTGACATTAAAACGGACACATAGACCAATGGAACAGAATAAAGCACCCAGAAACGTAACAATACATTTACAGCGAACTCATTTTCAACAAAAGTGCCAAGAACATGCATTGGGGAAGGACAGTGTCTTCAATAAATGGTATTGGGAAACCTGAGTCTCCATATGCAGAACGAAATTCGACCCCTATCTTTGGCCGTATGCAAAAATCAAATAAAAATGGATTAAAGAGTTAATTAAGTCTAAGACTTAAAACTATGAAACTACTATAAGAAAATATTGGGGAAAATCTCCAGGATATTGAACTGGGCAAAGATTTCTTGAGTAATATCCCACAAGCACAGGTAACCAAAGCAAATATTGGCAAACGGGATCACACCAAGTTAAAAAGCTTCTGCACAGTGAAGGAAACAATCAACAATGTGAACAGACAACCCACAGAGTTGGAGAAAACATTTACAAAGTATCCATTTGACAAGGGTTCAATAATGAGAATATATAAGGACCTAAAACAACTCTATGGGGAAAATATAATAATTTAATTTTAAACTGTGCAAAAGATATGAATGGACATTTCTCTAAAGAAGACATTCAATGGCAAAGAGATATACGAAAAGGTGCTCAACACCACTGATCATCAGAGAAATGCAAATCAAAAGTACAATGAGCTATCACTTCCCAGTTGAAATGGCCTCTATTCAAAAGGCAGACAATAACAAATGCTGCAGAGGATGGATGTTTAGAAAAGGGAACCATTGTACACTCTTGCTAGAGATGGAAATTAGTGCAATCACCATGGAGAACAGTTTAGCAGTTCCTCAAAAAACTAAAATTGAGCTATCATACGATCCTGCAATTCTACTCCTAGGTATATATCCAAAAGAAAAAAAAATGGTATATTGAATAAATATCTACACTCTCATGTTTATTGTGGCACTATTCACAATAGCCAAGATTTGGAAGCAAACTAAGTGTCCATCAACAGATAAACGGTTAAATAAAATGTGGTACATATACACAATGGAGTACTATTCACCCATAAGAAAAATGATATCCTGTCATTTGCAACAACATGGGTGGAACTGGAGATCATTATGTTAAGTGAAATGAGCCAGGCAAAAGAGTGAAGGAGAAACAGCCACATCTTACATGGGCAGAGCAGGAGGAAGAGAGGGCAGGGAATGTGCTACACACTTTTAAACTGAGCACTCACTATCACAATAGCAGCAATGGGGTAGGGGGGATCTGCCCCCATGACACAATCACCTCCTACCAGGCCCCACCTCCAACACTGGGTATTATCATTCAACATGAGATTTGGATGGGGACACAAATCTAAACCATATCGCTTACCAATCCACCAGTTCATGTTATTTCTAGTATGTGATATTATCAATAGAGCAGCTCTAAATATTGGCATACAGGTTTTACATGAACATGTGTCCTCATTGCTCTCGGTTAAGTACCTAGGAGAGGATTTCTGGGTAGGATGGTAATGTATAAGTTTATAAGAAAGGCTCTGTCAAACCGATTTGCAATATGGATGTAACATTTTGCATTCCCACCAGCAAAATCTGAGAGTACTGTTATTCTTCATCTTCAACAGCATTTATTAGTGTCAGTTTTTATTTATTTGATCCATGCTAATAGGTGCGTGGTACTATCTATTGGAGTTTTAATTTCCATTTCCTTAATGACTTATGACATTTATGTTCTTATTTACTAGTTGTATGTCTTCTTCAGTAAAATACTGTTACAAACATTCACCCTTTAATTGGATTGTTTGTTTTCTTTGTAATGAGATTTGAAAGTTCTTTACATAACTTGGTTATCAGTCCTTTGTCACCTCTGTACTTTGCAAATATTTTCTACCTGTCTGTGGCTCGTCATTTCTTTTTCTTTGGAAAAAGTAGTGTATTTTGAAAATCAGAATTTTTTTTTTTTTTTTTTTTTTTGAGACGGAGTCTCGCTCTGTCGCCCAGGCTGGAGTGCAGTGGCGGGATCTCGGCTCACTGCAAGCTCCGCCTCCCGGGTTCACGCCATTCTCCTGCCTCAGCCTCCCAAGTAGCTGGGACTACAGGCGCCCGCCACTACGCCCGGCTAATTTTTTGTATTTTTAGTAGAGACGGGGTTTCACCGTTTTAGCCGGGATGGTCTCGATCTCCTGACCTCGTGATCCGCCCGCCTCGGCCTCCCAAAGTGCTGGGATTACAGGCGTGAGCCACCGCGCCCGGCCCAGAATTTTTAAACTTTGATGACCTCTATTGTATTAGTTTTTTCTTTTATGAATTATGCTTTTTGTGGCCTAAGAAACTAAAATTTATGAATATTTATATTTCCTGGAAGTTTTACAGTTTTAGGTTTTAAATTGATGCCTATGATTCATTTCAATTTAGTTTCAAATTTAGTTCAAGGTATGAATTGAAGTTCTTTTTTGCATGTGGATATCTAATTGTCTCAGTGCCATTTGTGGAAAATGATGTTGTTGTTGGTTGTATTTCTAATTTTCTCTCTCATATTCAATCTATCAATGTATTTATCCTTTTACTAATACTACATTTTCTTGACTACAATAAATTTATGTTAATCTTGAATCAAGTAGTTTAAAAAATACATGTATTTTGAGTATTAACTCTTCTATAGTGTAGTATATTTAATTTCTAAATATACCTTATAGTCTTTCCATGACACTTTTCTTCTCAGTTTACCTGTTAAATATTTAATCTACAATTTGAAATACTACCATGCTATCAAATATTAGAAAATTCCATTCTGCATTCCTCATTTGACTTTTTACAATAAAATATATCCCTGAGATCAGTACATCATTAACATTATCAAATAAGACCTCCCATTTTTCTCTAACCTGAAAATATTTAACTATATGATTCAATTTACTCAATCTGAATAGTAAGTTATATAAAATATTTATGTCAGAGTATTTTCAAAGGGGATTTGAAGTTCATTACAAAGGGGACAATATGATTATAATAAAGCTAATAATTGAGATGTGCCTAAGTTTTTCCAAGGCTTCTTTTCGCTGGAGGTAAAAATAGGTTAATGGTAGTAGCTATAATCCTGTCAAAAAGGGTTTCTAACCCTACTTACTCATATAATAATTTCTAGTCACATTCAAAGTCACTCTCTGTCATCTCTGGAAATTTTTATGCAGTTGCTCACATGTAATTAACAACTAGAATATCAGCCAAAGTTATCCTGCAGTAGTAACCATATTTTCAATTTCTATTCTGATACTTAGTCTATGCCAATCTCCACTGCTCTCAAAATCACCTAACAAAATCTTATTATTGTATCTTTGGCACGTATTCAATTTAAAAGTCATAATCTCCAATAAGAATTGGATGTTAAAAACAGCAGTCTATTATATGAATCAAATGTATGGTTGGCTAAACATTTTTAAATCTTTATCCTTTCTTGGATTAGGAAACACAATGAGCACCTGATTCTCTCTACAATTTCCCCTTGATTCAGATTTTTTATGATCTGTCATCTGGAGACTTAGCAAACCTCTTATCTTATTTCCAAATCACCTGTCTCTTTTCCTTCTAGTTTTTCCCACTGTCAAAATGAAAATCTCCTGCAAAAATGGTTCTATTATATCAATTATTTCATAATTGTTGTATTTCTCTGTAGACATGGCAGATCAAATGTTTTTAATATATCACTCCCATGAATTCTATAAAAGTATAATAAATGGATTTACAATAATGGTTTAATTGACCCAAAGGTATTCAGTGGTGAATTCTACCATGTATTTAAGTAAGAAATTATACCAACCTTTTACAGTCTCTTCCAGAAGATAGACACAGGGGAAGTACTTCCCAATTCATTCTATGAGTTCAGTATTGCCCTAATACCAAAACCAAAGAAAGATATTACAAAAAAAGAAAACTATGGAACAATGTCTCTCATGAAGACAGATAAAAAAGTCCTCAACAAAATATTAGAAAACTGAATTCAGCAATGCATTAAAAGAATTATATACCACAACCAATTGGTATTTGTCCCAGCAATGCAAGACTGGTTCAAGGTTCAAAAAGAAAGTAATGTAACATATTACATCAACAAGCTAAAGAAGAAAAGGCACATGTTCATATCAGTTGATACAGGAAAAGCATCTGATACAACCCAGCAGCCATTTATGATAAAAACTCTCAGAAAAGTAGAAATAGAGGGGAACTTTCTCAACTTTATGAAGAATATCTATTGAAAACCTCAGCAAATATCCTACTTAATGATGAAAAACTGAAAACTTTTCTATTAAGACCAGGAAAATATAAGAATGTCGTCTTACCACTCCTTTTCAACATTGTCGTGGAAGCTCTAGCTAGTAAAATGAGAAAATAAAATATATGATATATAGATTGAGAAGAAAACAATTAAATTGTCATTGTTCTCAGATGGCATAAATGTCTATTTAGAAAATCTGAAAGAACTGACCAAAAAGAAAAGAAAACTAGTAAGCTTTTTATAGCAAAAAACTGGAACTAGTAAGCAATTATAGCAAAGTTTCAGGTTACGAAGTTAATATACAAAAGTCAATCACTTTCCTAACTACCAGTAATGAACAAATGGAATTTGAAATGGAAAATATTTAGTTAAAAATCTAACAAAATATATATAAGATCTAAATATCTATATGAAGAAAACAATGAAACTCTCATGAAAAAAATTAAATAGAAACTAAAAAATGGAGAGACATTCTAGTTCATAAATAGGAAGCTTCAATACTGTCAACATGTTAGTCTTTCCCAATTTCATTTATAAATTCCATGGAATCTCAATCAAAATTCTAGCTAATTGCTTTGTGGATATTGACAAACCAATAATGTTTACATTGAGAGACTAAAGACCCAGAATAGCCAACATAATATTGAAGGAAATCGAAGTCAGAGGACTGACACTACTCACCTTCAGACTTACTTTAAAGCTATCAATACACTGTATTGTTGATACAAAATAAAATAAAATAGACAAATAGGTCAATGAAGTAGAACAGAGAGTCCAGAAATATACCCACCTAAATATAGTCAAATGACTTTTTTTAAAAGGCAGAAGCAATACAATGGAGAAAATATAATTGTTTAAACAAGTTGTGTTGATATGGTTTGGCTGTGTCCTCACCCAAATCTCATCTTGAATTGTAACTCCCACAATCCCCACATGTTGTAGAAGGGACCCAGTGGGAAGAAACTGAATCACGGGAGTGGGTCTTTACTGTGCTATTCTCATGATAGCGAAAAAGTCTCATCAGATCTGATGGTTTTATAAAGGGGAGTTTCCCTCCACAAGATCTCTTCTCTTGTCTGCCACCATGTGAGACGTGCCTTTCACCTTCTGCCATGATTGTGAGACCTCCCCAGCCACGTGGAACTGAGAGTCCATTAAACCTCTTTCTTTTGTAAATTGCCCAGTCTCAGGCATGTCTTTATCAGCAGTGTGAAAACGAACTAATGCAGTAAATTGGTACCAGTAGAGTGGGGTGCTGCTGAAAAGACACATGAAAATGTGGAAGCAACTTTGGAATGGGGTAACAGATAGAACTTGGAAGAGTTTGGAGGGCTCAGAAGAAGACAGGAAAATGTGGGAAGATTTGGAACTCCCTAGACTCATTAATGGATTTGACAAAAATGCTGATAATTATATGGACAATGAAATCCAGGCTCAGGTGGTCTCAGATGGAGATGAGGAACTTGTTGGGAACTTAATCAAAGATACTGTTGTTATGTTTTAGCAAAGAGACTAGCAGCATTTTGCCCCTGCCCTAGAGATTTGTGGAACTTTGAGCTTAACAGAGATGATTTATGGTATCTGGCAGAAGAAATTTCTAAGCAGCAAAGCATTCAAGATGTGACCTGGATGCTATTAAGGGCATTCAGTTTTAAAAGGGAAACAGCATAAAAGTTTTAAAATTTGCAGCCTGACAATGGAACCTCAGCCTATATTTCAGAAGATGTATGGAAATACCTGGATGCCCAGGCAGAAGTTTGCTGCAGGGGCAGGGCCCTCATGGAGAACCTCTGCTAGGGCAGTGCAGAAGGGAGATGTGGGGTCAGAGTCCACATACAGATTCTCTTCTGGGGCACTGCCTAGTATGAACTGTGAGAAGAGGACCACCATACTCCTGACCCCGGAATGGTAGATCCACCGCCAGCTTGCCACGTGTGCCTGGAAAAGCTGCAGACACTCAACACCAGCTTGTGAAGGCAGCCAGGAGGGGGGTTATAACCTGCAAAGCCACAGGGGCAGAGCTGCCTAAGGTCGTGTAAGTCCACCTCTTGTATCAGTGTGACTTGGATACGAGACATGGAGTCAAATGAGATCATTTTGGGAGTTTTAAGATTTGACTGCACAGATTTTGGAATTGCATGGGGCCTGTAGCCCCTTTGTTTTGGCCAATTTTTCCAATTTAGAATGGTTATATTTACCCAATGCCTGTACACCCATTGTATCTAGGAAGTAACTAACCTGCTTTTGATTTTGCAGGCTCATAGGCGGAAGGGACTTGCCTTATCTCAGATGAGACTCTGGACTGCAGACTTTTGAGTTAATGGTGAACTGAGTAAAGATTTCAGGGGACTGTTAGGAAGGCATGATTGGTTTTGAAATGTGAGAACATGTGATTTAGGAAGGGCCAGGGGTGGAATGATATGGTTTGGCTGTGTCCCCCCACAAATTTCATCTGAATTTCTATGTGTTGTGGGAGGGACCCAGTGGGAGGTCATTGAATCATGGGCGTGGGTGTTTCCCATGCTGTTCTCATGATAGTGAATGAGTCTCATGAAATCTGATGGTTTCATAAGGGGGAGTTTTCCTGCATAAGCTCTCTTTTTGCCTGCTGACATCCATGTAAGATGTGACTTGCTCCTTCTTGCCTTCTGCCATGATTGTGAGGCCTCCCCAACCAATGTGAAAGTGTAAGTCCACTAAACCTCTTTCTTCTGTAAATTTCCCAGTCTCAGGTATGTCTTTATCAGCAGCATGAAAACAGACCAATGAAACCATCTGCATGCAAAAATTAATAAATCTAGGTACAGGTCTTTTATCTTTCACAAAAATTAACTCAAAATGAATTATTTACCTAAATGTGAAGTGCAAAACTGTAAATCTCCTAGAATATAATATAGAGGATAAACAAAAATCTAGTTGACCTTTGGTATAAAACGTTTTTTCCACACAGAAATCACCATATGAGTGTTTATTACAGCTTTATTCATAACTGCCAAAACTTGGAAGTAATCAAGATGTTCCTCAGTAGTGGAATGGATTTCTAAAAACTTGTGGTACATCCAGACAATAGAAGATTATTCAGTATTAAAAAGATACGAGCAGCTGGGCGTGGTGGCTCACGCCTGTAATCCCAGCACTTTGGCACTTTGGGAGGCCAAGGAGGGCGGATCACCTGAGGTCAAGAGTTCGAGATCAGCCTGGCCAACATGATAAAACCCCATCTCTACTAAAAATACAAACATTAGCCGGGCGTTGTGGCAGGCACCTGTAATCCCAGCTACTCAGGAGGCTGAGGCAGGAGAATCACTTGAACCCAGGAGGCGGAGGTTGCAGTGAGCCGAGATTGTGCCATTGCACTTCAGCCTGGGGACAAGAGCGAGACTTCGTCTCAAAAAAAAAAAAAAAAAAAAGATACGAACAATCAAGCCATGAAAAGACATGAGGGAAACTTGAATAAATATTACTAAGTGAAAGAAGCTGATCTGAAAAGATGACATACTGCATAATTCCAACTATATGACATTCTAGAAAAGGCAAAACTATAGAGATAATTTAAAAAGCAATGATTTCCAGCAGTTAGAGGGAAGGGGAAGATAAGTGAGTGGAGCACAGGATTTGGGGGCAGTGAAAGTATTCTGTATGATATTGTAATGATATATACATGTCATTATACATTTGTCAAAACATGTAGAATGTACATCAAGCATGAAACTTAATATGAACTATGGACTTCAGATAATTAAGATTTGTCAATGTCAGTTCATCAGTTGTAAAAAAATGTACCACTGTGATGTGAGATGTTGGTAGTAGGGGAAGCTTGCATATATGGGTACAGCGGGTATATAGAGAATCTGTGTACCTTCTAATCAATTACTCTGTGACCATACAGCTGCTTTGAAAGTAAAGTCTGTCTTTAAAAATAAGATTTAAATTGGCTAACTCTTCACAGTAAAGAGAACAGGAAAGAAAAAAGCAGCAACACAATTCTGAAAACTGAAAAATAGAGAGACAGTGGCTATTGATGTAGCTGACTAGAGAAAGTGGATTTCATTCAAGTAGCAGCAAGAACAAAAATAGAGTTTGGCAAACTCACAATATGATTAAAATAATTTACTTTTCACCAGAGGGTTTGGAAGATAAATTTGAGAACAACTACTCATGGGCAAAACTAAAACAAAAGAGATAAGATAAAATACAAAATAATACTAGTCTATGAGGTAGAATACTTTAAAAGACAACTTCAAAGAAGAGAGGAAAAGGAACTGGGTCAATTTGTGAATAAAATTTCAAAGACTAATATCCTAAATTGAAGGACATTTTCTTTTTATATTTTTTATTTTTATGGGTACATAATAGCTGTATATAGTTCTGGGGTACATGAGATGTTTTGACATAAGCATGCAACGTGAAATAGGTACATCGTTAGAATGGGATATCCATCCCCCTTAAGCATTTATGTATTGAGTTTCAAGCAATTCAATTACACTCTTTAAGTTATGTTAAAATGTACAGTTATTATTGACTATACTCACCCTTTTGTGCTATCAAATGGTAGAACTTATTCATTCATCTATTTTTAACCTATTAATAATCCTTCTCCCAGGCCCCATTACTCTTCCCAGCCTCTGATAACCATCCTTCTACTCTCTATATCCATGAGTTCAATTATTTTGATTTTTAGAACCCATAAATAATTCATGTGTTAGAATTCTGAATTCCTTGTCTGTGTTATCTTGAATTTATTTGTGTTTCTTCAACCAGCTATTTTGAGTTCTCTGTCTGAAAGTTCACATATCTCTGTTTTTCCAGGATTGGTCCGTGGTGCCTTATTGAGTTCATTTGGTTAGGTCCTGTTTTCCTGGATGGTGTTGATACTTGTAGATGTTCTTTAGTATCTGTGCGTTGAAGAGTTAGGTATTTATTACAGTCTTCCCTTTCTGGGTTTATTTGTACCTGTCCTTTTTGGAAAGGCTTTTCAGATATTTGCAAAGACTTGGTATTGAGATCTAAGCTGTTTTTATTTAAGGGACACCCCAAGCCCAGTAATGCTGTGATTTTTGCAGACTCATAGAGGTCTTGCCTTGAGGGTCTTGGACATGATCTGAGAGAATTCTCTAGATTACCAGGCAGAAACTCTTGTTCTCTTCCCTTCCTTTTTCAAAATATATATAGTCTCTCTCTCTCACTTTCTCTGTTCTGAGCCTCCTAAAGGTTGGGGTGGAGAGACACAAGCACCCCTGTGGCCACCATCACCACTACAATTGTGCCGGGTCAGACCTACAGTCAGTACAACACTAAGTTCCCACCAAGGCCTGCTGTAACCACTCCCTGGCTACTACTTATGTTTGCTCAAGGCCCTGTGGCTCTACAATCAACCAGTCTCAAAGCCAGTCAGGTCTGTGTCCTTCTCTTCAGGGTGGTGAGGTCCCCCAGGCCCCAGGTTCGTACTGAGGTACCATCCAGGAGTCAAAGCCTTGAGTAAAAAGTCAAAGAACTCTAACTGCTGTTCTATTTTCCTGTAGCTAAGCTGGCATTGAAACCACAAGCCACAGTCCTTCCCACACTTTCTTCCCCTTTCCAAAGGCAGAGGAGCTACTAGAGTTATTTTGGGTAAAAAAACTAATACATGGCCCATTACGTTATCGCCTATTGAACTGATGAAGACGTCATCCAAATAATCCAGCTACCACGGGTTTTTAATTAATGGAGTCTCACATCCTATATCTGCTTTTTAATTTTAGATCTCGTAGAAATTACTAAACTTATAAAGTCATTTCAAAATTCCAGACAGCCACTGCCCGGAATTTAAACCAGCACTTTACTTGTCAGGTGTCGTGCAGGTCATTGGAAATGAAAGAATACATCAGGAAAAAAAAATATATATATATATACCTTAAAAGATACAGTATTAAAATATACAGTAGTCCACCCTTATCTGTAGGGGATGTGTTCCAAGACTCCCAGTTGATGTCTGAAACCGCAGATAGTACTGAGTCCTATATATACTACATTTTTGCCTATATATACTACATTTTTGCCTATATATACACACATATGAATAATTTTCATTATAAATTAGGCACAGTAAGAGATTAAAAATAATAACATAGAATAATTATGACAATATGCTGTTCATAATTTCACACAGAAGGTTTGTTCTTACCTTAGATCTTAGAAACGTCAGCATATGTGGTTTTTTCTCTCCTTAAGTCAGAAACTTTCACCATTTTACTTAAAGGAAGCACTGTACAGCTTCTCTTTGGCACATCCGAATTGCCAGCATCACTATTCTTTCACTTAAGACAATTATTAAGTAAAAGAGAGTGACTTGAACACAGGCACTTCATTCCCGAGACAGTCAATCTGATAACTAAGATGGCTACAGAGTAACTAGCAGGTGGGCAGGATATACAGAATAGCTCCTCCAGACAAGGGGATAATTCACATCCTGGTGGGATGAAGCAGGACAGCTAGAGATTTCATCACACTACTCAAAACAGCATACAATTTAAAACTTGTTGTTTATTTCTGGAATTTCCCACTTTAACATTTTTGGTCAGAGAGTAACCAAAACTGCAGAAAGCAAAACCACAGATGGAGGACTACTGTAGAAACAACTGAACTTATCACTTACAGGAGCAATTTTAAATATTTATCACTAATTTCTACATCCATATATTAATCTTACAAAGTAATTTTTTAACCTAAAAAAAGATCTGTGAAAAGAATAATTTTAATGCAACATTTTATTGCAGACGCAGGCTTTAAATGTTCCAATGACAGAAAACAGGTGTCCAACAACTACTTTAGATTTAGTTACATATTTTACAGTAATCATGGATGATCTGGATAACCTAAACAAGAGAGAAAGCAAGATGTTGAAAGGTATGGAAATATTCTCTTTTAAAAAGTTGAAGAAATGGTTTGTGTTTGGCTTTAAGAGGAAGTAAGTCTAGGGAGACTCCTGAGTGATGTACTGAAATGGCTCACAAGTTCCCATGAAAATAAATGAAGAGACAGAATGTACATTATCTGGAAAGTTGAACTTAGTCAAATGGTGACAGAAGCAGAATTTGTGTAGTTTTACAATTCTGCAAAATTTTTTCACATAATAGACAAGAAAAGTCAAAAGCAGTGGTTCTCAGCCAAGGTTGATTTTGTGTCCCATGTAACACTGTTAAGTCTGGAGACATGTTCTCACAATTCTGGATGGGAGAAGAGAGCATTACTGGCACCTAGCATGTAGATGCTCCAGATGCTAGTAAATATCCAACAACGTATACAGCCAACAGCCCAAAACAATTATCCAGCCCCAAAAGACCGCAGCACCACGATTGAAAAACTTCTTGTAAATTATGGAAATGTACTGAAGGAGACCAGATGCCCAACAGGTTCTGAGGTTTTTTCAGTCTCATTAATCTAGCAGAAACTTAGCAGCTCCTTCAGTATCATTACAGGATTCTTCTCTGTGTCCTTGTATTCAAGAAATTTACACTCTACACCCTTAAGTACAGATAATTGTATGAAAAAGATAAATAGCAGCATAAAATAAAAAAAGAATAAAAGTTTAAAATAGAAAGGTGCCCTAAGACTTCAAAGAAAAAGATGGAATGTAAACATATGAATTAAGTGTACTCATTCTGGGTGCTCTGTGAATTCCAATCCCAATTTTAACAGTTTCTAGTTATGAAGCTAAAGGTCAAATCCTTGCCTTCCAGAAACCTCCACACCCTCATCTGTAAAATGGAAACCTTTTAGGTTAGATGTGAGAATTCAGTAAATTATTATTTTGAAAATGCTTGTAAAAATGCCTGGCACATCATGTCAGAAGTAAATATTGCTATGATGATACCAATATCATATGATATGGATATGGATATAGATATGGATATGGATATGGATATGGATACCAAGCATCCAGACATATTTTTATGGAGAAGATGAGATTTGATCTGGAATTACAGAGGAAGACTTTAGATAGGTGAAAAAGAAAAAGAAATGGCATTTTATGTAAGGAGAGCATCATGCTATGCTGAATGAAATGAACAGGCTTCCCCTCCCCTGTCTCTTTTAAAGTGCATTCCTGGCAGCTTCTCCCTCTTTCCGTTCTCCCCAGAACCTCCTCGGTAGTCATTTTCAATCTGAACCAAGGTGCTACATAAGGTGGCTTCATTAAATAGGATAGGACTAAAATAAGACAAAAACTATCTTTCTATACTCTCAAATATTTTTTCTGCATTTCACAGGTCAATTTACTTATTTAAAAAAACTGTTTTTTCATGTTTTTCATCAATTTTTTAAATTGACTCACATGTCAATTATACATTTCACAAGCATTAAGGAAGAAGAACTAAGCTATATAAAAGGCATCCTATTTTCCATATGCATTAAACGTCTATAACAGAAACAAAAAATTGGTGCATGGTTTCCAATGTTATGGTAAGCTGCATGACGTCCCTGGTGTGGGTTTCAATCTATTTTGGAAGGGGAATAAGTCATACGTTAAACTGAAATCCAAAATAAAGCTGTGTCTCATTCAAACATCACATAAACATCATAATACATTTTCATCTGGGAAAAAGAAAAAATTTCTAAACATATCCTAAATTGAGGCAGCATCATAAATAACAAAATGAAGCCACTGCATTCACCTACATGCAGGTAATTTTTAAAATAATCTAGTCACAATAACATGTATTGTTTTCCTAGAAAATAAATAAGACTGGAGAACATAAGCAATTTCCTCCAAGGTCATTCAGCATATTTTTAAGGGTAGAATCAGAAATGCAATAAGCTTACAACAAGATTTTTAAACTTGTTGGTTCTAGAAAGCATAAAGATTGCTTTTGGGGTCAGAGACTATAGCCCCTGGTGTAAAACGATAACATAGGTAAATCAATGCCTGTCACAGGCCATACTCTATTTTTTGGAATTAATGCTTCCAAAAATTCACAATCTCTAGAGCATATTGCTTTGTTTCTTCTGTATAGTTTCTGTCTACCTATTATCTACATGAGTGAAAATTGTAAAATCTTTCAAATGCCATTAATACCTGACTTTAACATTCTCAAAACAACTTTAAACATTCTCAAAAATATATTTGACAAAAAGTTTGTAATCTAAACAACAACATCACTGGAGTGAACATAAAGCAAATAAATATGGTACAAATGGAGGGTTTTAGGAGATAAATAACTTGGAATGGTGATTTAAGAAAGCCTATGAAGGAGAGCATTATGCTATACCTGTATGTATGTATGCATCTTTTATGTTTTAATTTTGTGGGAAACTGCCAACATTTCCTCTTTTAGCTCTACAGAATAGTTGAATCACCAGTGTCTTTCTACTTTAAATGGTCTCAGGATATTTTGAGAGAACACTTTAAATTCATCTTACTGCTCTGCCAACATAGCTAGAGTTGAGAAATAGAGTAGAAAATGCATATAAATTAGGTTATTTTGCAAATTGGTAACATCTTCAATATTATCTTCCCCTTCTTAATGGATTTAAATTAGAAACACTAATGACTATATTAGCATATTTTGTGCTCAGTGGGAGACGCCAATGGAAGGGTTCTTTGGGTACATTTGGAGAGAGATAAACAGTTGAGTATCATTAACACCAAAATCAAAATAATGTTTCACTAAAAATATAAAGTTTTAAAGAATTATCATGTGCATCTCAGAGCATTCAAAATAAATTTACAGAGCAGTTTTAAACCATACTGAGAGGAAGAACTTATTAAAAATACAGTTTTCTTTATTCAAACTTAAACCTTAAAAAAATTCTAATCCTTTGTGAATCATGCTCAAATGAGCTCTGCTCTGTCCTTTGTTATAAAAATATAATCCTAGACACAACAAGACTATGGCACCAGGTCCTTAATATTATTGTAGTTGAAATAATTTGCTTATATTTATTCCTTTGTTTTATTTTACAGTCATTTTTTATTTAAAATTAAAATATGAACTGGTGGAGTGAAGGCATATTTGACTACTCAAACAGATTTATTCTAAATTGGAAGTTCATGGCATGCACAAGTAGGAGAATTTTGCACAACATAAATGCAGCAAACACAGCTTAAGGGCATGGGAGCTGGGAATAGAAAAACTAGAAACCGAAGCTTTTCTTTGTTTCTCGGTGACCATGTCATCTGAATCTCTGTTTCTTTTGAAAGGCCTATTGCTCATTCCTTCCTTCCTTCTCTCCTTCTTGCTTCCTTTCTTTCTCTCTCCTGCAGACTAGTTTCCTCTGCCTGAACACTATGAACACTATAGTCCTAAGGCATTCAGGCATGTAACTAGAATGACTTGATCAGTTCAGCTCAAGGCAAACTACTCCAGAGTTCTAGTATACCACAGGTTTCTAATGCCCAGGACAGAAAGCACTGATCCAGGTCAGCACTTTGTTTTCCTTGCTGCTGTGTGCCTAAACTTGGCCCACACTGTGATCACAAATAGTGTCATGGAGTGAAATCCTTTGTTCATCCAACAAATATGTATATTTACTAATTGATAAACACTATGCCTATGGCAGAAAATAAGGGCACAGTCTTTGATCTCATAAAGTACACAATTTCGTGGAACAAAGAATATGTTTCAAATAATCACATCAATTAAGGTATAATTTCCTAACTGAGAAAAACTCAGAAGGAAAGGAAGATATTTTTGTGGAAGGTCAGGGAAAGTTTTTCTGAGGAAGTGAGGTTAGAGACGTGATTGGAAGGATTAATCAAAGTTTGTCAATTTAAGGAAGAAGGAGAAGTTGAGAACATCATTCCTGGGAAATAAACAATACATACAATGACTCTGTGGTAGACTGTATACCCAACATATTATGAGAAGGCCTCAGTAGCTGATGAAGAGAGAGCAAGAATATGACTATGTTCAGTAGAATATGACCGAGGAGGCAGGTAGGCAGGAACCAATTCACTTTGTCTTACTAGAAAAGATAAGACTTTGTTCTGTAGCCTTAGAACAATGGGAGTCTTAGAAGAGTTTTGAACAAGTGGGTAAGTTGATGTGACTTGTTTGAAGGACGCTTCTGATAGCAGTGGGGAAAGAAGAAAAGATTGTATGAGGTCAAGAGTGGATGTAAGACCAGTTACAATTTAATAGTGTAAGTTAGAGATGATAGAAGTTTAGTGTAGACATAGTAGTAGGAGTGAAAAAAGTGTTAAGGATTGAGAGATATTTAAGAGTAAAGTTGATGTGACAAGATTATGTTTCACCTGAGAACTGGGACACCATGCTAGAGGAAGGGACATGGACACAGCGTATAAACTCAGTGAACATTTGCAGTACCTAAATAGCTAAGATTAAAGATGATCATTATAGGGGTTGAGTTTTGTCTCCCAAAAAAGATACATCGATGTTCTGGCCCTCAATGCTTCAGAATTTGGCTGCATTTTGAAATAAAGTCTTTACAGAGATTATCAAGTTAAAATGAGGTCACTAGAATGGATCCTAATCCAGTATGACTAGTGCCCTTATAAAAAGGAGGAATTTGGACATAGAGACAAACATGCACATAGGGACGATGATGTAAAGACACACAGGAAGAAGACAGCTGTGTGACTGAAGTGACTCACTTACAAGCCAAAGAATGCTAAAATTTGGCAACCCACCACCAGAACCTAGAAAAGGACAATGAAAAAGTATTACCCTACAGGTTTCAGAGGGAGCACAGTCTTGCAGACACATTGATTTTAGACTTCCATTGTCCAGAACTGTGAGACAATAAATTTCTGTTGTTCTAAGCTACCCAGTGTGTGGCACTTAGTTATGGCAGCTTTGGGACCCTAATGCAGCTCATAACTTGGAAGGGATTTATCTGATTCTCCTGAGGTTTCAGCTTATAACTTTGATGTTTTTGTTAGTATATTGCAAACATTTGAGGCAATATGACACATTAGATTTTACACTGGAGAAGCTATAGATTTTATACCTTATGCAGGTCTTTGATTTTACACATCTTATTATAGTTTCAGTTAAGATATCATGCATGAAAGGTCTAATTCTCTTATATCTGCCCTCATTTTTAGTAAATGTGCTAATTTAAAATCAAACTAAAAAGACATATAAAAGATTTTTAGGCCAAATAGTATATGCTGGACTTTTAGTTAAAGCTGATTGGTTGGTAAAATTCTAAGACGGTTCCTAAAATCTCCACCACACTGTATGCACACCTGAATAATCCCCTCTTCTTGTTAGGACTCATGACTATGATGGGATTTCACTCCTGTGCTGAGGTTACATTATATGGCAAAGGTAAAGAGATTTTGCATATGTAATTATAGTTCATAATCAGTTAATTTAAGTTCATCAAAAGAGAGATTGTCATGGGTCAGACCTAATCATGTAAGCTCTATAAAATAGGGTCCAGGCCTTCCCTAGAGTTTGAGATTTGAACCTGGAGTCTCCTGCTGGCCTTGAAGAAGCAGTCATGCTGTGAACTGCTTATAGTGGAAGCCAATTTGCAAGGATCTGAGGATGACCTTTAAAAGCTGAAAGCAGTACTCAGCTGACAATGAACAAGAAAATAGGGACTACGATCCTAAAGCCTCCAAAAAACTGAATCTGCCATCAACCAAATGGGCTTGGAAAGAGATTTTTTTTCTATTAAGCCTCTAGGGAAGAGCCCAGCCTATCTAACATAATGATGGCAGCCATCTGAAATACTTAATCAAGAACCCAATTGAAAAATACCTAAATTTCTGTCCTGCAGAATCTGAGACAATAATCAAGTGTTTTAAGCCACTAAAACACGGCAATTTAATATGCATCCATAGAAAACTAAAACAATTTTTACAATATGTTATATTTTTATCTTTTTGAATTTTCTAAATAAACTTACTTTGTCATCTTTATAAAACTGTTCTATTATTTTAATTTCATCTTGAAAAAGTTTATCATAAAACTCTTGATTTTATGGGTAGTTCTTCATAGCATTTATATTCATCACTAGTTTTGAAAATTTAAGATGTAGATTTCTTTTGATTCTCTCTCTCCCTATCTCTCTTTTCATCTCTATCTCTATTTCTTTTCTACACTCCAACTAGCAAACTATTTTGTTCTTTTCTTCAGCCAAACTACTGGACATCAGTCCAAATCCAAGACATATATGTGTACTTACAAGCTTTTGGAACAATAACAATAGCAACAACAAGAATAAATTGCCAAATCAAATCTGAGACAGGAGGGAAACATTTCATCTCTGGTGACTATTCTGTGTACTCTTCCTTTCTTAGATCCGCAGCTTTACAGATTTCAAATCCTCAGGCAGTATTTAGATCTATCCCAACACATGATTTTTGTAGCAGTGGGATCAGCTCCAGTACTTCACCTTCTGTGGGGCAAATTTTCATCCCTTGACAAATTCTCAGATTGCTTCTGACTGCTTCCCAACAGTCCATAAGCCTGAAGACACATCTCTCTCACTACTTTACATTCTTTCCCTACATGGCAAGCTCACTTCTGTGATTGAAGCAGAGGGGATGAATCAAAGTGTGAATACTTCATCCTGTTTAAACTGAAGGTCTACAAATGAATTTTAAGCTACTATTTTTCAGTTAATTCTTCATGCTCCTCTTGGGAAAGAAAATATAAAATAGGTAAAGAGGAGTGAAGGGGGGAAAACAGAGAAGAGAATTTAGTGTGAGAGAGATTTACTCAAAATGAACCCCCAAACCAAGTTTGCAATTATTAACTAAAAGATTTATGCTTGAATGGAATGAGGGAGAGAGAACTTATTTTTATGTTTTCTAACATCTCCAGGGAAGGAGTGGGACACAAATTAATCATTTGTTAGACACTGTCACCATGCTTTATCTCATACTTAACTATTTAGGAAAACAAAGTGTTAAAAGGTCACAGCATTTTAATGTTCTGTTATCTTGGAAAATTAACTTTAAGAGATAGAAAGACAGAGGGGTGTGTGTGTCTTATAATATGTTACAACTTTCAAGTTGTTTTTATTTCGACAACTCATCCATAAATAATCTTCATAAATCATATTCTAGATTATGATTATATCAAACTTTTTAGATGTTATCACCAATTGCAAACAGCTCACCTTTTGCTGCATATCAACAAATGGCACTCAATATTTTAACTTCCTACTTACAAGTGGCCCATAAAGATTGTAGTGAGAACAGCATGAACATTTTCAAATGGGGTCATGGCCCAATTCCACTTTCCTTTCGCATACCACTTTATTATTTTTTATGCTATTGCTATTTTTTACCTGCATTTGTGTTATATAAATTGACTTAACCAAAATACTAGGACTTCATTTTATTTTCCTGAAAAAAATACCTAATATATTAAAAGATGCTTAACATCATATATTATTAAGAATTTGAAAATTAAAATAACAATGAGATACCACTACATGCCCATTAGAATGGCCAAAACACTGACACCACCAAATGCTGGCAAAGATGTGAAGCAACAGGAGCTCTCATTCATTGCTGGTGGAAATACAAAATGGTACAGCAACTTTCAAAGGCAGTTTAACAATTTTTTATAGTCAAAGAAACAAAATATGTTTTATGACTCAATCTGTAATTTGAAATCAGCTCCATGTGGGAATAAATTTATTTATAAAGTCTCAAGTACCCTTTCTGAACCATATTCATATTTTTAATTAACTATCTTCCTCATTTCCTGAGACACACATCCTGAGGGTTGTAGGAATGATTTTTCCAGGGACCACCAAGTATACACCAACTCATCTTTGGAGTCTAATTCTTAAGGGTAACTATAATAGAACTTCTGGAGTCTGCACAAGCTTCAGAGTATAAAGTCAAGTCTTTGGTTAATTTTTATTTCTTTGTTTCAAAAAATAGGTTAAAGACAATTATCTTTTATTCTTTATTTCCTTATGAATATAAAGCAAAAATCCAGTTATAGTCTATTTTTCTGCTTTGAATGTGTCCATTGTTTTAATAATGCATGCATTCTTTCTTACAGAGACTTCACCATATAATTGTGACAAAGAATGAACAAAATGGAAATGGTTCCTTCTTTTTAAAATAGGCCCTTTGAGCTGGAAGACTAGAATTTATCTCTCCCTCATAAGCTCTCTCTCTGTCATTCTCTCTGTCTCTGTCATTCTCTCTCTCTCTCTCCATGAAGCATCTTCATATATCTATCTTGTGTTACTTTATATAGTGTCTGGATATTAAGTATGAGAATTTTAAAAGAACACAGCATGTCCCAATATGTGTGTTTTTATTTGGTGTGTTTGGATCATACTTATATCTCATGGCAAGTCCAGAATCAATGTGGAAGGGGACTATGCAAAGTGGTGAACACCAACAGGCATGGTCTCCAAAAAGAGTTCAGTTCAGGCGCTTTAAAAAGAAAACAACATCTGAAGTTCTTGGAAGATCTTTACACTGACATGAAATCGTCCATAAAACTAATAAACAGTAGAAATTAATCTTTTCAATATTTAAGCAAAACATTCATTCAAGATGAAATCCCATATTTCAGTTGTTTGTCATTGTTCTTTATCTGGGTGTAGCGATCTCCATACATTTAAATCTTTATCCCCTCTACATTTTTAATGTAAGGTTTAGTATAATGTTTTCTTATTTTAGATAATGTAAATTTTAAATATGTGGCAAACGATTTTCATATTATAAATAATAATGATGCAGCAAGCTAATGTATGTTGAAAAATGGAAAAGTATAACTGTGTCTACCTCTGTTTCCTCCCAAAGAAAATATAATAAATATGTTTCTATCTTAATTTTCCATATGCTTGTAGTACAACTTACTGGGTTTTAATTTCTTCTGAACCTTCATAAAATAAAACCTCCCATGCCATTGAAACACACACAGTTTTATGCCAACAACTTAGAAGCTCCTTTAGGTAGAGAAATTATCTGAGTATCAAAACTGCTGTGCACAAATAGCACATCATTTTAAATTAACGCCACAACTAGCTGCAAGATACAAATTTTAAAAAGATATTACAAGTTTGAGACACATTTTAAGTGAAGCATGATAGCGGTGCTAAGAAGCAATGCAATTTCATATTTGAATCAAATAACACTTCTATAGCACATTGATGGAAAGAAAAATTCCTACATAAGTTCACGGAGTAAAATAGTTTCAAAAGTTTTTAAGATGTGACCTACCTTCTTTGTCATAATTGCAAAAGTTTTATGCCAGAAAACAGAAATTTATCTTTTGTTTCAAATAAATTATTTTCTTCCTGTAAGCCTATGTTTAAAAATCAAAGTTTTAAATGATTAAAAACTCACTTTCTGGAGGGAGGAGCCAAGATGGCGGAATAGGAACAGCTCCGGTCTACAGCTCCCAGCGTGAGCGACGCAGAAGACGGGTGATTTCTGCATTTCCATCTGAGGTACCGGGTTCATCTCACTAGGGAGTGCCAGACAGTGGGCGCAGGACAGTGGGTGCATGCACCGTGCACGAGCCGAAGCAGGGCCAGGCATTGCCTCACTTGGGAAACGCAAGGGGTCAGGGAGTTCCCTTTCCCAGTCAAAGAAAGGGGTGATGGACGGCACCTGGAAAATCGAGTCACTCCCACCCGAATACTGCGCTTTTCCGACGGGCTTAAAAAACGGCGCACCACGAGATTATATCCGGCACCTGGCTCCGAGGGTCCTACACCCACGGAGTCTCGCTGATTGCTAGCACAGCAGTCTGAGATCAAACTGCAAGGCGGCAGTGAGGCTGGGGAGGGGCGCCCGCCATTGCCCAGGCTTGCTTAGGTAAACAAAGCAGCCAGGAAGCTCCAACTGGGTGGAGCCCACCACAGCTCAAGGAGACCTGCCTGCCTCTGTAGGCTCCACCTCTGGGGGCAGGGCACAGACAAACAAAAAGACAGCAGTAACCTTTGCAGACTTAAGTGACCCTGTCTGACAGCTTTGAAGAGAGCAGTGGTTCTCCCAGCACGCAGCTGGAGATCTGAGAATGGGCAGACTGCCTCCTCAAGTGGGTCCCTGACCCCTGACCCCCGAGCAGCCTAACTGGGAGGCACCCCCCAGCAGGGGCACAATGACACCTCACACGGCAGGGTATTCCAACAGACCTGCAGCTGAGGGTCCTGTCTGTTAGAAGGAAAACTAACAAACAGAAAGGACATCCACACCAAAAACCCAACTGTACATCACCATCATCAAAGACCAAAAGTAGATAAAACCACAAAGATGGGGAAAAAACAGAACAGAAAAACTGGAAACTCTAAAAAGAAGAGCACCTCTCCTCCTCCAAAGGAACGCAGTTCCTCACCAGCAATGGAACAAAGCTGGATGCAGAATGACTTTGAAGAGCTGAGAGAAGAAGGCTTCAGACGATCAAATTACTCTGCGCTACGGGAGGATATTCAAACCAAAGGCAAAGAAGTTGAAAACTTTGAAAAAAATTTAGAAGAATGTATAACTAGAATAACCAATACAGAGAAGTGCTTAAAGGAGCTGACGGAGCTGAAAACCAAGGCTCGAGAACTACGTGAAGAATGCAGAAGCCTCAGGAGCCGATGCGATCAACTGGAAGAAAGGGTATCAGCGATGGAAGATGAAATGAATGAAATGAAGCGAGAAGCGAAGTTTAGAGAAAAAAGAATAAAAAGAAATGAGCAAAGCCTCCAAGAAATATGGGACTATGTGAAAAGACCAAATCTACGTCTGATTGGTGTACCTGAAAGTGATGGGGAGAATGGAACCAAGTTGGAAAACACTCTGCAGGATATTATCCAGGAGAACTTCCCCAATCTAGCAAGGCAGGCCAACGTTCAGATTCAGGAAATACAGAGAACGCCACAAAGATACTCCTCGAGAAGAGCAACTCCAAGACACATAATTGTCAGATTCACCAAAGTTGAAATGAAGGAAAAAATGTTAAGAGCAGCCAGAGAGAAAGGTCGGGTTACCCAAAAAGGGAAGCCCATCAGACTAACAGCAGATCTATCGGCAGAAACCCTACAAGCCAGAAGAGAGTGGGGGCCAATATTCAACATTCTTAAAGAAAAGAATTTTCAACCCAGAATTTCATATCCAGCCAAACTAAGCTTCATAAGTGAAGGAGAAATAAAATACTTTACAGACAAGCAAATGCTGAGAGATTTTGTCACCACCAGGCCTGCCCTAAAAGAGCTCCTGAAGGAAGCGCTAAACATGGAAAGGAACAACCGGTACCAGCCACTGCAAAAACATGCCAAAATGTAAAGACCATCAAGACTAGGAAGAAACTGCATCAACTAACGAGCAAAATAACCAGCTAGCATCATAATGACAGGATCAAATTCACAAATAACAATATTAACTTTAAATTAAATGGACTAAATGCTCCAATTAAAAGACACAGACTGGCAAATTGGATAAAGAGTCAAGACCCATAAGTGTGCTGTATTCAGGAAACCCATCTCACGTGCAGAGACACACATAGGCTCAAAATAAAAGGATGGAGGAACATCTAACAAGCAAATGGAAAACAAAAAAAGGCAGGGGTTGCAATCCTAGTCTCTGATGAAACAGACTTTAAACCAACAAAGATCAAAAGAGACAAAGAAGCCCATTACATAATGGTAAAGGGATCAATTCAACAAGAAGAGCTAACTATCCTAAATACATATGCACCCAATACAGGAGCACCCAGATTCATAAAGCAAGTCCTGAGTGACCTACAAAGAGACTTAGACTCCCACACATTAATAATGGGAGACTTTAACACCCCACTGTCAACATTAGACAAATCAATGAGACAGAAAGTCAACAAGGATACCCAGGAATTAAACTCAGCTCTGCACCAAGCAGACCTAATAGACATCTACAGAACTCTCCACCCCAAATCAACAGAATATACATTTTTTTCAGCACCACACCACACCTATTCCAAAATTGACCACATACTTGGAAGTGAAGCTCTCCTCAGCAAATGTAAAAGAACAGAAATTATAACAAACTATCTCTCAGACCACAGTGCAATCAAACTAGAACTCAGGATTAAGAATCTCACTCAAAACCGCTCAAATACATGGAAACTGAACAACCTGCTCCTGAATGACTACTGGGTACATAACGAAATGAAGGCAGAAATAAAGATGTTCTTTGAAATCAACAAGAACAAAGACACAACATACCAGAATCTCTGGGACGCATTCAAAGCAGTGTGTAGAGGGAAATTTATAGCACTAAATGCCCACAAGAGAAAGCAGGAAAGATCCAAAATTGACACCCTAACATCACAATTAAAAGAACTAGAAAAGCAAGAGCAAACACATTCAAAAGCTAGCAGAAGGCAAGAAATAACTAAAATCAGAGCAGAACTGAAGGAAATAGAGACACAAAAAACCCTTCAAAAAATTAATGAATCCAGGAGCTGGTTTTTTGAAAGGATCAACAAAATTGATAGACTGCTAGCAAGACTAATAAAGAAGAAAAGAGAGAAGAATCAAATAGACGCAATAAAAAATGATAAAGGGGATATCACCACCGATCCCAAAGAAATACAAACTACCATCAGAGAATACTACAAACCCCTCTACGCAAATAAACTAGAAAATCTAGAAGAAATGGATAAATTCCTTGACACATACACTCTCCCAAGACTAAACCAGGAAGAAGTTGAATCTCTGAACAGACCAATAACAGGATCTGAAATTGTGGCAATAATCAATAGCTTACCAACCAAAAAGAGTCCAGGACCAGATGGATTCACAGCCGAATTCTACCAGAGGTACAAGGAGGAACTGGTACCATTCCTTCTGAAACTATTCCAATCAATGGAAAAAGAGGGAATCCTCCCTAACTCTTTTTATGAGGCCAGCATCATTCTGAAACCAAAGCCAGGCAGAGACACAACAAAAAAAGAGAATTTTAGACCAATATCCTTGATGAACATTGATGCAAAAGCCCTCAATAAAATACTGGCAAAACGAATCCAGCAGCACATCAAAAAAGCTTATTCACCATGATCGAGTGGGCTTCATCCCTGGGATGCAAGGCTGGTTCAATACACGCAAATCAATAAATGTAATCCAGCATATAAACAGAGCCAAAGACAAAAACCACATGATTATCTCAATAGATGCAGAAAAAGCCTTTGACAAAATTCAACAACCCTTCATGCTAAAAACTCTCAATAAATTAGGTATTGATGGGACGTATTTCAAAATAATAAGAGCTATCTATGACAAACCCACAGCCAATATCATACTGAATGGGCAAAAACTGGAAGCATTCCCTTTGAAAACTGGCACAAGACAGGGATGCCCTCTCTCACCACTCCTATTCAACATAGTGTTGGAAGTTCTGGCCAGGGCAATTAGGCAGGAGAAGGAAATAAAGGGTATTCAATTAGGAAAAGAGGAAGTCAAATTGTCCCTGTTTGGAGACGACATGATTGTATATCTAGAAAACCCCATTGTCTCAGCCCAAAATCTCCTTAAGCTGATAAGCAACTTCAGCAAAGTCTCAAGATACAAAATCAATGTACAAAATCACAAGCATTCTTATACACCAACAACAGACAAACAGAGAGCCAAATCATCAGTGAACTCCCATTCACAATTGCTTCAAAGAGAATAAAATACCTAGGAATCCAACTTACAAGGGATGTGAAGGACCTCTTCAAGGAGAACTACAAACCACTGCTCAAGGAAATCAAAGAGGATACAAACAAATGGAAGAACATTCCATGCTCATGGGTAGGAAGAATCAATATCGTGAAAATGGCCATACTGCCCAAGGTAATTTACAGATTCAATGCCATCCCCATCAAGCTACCAATGACTTTCTTCACAGAATTCGAAAAAACTACTTTAAAGTTCATATGGAACCAAAAAAGAGCCCGCATCGCCAAGGCAATCCTAAGCCAAAAGAACAAAGCTGGAGGCATCACGCTACCTGACTTCAAACTATACTACAAGGCTACAGTAACCAAAACAGCATGGTACTGGTACCAAAACAGACATATAGATCAATGGAACAGAACAGAGCCCTCAGAAATAACGCCACATATCTACAACTATCTGATCTTTGACAAACCTGAGAAAAACAAACAATGGGGAAAGGATTCCCTATTTAATAAATGGTGCTGGGAAAACTGGCTAGCCATATGTAGAAAGCTGAAACTGGATCCCTTCCTTACACTTTATACAAAAATCAATTCAAGATGGATTAAAGACTTAAACGTTAGACCTAAAACCATAAAAACCCTAGAAGAAAACCTAGGCATTACCATTCAGGACATAGGCATGGGCAAGGACTTCATGTCCAAAACACCAAAAGCAATGGCAACAAAAGCCAAAATTGACAAATGGGATCTAATTAAACTAAAGAACTTCTGCACAGCAAAAGAAACTACCATCAGAGTCAACAGGCAACCTACAAAATAGGAGAAAATTTTCACAACCTACTCATCTGACAAAGGGCTAATATCCAGAATCTAAAATGAACTCAAACAAATTGACAAGAAAAAACAAACAACCCCATCAAAAAGTGGGCGAAGGATATGAACAGACACTTCTCAAAAGAAGACATTTATGCAGCCAAAAAACACATGAAAAAATGTTCATCATCACTGGCCATCAGAGAAATGCAAATCAAAACCACAATGAGATACCATCTCACACCAGTTAGAATGGCAATCATTAAAAAGTCAGGAAACAACAGGTGCTGGAGAGGATGTGGAGAAATAGGAACACTTTTACACTGTTGGTGGGACTGTAAACTAGTTCAACCATTGTGGAAGTCAGTGTGGCGATTCCTAAGGGATCTAGAACTGGAAATACCATTTGACCCAGCCATCCCATTACTGGGTATATACCCAAAGGACTATAAATCATGCTGCTATAAAGACACATGCACACGTATGTTTATTGCGGCATTATTCACAATAGCAAAGACTTGGAACCAACCCAAATGTCCAACAATGATAGACTGGATTAAGAAAATGTGGCACATATACACCATGGAATACTATGCAGCCATAAAAAATGATGAGTTCATGTCCTTTGTAGGGACATGGATGAAATTGGAAATCATCATTCTCAGTAAACTTTGGCAAGAACAAAAAACCAAACACCGCATATTCTCACTCACAGGTGGGAATTGAACAATGAGATCACATGGACACAGGAAGGAGAATATCACACTCTGGGGACTGTGGTGGGGTTGGGGGATGGGGGAGGGATAGCATTGGGAGATATACCTAATGCTAGATGACGAGTTAGTGGGTGCAGCGCACCAGCATGGCACATGTATACATATGTAACTAACCTGCACAATGTGCACATGTACCCTAGAACTTAAAGTATAATAAAAAAAAAAAGAAAGCAAAGAAAAAAAACTCACTTTCTTATTAATTAAAAATAACTTGAACGGGTTGTGGAAAACTTTAATGAGTAATCAGTAAACCATTTATAAAATAAATCTGTTATTGACTGAATCAATTGAATAGTCCTCTATTATTTGCCTTGTCAAATTTGGATTGTATTATTAGTCAGAAAGTTAAGCTGAGGCATTAAAATAGCCCCATATGTTTTGTCATTCTCTGTTTTGTTAGGGTAAACTCTTAAAAAATACAAAAAAGACAAAACCATAAATGTACTTCTTTGATGAATGTGTATAAGATAAACATAGCCATGTAATAATCAGCCAGATCAAGTAGAATACTTCCAGAAACAAAATCTCCCTCATTTCTACATTCATTTATTAATGTTCCTTGATAAAGGTAAACAGTTTTCTAAGCCTTCATGGTACATTTTTTTTTTTTTGCCTACTGCAGAAAGCTGTATACTCCATTGTGATTGATTTTTTGTACTTTAAAATATGGTTGTGAAATTCATTCATGTTGTTGTATGTTCTGGTAGTTCATTTGTTTTCATTTTCATGTAGTATTCCATGTATAAGATATTCTATTTTATTTATTTATTATACTGTTGATGGACATTTGGGTTGTTTCTAATTTGGAACTCAAAGAATGGTGTCAGTAACATTATTATTAATGGCATTTGCTGCAAATAAGCTCATGGAAATCAGAAAAAAAATGAGCTAAGTCAATTTCAAAATGTGAAAAAAAATATTGAGTATTTACAAAATAAGATTTCCATATGGTCAATAGACATGTAAAAAAGTCTTCAAAATAATTAGTCATTAATAAAATGTAAATTAAAACCCAATGAGATACCACAACACACTATACAGAATGGCAGAAAATAGAAAGTAATGCCAAATATTGGTAAGGATATTAAAAAACAAGAATTTTCACATATTGCTGCTGATTCTGTAAACTGATATAACAGCTAACTTCTATTGTTTAACAGTGTCTAGAAAAGCTAAACAAATTTTTCTTTCTGATGTAAATTTTCCAAGAAAGTTCAACAAGACATAAAGAAATATGTTTATAGCCCAGTATTCATAATGGCCACCTTCATTTTCTAGGATATTTCAGCTGGTTATAGTATTCTAGATGGATACATTTTCTCTTGGCATATCACAAATGCCATTAAATATCATCTGTTTTCATAATTTACATTGAAAGATCAATAGTTATTCATATTGTTGTTCCATTTAAATTAATCTATTTTCTGCCTCTGCTATTGAATTTGTTAATTTTGTTTTAATAACATTATTTATCTCTACCTATGCCATTTCCTTCCAAGGAAATAGTTCTTTAAATATTGTTTCATTATTTTTCCTCTCTTGTACTTCATATACATGCATAGTAGAAACTTTCACTGTGTCTCATCTGTTCCTTTCTCTTTCTCTCTTCAATAATACATGTTATGTTATCCTCTGCTCCATAATATATACACATATGTATATATATTACACTGGCTATATTACATTGTCTACCCAAGTTTGTATGGTTCATACCCCCATAAACCTCAGTTTAAATATTTTAACTATCCTATCTTTAGTTTACTATCCCCCACTTCTGCTGAATCTGATCTAATTTTTAAAACAGATTTATTAAAGTCTTATTTACATAAAAATAAATCTATCAATTGTATAATAGGTAATACATTTATAGAATTGTACAATCACAACAATCCATCTCTAGAACATTTGCATCACTCCAAAATATTTCTTTATACCTTTTTACACTTAAGCTATGCCTTTCCCAGATATGGCAACAACTAGTCTGGTTTCTGTATCTGTACATTTGCCTTTTCTGGTCATTTCAAATAAATGTAAATCATATGATACATGGTCTTTTGTGATTGGCTTCTTTCACTTGCGTAATGTTTTTGAGGTTTATCAATGTTGTACTATGTAATCATGTTTTTTCCCTTTTTTATTGCTGAATAGTATTTATTGTGTTGATATAAAACAGTTCATAGATTCATTTACCAGCTAAATGGACATTTGAATTGTTTCCACTTTTTGGCCATTATGAAAGTTGCTGCTATGAACATTCACATCATGTCTTTGTGTGGAAGTTTTTTTGTTGTTGTTTTTATTTTTCTAGGCTGATACCTAGGATTGGAATTTCTGGGGTTTATGGTAAATTCATGTTTACCTTTTTTTCTTTTTGAGACAGGGTCTTTCTCTGTTGCCCAAACTGGAGTACAGTGGTATGATCACAGCTCACTGAAGCCTCAAACTCCTGTGCTCAAATAAACCTCCTGCCTCAGCCTCCCAAGTAGCTAGGACTGCAGACACATGTCACCATGCCAGCCCATGTTTAACTTTTTAAGGGACAACCAAACTGTTTTCCAAAATGCCTGTACCATTTTACATTCATACCAGAAATGCATGAAAATTTCAATTTTTTCATTTTCCTGTCAAATGTTGTTATTGTCCATCTTCTCAATTGTAGCCACTCTAATAGTACATAGTTGGAAATTAATGAATACTAAATACATAAATATATATGTATGAGTAAATTCCATTAGGTAAATTTTTCCAGGAAAAATTTATAAGAAAGATTACTTTTATTTTGACTCTACTTGTAAAAATCTCAAATATATTGTGAGCAAATAATCAGACGTAAAAAGCATAACATTATAATCAAGTATGATTATACCAGTAATTGAAGGGTGATCCAACATTTTAAAATGTTCTTTAGCTACTCTGTGTAACATACGAATAGCATTGTAAAGTGTCCAATATCACCTTGATTAAAAATGTATGATAAACTAGATGAAACTTTATTTTTAACATAAAAATTGTTATATTTTTATGTAAAGTGTCAAAAAAGGAGATACAGTATTTTCCAAAATAAAAGTAATGACAGTGATCTGTTGTTCTCTAATCCTAAATAAATCTCCACCCTTCCCTCAAACTCTTTCATTCTAACTCTGATAAACCTACCCTGCAAAGTGAAAGTAAACTTCCTATTCAAAAATTAGTCAATTTTGGTTGCATCCATATCTGGCAAATTTTATACAGCTATGGTTTGGGAAACCAAAGTTATTAGACTATATGCAATAACTTGAAGCACAGCTTTCCCATGACGATATTTTTCACAACCACATTTTGAAATATATATAGGAATACACTATAATTGACATTTTGACAAACCTTGGGAATGTTCATACATAAATGTGTAAGGAGTCCACAAGAATACCCTCAGATTCAAAGACTCACTAGAAGGGTTCGCAAGACACTCAATAAAAAACCGTTAGATGCATGGTTATGGTTAGTTACCATGAAAGGACACAGATTTAAATCAGCAAACAAAGATGAATGGGGTGAAGTCCAGAAGCTGGGTATAAGATTTTAGATGTCACCTCCCAATGGAGTCACACAGGGACACAACTCTCCCAGCAACACTGTGTGAAAACACATGTAGAGTCTTGCCACCAGGAAGCTCATCTGAACTTTGATGTTCAGAGTTTTTATTGGTAGTCAGTTATGTGGATGTGCAGTGCCCACATCACAGACCTCAGCTTCTCAGACTCCAGGCCTCTCACCCTAAAGGAAAAACAGACATTCAACACATATCACACAGCTAGGATAAACACATCTGGTCAAATTGGTACAACATCGCCTAAGGCCTCAAGGATACAAAAACACTGTTATCAGGCAGAATACTGTAAGGGGTTGAAGGTTATCTCCAAGTAGTTGGCTAAGGGCCAGTCCTGAAGATAGATCTTTCTTTAGAATGTGCAGGATGTGAGCCAACCAAGCCTGCTGAGTTAACCCTTTCCTGTCCAATAAACTACATACATGTTTGGTTTCATCAATACAAAATATCATTAATTTTAATGTTGCAACACAATGGATTGTAATCCTTCCTTTGAATTTCCCAGTTTTCATTAGAATCACCAAATTTTGTATAATCTATTCTTGCATATTACATGTTGCTTAGTAAATATTAAATCAAAAAGATTTTGGCAATATTCAACACTGTGTGCCATTTTGTATATTTTTAAATTACAAATAATCATTGTATATATTCATTGGGTAGAATGCATAATGTGATACATATGTACCTTGTAAAATGATCAAATCAGACTGATAACATATCTAGCACTTCACATAGCTATAATTTGTTTGTGGTGAAAACATTTAAAATGCTCTCTTTTAGCAATTTTTAAATATGCAATACATTATTATTACTATAGTCACCATGCTGTACAATAGATCATCAGAAGTTATTCCTCCTAACTAAAGCTTTGTACCTTTTAACCAATATCTCTCCTTTTCCAGTCCACAACTCCCCTCCACCCTCTGGCAAACATCATTTTATTCTCTACTTCTGAGAGTTAGGCTTTTTAGATTCCACATACAAGTGAGATTATCTAGTATTTTTCCTTCCATGTCTGGTTTATGTCACTTAGCATAATTCTCAACATCATTAATCACATGGAAATGGAAACTAAAACCACAAAAAAACACTTCATAGTTGTTAGAATGGCTATTAACAAAAAGATGAAAGATAACAAGTGCTAATGAGGGTATAGAAAAAGAGGAACCCTTATATATCATTGGTTGGAATATAAGTTAGTACAGCCATTATGGAAAACAGTATGGAGTTTCCTCAAAAAACTAATAGTATAACTACCGTATACTGTACCATATACTAACTACCATATACTAACATATATGTATATAACTATCATATACATATACCATATACTAACAGTATAACTACCAGTAATCCCACTACTGGATACATATATATATATATATATATATATATATATATATATATATATAGTAATTGAAATAAGTATATCAAAGAGTTATGTGCATTGTCATGTTTATTGCAGCGTTATTTACAATAGCCAAGAAAAATTGAAGTGCCTATAAATGAATGTATAGATAAAAACAAAATGTGGCAGATATAAACAAAAGAATATTATCCAGCCTTAAAAAATAAAAATGAATAAATCTAAGTGCATGTTATTTTTGATAGAGATTCTAATGAGCTCAAATGCTCTAAAAATGCCAAATCATGAAAAAAAAGCCCTCCTTTTATTCCGAGCTTCTTCAAAATTTAATAACCTTTAAAAAACAATAAAAATAATGACAGAAGCTAAGAGAACATACTTAACTACCTACCAGAACCTAAAAAGCAAGCATCATAAATGTTATTCTTATACAGAAATATTCTAAATACAGTCTAGAAAAAAAGAGAAGTCTCTGTTTGCCATCACTACTGAAATTCTGTCTTTTTTACACATTTTAATTATTAGAGTATTTTTAAGGCTCACAGAAAATTTAATTAGAAAATATAGAGAGGTTCTGTATATGCCCCTTCCTCATATATGCAAAGCCTCCTCCACTACAACATCCCCCGCCAGAGGGTTATATTTACTACAGCCGATGAACTTGCACTAACACATCATTGTCACCCAAAGTCCACAGCTTACACCAAGGCTCTTTCTTGGTTTGTGCATTCTACGGGTTTAGACAAATGTTTACTATATTATCAATCATTATAGTATCAAACAGAATAGCTTCACTGCCCTAAAAATCCTCTCTATTCTGCCTTTTCATCCCTCCCTCCCCCCACAACCCCTAGCAACCAATGATCTTTTCATTGTCTCCACAGTTTTGCCTTTTCCAGAACATAATATAGATGGAATCATACAGTATATAACTTTTTCATATTGGTTTATGTCACTTACTAATATATATTTAAGTTTCCCCCATGACTTTCCATGTCCTGATAGCTTTTCATGGCTTGACATTTCATTATCTGGATGCACTACAGTTTATTTGTCCATTTGTTACTGAGTTTGGTCTGGGTCCTGTTGTTTGCCACAGAGAAAGCCAAGGAGAGGTAAGGAATTATGATGAATGAGAAGTCTGGTGTCTCATTGGCTGGATGCAGTGATCTGGTGAGTTACAATTATTCAGACGGAGGGTTTTTTCCTGAGGAAATAACTCAGATAAGACTTAAGTTTCAAGCTTTAAGACCAGGAGGGTCGATTTCTATGATTTTCCAACAAACAGTAAACATCATTTCTATGGGACAGTTTGACCAGTTGCAGCACCCACCCACTCCCCTAACTTTCCATTTATTAATTCCTCAACCACAGGGAATCTGGTTGTGGATACTTCTGACTGCTTCATGGTCAGGAGTGGCATCATGGGATGAGGAATGAAAACGTTATCCCTGTAGTTGGAAGTACTTATGGATACCTGGTTGGCATCTGGCTTGTTGGAGCACCATGACTTGGGTACTTTTATTAATGGTTTTAGAATATTTTAAGCCACATTGACTAGGATGATTAATAACATAAATAACCCAAATTTTAAAATGCCAAAAGAATATAGAGTGGATCCTTTGAGGAATCCAAGAGAACTGCATGTTGCCCTTATGATTTCTTATCTACGGTCTTTTGCTGGGTCTTGAGTTTTAAGTTAAGGCCATACTAGAGTTCACAGATTATAACTGTTTCCTCTGAAGGGATCCCAGAGGCACTGGTTTTACCCAAATATGGTGAATCCATAGCTTAGCACGGGCTAACCTGATAGATGAGTGGGTGGTCAGCAACACCTCAAAAAAACCAACCCTTGTGGTTGCCTTTGGTCTTCAGTCTGGTGGGATTTTGAGGTTTTCAGCAGGACATGGTCCTCTAGTTTCAAAGAGTTGAGAGGAACAACTTTAGTAAACTAGAGCCTGTTGGAAACAAACTCAGAGAGACCAGCTATTAATAATATTTTCCTAATTGTTTTACATGTGATCTAGGTTATATTTGGGGGAAGAAAATATCCTCAAGTGTCAGGGAGTCAGGGTGTTGGAGAAAATAGTCTTCCACGCATTTCAAAAAGGCTAAGAGCTAACCAACTTCTTGGGGCTGCGTATATTGTCAGCAAGGCAAGGGACAAGCTGTTTTCCCAGGTAAGATTTGTCTCTTGGCAACTGGGGCCCCCTTGACCACAAGTGGGTCCATTCAGTCTGTGCGGGGCTTAGGATTTTATTTTGTCCCATACTGTTGCTGGAGTGGTGTGGCTACCTGCCCCAGATCCATCCTGTCCCTCCATGGGAACCTAAATCACCAAAATACTCAAAAGATTTATAACTAATTATGTTTTAGACCAGATAAGAATGGAGGTGGGCAGACACTTTTTAACACTTAGAATCATTTAAGCCACAAAAGAGCCAAAAACTTAAAGCCAAAAGTGAGGTTACAGAATTGCCTGTGACTCAAAGGAATTTCCTTTGCCATTTAACAGGCCACACTCTGGCCTGTTTACCATACAGGACTTATTTTCTCACATAAAATTATTCTCTTTCTTTATAACCTTCCTTACCAAAAATACATCTTTATATCCATAACTTTCTTCACATGTCTCTCTCCTATTTACCGGTTCCTTTCTACCTTGTTTCATAAACAATCTTTTCAAGTCCATAATTTGAATCAATCTTTACATAACTTCTGAATTAGACAAAACTATTATTTTTCTCAATAAGAACACATCTTCTTTGGCACATTTTATATACAGAATTATATGTTAACTATAATTCTTATTCTTAGAAACCTTAAATTTTAGTGAAAATCTAGGAAGCAAGAAATCCTGAGCTGCTTATCAGATATTAGTATTTTATAGATGAAGACCATTCCACTATTTTTAAAAATACTTCCCCATATCATAACCCTTTCTTAATTGGAAGTGACCTAGATATCTAGTGACTATCCAAAATGATTTTAAGATTTTAAACTACACAAAAAGTTTACCAACAGCATTTACCCCATCTACATTTCATTCATTTTTAACCGTTTATCTAGATTACTTATGAGAACTCAGATACTAGACAAAGCTAGTCATTATCTCCTTGCTAACCATTTTTATACCCTGTGCATATTAGGTATTCACCCATGTCAGAAACTTAAGTACATTGGTATTTTCACCAGTCACTCAGAAGATTCAATTTTTTTCATTAAACTAACAACATTAAGTTAGTTTTGTTTATCAAAAAGACCACACAAAGATCACTTTGGATTTGGCTAGGTTTGTAGTTTTATAACCTTCTGTGTCAAACCCTGACACCTTAAAATATCTAGCAGAGACAAATATAAAACCTAGACAAAAATGTATGCTGACCATTCCAAAGACAATTCTATTTTAATCTTACCATTAATTTTAAAGACTGCTTGTTTATTAAAGATTTACTCAAGTCACATGCCCTTGAAAAGCACTTCAACATATTTACTTAATTTATGAGCATTATTTTATTTATAAACCAATTTGGTAGACACAACATTATTCATGTCCATACACATAAACACATCTAAACATGTATACACAAACAAAGATCCAATAGCTTTTATCTCAGATCTCTAGCCATGAGATAGCAATACGAACTCACTGGTTTACAAATATGTTCACCTGGATAAACTTTGTTTGCCACAATAGGTAATTCAAATAAAGCTGTGAACCAAAATTTTGGGTAAAGCAGTTTCCATGGCAGTTTGAGTTTTTAAGACCAAATCTCTTCACACTCAAAAGAACACTGGGGCCAAACACCACAAAAGAACATCACATACTGACCAGGCAGGACAGTGCTTAGAACAGTGGCATAAAAGCCTGAATGCAGAAACTCCATCCCACTTTGCCAATCAACAGGACACATACAATAACAACCACCAAACATAATCCAACTGCTGCAGCCAATAAGCCCAAGAGTGTCCAAACTGAAACGAAGTGCTTTCCTCTTTCATTCAGTTGGGCTTCTTCAAATTGCAGATGGAAATTCCTTTAGAATTCCTCAAATCAAGAGGAATAGACTTTGTTGTCTGGTACCCACAAAAGACACTCACCCATTCAGATGCAGATGTCAAATGTCAAAGGTTGTTCTTCCTAGGCAATCAGGAATGCGGCTGAGGCCAGAGGCAGTGGACCACAGAGAGAGAGAGATCAAAGCCCACCTCTGAGCAAATAAAAAAAAAGAGGCGGCTGCTTAGGAGGGCTTCTGAAACTCCTGGCCCTTGGCAGCTGAGCTATAAGTAATACAATCCTAATCAGGGAATCAAAATTTGTTACTGTCAGGCCTCTGAGCCCAAGTTAAGCCATCATATCCCCTGTGACCTGCATGTATACATCCAGATGGCCTGAAGTAACTGAAGAACCACAAAAGCAGTGACAATAGCCAATTCCTGCCTTAACTGATGACATTCCACCATTGTGATTTGTTCCTGCCCCACCCAAACTGATCAATTGACCTTGTGACATTCCTTCTCCTGGACAATGAATCTCAGAGCTCTCCACAGAGCACCTTGTGACCCCCACCCCCTGCTTGCAAGAGAAAAACCACCTTTAACTGTAATTTTCCACTACTTACCCAAATCCTATAACACTGCACCACCCCTATCTCCCTTTGCTGACTCCTTTTTCGGACTCAGGACACTTGCACCCAGGTAATTAAAAGCTTTATTGCTCACACAAAGCCTGTTTGCTGGTCTCTTCAAACGGATGCACGTAACAGTTACAAAAATGCCAGGGGTTTGGACTAGGTCCTGCTGCTTGCTCTCACAGAAAGCCAGTCACTTCAGTAACAAGTATTGCCAAAGAAGGCTTTATTTGGGTGCTTCAGCCAAGGAAAACAGGAGATCAGTCTCAAATCTGTCTCCCCAACTGAATACAATTATGAATTTACATAGCAGGGAAGCAATATAACTGCATGTGGGAAAACAGAAATTAGGAAAAGGTAAGGAAGAGGAGTTGGTAAACAAATTATGATGTATGAGGGCTCTGGCATCTCATTGTTTGGATGTGGTAACTGGTGAGTTTCATTTCTTGATACTATCTGCATGGCCTGAGGTCAGCTTTCAGGGGATGGAACTCAGATAAGACAAATGAATGTTTCAAGTTTAGAAGCAAAAGAGAAAAATATTTTTTGATTTGCATCTCACTTATCCTTCTCAAGCCCCACATTGGGCCTCAAAATGTTGGACTTTCTCTTCAGTTCAGTAAAAACCTGGGTTCGTGTCACATGACCAGGAAAGATTAGGCTTATAGACACATAGAAGGATAAGGACAATTGAATTTATTGAGTGAAAAGGAAAAATACTCTCAGCAAAGTGAGAAGGGTTCCTGTTAACAGGCCCCCTTCTCACAGATTGAATCCCAGATTATCATATAGGACATGGAGAGGCCAGGCTCCTCCCTCTTGCAAACAGCATGAACTTCCCAAGGCACCCTCCCATCCTCCCAGTGCACAGGCCAGTTGGACATTCTCCAGGGAGCCCTTTATACTTGACTGTCTCAGTAAAGAAGGCTATTAAAAGATTCTCCACATCATATATCATTAGGAATATGCTAATTAAAACAACAAAAAGATACCACTACACATCCATTAGAATTGCCAAAATGCAAAATGCCAGCCACACCAAATGTCGATGAGAATGTGGACTAACAAGAACTCCCATTTATTACTGGTCGAAATACAAAATGGTGTAGCCACTTTGGAAGACAGTTTTGACATTTTTTTACCAAAGTAACCAGATTCTTACAATACCTTCCAGCAATCACACTCCTTGTTATTTACCCAAAGAAGTTAAAAACTTGTCTACATTAAAACTTACCCATGGATGTTTATATGAGCTTTATTCATTATTGCCAAAACTTGGAAACAACCAAGACGGTCTTCATAGGTGAAAATGAAACCAGCTTAACTGTCCCATAGAACTGACGTTTACCATTTTTTGGATAAATGTAGAAATTGACCCTCCTAGTCATATAGAAAGAAGAAATAGTTATTCTTTCTGCAATTTATGCAAAAATAAGGCCAAGTATATGTCTAAAATCTATTTTGCAAACAACTCAAAACAACTCAGTCCTACCATGATTTTTTTTTAACAAAAATAAGGACTGGAGAGAGAGATGTTATGTTTCAAAACTTATCATACCTTTGTCATTAAATTCTAAGCTCATTAGTTATTTTAAGTTTTTGCATACATTTTTAGAGTAACCCTTCTTGTTCCTGTGAACCAACCAGCAATCTCGATGTGGCTCAGAAAAAACAAAAAGGATGGGTAATGTAGAAATCTGGATCAGTATTCTAGTTCTGAGCAATTATCCTGCAAATCCTGCCAGGTAAGGGGAATAAATAGGGTGCCTATCACCCAGGGGTTTCCTTTGGGGAAAGTAAGACCAAGAGAGCTAACAAAAGCCAAGCACCATGCACCACAATCTTAACAAGCGTAAGTACAGCCACATGTTTTGGGGGCATATGTCACAAGACATCCTTTCCTCTCCCTTGTTGGAGGAAGAGTCAATTCCACAGTTTCACCTTAGCATTAGGATTATGATAAGGAGCACATGCAATGCCTCCCGCAACCCGACACATTTTTGTCCCAAACTGAATTCCAAGCTTTGGGTCAAAGCCCTAGGAAAGAAAACTGGATTTGAGGTACCCAAAGGCAGACAATAACAGAAGTTAAGAAACACAGTGCAGGTGAGCATGGCTGATTCCTGCCAATTAAGCCAAGCTTCTCATTCCATGGATAAAGGTCATGCTAATATTCATGGCATAAATGAGGTCTAGGGAATTCAAGGATACTGACCATATCTCAGGGGAGATAGGGCGCATGTAGATAAGAATGGATACTCCCACCCCCCAGGCTCCCCTGTTAACACAGGTGAAAGCCACTTTAACACTCATGGGTGGTACCCTGTCGTGTTCACTGGGACTCAGGAATACAAGGATGGAGGAGAGAAAGAGGAATGCCTTACATTCCCTCCCTCATGTACCTCAGGTATTTGCTAGGAAGAGAAAGGAAACAGGGACCCCTGCTTCCCTCTTTCTAGATAAGTAGTCATTTATCTTCTATCTGTACTCCTTTTGAAAGCATCCTAAACCCCTGGGACTCCTTTGAAAAAATGCCTTTTCTTTTTCCTCCTCTGTCCTCTCTTCACAAATAGGTAATTGTGTCTCCATACTGTGTGCCACTCCCCTCAGATGCATCCTCCAAACTGGGAAGAGTTAGTTTCCCAAACCTTAAACTGGTAGGCATAGGACTGGGCTCAGGGGAAGGCAACCCAGAAGCCTGACATGCTAGCAAAATGGTAAACTTTTTTTTTTTTTTACCAGTTGGGCTTTTGGCCTGTCTCTCCCTGTGCAAACTGGTAAAAGGCCTCGGGATTTCTGAGCTGTCCTTACCCACCCCTTGTTTAATTGTGATATATGTTTTCTAATAAACCGGTCTGTCTCTTCTTGCCTTCAGGACATGAAACTCCAAATGGTCATGCAACTGGAGCTTTGGACAATGGGCCCTTTTGCTGGGGTCCCTTACATAGGCCTCTGAGGGAACTCTGACTGCTCTTTTTTCAAAACAGCGTGCCTGTCAGCAGGAGGCAGTTAAATTGGTCTTCATCCTTATCCTTATACTTATTTTAACAGCAATTAGATGTACTTCTTTAGAGAGAGGAATGAGACAGCCAAGTAAAAAGAGTTCTCTGTAGAATTTCCAACCAGCCTGCACACTGAAAGGAGAGGGTGGAGCTTCAGGAAGTTCATGCTCTTTGCAGGCGGGAGGAGCCTGGTCTTTCCGGTTCCTGAGTGGTGACCCGGAATTCAGTCTGTGAGATGGGGGTCTGTTAACAGGAACTCCCTCACTTTGCTGGGAGTCTTTTTCCTTTTCACCCAATGAATTCCATTTTCCTCAGCCATTTATGTGTCTACGAACCTAATCTTTCCTGGTTGTGTGACAAGATCCCAGCTTTTTTTAGCTGAACTGAGGAGAAAGTCGTCCAACATTACCACCTATGTATCTACTTTGGTGAGGTGTCTGTCAGGTCGTTTCCTCATTTTTTAATCAAGTTGTTCATTTTCTTAGTGTTGATTTTTAAGAGTTATCTTTATATTTTGGATAGCAAAGTATTTTATCAGATATGCCTTTTGCAAATTCTCCCAATTTGTGAAAGTCTCTATGTTTGCAAGAACCATTCAATATCTAGGTTGTTTTGTAAGTACTTTCCAATGGAATAAAACAGAATAAATAATAGGACTTTTAAATATTGGAAACAAAGAAAGGAATCATTGTAATATGTACTTATACAACAATCTACAGAGAAACAAGACATTAGTTGAAAAATCATTATCTCTTAAATGACATTTCAACATATAAACTCAAGTTTTCTTATTCATCTATATTAATAGAATAATGTAAATAAAAAAGAACAAGAAGGTTTACAAATGCAATAAAAGTCTGTAGATCATCTAGTAATAACCCTTATTTGAAATGCCCAAGCCTAAGGTAAAGAATAATTTGTAGTGAGGAACATATAAGAAAGCTGAATAATTGGAAAACGTGAGATTAATATATTAAAATAGTCAATGTAAGAAATATTTCTTTCTCACATTTTTTTAAAAAATAAAATATGTCTGCCAGGTGCAGTGGCTCACTCCAGTAATCTCAGTACTTTGGGAGGCCGAGGTGGGCAGATCACAAGGTCAGAAGATCGAGACCATCCTGGCTAACAGGGTGAAACCCCATCTCTACTAAAAATACAAAAAATAGCCAGGCGTGGTGGCTCGCACCTGTAGTCCCAGCCACTCAGGAGGCTGAGGCCAGAGAATGGCATGAACCTGGGACGCGGAGCTTGCAGTGAGCAGAGATCGTGCCACTGCACTCTAGCCTAGGTGACAGAGCGAGACTCTGTCTCAAAAAAAAAAAAAATAGAATATTTCAAAAATGCCATTTGAGGTGAATTTCTCAAACTAGAAAAGTTACTTTTCATTTGGAAGAGGAAATGTACAAGGAAGAGTAAAAAAGCACTTTTAAAAGAATAGTGAAATTCTTAATTTACCAAGTTTTCAAGACGAGCATAAGGGACAAGTCTTTAAAAGTAAAGAGCTTACAAAGTACTAAACCAAATTAATTTTAAAAAAATCTTAATTATCAGGTATCAAAATATGCTAAGGGTAATTATAAATAAAACAATATGATGTTGGTGTTGGAAAAAATATACAGAAAAAATGAAATAAAGTAACCATGTGAAAACTAAGATTTATATATGTATACATAAACATGCGCACACATAAACATATAAAAAATCTAAAGGCATTAAAAGTCGTAAAAGAAAGAAAATACAAATAAAATGTGTTAATCTGCAGTTAGATAAAATGTTCTAAAGGTATATGAAACAAAAATCATAAAGGATAGATGATTTCAAGTATATTCAGAAATCTATGTGACAAAGTACATCATCAAAACATTAAAAAATAAATATTGAATAAGAAAAAAAGAAAATGATTCTAAAATCCATAACAAAGTTAAATATGAAATATTTTGGCAAAGGAAATGAGTAGATAATTAAAAGAAGAAAAAACATAAATGTCTAAATGAACATCATGAACATATTTTGTCTCACTACTAACAAGAAAATGCAAATTGAAATCACAAAAAGATAACGTGTTACTCCTGTTACATTGGCAATAATTATAAAATTCTGTAAAATCCCCTCTTGGCAAGTGTTGAAATTGTCATTCTTTACACATGAATGTTGAGAGAGAAAATTAATACAATTATTTGGATGGAGAAGTTAGCAGTTTTTCTCAAAATATGCATAGAATAGGAGCAAAGAGGGAAAACTACCCCCTTCCTCCTCTGAAGGTTCACTGAACGTGAATTGACAAAGGCAGATTAAATGGAGAAAAAGGCATGCACAGTTATTTTAACAGTCATAGTATGGAGGAATCGCAGGAGAATGATTACCCAATAAACCCACAGGGTAAGATGCTTATATGCCCTTTATCATAGGGGAAGTGGAGATGGGGTGTATAAAAGTAAATGATTTCTAGGGGGAATGAGTAGACCCAATTGTCAGATAATGTTAAGGAGATAATTCTCTTCGGGAATTGAATGGGACCGGAGAACAAACAACTGGTTTGGGACAAAGTTTGTCTGAGCTCTTGATGTGATGTTTACTTTTCAGTCTCTTTCTCTGTGACATGAGTTTTAATCTTCTCCGGTTAATAAAATTTTAAGGAAGGAATCTAAGGCAATTGTGTTTCTCTTTGAGGATCTGGTTTCTACATAGGTAAGGGAACTTCAGAGAATATCCTATGCTTTGGGAAAGACAGTATGGACTGAGAGATGGGGTAATGGGAGGATGGTCAGAGGCCTTCAGGCCTTCAGGCTTTTTTTTTTTTTTTTTTTTTTTAAAAAAAAAAAAGGAGGCTTGCTCTGACGCCCAGACTGGAGTGTAGTGGTGCGATCTCCGCTCACTTCAAGCTCCGCCTTCCGGGTTCACGCCATTCTCCTGCTTCAGCCTCCTGAGTAGCTGGGACTATAGGTGCCCGCCACCAGACCCGGGTAATTTTTTGTATTTTTAGTAGAGACGGGGTTTCACCGTGTTAGCCAGGGTGGTCTCGATCTCTTGACATGTTGATCCGCCCACCTCGGCCTCCCAAAGTGCTGGGATTACGGGCGTGAGCCCATGCGCCTGGCGAAGATGCTTTTTTAGTTTTATATTTTGGGGTATCCATTTTTAAGCCCCAACAATAGCCAATTCTAGTTCAAGATGACAGGGAGCTCTCATGCTTTCTTTTCTTTCCTGCTAAAAGTATCATTTATATCAAAAGGAGAAGGTGTCTTAAAAAGGAATGAATGTATAAAGGTACTGAAAACAATAAAAGATACCTCAGCAAATCAGGTATTATGAACTTTAGGTAAAACAAAGAATTAGTGCAACAAAATTGATTAACTCAAAGCTCAGGTGGATGGAGCACTGAGCATGTAAAGATAAAGCTGAAACTCAGTAGAGCCTCCATGGAGCACCAGGGCACTGGCAGCCAAAGTAAGGGGCTGGGGAAGTGGCTATAGAATCAATGTAGGATTTCTCTCTCACTGGCCCCCAACACACACATCTACTATGCACAATCTTGTCCTTCCACTATTAGCATTTACTTCCAGTTGAAGGCAGTAAAATAACTTCTATATAATGAAGCCAACTGTTGGCAATGGACAAGTGGAGGCTGGGACTTCCAGAGCCAGGGTTGATGTTACATCCAAGCTTGGCATTTGGAGCTGAAAGTCCATTCTCTTGAATTTCTTGACTTTTGCTTATGTTTAGTATAACCTGTCAAGACACACACACACACACACACACACACACACACTAATCTCCTCATTCAAAAATGAATCTGGAAAGTAGCCAATCTGAAAAGGCTACATACACTGTATGGTTCCAACTCTATGACATTCTATAAAAGTCAAAACAAAACAGGCAATGAAAAGATCAGTGGTTGCCAGTGGTTGGGGTATAAATAGGCAGAGCACAAAGATGTTTAGGGTACTCTATATGATACTATAATGTGGATATATGTCACTACATATTTGTCCAAACTCAGAATGTACAGCACCAAGGGTGAACCCTAATGTAAACAATGGACTTCGGGTGATTATGATGTGTCTGTGTAGGTTCATCAATTGTGATAAATGTACTGTTGTGGTGGCGGATGTTGAAATGGAGGAGGCTATGCCTGAGTGGGGCAATTAAGGGGAGTATATAGAAAACCGCTGTGCCCTTTTCCCAATTTTACTGTCAATCTAAAACTACTCTAAATAATTATTAAAAATTAATCTGTTAATTGTATAGGAAATTGATTCCTAATGCTTTAATTAATTAAACAAATCATTATTCATAAATATGATCAGGTATCATCAGGCAAATGAGGAAAACCACCAGCAAAAATATAAATAATCAACATAAACGATAGAAAAATTGTCAAAGAAGCCGGGCACACTGGCTCATTTCTGTAATTCCAACAGTGTGGGAGGCCAAGGTGGGCAGATCACCTGAGGTCAGGAGCTCGAGACCAGCCTGGCCAATATAGTGAAACCCCATATCTACTGAAAACACAAAAATTCGTCAGGCGTGGTGACCTGTGCCGGTAATCCCAGCTACTCAGGAGGCTGAGGCAGGAGAATCGCTTGAGCCCCGGAGGCAGAGGTTGCAGTGAGCTGAGATCACACCACTGCACTCCAGCCTGGGTGACAGAGTGCAACTCTGTTTCAAAAGAAAGAAAGAGAGAGAGAGAGAGAAAAGGAAAGAAAGAGAAGGAAGGAAGGAGGGAGGGAGGGAAGGAAGGAAGGAAAGAAAGAAAGAAAAACAAAGAAAGAAAAGAAGGAAAGAAGGAAAGAAGGAAGGAAGGAAGGAAAGGAAGGAAAGAAAAATTGTCTAAGAAATACATTTAAACATTTTACTGAAAAGAAGGAAATGGCAAGAACAATGAAAAATCTAAGTAAATCTCAGAAAGATTTAAAAATCATGCAATCAATCAGAGAAGTCAGAATAATATAAAAACAAAACAATTAAAGAAAAAAAGAAGATAAAAATATATAATAGCCATATTCTAGGCTCAAAATATTTCTGTATAGTATAAGATCAAAATATTTGCTTCACTAGGTACTGTCTGGCCTGCTTCCACCTCACTAATATTAGGCTTGGCCTAAGAAGATGCATTAAGAGTTATTGCATGAATCCACCATTGTTCTTCTCACACTGCCATGAAAACAGAAGATCTCGGATAACTGGCTGTATCTTCATCCTGGGTCCAGAAGGAAACAAGACACATAGAACCAGAGCCAACATGTAACACTTAACCAAAAGTAGACCACTGTTTGTAAGTCACTAAGATTTTAGAGCTATTTGTTACCTCGGTGTAATCTAGAGAAAGTTTGCCAACATAAACATTTAAATAAAGATTAAGAGAAAATGCCATGCAAATCATCCAGCAATTAGGGTCAAAAGATGAAAAAATAAAATATATGTGAAAAAAGCTAGAAGTCATGGAAGATCAATTCAGAAAGTCAATATCATCTAACAGGGTACCAGAGAGATGCATCAAAAAAAATTTAAAAAGTGGAGGGAAGCTGTATATTTGCTAAGTCTGGAGAAAGGCACAAGCCTTGAGATAATAAAATCCACAAAATAGCAAATAGGATTTCTTTTAAGAACTTATATTCATAAAACTTCAAGGAAAAAAATGAGGAGCATAAAGTGATACAGAGAACAAAAAGCAAAATAATTACAAAGAGCAGATAAAATACCAAAACAGCTTTTTAAATATTAGATGCTAGAAGATAATCAGCTAAGTTTTCAAGTTTTTAAGGGAAAAATATTTTTAATGTAACATTTCCATGCCTAAGGAAACAACAATAAAACATGGGGCTGGAGGCAAGAGGGGCGAGCAGGACATGGTATCGGAGATATAATGGACCTATAATAATTCTGGAAGAATAACAAAAGGAACTTGGAGCATGACAAATAATAATTGTGAAGTAAGCCTAGAAATAATTTAGTACATGCCAGGCCATTTATCAAGTATGGTGACCTGGAAACTATTAATAATATGGAGAAATGAGTTTCTTTCATTTGCCCTTCTTTCAGTAAGAAAACGAAACATAATTCAAAATTCAAGAGAAAAATCATCAGGCAAGAAAAGCATGGTACAAATATAAACCTTAAGATTGTATGGTTTGAAAAAATTATTGGAATATGAGAAAAATCATCTCTTTAACTTTGATATTTAAAACATAGCACTGGCTTAGAATTAATTACATAACTATATTTTATTCTCTACCAACCCTTATTCTAAAGTGAATAATATGTATTGAAACTTAGCATTAGAATTGTTCCTTGTCTTATGTTTTCAATTTTAAAGTTATTATAAAATATTTAGACCAACCAAAATTTAAAGATAATTCTATAACACTTCCATACTCATCTGGCTTAAGAAATAAAAACATTTCTGATAGAATGATGGCCTCTTATGTATAGACATTCCTAAGCCCTTTCCTCTTTGCTATATTCTCCAGTGGAGCCAATACTATTATTTAGGGTTTACTGTTTTAAATGTTTTTATAGTGTATGACATATATATAAACATATAAATAGTATATCATAAGGTTTTTCAGTATTTAAAGTTTATATACATTATTCCACATGGTAATATCAATATACAAGCTATTTGGCATTGGATATTGTTCTGAGAGATATGTAGGTTGATACTTATGGCTTAGATTCATTTCTTTTAATAACTGCATTGTGTTTAATGGTGTTTCTGGTATTAAATGACTACAATTTATTTTCTTGTGAAGAGATATTATGATATTTACAAATTTTTGGTCACCCTAGAATGAACACTAATGATTATTATTCCTTGTGCACATATTTAAGAATTTTTACATGATAGTGGTTCTCAATCTGGTCAAATGCAAGACTCCCTTTTTATAGCAACTATTTAGTCACATGCCATTTACTCTCCCTTAATAATATTCTCAGGTAATATAATATACCTATATATACATCTGAAAAAAACAGAAATAAAAGGAAAATAAATTAAAATAAATATGTATTTTCATATGTAACTACTCAGACCTAACTATGCTTGAAGACATAATGAAGTAGGGAGATACGTATATGACCCATCTGTGAAAAAAAATCATATTGTAAAAAGAAAACATTTTTTATGTTGAAAATATACATTGGCATAGGAGGTAAATATGGAGTGTAAATATGTTGTAAATATATACTGATATAGGACATTTATAATGGCGACTTAAATATCATGAGCTATTCTGCTGGTGGTGGCAGTTTCAAAATGGTACACAACAGCATGATAAATTTACAAACGAAAGAAAATTCATTTCTAGAAAATTCAGCTTATATTAAACCATATAAAAATAATGGTTTTATTAATATAAAATGAAGGTATAGCTGGACTCAGATTATTTAAAACAGACGTTTTAGCTAGGTGAATGTCTTGGAAGACAATTGAAAGAAAACCTCATTGTGGACAAAACAATTCTTCGCTGTATGGGATTATCCTGTGTATTCCTGCATGTTTACCTTCTGTGGTCTTGCCCACTAAATACAAGTAGCATTCTCCAATCATTGTGGCAACTACCAATAATACATGTCCAAATCACACACTAGGTTGAGAATTACTCAATTACCTACTTAGGAGAACTTCTAAGGATACATAGGAATTGCTATATGTCCATGAAAATAATTGCTGCAACATAGGCAACACATCAGTATTTCGCCATGGTTGTCCCAAGTTACACATCATCAGTACCTGTAACTTTATATAACTCCACATCTTCATCCACATTTAATGTAGGTAGAATTTTCTATTTTTGCCAGTCTTGTGTGTATATGATTTTTTATTTAGATCTCTGTGGTTCTTTATCATATTGAGTGTTTATTTTATATATACCAGCCATTACAGTTTTTTCTTCTTTGAATATTGAAACATGGCTTATAATAACAATTGTTAACATCATAGACATTTAACAACAGAGAGACAAATAAGTAAATAAATTGTAACTATATTATAAAGTACTATACTATTGTTAAAAAGAATTAAATAAAACTATAAGTACTGGCATGAACAAACTGACTATATACAGTGATGCTAGAAAATAAAGGTCTAGCATATAATGGAGAATATGAGCTCAGTTCAGTATCGATATGCTTTGGTTCTATGTCCCCACCCAAATCTCATCTTGAATTGTAATCTTCATAATTCCCACATGTCGAGGGAGGGATCAGGTGGGAGGTGATTCGATCATTGGGGCAGTTTCCCTTATGCTGTTCTCATGTGAGTGAATTCTCAAGAGATCTGATGGTTTTATGTGTTTGACAGTTCCTCCTTCACATGCTCACACTCTCTTCTGCTGCCTTGTGAAGAAGGTGCTGGCTTTCTTTTCCGCCATGATTTTAAGTTTCCTGAGGTCTCCCCAGCTATGTGGAACTGTGAGTCGGTTAAACCTCCTTTGTTTATAAATTACCCAGTCTCGGGTAGTATCTTTATAGTAGCATGAAAACAGACTAATACGGGTATGTATACATGTACACACTTAGATGTTAGAAAAAGTCTTAGAAGGATATATTTCAAATATGAATAGTCCTGCTCATTGGCAGGAAAAATCTGATTAGGTAAAGTGAAATGGCATTTCAATCTTTTCTCTACATTTTAACTGAAATTTTTTTGTGGATGACTTAATTAAGCATCACATTTAAAATTTAACATAATAAGTAATTAGAAAAAAGGAAGATAATCATTTTTATTAGGGTAGCAAAAGAGTAAGAGATGGGAAAACTTCAGTTTTTCCTTAGTTGCTATTCACAATCTTATGTACATAATTCTTAGAGGTTGTGTGACCATGTCACTGAATGGTAGACAAAAGGGTAAGAAATATATATGAGAAACCCTTTCCTACTTTGTCCTACAAGCCAAATTTACTTTGTATCAGAGATTCCAATGCAAAAACAAAATGTTATAAGGCAAACTCTCAGATGAACTTTTAAATACAGCTATAACATAATAAAATATATGTTGATTTCCCTATTACAATTTCCTCATTCGTCCAAGTAAAATTGTTGTTTTCAACATTCTAGAATGCTACTATTATTATATTTGTATTTTTAAACCTACCAAATTCCAGAGTATAAATTTACATATTAAATATAAATCTGAAATAATAGAAACATACCCTTTTATAAAAGCAAAAACCAAAATTGGCATACTTTCATGATTTACTTCCATAATTATTACTATTGTGTTGCTGACGTCTGTCTTAATGAACCACTTCTTATATGATAATCATGCCCAAGAACATACGTCTTTTGAGGTAACAACATCTAAAGACAATTTCTCAGGCTGCAAAATCATATTCCAGTTCTTTCACATCATGTCTATGGGGCATATTTTACCTCTCTGTGACTAACAGTTTGTGAAACCAACTGTTGTGAAACCAACATATATATAACATATATATATATATATATATAATTTTTCTAAGAAATTTCAGGGGAGATATGTGTAATATTTATATTTAATACTGCTATGAGAATAGATATACATTTATTAGTTTGTCAGTGTAACTCTTATAGCAGCTGTGGAAGGGAGGAGGCGTATATATTTTCCTTGATTTTGGGGAAACATTACAGAAATATTTTCTCTCCAGTTCTCCCTTTAATGGGCTTATAATTTGTAAAAACCTACCAAAGGCTCAATAACAGCTACGTTAATACTAATTGTAATAGTGTCTATGAGGTGTCTTCTATCTGCCAGGCAATATTTTTGATACACAGTATTTATATGTATTTCTGGGGTATATGTGGTATTTTGATACATGCATACAATATGTGTTGATCAAGTCAGGGTACTGAGGATATTCATCACCTCAAACATTCAGAATATCTCTCTGTTGGGAACATTTCAACTCTTCTAGCTATTTTCAAATATACAATACATTATTGTTAACTATAATCACCCTACCGTCCTATCAAACACTAGAACTTATTCCATATATCCAACCATATGACTATATCCATTAATCAACCTCATCCTCTCTGCCTCACTCTTCTCTACTTCTGGTAACTATCATTCTATTTCCTATTCTCCATGAGATTAATGTTTTAGGTCCCACATATGCGCAAGAACATGTGATATTTGTCTTTCTGTCCCTAGCCTATTTCACTTAACATAATGACCTCCAGTTCCATCCATGTTGCTGAAAATGACAGGATTTTATTCTTTTTATGATGAATAGTATTCCATTTTATGCACATACCACATTTTCTTATCTATTAATCTGTGGAAAACTTAGCTTGTTTCCATATCTTGGCTATTGTGAATAGTCCTGCAACAAACATGGGAGTTTAGGTACCCTTTGATATGCTGATTTCCCTTACTTGGAATAAATATCCAGTAGTGAGATTGCTGGATCATATGGTAGTTCTATTTTTAGTTTATTGAGAAATCTCCATACCATTATCCAAGATTACTGTACTAATTTACATTCCCATCAACAATGTATAAGAAGTCCCTCTTCTCTGCATTCTTGCCAGCATTTGTTATTGTTTCGTCTTTTTAATAAGAGCCATTCTAAATGGGCTAAGATGATATATCCCTGTGGTTTTGATTTGTATCTCCCTGATGATTACTGATGTTGAGAACTTTTTTCGTATGTCTGTTGACCATTTTTATTTCTTCTTTTAAGAAATGTTTATTTAGATTTTTCCCCACTTTTTGATGGGATTATTTTTTGTTGTTGAATGTCTGAGTTTCTTATATATTCTGGATATTAGTCCCTCATCAGATGAATCGTTTGCAAATATTTCTTTTTCACGTTCTACAACTTGTCTCTTCATTCTATTGATGACTGCCTTTGCTGTGCAGAAACTTTTTAGTTTAATACAGTCCCATTCCATTTGTCTATTTTTTTAAATTTTATGGCCTATACCTTTGAAGTCTTAACCATAAAATCTTTTCCTAGACCAATGCCCTGAAACATTTTCCTACTTTTTTCCAGTAGAAACATATAAGGATAAATGACAAAAAACATATGAAGGAGAGCTAACACCAATTCATTCAAACTATATTTTAAAATTTGAAGAGGAAGGAATTTTTCCTAACTCATCTTATAAGGCCATCATTACCCTGATACCAAAACCAGACAAGGACACAAACAACAAAAGAAAACTAAATGCCAATATCCCCGATGAACACAGATGCAAAAATCCTCAATAAAATTTTAGCAAACCCAATCCAAAAACACATTAAAAGATAATACACCATCATCAAGTGGGATTTAGCCCAGGGATGCAAAGATGGTTCAACATATGCAAATAAAGAAATGTAATACAATGCATCAACAGAATAAAGCACAGAACACGTATAATCATCTTAGTGGATGCAGAAAAAGCATTTAATAAGATTCAACATCCTTTATGATTTAAACTCAAAAACCAGGCATAACAGTAACATACCTAAACATAATAAAGGCAATATATGAAAAACCCACTTCATCTTCCCCACAATCATCCATGAAGTAGCTATTATTTTTACCATAAGGATATAAAAATTGACACACAGAGAAGCTATGTAACTATGTCTGAGGTCTCATGGCTGGTCAACTGTAGAGCAGAAATTGAGAACCAGGTAACATGAGCTAGAGCCCTCTCTCTTAATGACTAAGCTGTAATGCCCATAATGAACACAAGTGACTGCAACCATAACATTACCTTTATAGATTATCAAGAGCGTCATCTACTCTTTATGATGTTGCTCTTTGTTTTTCTTCCCTGAGGATTCTCCAGAGGCCGATTATTTTCACCTCCAGAACTTCCTTGAACAATAGCCAGCTAGAGATTTAGCCACACAGTGGGAGAATGCTATTTTTCAAGATTTCCTGAACAGCTTAAGTAGAAGAGGCAGTGTGTCATTCGTATTTCTAAATGGGAGTTTGTGGAAGTTTTAGGAGAGTCAACTTATAACAACAACACGTATTAGGTTGGTACAAAAGTAATTGCAGTTTTTGCCATTACTCTCAAAGGCAAAAACCACAATTACTTTTGCACCACCCAAATAGTTATTCTTACCATTAAAGAGGAGCCATTGCTCTGTTTCCTTCCCTCTTGTCTCCTGCCCTCTGCGCTTTCAAAGGAAACATGATCTAAAAAGCTAACCTTTTTTTTAATGCAAGTCTTGGCTAAATACTCCAATCTGTTCTGTGCCAACATTCCCCTCTTAGAATTTTTGGGAAGAATTCCACTTTAATCCTTCAAATTATCCTCTGAAATTATTATCTTGGTGTCAGCTGATGGCAACATCCCCAAACAGCCAGCGACAGAGGATCTATGCATCAGTTGACATTTATATTGTTTAAACATTATGATTTTAGAATTTATATTCTACTCTGTCCACTAAAAATTTCAAGGAGAAAGATTCATGTGGAAAGTAGGGAAATTGAATACATACTTCTATGGTGATCTTAGATTTTTTTTTAGCCTTCACTAATATAGGTCAAAGTTATATTTATACCTTATCACAAAATAATTATATTTTATAGCAGTGGGAAAGCTGAGTAAAAAATGTTTTCTTTGATGACAAAGCCCATTAAGCTCATTATTTTAAAGCCACAAGACTGTACTATAAGCATTAGAAAATGGATGTGAATGTACACTCACACTTATTTCTTCTTTGTTTATACAATTATCATTTTCTTCTCAACCTGAGCTGTCAAACAGAAAATATTTTCATTAAAACAAGGTGAGTCTTGTAGGCATTTCTCTCCTAACAGGATCTGCTACCTTTTAACTTTAATTTTCGTAATGAACCCATCTTTCCTAACCAGGAATCTTAGAAAAATCAGTTGATTTTAAACTCAGGATACACAACAGAGGATCACTGATTTTCTCTGTCAGGAATTACTTTGCGTTCCATCATAGATATCTTATTACTTCATAGAATTCAGAGGGATTCAGAGAGTTGTTTATGCTGTTTGCAAGCAATCTCTTCTTAGTGTGGATAGGGATGCAATATGGTTGTATAAAGTCCCACTACCATTTAGCTTTAATTTAAAGAATGACAGAACAAAGGGAATATTCTGTTGAGTTGTTTAATAATAGTGCTTGTGGGATAACTAGGAGAGGTCCTTGGGACTCACCCTTGAAGCCACCTCCTGAAACAACTTCAGTTTAGCTGACAGAATAAGCACTGCAATGTTCAATATTCTGGGGAAGAGGCTTTAACTACTTTACGTTGCTGGCATATCATTTAGGCCGACATGTCATTCACTTGTTAGGGGAACAAATAATAATCCTGCTGTTCGTATACCCGATCCCATTCATCAATTTGTAAGATAGCAGCAATCCAGCAATTTTCTAGGTGTAATCAGAAGGCTACAGCAGAAGTGTTAAATGGGATTTCTCACCTTTCTAATGGCATAAAAACACTCACACCTTAGGTTTTTAATCATCATCTATATTAGGCAAAAATAAGTGAAGAATGGAGAAGAACTTTAAACAGGTGAGGAGTTATGGTAACATTATGCATTTAAAAAAATTAGGGTAGAGAACATGGCTCAGATATCACCTCATCACACCACAAACAAAACTGAAACGAACGAACTAGTTATTTTCTCGATGAATCTCTGTTTGACTCTTCTAACACTGGCACTATCACAAACACCTTGCCAAAGAGACAACTGCAAGGGAATGATTTCCACTGATTAATTGTAAAACATCTTTCCTGCATTCTAACATAAGCTTCCAAATGTCGAGCAGGCATGTCCATTTCTGAATTCTGTGTCCTATTTTATTCACCATCTCCATCTCTCTTGCCCCTAAAACAGCTTATGTTCCAGACTCTTCCATATTAATTAAGGATACTATTCACCTAAATTCTACTTCCTTTTTCTTATCTCCTCAATAACAATTCAGCAGCATATCTTTTTGAGCTGCAGTTCCTAATATGGATTAAGTGCACTCCTTCCTCCTGTTTCTGTTTCTGGCTTGCTTGCCTTCAATTACAAAAGAAAAAAATCCTAAAATTCAAATTGTGTTTATTTAAGATAATTCTGAATGATAATGGAACTAGAGTTAGCAACCAAAAATGGCTTTTGCAGTGGCATCAACATAATATGTCATTAGCATGGGAACTCTAAAAGAAAAGAAGACAATTTGGAGGTAGAAGTAACATGTTTGGGTAGCTGGATTTGGGGACTTAGAAGAGGAATAACTTATTAATGACATCTAGGCAGTATAAACTATCACTGCTTAATCAGGCCAAAACAATATTGTGCTGTGCATAATTATCATATTTGCTTTAAATAATTCTTGGAATAGCTGGGAAAGTCTCAAAAATTTAAATCACAATGAAAACTACTGTTTCTGAGTATCAGGACTTATATATCCTCCAAGTTATTCAAAATTTCTCACCAAAACATGCATGTGATTTTCTATATTTGGAACAGTGTAAAGGCATTTCTCATTGACATCCTTGTAAGTCACATTCTGAACTTTATCCTAAATGCCTTTTAGTTTGTTTTATAAGGTAAATATCATCATTTGAAAGGTCCATTATGAAATTAAATGCTGAAGCTTGACATCTTAAAGGAGACTTGCCAATATTAATTATAGCACCAGATCTATATTTACATTTGAAAGATAATTTTATAATTTGACAACACCTAAATAATTGTTTTGCAATGCATCTTCAGACCTGTATTTTACTCCTTTGATCCTTTTATAGGGTACTTTTTATTTCTTCTGAATCTTTTGTTATCTCTCTTACTCTCTGACCCAGAAGCCAAGGTTCTTTAAGAGTTCTATGTAGGAATAAAAACCAAAGGGTTTAAAATAACACTCTGAGGTGTGTAAAATAAGGGGTGAAATTGTAAGGCTATTAAACATTACAGCTAGGAAATCCAGGATTTTCGGAATCTTGTCCCTTAGACTACAATTATCACCCCACATATGGTCTTCAAACATACTATTTTGCAGAGGTTGCAATTTCCACCAAAAGATCTCAGGCTTGAGAATTGTAACTCAACCTATGAAACATTAGTGAGCTTTCCTTTACTATGTAACTTTGTCCTATAATACTTTAGGCCTAAATAGTTTCAAGCTCAAACAGATCATAAAGATATCTCTGTCTTTTAAAATTGAACATTCGCCCAGCATCGACGAGATAGAACCGGAGATATAGAGCAAGAGATGAAAAGTTGAACTGTGGTGCCAACATCACCACCACTGACTAATTCCAAGTAGATTATATGGGGTTTGGGGGTTGTGAGACATCTCAACATTTTTCCATGGAAGAGCAGTCTCTGGCCCTTATTATTCCATCCTGTAGAAGAGAGAAAACGAAGAGAAAGCCACACCCATGAACCTTGTCCTTGTATGAAATAGTGATTCCATCCATTAAAAATGTGGGCCAAACTTTGCTCTGTAATACAACCAGAGCAGTGCCCTCCTCCTCAGTGAGAAAACAGGATGCCTGTGGTCAGGGTGGTAAAAGCAAGTGAACAAAGATACCTCAAATGCTGATCATCTGACCCCACATCCCTCCAAAGTCAGGTGCTACATCTCATTTGACTACTTGTTGTTAATATCACCATTATTGCTAGGTTCATTAAGTGAATCATGGGAATGAAAAAGAGGTCTACAGAAAGACAGTGTTCATGGAGTTGAATGTATTGATGATACTAATGTTGAACTACATAGAAGGCTAATATTAAACCCTGAGAGATAAAATAAATTATTTTTTTATTTTGTCCCTTCCTCCTTGTTTCTACATTGTTTGTATCAGAGTCCTACTTTAGGGAGAAATAGCACAAATCAAATGGCCTGATATATACATAAATATTTGTCTTCCTTTCAAAAGATTCGCTTCCTTACATCTCTTTAACATTTTACATTTCTCTGTAGATAAATTTTTCTAGCTCACTGATATAAATCTAGATTTCCCCTCTGACATATAAAATAGAAAGAACTTCAAGCCTTTGAAACACATATCAGCTCCTGAATGTTCCAGAACTGTGACATAGTTGGTGGTGGTAAACTGTGATTATTAAAAAGGATATCCTTTAGACTCCCTATAAAAACATCCCTGTCTGTCCCTTTTTTACATTTACTGTAGGTGATGGGTTGTTCTGGTGATGCAGTGGGGTAAGTATGAGAGAAGGTAGAGAGAACACTTTAATATTCTCTCTGCTAAGGTATTTGTGAAAGTTTTCTTCTTTATACCTGTTAAAATAAGATAAATCTCACATCAATGTTTTTTTCATTTCTCATGATGCCAATAAAAGTTTCTAATATATTCATTGAAACAATGATAGTGACAAAGTGGTCTTTAGAAAACAACTGGTGGGGAAAAGACAAAACTTTTCTTCCAAATAGCTTTTAATAGCAGCAACAGCAGCAAAGTAAAGCAGTGTAATATTTGTTTTGTGAGAAGAGCATCTGCTAACTTCACTAACCCAGTAGAATAAGAATCATATGTTTAACAATGTCTCATTTCATACATCTAGAACGAGCCTAGTTTTTAGGGGCATTATTTTGTTACTGTGGATAATTAATATTAGTAAAGGGGATACTAGTATTCAAATGAATGAAGATATACATATTTTCTTCTTCCCAAAATATTTCTTATATATCTCTGTTTCTGTTTATTCTATTTTTCATCTGTAAAAATGAGAACTCTTGGAAAATATTTTTACATATTTTAAAGAATATTTAGAACGTTAAGTGCTTTATTGAAGCACATGCTGTTTATATCATAAAACATTAAAATAAAACTACTCCTTTTACTCTTTTTGAGCTCAACACAATTATGTGATGCAAAAGGCCCAACTCTGAAGAGGTTGAAAACAGATTACAATTAGTTTCATCGATTTGTGACCAATGTTCTTACCTCAAGAGCTTCATAATCTCAATTTCATCCTCAAAAACACAAAATAGAGATGTCTATTATGTAAGTTAATATGTCCCTGCTTTATAAAATCTAGCAGTTTTATTTCCCTGTTATTTCAAATCCTTGAAGTTAATTACCTTTGTTGATCCCACATGATTTCCGATACTTCATTTTTTAAGGTATTATGCAATATTCTGGAGGATATGTTGTTTATTTTTGAGCAATAAGTCCTCACAATAAAAAACTAAATCTATTAGTTCTTAAGCCTTACTTCCTTAAATCATGTCTCTGTTTGAAAAAAAAAAAGAATGTACTCTTCTATCAACCAAAGTGACGAAGTCTAATAAAGCTTGGATTTATCTATTTTGACAGAACTATTTAGCAAAAAAAAAACAGGTTTTGTTGCAAATTGATAAACATAAAGCATTGTGAGTCATCCTACTACAGGCACTGTGATCTCAGCATTCTAGGTTTGTGTTACCTGGGTTATTATTTATTTCTGTGTTCTGTATTATATTATTTATTTCTGTGTTCATATTATAGGCTTTTAAATTATATTACATTATAATTTAAATTATATTATTATATTAAAATATATACTCTAAATACATTCTCGGCCAGAAAAAAACAAAGTTCAAGTTAATGGCTCTTAATTTAAATATAAAATATATACCAGGGTTTGTTCTTGGCAGAAAAAGAATCTTCCAAGTAAAACTTTAGAAAGACAAAACACAAAAGCTCGATTCTTGGTGAAAAGCTATCCACTGAGAGAAGACAAGATACTGCTCTTTTTCCACATTTCCACCAAACACACCTTTTTCTCATTTGGTTGGGACAGCTGAAGCTTTGGAGGAAATTCTTCTAATGAGTATGACAGGATACCTTTTCCAGCATCTGTTCCTATTTTGGTGTGCATTCCTATACCACAGATGCTGGAAAGCTAACACTTTATTTTCACAAATGAAGTGCACTTGTTCAAAACTTGTATTGAGAGTGAGTAGGCAGGAAAAGAGGACATTGCATACAAGCCATTCATTTTGTTGATATAGAACTGGAAGAAATATTCATAGCAGACTTCTGATCCTAAGATCAAGGCTAAAGTGGTGCAATGTGGTAAGCAGCAGTTGGACAGCAGCTGTCTGATTCCCTAGCTTCTTAAATGTAGTGGTGGTAGCAGCTTCCTCAGTCGACCAGTTCTGTGGTGTGTCCTGCGAATCAGTGCTGGAGATTCAGAGAAGAGCCCCTTCTCCAACCCTTCAAAAAAGTTGGTAAGTGCAATCACTGTTTGAAATATTGTTGCACTTAAAATATAGCAAATATTGTCTGATGCGTGAACTAAAGTTTGAGTTGAAATAGGGCTAAAATGGATGAGAATGGGCAAGGGCTGGAGTGCATCGAATTTGCTGCCTATAGCAGAACAGCATTTAACAGTCTACCTTGGAGAATAATTTGAGAGTATCCTAAGCCTAGAACTCATTGCTCCTTACAGTAGTAAGTTTTATATAACAAATTATATACATATATACATATTCATCATATTATTAGAACAAATTCCATGATCATTTGTAAAAAAAAAAAAAGAAAAGAAAAAGAAAAAATGAAAAAACTCAACACCCAATCATGATGCAAACCATCAGCTAACAAAAAGTAGGAGGCGACATTCTGAAAAGGTTCCTTCAGAAAAATCTACAAATCTTTATGTAAGTTCTGATGATACTAAATGATAAAAGATTACATATTTTCCACATAAATTGAGGAAGAAGGCAAGAATGTCCCATTTCATTATGCCCTTTCAAGACTGTACAGAAAGTCTGAAGTGTAGTAAAGCAATCAAAAGGAATAAACATCATGAAAATCAAAAAGAAAAAAGTAAAACTTTTTTTATTTGCAGATGACAAAATTTGAATAGAAAATCTGGGTAATACACAACCAAAAGACTAAATCTGAAGGTGAATTTATCAAAGACATAGTGTAAAATATCAATATACAAAGTCGTGGATAGCTCTATTTTCTAGCACCAAACAATTGGAGAATGATTTTGAAAAAATAATGTACCATAATAATAAAAATAAAATATTAAATATAAGTTTAACAAAAGATGTGGAAAACTCTAAACTTAAAACTATAAAACATTGATGGGAGAAATTAAAACCTAAATAGAGAGAGATATAAATGATAATAGACTGAAAGACAATGCTATTAAGATATAAATTCTCCCCAAACTGATCTATATGGTTAATGCAATCTCATTCAAAATTTCAACTTTTAAAAATTGACATGTCTATTCTAAAAGTTATATAAAGTGCTAAAAAGACATAGTCATTGAAACAATCTTTACTAAAGAAGAAAGCAATGGAAGTTGACTTGCCATAAAGCTACAGTAATCAAAACAATGTAGTATGAAAATATGATGAGACAAATAGTTCAGTGGAGCAGAAGAGAGTTCATTAATAGACTTATGCATGAAAAGTCAATTGATTTTCAACAAAGTCCTGTGACAATTTAATTTTAAAAAGAATGCCATTTCAACAAATGGTGCCGCAACATGAATAAAAAACAATGTACCTCAAACCCCAATGCTCAACATACAAAAACTATACATTTTTTATGAAAAAATGTTAAGGTAAAATCTTCGCCACATTGAGGTGGGCAAAGATTTTTTAGAGAGGACACACACACACAAAAAGTAATCATAAAATAAAAAACTGATAAATTGAACATTAAAACTTAAAACAGCTACTCACAGTTAAGAAAGGAAATTATTCACAATACGTATGGACATAACAAAGGAATTGCTTCCAGAATATCTTTTAAAAACTGCAATGAAACCGTACTAAAAAAGAGAAACAAGACATTTTCAAAAAAAGACAAGACTTTGATGACACTTCACAAAAAATATATTAGCAATAAGCACATGAAAAGTTGTTCAACATCATTAGACATCTGATGTTGTAGGTCATTTTCCCTGAGAATTAGACTTTGAGGTGGAAGCTAAAATGTCGCATGTTTAAAGAAGGGCTCTTTGGCTAAACATGTGTGGAAAAGGGAAAATGAGTCAGATTTGTCAGGGGAGGCATTAGACAGCCATGCTTAAACAGCAAAAATCTCATGTGAATTCCCCATGAGTGGATCTGAAGCTGGAATGGTCCATCAGAGTTACCCCAAGTTGGAGCAAGAGGCTAGACCTTTGTACTCCTCCAATGAACAGTCATTGGAAGAAGCCTGTTCCTAGGAACAACAAAAGACGCATGGACTCATAGGAAGTAGCTCTCTTAAGTAGAGGCAATTCCGAGAGAGTGCAGTTCTGGGAAGTTGAGGACTGGCAGCAGATAGCATTCACAACCGGGGACGTAAGTACTTCATTTCTGAAGAGGAGAAATGGGATAACACGTGGTATCATCCACTATTTACTCATTGTGCCTTTTAGTTCTACTTTTCTACATAAGCTCTGGGAGTAGTTCCACCTGGATTCCAATGGGCCTCTTTCCCTGGGGGAAACTTAGAAAAGGAAAGTTAATGGGACAATCCCCCACCACAGCAGCTGTTCTCAAGGCTATAACTAAATATCATCAATTCCCTCTACTGTACATTCTCTATTTTCCTCACCCTTAGCTAGTAATTCTGTTGGTCTAAGTGGCCTTCCTATATACCTGAGGGGTTTGAGCTTCCACTCGCCTTGCTCTTCTATGGCTGTCTATTGCAGTTGACTTTTTATTGTCACCTACATGGGTCGATGGATCACATGGGGACCACACATATTCTTCTTTTCCCTCAACTTTAACAGCAGCCTTGATTCTTCCTGATGATCAGAGTCAATTATCCCTGCCAGAATGCTGGCTTTCCTAACTTGCTTGCCAGCCCCTTGACACAAAGCGCTTAATTAAGTTCCTGGTTGGCAGCCATGACAGAAAGTTCACTGGTTCTCTTGTGTCCCCTGATGTAAGTTTTCCCTTTCTGGGGATTAAGAATGTTGATACTTAGAGCTTGATGTTGTGAGGTAAGCAATTTCCTCAAATAAGACAACAGAGGCAACAGTCATCAGAGCTGCTCATACTTCTGCCCCCTGGTTCCCAGACCCTGTATTTTATTATTTGAGGACTCTCCACTTTAGAATGGTAATTGATAGTGTACTCTTCATTCTGGAGGATAACCATCCATGCTTGCAGTGTATATTCTCTAATCTGAGTCTCAGCTTTGCATTCAATAGGCCATCCCATCACTCTCATAGGCTGTCAGCTTCTTTGAGATGCAGGATGTAATTAGACCAGTGAACCTCAAGATCATGTGCCCATTTCTGCATCTCCTTAGCTGTTCATTGGATTTCTTGTCCTGATCAATGTAATTCAATGTGAGACTCCTAAGTTAGTGGAACAAGCACACTGAGCACTTGCATAGAAGATGGTAACTGGGAAACTATGTGTAGAAAAGGGAAACCCGTATTCAGAATTGTGCCAGTTCCAGTCAAAAGAAAATGCTGCACTTTTCATGGCAAAAGGGGCCCCAGGGAGTAAACTTGCCAGCAAAAGGCTGGTAAATCTCTTCCAGTGAGGTGCTGCATCAGTGATTATGTGCTGGGCTTATTTGCTGGCAAGTGAATATTTAACAGTGTCAGTATAATTATCAGCTATGGTGAATGGGAGCCTGGCCTGTTGGGCCCATGGCTAGGCCCCATCTCTTCCACCATATCTACCATATTCAGACACCCATTATATCAGCACAGGGGTGGCTGATGCAGAAGCTAGGTTAGGGCCACTAGGAGAATCATGCTGTCTACTGTGTTATTGAATGCCTCTTCTGAGATGAATACTACCTGGTAGACAATGAGACGTTGTCCATGCCATGCCTTGCCAGCAGACCAGTCCACGTGCCTCTACTCCTTACCTCCTTGCCTCTGATTTTCCAATCTTTTCTTTCCATGCCCCTAGACCAAACAACCAGAGCAGTTGCTTTTACCCATGAGTATACTCTCAGCTGTCTACTCTTCTGCCCAAAATTGACAATCAAATTCACCATTTGTAGTGCCTTTGAGGAGGATTTCCTCTTACTTCTGTCTTTCAGAACTACCCCGAGTGGAACCAAAGTGCAACTTCAGTTTTAGATTGCACACACATAATGAACTGAACCATCTGTGAACCAAAGTCTTTTTAAAATTTCCTTCTGTATTAGTCAGGGTTCTCTCTAAAGGGACAGTACAAATAGAATATATATAAAAGAGAGTTTATTAAGGAGTATTGACTCACACAATCACAAGGTGAAGTCCCATAATAGGCTGTCTGCAAGTTGAGGAGTGAGGAAGCCAGTCCAAGCCCCAAAACCTCAAAAGTAGGGAAGCCGACAGTGCAGCCTTCAGTTTGTGGCCAAAGGCCCAGGAGCCCTTGGCAAACCACTGGTATAGGTCCAAGAGTCCAAAATCTGAAGAACTTGGAGTCTGATGTTTGAGGGCAGGAAGTATCCAAAACAGGAGAAAGATGGAGGCTAGAAGATACAGCCTGTCTAGTCCTTCCATGTTCATCTGCCTGTTTTTATACTAACCACACTGGCAGCTGAGTAGATGGTGCCCACTCAGATCAAGGGTGGGGCTGCCGCTCCTAGTCCACTGACTCAAATGTTAATCTCCTTTGGCAACACCCTCACAGACACACCCAGGAACAATATCTTGGATCCTTCAATCCAATAAAGTTGACACTCAAGATTAACCATCACACCTTGCCTGTCAGCTGGTCATAAGGGATCTGCATCCCATGTGGTCTTAGACATAAACTGAAAGGTGGATATCTGGGTCATACGAGGATGCAACTTTTTTATTTCTTCCAGCCATGGTTGTGTCTGAACCAAGATTAACAACTTCCATGTTACGATGGTTTACTGCTGGGCCTCTCAATTTTGTGACTTGTTGTAGTTGACTGAATCCAGATGTGAATGGGCAATTACGGCCTCATGGTCATATCAAGAACCATGGTCAGGCATTCCAATTCTCAACGGAGACTCAGCAGCATATCAGGTGCTCTTTTATAAAAGGTATATTAATTTTCCACTAAAAATTGCACAGCCTTGCTTCAGAATCTGAAGTGTCTACATAGGGCTTGCTATAAAACTACTCCTGTATGTTTCTTCAGATACTGCTAATATTATAGGGTATTCTTTATGATAATGTTTATATGAATCAAGTGGTGGTACTGTTACATAAGCCACAGCCTGAGCCTGATGCAAAGCCTTTCTTGCTCTGGGAACCACTGAAGCTGGTGAATTGAAAGGCATTTCATTTCACTTATTGTATAAGCAGGAACTGTATTTCTGGGTATGGATTAAGTTGTCTTCATGACCTAGCAGCATGTCAGGCATTGCATTTTCTTTACCATGTGGTACAGCAAGATGCAAAAATCTGTCCTGTACTTTAGAAGAGATATAATGGTATACCAGGACTACTGGATCCTTAAATACTTAACCGAGTCTTCACGGTTCAGCTGTCATTCTACAGAGAATATATTTCTTACCAAGGCCTTCAACCAACTTGACAATTTCTGCTCATCTGGTTTTGTTTTCTTGAGGTCATGAATATATTGGATTGGTAGGATGATACCACTGAAGCTACCACGATTTCTCTGGTCTTTGTAAGGACAACATTGGTGAACTAAATGGGGATATAATTGGGACCACACTCCTGTATTTTTAGGTATTTAAGGGTGGCACTAAACTCTGCAATTCCTCACAAAGGTTGATTATGCTTTTGTTTGCTATCTTAGAGGGGTAACTATTGAGTAAATGAGTTATTCTATTGATATCATTATAATTCTTGATGTCAATCAGGCTCAAAATTTGATACTACTCTGCCCCACATCTAGTGAGTCACCAGATCTAAACTAACTGTGAAAATTTCCAAACCCCTCCCCTTTGCTCAATCATTATTATTATTGTACTAGTTCAGGTATTTATGTCTTTTCTCTAGGTTATTATGTAAAACTTTTGTTTACATTCAAGCTCTTTCCAATCCAATTTATTATCTTAATGCAATATTCTTTTTTCAAAACCTTCCCCATTCTCAAAAGATATTGGCTATTTGTAGTCTATAAAAGCCTGGAGAGTGTAAATCCCTCCACAGTTCATATCTGTCATTAACCCTGGATCTGTTCACTGAAACACTTCAATCCTGGGATTATGGCTAGAGATGTTAGTGGTGCCACATATCTGAGTTACCAGTGGTGAATCCTTACAGATCTGCAGCAACCTCAATTCTTGCCTCCTCTGAAGAAAGAATTGGATGGAGAAGCATAAGGCTGAATAAGACACCAAGGCAAGTTTTAGAGCAGGAGTGAAAGTTTATGAACAAGCTTTAGAGCTAGAATGAAAAGAAAGTACACTTGGAAGAGGGCCAAGTGGGCATCTTGGAGGACAAATGTGGGGTTTGACCTTTTGACTTGGGGTTTTGGATGTCAGCGTACTTCCAGAATCTTGTGTCTCTTCTCCCCTGATTCTTCCCTTGGGGTGGGTTGTCCACATGTGCAATGGCCTTGTGGAGGGATGCAAATGTGGAGGGGAGCACGCACAGTGTGTTAGTGTGTTTAGTGGAGTTGTATGCATGCTCACTTGAGGCATTCTTCCCTTACCAGTGGAATGCCCCTGGAAGATCATGTACCTGTTAAACTCCACCATTTTGCCTTTTAATGCACATGCTTGAGCACACCCACTCAACTCCTGAGATCTTATCCAGAAGCTGCTTATCACTAGTTTCAGGCCTTTTCTTTTCTTTTTTTTTTTTTTTTTTTTTTTGAGATGGAGTCTCGCTCAGCTGCCCAGGATGGAGGGCGGTGGCGTGATCTCAGGGCTCACCACAACCATTGTCTCTGGGGTTCAAGCGATTCTCCTGTCTCAGCCTCCCTAGTAGCTAGGATTACAGGCACCCACCATCATGCCCAGCTAATTTTTGTATTTTAGTAGAGACGGGGTTTCACCACGTTGGCCAAACTGGTCTTGAACTCCTGACCTCAGGTGATCCGCCTGCCTCAGCCTTCCACAGTGCTAAGATTACAGGCATGAGCCACCGCGCCTGGCTTGTTTCAGTTATTTTCTACCTGTGGGGACAATGCCTTTCCTTGGTGCTGGCTGCAACCAGTTATTATTTGAGAGAGACAGTTAACAACCACCTGACTATCACTTGATGGTCACCTGACATTCCTAATTGGTGGTGGGGGGTGTCTCTTGCCTGACTACCTACTGTAACAGAGATTGTGTATTGTTGTATGGGGAAGATGACAGCTAAAAGTGAAATTTACATTTAGACCAATTTCAGCTCAATTCTTAAAAGGTATTTTAGGGAAGTAGAACTACTTTATTCCAGAAGATATTATTTAATTACATAGAAGAACTTAAGGATACAGAGTGATACTATGTATGGAATAATGGGAAGGGTTATTCTGCTTTCTGACAGAAGTTGAATTAGATTAACTGGAATATCTTTGTGAATTAAATATCTTGAAACTTTTGATAAACTTTTAAAAAATTCAAATTTTCCATTTTAGATTTTAAGAAAATAATTAACCGTGCTCTTCATAATGCTTCCAAAATGAAGGATTTTCATCTCAACACCCTATGCTGGAGTTATTTAATTCAAACAGAAAGAAAAGAAAAGAAAGCCTCAGAATTCATAAGAATGCTGTGATGAGTGTGATAACATGTTATCTACAGCCTTTGAGCCCTTTGAAGATAAGCTGTTGAATAATGTCACTACATTATTATTATAGTTAGAATATAAATACAGGTTTAGCATCCTGTCAAGATAATACAACTTTCAAAAGAATACAAAGTGAGAAATTCACATGTGCAATTTTAAAGGAATGAGGCAAGATTCAAAAGATAAAATCAAACAAAAGATATCATATTTTATTATCTTTATATATCCTTTTCATAAAAATAAGTCATAAAAATATACATAGATAGATAAATTAATTTTAAATTTAAGTTTGGTTGCCCATTACTTTATGTGGGAGAGTATTTTGAGCAGTCCAAATGAACTTAATTGAAATAAAACTGTTCAACTGATTTATTTACATTAAGATCAATATCAGTTTTTAAACTGGACATTTCTCTAACATTTGTGTTAAAACTAAAAATTAGTCATAATTGTTACGTCTCTATGTTTTAGTTAATTAAATATTATGATTAATATAAAAAAGAAATGATTTTAGTATTTTAGTATTATTGTCTTTAAAGCTATTTTTTCACAGTGTATAGTCCTTTGATGTAAGTCATTTGGGTTATTCCTCAAAACTAAACAATTGCTTAATTACTCCAAGGCACAGAATCCACACTACAATTTTAAAACATCAAAATGGGAAAAGTAATTAGTCTCTTGAGTATAATTAATCCGTCTGCTAAGAATTGGGCCAAATTGTAGTTTAGCGTTCTCTAGAATTCAGAAGCCAATTTTAATTACACTGAAACGTTGAGCTTGAAGCTTGTAGACTTTGGCTCTAAAAGTAAGTTAAATCTTTATATTTATGGTGGACTTGAAAAAACACAGGACACATGGAAAGGAAGGCTTTACTTCCAGAACTAGACATCTACAGCAAAACTTCAGGATTGTTTATTCTTCCTTTATAAGCTAGATATGGTTTAGGGACCATTGAGTGCTTGATAGGCATTTCATAAAGCAAATGCAATTTATTTCTACTGCACTTTCATTGACAAATATCAAACACAAAGTTACTGGATATTAACACAGAGAAAAAGACAAAAATAATTTTTACAGTAAACTTTAGAGAGAGGAGAATGTTGTTTGTTAGCAGCAGAAATGACGCACTTTGCAAAATATGCATCAAATGATCACTTCAGCAAATGATCAATTCAACAAAAGATTTGTTTGCTGTATTTATTTAATTTAGTAAAGCAATGTTTTTAAGAATGCATGAATTTCTCATCAATTCACACTGTTTTAATATATTTTAAAGGTTTCTACAGAGTTTTCAATTTGTATTTGTAGTAGCAGTTTAAGAAATGTATTTGACAAAAGCTAAGGGCTATTGGAAAGTTTAAATTTCCTTTCAATATATTTGGTATTCATAAAAGCCTATTTTATTCACCTGTAGCCTAAATTTAAGCATCACTTTACAGTGTTCAGTCTGTGCTAATATATTTTGAATCATTTGCAACATAATACTTATGTTATAAGCCATGTATCACTACCAAGATGCCTTCTCCAATTTTTCAAGTAAGAAATTGTTTCTCATATCTGTATCATTCAGAAGTGAAAATATACTGCGCTTCATTTATTTCTTATATATTACCTGTATTTTGAATTTTTAAAGAATTTCTAAACAAAACCTTCCTTTGCTCTTTTGCATGCAAAGTTAATGTACATAGAATTAGAGATACAAATAGTGCTGCAAATTTAATTAATATAGTAATCCTTTCTAGGAAAATCCCTAGGAATAAACGTAATAAAGATGGCAGGAGATATATTAAAAGCAAACAAACATTTACTGAGGCATGTAGAGAAAATACAAACAAATGAAAGCCACATTTCTTTCCTGACTGGGAAGATGAAATGCAAACTTTACTTCTCTCTGTGATAATTGGAACACTTTATGTGAAAAATAACACAAAACCAAGTCAAACTGGCACTGTGGATGAGAGTGTTGATTCAATCATGTGTATGGAAGTTCAAAAGAAAAGTGAAATTCAAGGTTGGCTTAATTTATTGACTTAATTATGTCTAAAATCTATTTGTTTTTAAACATTTTTTTTTCTTCCTGGCATGTTTTTAGCTTTATTCTAAATCTAAAATTGACTTTTTTCCTGATTGCAAGTCAATTGCCAAAACTTCCCTGAGCTAGAATATTCCTCATTCACATGGTGGGGAATTTGGGGCAGGGCATGGAGAGATAAGCGGAAAGAAAGACAGCTGTATATCTCTTACAAACTTCAAACAAAAATCCTGAAATGCATTCTAATTGGCCAACCTTAAATTATGTGGCCAGTTCTTAGCTAGTCACTACAATGAAGAAAGTGCCAGATGCTGATTAATTTAAGCCAATAAAGAGCTACCTTTGGAATGGAAACCAAATTTCTTGGCTACTATTCAAGAATAATAATAGAAGTGAGGTTGTAAATAAAAATAAAATGCTGTACACACTTTCCAAATTAGTTATTATTTACCGTATAGGCATTTAAATTAAGTGGTATTGGGAGAACTTGACAAATTTGTTCTAATGTTCATCTAGAAAAGTATCCCTAAATTCAAATGTTTATAAGGTCAAAGTAGTTAAACCTACAAAATCAAGTCAAATGAAAGGGCATTTATAATATGCAAAGATAGGGTAAACCTGATTTTTTTTTCCTAACTTGGACTCTATAAGAGTAATTATTAGTCTAGGTAAGAGTTACAACCCATACCATCCCATGCAAATCTGAACATATGTGTGTATATATATTTGTACTTTATATATATATATATAAAATATATATATGTTATATATGTGATATATATGTATATATAATACATATGATATATATGTGATATATATATAATTATTATTATCCTCTCTCTCAAGAGCAGTCTCTCAGCATGTGCCAATTATTGCCATATAAGAAACAGTCTCAGCATCACTGGATTTTCTGATCTTTCAGTAGGAAAAAAATCCAATTTTTATATGAAATATCCTAATTTTAAAATATTGCTTTAATTAAAAATTAGCTGGAAAATATTTGTTGTTTTTCAACCTCTGTTCTAGGAAGTAAATGAATAAAAATAGCTCTTGTTATTTGAAGAAAAAAAGCACAAAAAACTAAGTATATTGCCAAATATTAAAACACATAAAAACCGCCGTAATTAAAGCAGTGTGGTATTGATGTAAGAATAGGGAGATAAATTAATGGAAAACAAAACACAAGTCAGAAACAGAGCCAACAATATGTAAGCATTCAGTATGGTCATCATACAAAACTCATTTCTCCAGTACATTTTTTCTCTCCATTTCCATAGCCACTACCCTGATCTCAGCCACCATCACTTCTCACCTGGATTCCTAATAAAGTCTCTGAGCCTCACCTTTTATCTACTCATATTACTCTTCAATCTATTCTACATACTATGGCTAGAGTTTTGAAAATTACAAACCTGAACTTATTATTTCTTTATTAAAGTACATCAATAAATTTTCATTGTTTTAGTACAAAGACAAAATTTCTTCATGACTGTTATGAAATTCACAGAATGGCCCTTACCTGCTCTTATACTTCAACTTGTCCAGCTCTCTCGTATTTAGGCTTTATTTTCAAACCTGGTAAGTTCGAGATACTTAATATACATATAAATTGGAGGTACTGAATAAAAAAATGTTACATGCAAGTCATGAGTTCAAGAAAGACTGTTAACCTAGATGCATAACCCTGAGAAACATTAGTGTTCTTATGTGCTAAAAGCAATGAAACTGAGTTTACTTAAAGAATATACATAGATACAGAAGATTAGAACTCAAATATCTAAAGAAAACATGCTCTACAGCACAATGCAATCATACTATTCAGCCTTTTAAAAGAAGTAAATTCTGTCACTTGTGACAATATAGATAGAATTGGAGAACATTATGCTAAGTGGAATAAGCCAGGCACGGAAAGATGAATACCACAAGTTCTCACTTCTATGCAGAATCTAAAACAATTGAACTCATAGAAGCAGAGAGCAGGATGGTGGTTATAGTCGCTGCAGATTGAGAGAAATGGGGAAATGATGGCCGAAGGGTAAAAAATCTCAGAAACGAGGAATATATTTTTTAGTTCTATTACACAGCATGGTAAATATGGTTAATAATAGAGTACTATACATTTCAAAATTGCTGAGAATAAATTTCTAATCCTCCCACGGCAAAAAAAAGTTAAGTATTTGAGATAATGGATTTGCTAACCAACTTGACATAATAATTCACATTGTATTTACGAAACATAGCATCACTTTGTACCCCATAAATGTATATCATTATAAATTACCAATTTATAATTTAAAAAATAAAATTATAAAATTGTAAAAGCAAATATAAGAAAAAGAAGTCAAAGACCTGATTGCTGTAGCATCCAGCATTTAGAGGTGAGAAAAATTAAAAAAGGAAAAGCAGAGTAAAGTGAGAAGAAGCTGCCAGTAAAGCAGGAAAGAAACCAGTGTCATTTTTCGGAAAGAGATGAGGAATAAAAGAAGGTACAATCACTATAATATGTCAAGAAAAAGACATAAATTTATGAAGATTGAAAATGACAAAAAAAAAGCTGTTGTATTCACAAAGTATGTTACTATCCGTATAGAAAACCCAATGGAATCTAAAATTTTTATAAATAATGCAGAAATCTAGTAACTTCAGTAAATATGCAATCAATATACAAAAATCAATGTTTTTCTGTCTGTAACAAAAGTGAAAAAAGCATAGTTTTGCAAGGATTCTATTTTCCATAGCAACTCCTTTTTCTCCTGAATCTCAACTCAACTGACTTTTTCAACTCAATCTCTTTTTCTTTTCATGCTTTGTGTATGTGTATGGGTGTGTACCACAGGCATATCTCTGATAAAATGTGAGCACAATCTTTACAGAGCAAATTACAAAATCTTATTGAGCTATATTACATAGAAACATATATCTATATACCACATTGATATATGGGAAATGTTAGTATCTTTAAAATATCAATTATCTTCAATTACTCTATAAATTCACAATATTCTAAACAAAATCTCAGTAGTTGTGAAGTACTTGGAGGAACTTGACAAGTATAACTTAAAATATATGTAGAAATGCAAAAAGCTAAGAATAGCCAAAAATTTGCAACACTGGCTTCGGTAAAAGTATTAAACAAAGATAGTGTTGGAATAAAAATCACAGATATGAGTTTATGGAATTTTTATAGATGACAGAATTGGCATTTCAGTTCAGAAAAGGATGGAATAGTATTTAATAATTTGTAATATAATACTTATCAATGGTGGGGTTGGGAATAGATCTCTATGTTGATATCAAAATCAGTTCCTCATGCATTAAGCACTTCAATGTAAAAAGAAACATTTTAGAACTCTCAAAAGAAACCATATAAGAATATATTATTTTCTCACAATAGTTTAAAATATATTAAACAAGATCAAAAAGAAAAAAACACAGTACATAAAATATTGCTAATTCATGTACATTCATATTCAGAGTACTGTTCTTTAAATCATAAGAAAAAATTATCACAAACTAGGTAGGATATATAGAGGAAATATAAGCACAAAGTGTTAATATACCAAATATATAAAGAAAAACACCAGAAACTCCATGGGATAATATGACAAAGATATCAACTGTCCATAAATAAATAAGGATAAGCCAGTGAACAATACGTATATGAAAATATGAAGAATCTCACTAGTAAGAGCTCAGTAAGAGGTCTAAATTTTACTTTCATTAGTTTGGCAGAAAGTAAAAAGTGTATCAATATCAGGCATTTATAGACATGGAGCAATAAGAAACACCACCTGACGTTGCTAGAAATTAATTATATAAAACCAAACTGAGAATAATTTGCCCCACCGTATAGAAAAATTTATATTAACTCTAAGACTCAATAATCTTACTCTTAGTTATAAACTCTAGAGAAACTCTTGCACACAAACACAAAGAAACATACATAAGAATTTTCTTAGAAGTTCTGGTTGTAAAAAAAAAAGGAAATGGAGGGCTGGGTGCTGTGACTCTCTCCTGTAATCCCAGCACCTTGGAAATGGAGGCAGGAGGATTGCTTGAGCCCAGGAGTTCAAGACCAGCCTGGACAACAAAGTGAAATTTCATCAATGCAAAAAAAAAAAAAAAATTTCAATTAGCCAAGTGTGGTGGCATGTGCCTGTGTTCCCAGTGAATCAGGAGGCTGAGGCAGGAGGACTGCTTGTAGCCAGGAGATTGAGGTTGCAGTGAGCTTGTTTTCAAATAAAAGATGTTGGCAAGGTTGTGGAGAAAAGAGAACACTTATACACTGTTGATAGGTGTGTAAATTAGGTCAACCACTCTGGAAAGCAGTACAGTGATTCCTCAAAGAGCTAAAAACAGAGCTACCATTCAACTCAGCAATCCCATTACTGGGTATACCCAGAGGATACATAAATCATTCTACAGTAAACACTCATGCATGCAAATGCTCACTGTGGCACTGTTCACAAAAGCAGACATGGAATCAAACTAAATGCTCATCAATGACAGATTAAATATTTTAAAATGTGGTACATACACACCATGGAATACGATACAGCCATAAAAAAGCAAAAAAATCAGCCAGGCATGATGACTTATGACTCACACCTGTAATCCTAGCACTTTGGAAGGCCGAGGCAGGCAGATTGACTGCACTCCAGAGTTCAAGACCAGCCTGGGCAACACGGTGAAACCCCATCTCTACTAAAATACAAAACATTAGCCAGGTGTGGCAGCATGCTCCTGTAGTCCCAGCTACACAGGAGGCTAAGGCAGGAGAATTACTTGAAACCGGGAGGCAGAGGTTGCAGTGAGCCGAGATCACCCCACTGCACTCCAGCCTGGGCAACAGAGTGAGACCCTGTCTCCAAAAAAAAAAAAAAGAAAGAAAGAAAAAAAAAGATCATGTCTTTTGCAGAAACAGGATGAAGCTGGAGGCCATTATTCTTAGCAAACTAACACAGGAACAGAAAACCAAATACCACATATTCTCACTTAAAAGTGGGAGCTAAATGATGGGAACACATGGACACATAGAGGGGAACAACAGATGTTGAAGTCTATTTGAGGGTGGAGGGTGGGAAGAGGGAGAACAGCAGAAAACATAACTATTGGGTACTAGGCTAAGTACTTGCGTGATGAAATAATCTGTACAACAAACTCTGTGTCACGAGTTTACCTATATAATAAACCTGCATGTGTACCACCAAAACTAAAATAAATGTTTTTTAAAAATGGAAGTAGTCTAAATGTCTGTGATCACACACACAAAAAGATTATACTATATTCATGCAATGGAATCCTACATACCAGATCAAGGAAATGAACTAAAGCTACATTTATCACACAATCAAGGTAATAAACATATCCTTCACCTCTAGAAGTTTCCCTGTTGTGTCTGTTTCTATTTTTTATGGTGTTTTAATATAATACAACAACCCAGCAATTGTACTCCTGGGTATTTATTTCAACAAAATGAAAATTTATGTCCATACAAAAACCTGTACATGAATGTTCAGAATGTCTTTATTTGTAATAGCCAAAAGTTGAGAACAACCCTAATGTCCTTCAATGGGTGAATGAATAAAAATAAATAAATATCCATAATATAGACTACTAGTCAGCAATTAAAAGGAAGGAGCTAGTGATATACTATACTACTTGCATGTATTTCAAGGGCATTATGCTGAGTGAAGAAAGTCAACCATAAAAAGTTACACACTGTATATTTCCATTTATATAATATTATCAAATGACAAAATTATTGTCATTTGTGATGTCATTGTGACAAAGCTAGGATTAGGAATTTTCTTTGTGTTGATAGAATGGTTCTGTGTCCTGATTGTGGTGGTGGTTATATGGATCTGTATCTGTCTGTCTGTCTGTCTGTCTGTCTATCTATCTATCTATCTATCTATCTGACAAAAAAAATGTATCATGCTATAAACCAAAAACAAAATAAAACAAATATATGTAAAAACTGGTGAAATCTGAAGAAAGTCTGTAGTTTACTTAACAGTATAGTATCAATGTGAGTGTCCTGCTTTGGATAATGTTCTGTGCTTATGTAAGATGTTGTTATTGGAGAGAGCTGAGTAGAAAGTCCAAGGATAAGCTATGTATTACGATTGCAGCTGGCTATGAGTCTTAAACTGTTCCAAGATAAAAAGTTAAGCAAAAAAATTTAGACTCTTCTGCTTATTTCTCTTATTATGCAAAAAAAGGGCCTAACCAAGTATTCAGAAATCACTTTTTTCCTTCTAAGGAAGCCTGACCACCTTTCACAAAAACACATTTAAATACTAGCTACTTCAATAAATAGTTCTTTGTGTAGTCATGCAGCAGTCTTTAGTAACATAAGACTTTTCCAAATTGCCACTAACAGAAAATTATTATTAGTGTGACTTCGCCTCCTGAAGGAACTTGAACTCACACACACACTCACAGCAGGAACAGACTTAAGCCTGCTGGGTTTTCAAGCACTGTAATGTAGTGAAGCAAGAGAAAGGCAGCATGAAGGAAACAGGGAGGATGTAGAAGGAGCCTCACTCTAATACATCACTGGTTTAATTCTCTTCTCCCATTATGGCATATTTAGCCTGTTATAAAGGTTAGGGATTTTTGATAATGGTAAATCTATGCAGAGTAAGGTCCATCTGTATTTTAAAATCCCCAATAAAATATACAAACTCCCTGTATATATTTATTTATATCCATTTAAAATGCTGAAACTCCCTCTTCCATTCATTAGCTGTTTTGTTGTCTTCACAAAAATCATGGGGAGAAAACATTTAATTAGTATTTCACCTTAAATGAATAGAATGGATAAGAAACCAATTAGTCTTTAGATAATAGAAAGTCTAATTAGCCACCAAGTATTCAACAGAAAATCTTCATTGTTTTCCTTTCTGTAACTGAGGCAGCATGCACGGATCAGATCAGAATCCCAGGAGTGCCTAATCTAATCCCTCTCCTGCCTCTAACGTATTGCTAAAAGCATAAACAGATCGCTTTATTGAGAGATTAATACATTTAGCAAATATACCTGAGGGTAGCAGTGCTTTGAATGTGTGGAATGTGATTGGGAACTCCGGAAAACAAGCTTACTCTTCCATAGTCTAATACCTGTCACTTTATTGTTGTGAAGAACAAGATGACAAGAAGCAAACACTAAAAGCATTCCGCGGAACCTGGAAGTGTGTGTGTTTGTTTGTGAGCACATGCACATGTGAGCGTAGTGAGAGTTCAACCAGGGAAGACTCAACTTTAAGGGCAGAAACAGAGGACATGACTATTAACTAAGATTTGAACATTCTAAAATTGACAGGTAAAGCATGAAGGAGGGGGATGTCTATTTAAATACGTAGAAGCTAAGTGTTTAGCTCCATTCACCACGCCTTCTTGCCTTGTTCTAGATGAATTTGGCAATTTGTCCATCTTGTTACACAGATGACAGATCATCACTGCTCTATTGAGCTTCCACACGGCAGTGGAAGAAAAAGAAGAGAACTTGGCCCCATGGGCAGGTGAATCTACAAGTGAAAATATCAGGAAGAATAAAGCAATTATCATTCTCCACAACAAAATACAGTACAGACAGACCTCAACTTATGATGGTTGAATATAGGATTTTTCAACTTTACGATGCTGTGAAAGCAATACACATACAATGGAAACCATACTTCAAGTACCCATACAACAATTCTGTTTTTCACTTTCAATACAGCATTCAATAAATTACATGAGTTAGTCAACACTTTATTATAAACTAGGCTTTGTGTTATACTATTTTGCTCAACTCTTGTTCCTGTTGCTCTGAGCACATTTAAGGTAGGCTAGGCTCAGCTATGATGTTTGGTAGTGTAGGTATATTAAAAGCAGTTTTGACATATTTTCAACTTACTGAGATGTGTGTGACCCCATCATATGTAGTGAGGCATCTGTACTCTCCTGAGGATGGAGAGCAGCTTCCTGAAGTCTCCTAAGTAAGGTATATCTAGAATGGAGGGTGACAGGAAAGACCCATACACTAAAATGTAAAGACATAAAATATAAGCAGCAGACATTTATGCAGCCAAAAAACCATGAAAAAATGCTCACCATCACTGGCCATCAGAGAAATGCAAATCAAAACCACAATGAGATACCATCTCACACCAGTTAGAATGGCAATCATTAAAAAGTCAGGAAACAACAGGTGCTGGAGAGGATGTGGAGAAATAGGAACACTTTGACACTGTTGGTGGGACTGTAAACTAGTTCAACACTTGTGGAAGTCAGTGTGGCGATTCCTCAGGGATCTAGAACTAGAAATACCATTTGACCCAGCCATCCCATTACTGGGTATGTACCCAAAGGACTATAAATCATGCTGCTATAAAGACACATGCACACGTATGTTTATCGCAGCACTATTCACAATAGCAAAGACTTGGAACCAACCCAAATGTCCAACAATGATAGACTGGATTAAGAAAATGTGGCACATATACACCGTGGAATACTATGCAGCCATAAAAAATGATGAGTTCATGTCCTTTGTAGGGACATGGATGAAATTGGAAATCATCATTCTCAGTAAACTATCGCAAGGACAAAAAACCAAACACCGCATGTTCTCACTCATAGGTGGGAACTGAACAATGAGAACATATGGACACAGGAAGGGGAACATCACACTCTGGGGACTGTTGTGGGGTTGGGGGAAGGGGGAGGGATAGCTTTAGGAGATATACCTAATGCTAAATGACGAGTTAGTGGGTGCAGTGCACCAGCATGGCACATGTATACATATGTAACTAACCTGCACATTGTGCACAAGTACCCTAAAACTTAAAGTATAATAATAATAAAATAAAATAAATAAATAAAAAAGAAAAAAAGAAAAGAAAAAATAAAATAAAATAAAATAAAATATAAGCAGCATTGAGACCATTAACATTCCTCAGGCATCACATCTGCAATGTTGAGCTGCTTACCAGATTTTTCATATTTCAGAATTGAGTGCTTTCATAATAGCGTCCAAGAGCACTGTTTGAATTTAGAAAGCAATAAGATTATAATCTTTAAATCCCATCTCAAGTAGCTTAACCTCTTTGAGAATCAATTCTTTATTAGCAAAACAGGACCTTGTACAATTAGTTCTTATGTGTCTACATTTTATGAGGAATAGTATCCCATCATTAGCAGCCAGGTCCTTAAATGGGGCTGAAGTCACCCAGCTCACAGAATAATAGAAACTACATGAATCCTGTGGTGCTCAAGACATCTAAAGAATATTAAATATCCAAGTCTAGCCTAAACTGGGAGTGTTCGCAAGCACTTGATTTGAGTCCCCAGCCTACATTCCAGTATTTTCTAATGGCTTTGCAATTCTGTCCCCTCCCCCCTGCTATCATAATAACTTTTATATCTTCTAAACTGAATTAAAGAGGAATGAAGGAAATTTTTGAGTGTTTTCCTTCAGAGGACAGGCATATGCCACTCTATAACACGCACTAACCACTGACTACAGACTTCCTGTGGCCCTATGCCCTATGTAAATATGAGATGTGAGAAGTATGTTCTTCACCTTCCTTCTATGCAGCTTTTAGGTCACAATCACAAATTTCAGAGAAAAATGCCATCTGACTCTCCAACCATCAGTTGAATAGATGAATCTTTTTTTTTTTAAAGAGCTTTGAGAAAGCAGAATGAAATGCTGGAGGAGGCTGAGAGGAGAATCAAAAGCACTAAGCCCTGATTTAACTCAATTTCTGATTGAATATAAGCATAGTGAATATTTGATTCCTAACAATATGTAAAATAATATTAATACATGCCAGAACTTAGAGGTAGTAGTGCTCAATAAATAATATTTTATGTATATATATGTGTGTACATGTGGGTGTGCATATATGCACCTACACTCATACATACATACAAATTATCAGTAAAATAAATATAAATTTCAGTGTTACTTTGGGATAGACTCCCAACGATCAAAAAATTGCCAAGTGTGTGCCCTATTATGATATTCAAAGCTCTCTGGTTAGTACATAATTTTTCATATTATAATTTCATGACATCAAATTTCACAATCTCCCAGATTGTTCAGGAGGGAGGCAATCTAGAATTTCTTCTATCATTTTCAAAAAATTGTCTCTAAAGTTATGTCTCATAGAAAAGTCTTAACTTATGAGATAATAATGTTTTTAATATTTTTCTACATACAGGGTAAGGTTTCAACAATTATTCACCCATTCTTTCTTTTTTTTTTTTTTTTAGTGCTTTATAGTTTCCTTAGGATTATATCCTAAATCATTCCCTCTCGTACACAGAAGGTCTTCCCTTCTCAGTTCTTGCAGTGACGCAATATCAGTGCTACTATGATCATACATTATATTTTAAAAATAACCTGCACCATGACATGGACATTTTTATGGGATTCTTATACATATCTTTTATGCAAAAGAAGGCTATTGTTTAAAATTAAATTGTATCTTTAGGAAAATTTATGCCTCATCCATATATTCAGAAAACTGCAGAGACATGTTCTGAATTTAATTATTAAAAGCATGCAAGTCAGTCACACATATATTTACCAAATTATGGACAATGCTAATCTATTCCATCCAGAAAACTATGAACTTTTAGCAGTTTCTTAAATGGGATTATTCATAGCCCAGATTAATTTATTCTGCTGAATATTCTATATTTTGGTAGCTTAACTTTCAGCATGTTGCCTGTATTAGTCTGTACTCACATTGGTAATAAACACATACCCCAAGACTGGGTAATTTATTTAAAGAAAAAGAGGTTTAATAGGCTCACAGTTCCACATGACTGGGGAGGCCTCACAATCATGGCAGAAGGCTAAGGAGAATCAAAGGCATGTCGTACAAGGTGGCAGGAAACAGAGTGTGTGCAGGGGAACTGCCTTTTATAAAACCATCAGATCTTGTGAGACCTATTCGCCATCATGAGAACAACAAGAGAAAGACCCACCACCATGATTCCATTACCTCTCACCAGGTCCCTCCCATGACCCGTGGGGACTATAGGAGCTACAATTCAAGATGAGATTTGGGTGGGGACACAGCCAAACCATATAATTGCCATATATGAGAAACTCCTAAAGACAAATTAATAAAATTACATTATTTTCTTTTTCTCAAATTCATCTTTTTTCTTTCAAAATCACTGATCATTTGGGAAAAACAAAAATAATTATTTAATACTAATAAAGCAACATCATACTTTAAAAGCATATTATCAAGCAGTGGGAATAGTTTTTGGACTGTGGGCTTTCAATTCAGAAAGATGTGAATTTCAATCCCAATTTGTTTCATTCACTAACTGAATAAACCGGAGCAAATAACTAAACTTTGTTAACTTTAGTTTCTTCATCTCTAAAATGGAGATATTGAGTCTACCAGACTCAAAGTAATACTGTGAAGAGAAAATTTTAAAATATGTGAAAAAGTCTTGAAATCTTGAAACATTTTTGAAACACATTGTTAGAACACATTAAGGAATTACTTCTGCTACTACTGTTGAAACCGACCCAATAGACCCACAGACAGTGTTTTTGGACAAACACAAAAATTGACCCTTCTGGTTTTAAAGCTTGAAACTTACATTTGTTTTATCTGATTTTATTCTTCAGGTTAGGACCCCCAGGCCTCTCAAAAATATCAAAGAGCCAAAACTGACCAGATCATCACATCCAGACAATGAGATGCCAGTCCCTTCATTCACCATGACTGCATCCTTACCCCTCCCAAGTTCCTATTTTCCTACACATCATTATATTTCTCTCCTGCTATATAAAACCCCTGATTTCAGTGAGTCACAGAGATGGACTTGAGACTGTTCTTCCAACTCCTCGGCTGCAGCACCCAATTAAAGCCTTCTTCCTTGGTAATAATCGTCTCAGTGTTTGTCTTTGCGGGCAGCAAGCAGCAGAATGTAGACCGAATCCCTGGTGTCATCAATTCTTTTTTTCACCTGTGTGGTTTTCATTGCATTATGTGCATTTACTGTAGTGAATTCATCTAATTCTTTCTGAAGGGCATTCATGTTATTTCCAAGCTTCTGTTAATACAAACATTGTCACAACGAGAAATTCATGCATATGTTAATTAATTTTTTGTAACCCTATCTTTTTTGATAATATCATAGAAGTAGGATTGCTCATTGTCAATATAAATGTATATATGATTTTCCTAAATATTCTAAATTTACTGTCATCTTTGGTTGGTAATTTTGCATTACTACAACACTGTATGAGAGTGATGGGGTCTCCAAAGCCTTACCACAAAGTATGTTGTCAAACTTTTGAATTTGTATCAATCTGATTGTGGAGAAATTGTATCTGAAGTTTATTTAACTTGCACTTATTTATTTAATTGCCTAATTTCTTATTATGCAGGATGTTATGCACCTTTCATTTTACACCCTGCTTATATATTTTCTGTGAAATACATGTTTGCATATTTTGCCTGTTTTTCTATCATGTTATTACATTTTTTCTCTCAATTTTTAGAATCTTTTCATATATAAGGGCAGTTACAGCTATTGCAAATATCTTTCCTCATTTTCCATTTTACTCTGGTGATGTTTATTTGCATGTACTTATTTTAAATTTTTATGTAGTAAAAATTATCCATGTTGAATGCCACAGGATTTTTTTTTCACTTTTAGATTTTGATTCATGGTTAAGAATATCTTTCCTATTGACAGTTAAAAAGAAATTTATCTTTCTGTTATTATTGTTTCACCTGTTAGTTTTGTACAACTTCACCTTTTTATTTAGATCTCTGATCTTTTGAAAATTCATTTTAATGTGTGACATAAGGAAATGATCCAATTTTTTCTTTTTCCAAATTACTTTCACATTATCCAAATATCATTTACTTAATAGTTTTTTGTTCTTTTTGAGAAAGTATCTTTATCATATACTAAATTTACATGTGCCCTTCTGTTTAATTGCTGATTTTTCTATTATGTTCTTTTCCTTCTGTAGTTTATTTCTATAAAAATATCACACTTTTAATTAGATAGACTTGCAATATGTTTTAATAACTTCTAAGACTATTTCAAATGTATTGCTTTTATTTTTAGGGTTTTTTTAGGATTATTCTTGCTTATTTACTTTTCCTATGTCCTCTTATTTTAAAAACAGCTTGCCTAGATCCAGAAAAAGAAAAACAAACTTGTTTCTTTCAGGAGCTTAAAATTATTAGATAATGTTACCATATTTCTTATAATTTTTATGCCTAGATATAACATTGTTGATACTATAACTGTGATTATTTACACATTTAAAATTATTAGATAATGTTACATTTTTTTAATTTTTATGCCTAGGTATGTTATCAGTGTGTTGACATTGTAAATATGATCTTTTCCTCCATGATAACTTTGATCTGCCTATTTTTACATAAGGTTTATAATTTTATTTCTTTATTTATTTTTATTATTTATTTACTTATTTTGAGACAGAGTATCCCTCTGTTGCCCAGGCTGGGGTGCAGTGGCGCGATCTCAGCTCACTGCGACCTCTGCCTCCTGGGTTCAAGCAATTCTCTGCCTCAGCCTCCCGAGTAGCTGGGATTACAGGCACCCGGCACCATGCCCTGCTAATTTTTTTTGTATTTTTAGTAGAGACAGGGTTTCACCATGTTGGCCAGGCTGGTCTTGAACTCCTGACCTCGTGATCCACCTGCCATGACCTCCCAAAGTGCTGGGATTACAGGCATAAGCCACTGTGCCGGCCCTGTTTATAATTTCATATATTTATTTAATTCTCCCAATTAACTAAATTCTCTTATGTTTTCAGGGTTTTTTTAGCTAAACATTATATCATCTGTAATAATTTTGCATGTTCCCTTTATATTCTTATGCCTCTTGTCTAATTACTGTGACTACTCCCCCCATCACAATGTTACAAAGTAGTGATTGTGGGCATGCTTTTCTTCCTTGCTTTAACAGGAATACCTGTGTTCGCTTCTCCACTATGTAGGATAGAATTCTGGCTGGAGTATGTGTGTGTGTATGTGTGTGTCTGTGTGTGCGAAATGCTTTTTTAAATATCTATGGGAAGGACTATACAATTTTTGCTCTTTGTTTTTGTGTTTTTTTAGATCTGTCGACAGGGTGAATTATCTTAGAGTCAGTATTAGTCAGGGCTCTCTAGAAAAAAGAATATGAGGCAATAATTAAAATGTTAACACTTCACTTGAAAGCTGAAAACCCAAAAGATGCCAAGGGTGTGATGAAACAAAAAATGAAATGAGGTTAAGGGAGAAAGGATGCGATGCAATTGCATGTGGTGTATTGCAACACAAGCAACTGCTCCAGGAAGTATCAAAAACAAAAATAGAAACTGCAGGTCCTCTATCAGGTCCATTCACTGGGCACAGGGGATATACCTGTGGAAAGCCTGAAAAGAAAAATCTCACTTCTGTGTAACCCACAAGTGGGATCATTTATCCACTCAGTTCCTTCTCTCCTCGAGTATCTCACTGGTTAAGGTCTCCCCATTTCCTAACGACTACCAAACATTGCAGGTTGCATAATACATTTCTAAGAGGCTGGTCAGAAGTCAGACCCTGTGCTCTGCAATGGATAATTTTATCCAAGTCTGGATGTGTCAGGATAACTTAGCTCAAATACGGCTGAGTGTTTTGAGATTGAGAGATATGCAAGAGCTAGACTTCCTCTTAGATGCTATTTAGCTAGGAGGTCTCCATAAGGGTGCCGAAAATGGCAGTAGTTATGCATGGGAAGCATTAAAATTCTCAGAATGAACAAGTTGCTGAGGAAATTCTGAGGACGCACACAAAATTGGATTCCTGTGTTGTATTAGTCTGTTTTCACACTGCTGTGAAGACATACCAGGGACTGGGTAATTTAACAAGAAAAGAGGGTTAATGGCACACAGTTCTGCATGGCTGGGAGGACTCAGGAAACATACAATCATGGCAGAAGGCGAAACAGGCACGTCTTACATAGCAGCCACTGAGAGAAGTGAGTGAGAGCAATAGAAATGACAGACGTTTATACAACCATCAGATCTCGTGAGACCTCACTCACTATCATGAGAATAGCATGGGGGAAACCGCTCCCATGATCCAATCACCTCCCCTTAAGTTCCTCCCTCAACACGCGGGGATAATAATTCAAGATGAGGTTTGGGTGGGGATACAAAGCTAAACTATATCATATGTATGGTTGACCTTTGAACAATGGTGGGGTTAGAAGCACCAACCCATGCCCAATCAAAATCTGTGTGTAACATTTGACTCCCCAAAATCTTAACTAATAGCCTGCTATTGACCAGAAGCCTTACCAATTACATAGTCACACATATTTTGTATGTTATATGTATCATATACTGTATTCTTACACTGAAGTACACTAGAGAAAAGATAATGTTATTAAGAAAATCATAAGGAAGATAAAATATATTTACAGTACTATATTGTATACATTGATACCATAAGTTTATGTTATCTGCTTACAAGATGAATTAACTCTCTGAAATGGCAGGCAACTGCAGCTACAGACATCAATCTAGACTTTATATCAAGAAATTCAACTTTTTTTTGTAATGTAAGGACTTTTCTCTGCTTCTTGGGAGCACTTCCAGCATCATTAATGGCACTTCCTATAGGTCCCGTGGTGTTATTCAAACTTTACACTATTGCATTAAACATTATGTAAAATACATGAGAAATATAAGAGATCACTTTTTACAGAGATATACAATTTACCAGAGAAATGAACTGCTCATGCAGAGATGATTAGCATCATACAGCATTTTAAGGGGATATGTACAAACACTTGACCTTTACTCCAATAGTAACAGGAGGTGGTTATGAAATTATTACAGTAGTATAGTATGTACTATAGTTAATTTTATGGTTATGATTTAATAAGGCATTTTTACATTCATTTACATTTATCTCAACCATGAATGGCACCATATATGGTCTGTAAATATGTGTGTGACTGTATTGATGGATTTTAACTTTAAATAGTAGATGTGTGTATATTTTATGTTAATAATAAAATATATTGTTATCTATATATATATTTTATGCATTCATGACGGACATTTTTCTTCATTTTTTTCAATATTTTTAAGCTATGTGGTTCTTCTGCAAGTTTTTCAAATTATTGCAAATCTCCAAAAAAATTTCCAATATATTTATTGAAAAAAATCTGTGTATAAGTGGACCCATGCAGTTCAAACCCCTGTTGTTCAAGTGTCAACTCTAATTTACTTCTTGGTCTTCTCAGCTACATTTGTACACTCCTGTTAATTATATCTGGTTTCTATAGCAAAATATTGTCAACCTAAAATAAGAAAAAGGCTAAAAATCTAGTTAAAAGAGTTTATTCAAGTGCAAAATGTGAGGGTGGCTGTCTGGGAAACATGGTTGCCAAAGAATGCTAACCACTGCTCCTAGTAAAAATTGTTTATATATGCAAAAACAGAGGTGCTGAACAGGATTACAACATTCTCCATTCAAAGGCTAACATACAGATATAAGATTTGATTGGCTTCTATTGAGTACACTCCAAAGAGATTGCTTAACATACTATTGTAAAGTGGTAACAATCAGAAGGGTCTCTATTTACAATATAATTTAGTCCAGGTTTGGATGAAGAATAAGGAGTCCAGTTAATGTACAACATCTCAACACAAAGGTCAGGAAGCAATGGTCATGCACCAGGGAAGATAAACACCCATGTTACATAACCCAGTTTCCAGGGCTTAATTTTTCCCCTTGGCATAATAAGTTTGGAAGGTCCTGAAATTTTATTTTCTTTTCCCAATATGGTAATCTGTTTTTTTCCTTCATGAGAATAAACACAAACTCATGCCTTCTCTAGAATGAAAGACACTAGTCCAATCAGTTGCAGTGTATCTTTAGGAAAGTGCCCAGCAATGAACTCACTGAACACTGAACTGAAAGTTTTAGTAAAGTTACATGGGGTAGCTGCCTTGAATATACTTGCAGCAGGGCTCCAACTACAGTGACAAAGATGAACCAAGGACCCCAGCTACAGTGCTCTGAAATCCATGACGGCATTTGCAACAAAACCAAGCTTCCTACAGACTGACGGTAACCAGTAACTGAACCCCAGAGGAATGGTAAGTAAGGTACACTTATTCCTGGGAAACATGGGACTCCTTTGAGAGACAGCTTTGGCTTAAGGGCTCCATGATAGAATTACCAAACATTCTTTAGACTATAAGGCAATCTAGGGGGCTTTCACCAACCTTTCCTCCCTTTCCTTCAAGCAGGGCTAGACTTTTATCAAGTCTAGTGCTTCTCTCAAAGAAAAATTTCACTGGACAGAGTTAAATGGTCAAAGAAGACTTTTTTTCCAAGATTGCAATGGGAAAGAGAGAGATCAAATTCAACTCCTCTGAAAGAAAAGCTGGGAGAGTTATTTAGCCCTGGGGTGAGCTAGTGGAAAAGTGCTGGAGGACATTAGGAAGAGGATGGTCAATGTGATTAGGCATCTGTGTTTGCTAATTGGCCCTTATTATGGTCAGGCTTCTACCCTAGCACAGACACTGGGAGAGACAGAGACACTACCTTTCTTGAAGATTATATTTCAAAGAGCTGGTTCCCAGGTATTTGAGAAAGACATTCCTGGGTTTTGGAAGTGGCAAGAGGCTGGGAGAAGATTTATATCACAAAAAGACAGAAGCATTTACAATTTTAAGTTTTCTAAAGTAAATTTTTAAGAAAATGGAGGACAGGGACCTATAGTCAGGAAGAAAGATGTTTAAAGTGTAGTGAAGCTGAGGGGAATGTTTAGGCTGTCTTGGTCATTTCTTCCAGCCTTCTCAGGTTAACTCCATATTTTCTCTCACAGAGGTGTTTCCCCCAATAAAATCTTTACCTGCTTTGGTGTCTACATCTCAGAAGACCAAGACCCAAGACTAGCACCACTGATACCAGGAGTAGCCCAAGAATGCAAGTGGTAATTTGGGGATGGCTCACTCCTTTCCCTGACACAGAAGAAGATGCCATTCTGTCACAAGGTGATGACTCATTGTTACAGCTTTTGACAGTGTGACCTGGAAAAATGTCCAGGGGTAGGAAATGCTGCAGCATGTGCAAAAATACAGGCACCTAGAAAACATGGGGAGAAAGGGAATGCCTAAAAGGACAGCAACATTGGTTGGTTACTACTAAATTGTATTGACACTCTGCAAAGGCATGGTGAAATAGTGAGTGATCTTAACAAGTATTTAATAACTACATGTGGGTTTAGGTGGTAGGTGAGAAAAAATATATTTCATCCTCTTTTTGGACTTAATTATGGTACACTTTCATCTTGTTGGAATATACTCAATTCATGTTCATACATTTTTTCCTTGTAATATCTATGTTTTCAGTTCTATTATTAACCTTTCCACCCCAGTTGTATATTAGACTGGTTTTCCTAAACTCCTTGCAGTTGGTTCATTTGTAGGAGGTGAAGATAAGTTAGAGTAGTTTTTCCAATTTCATGACTCCATAAATCTCTCTTCTGTCAAAGCTGCTATATTTTCAAAAATGTGCCACTTGTTTAGGCAATTCCTTGTCTTTCAGAAACAGAAAGTCTTATGAAAACTTACTGTTTTTACTCCTAAATTGTCCATGCTTTAAAGGCCTTACATCCCAAAATGGTGTCATCTTAAAAAATTTGTATATATATTTTGCTAGCCTCTTAAAACTCTGCCTTTTATAGACATCTGTCCATTCCACTCAGTGTATGAACTCTTTTTTTTTTTTTTTTTTTTTTGAGATGGAGTTTCGCTCTTGTTGCCCAGGCTGGAGTGCAATGGCGCAATCTTGGCTCACTGCAACCTCCACCTCCTGGGTTCAAGCAAGTCTCCTGCCTCAGCCTCCTGTGTAGCTGGGATTACAGGCAGTGCCACCACACCTGGCTAATTTTGTATTTTTAGTAGAGATGGGGTTTCTTAATGTTGGTCAGGCTGGTCTCTAATTCCCGACCTCAGGTGATCCGCCCGCCTCAGCCTCCCAAAGTGTTCGGATTACAGGCATGAGCCACCGTGCCTGGCTGAATTCTTTTGTTTTAATCTCAGAGATTCTCAGTTTTTATACGTTGCCCAGTTATACTTGTTTTCTAGCAGGGTTTTTTGTTTTTTGGATTTTTTTTCCAGGTCAAAATTCTAAAAGAGACTTTTAAAATCCCTTCTAAAAGGGACTATATGTTGAATATTTTTGAGGCTCTAGCAAGCATAGGTTGTTTCAAAACTGTTTAAATTTCCTCATGGGCCGCTAAGTGTTTAAGTGAAGTCTGACAGGACTCATCAGACACTGGAAGGTATAAGGGTTTCTCAGAGTTTCCTGGTTTACCACCTAAGTTCTCATTCATTAAGAAGCACTGTTTTGGCTGGTAAGAACGCTCAATAATTTCCGCACTCCTCTGCCGATAGGATTCTCCACACTTCTCTGTACAACTATTGTTACACAGCCAATGGTCTTGATGCCAATGGATGCACTGGATTTTGTTGTTGCTGTTTATTTTTGTTTGTTTCTGTCTTTTTGTTTTTGTTCTCTATTGATCTCTAGTTGATCTCTATTAATTTGATGGAAGGTTTGTAGAGATTCATAAAAATGTATAGTGATTCCATATTCTTGACACCAGAATTTCTTTAACTTATTTGGAATTGAAGTGATTTAATTCAAAAATATGCTGAAATTTAATCAGTTAATAGTGTTGTTTTGGAATTTGCCTAATTAGAAAGTGGGTTGCCATCAGAGAGGAGCATAAGAGCTCATGCATGATGCACAACAATCTAAAATCACAAGCATTTCTCTTTCTGAATGTATTTCTTGTAAATGACAGAAAATACAGGTTACTTTAATAAAATAACAACAATTCAAATGATAGTTAACAGCAAGAATAAAGCCAAAAGGGAGTAAAATTTTATGTCCAAGGTGTTGAAACCAAATAACCATTAAAAATTACAAATTCTATGTAATCCCAGCACTTTGGGAGGCCGAGACGGGCGGATCATGAGGTCAGGAGATCGAGACCATCCTGGCTAACACGGTGAAACCCCGTCTCTACTAAAAATACAAAAATTAGCCAGGCATGGTGGCGCGCGCCTGTAGTCCCAGCTACATGGGAGGCTGAGGCAGGAGAATGGCGTGAACCCGGGAGGCGGAGCTTGCAGTGAGTCGAGATTGCGCCACTGCACTCCAGCCTGGGCGACAGAGCGAAACTCCGTCTCAAAAAAAAAAAAAAAAAAAAAAAATTACAAATTCTAGGAAAGAAAGTCTTTAAAAATGAAGGTGAAAAATAAAATGATACATCATGATTTGATGAACCTACATAGAAAACTCTATATAAGAACAGCATAATACCCATTATTTTCCAGTATCCATAGTACATTGATATGATAGGTCATATCTTAGGTCATAAAACAAATTTAAAACAGTTAAAATCATAAGAGTATGTTACCTGACTATAATGAAACGAAAACTAGAAATTAGTAAAAGAAAGATAGTAAAATCTCTGAATATGTGGAAATTAAGTAACACACTTCTAAATAATTTATGGGTCAAAAAAAAGGTTCAAAGGAAATTTTAAAAGACAGATCTTGTGTAATTTACTGAATACCATGCTGAAGTAAAAAATGGAATTGCTGTATGGAAACTGGAAGTATGGTTTCTACTCATGTGTATAGCTTCTGTACTATTGCAAAGTTGAGAAATCATAAATTATATATCATAAGTTGGGGGACATCTGTACCTGGATAAACTAAAAGTACAAGAATGAGAAAACATAGACTGTGCTAATACAGTAGCCACTAGCCAAACATGGCTGTTGAACATTTGAAATCCTTGTTAGGACAAATACAGATGTCCTAGCAGTGTAAAACACACTGAGGGTATCTAAGATTTAGAAAGCAAAAGTTACATAAATGTATTGCTAAAACTAAAAATCAATCACAAAAGGAAATTTATCAAATATTGGAAAAATTAGACAATGTAACCATCAGTCAACTATAAGTAAAATAAGAAATTATAAGGCAATTTTAAAAGTATTTTGAACATTGGCCTAGATGCAAAATTTATGACTAAGACCTCAAAAGCAAATGCAACAAAAACAAACAGAAAACCTGGATTAATTAAACCAAACAGTTTCTGCACAGCAAAAGAAGTTATCAACAGAATAAACAGACAACCTGCAGAATGGGAGAAAGTATTTGCAAACTATGTATCTGACAAAGGACTCATATCCAGAATCTATAAGGAACTCAAATTGGTAAGAAAAACACACATAACCCCATTAAAATTAGGCAAAAAACATGAACAGACATTTCTCAAAGGAAGACATACAAGTGGCCAACAAACATGAAAAAACATGCTCAACATAACTAATCATCAGAAAAATACAAGTCAAAGCCACAATGAGATACTATCTCATGCCAGTCAGAACAGCTATTATTAAAAAGGCAAATAATAAGAGGTTGGTGAAGATGCTGACATGCTTATACACTGTTGGTGAGAATGTAAATTAGTTCAATCTTTGTGGAAAGCAGTTTGGAGCATTCTCAGAGAACTAAAAACAGAACTACCATTCCACCTAGAAATTCCACTGCTGTATATCTACCCAAAGGAAAAGAAATCATTATATCAAAAGGATACCTGTGCTCGTATGTTTATTGTATAACATAGCACTATTCACAAGAGCAAAGTCATGGAATCAACTTAAGTGTCCACCAACAATTGCTGGGATAAAGAAAATGTTCTATGTACACACCATGGAATACTACTTAGTCATAAAAAAATAATGAACTTACGTCCTTGGCAGCAACGTGGCTGGGGCTAGAGGCCATCATCCTAAGTGAAATAACTAAGAAATAGAAATTAAAATATTGGGCTGGGCATGGTAGTTCACACCTGTAATCTCAGCACTTTGGGAGGGCGAGGTGAGTGAATCACCTTATGTCAGGAGGTCAAGACCAGCCTGGCGAACATGGTTGTATTAGTACATTTTCACACTGCTGATAAAGATATATCTGAGACTGGGCAATTTACAAAAGAAAGAGGTTTATTGGACTTACAGTTCTGCATGTCTGGGGAGGCCTCGCAATCATGGTGAAGGTTAAAGGCAAGGATGAGCAAGTCATGTCTTACATGGAAGGTGTCAGGCAAAAAGAGCTTATGTAGAAAAACTCACATTTTAAAACCATCAGATCTCGTGAGACTCATTCACTATCATGAGAACAGTGCAGGAAAGACCTACCCTCATGATTCAATCACCTCCCACCAGGTTCCTCCCATGGCATGTGGGAATTGTGAGAGTTCACAGTTCAAGATGAGATTTGTGTGGGCACACAGCCAAACCACACCAATGGGGAACCCCCCTGCCCCAACTGAAAATACAAAAAATTAGCTGGGCATGGTGGCACATGCCTGTAATGCCAGCTACTCAGGAGGCTGAGGCACTAGAATTGCTTTAACCAGGTTGCAGTGAGCAGAGATTGTGCGACTGCATTCCAGCCTGGGTGACAGAGCGAGGCTCTGTCTTGAAAAAAAAAAAAAAATGCGTTCCACTTATAAGTGAGGGCTAAACAATTGGTATACACAGACATAGAAATTATAAACCCTGGAGACTCCATAAGAGGAGAGAGTGGGTGGGAGATGAGTGTTCAAAAATTACCTACTGAGTATAATGTTCACTATTTGGGTGATGACTTCACTGGAAGCCCAAACCTCACAAGTATGCAATAGATCCATGTAACAAACCTGCCCATGCACCCCCAAATCTAAAATAAAATTTAAAAACAAATAATAAAAGTATCTTGAACTGAATAAAAGACAAAGTATATTAAAAATATTTATATGTTTTAGTTTCCTGGTACTGTTGTAACAAAGTAACATACACTGGGTGGCTTAAAACAACAGAAATTTATTGTCTGGCAAGTCTGGAGACTAGGATCTTTCAATGATGCCCTTGTGAAAACTAAGAGGCAGCCTACAGAATAGGAGAAAATATTTGCAAAATCTATGTCTGAACAACTTGTGTGCAGAATATACAATAAACACTTAAAATTCACTTTTATAAATACAACACTTTTTATAAATGGATAAAATATTTAAATATACATCACATGTAAGAAGATATACAAGTTTCAAACAAGCACATAAAAAGATGCTCAGTGGCATTCATTCATCATTTGAAAAAAGAAAGCTTTTTCACAATGTTATATGATTGAATACATGCCAGAATGGCTAAAAGTAAAATTATTGGAAATACTTAGTGTTAATGAGGCTATAGAGCAACTGGAGATTTTACACATTTCTGAAAAGAATTAAAATTGTTAAAAACAATTGGAAGGTACCATTTAAAGTTAAACATACACTTGCCATATGATTCGTCATTCCCACTCTTAAGTATTTATACATATGTTCAAAGATTTGTGTTTAAATGTTCAATGCAATTTTATTTAGCCAAAAATAGGACTAACGCAAATGTTTGTTATGGCTTAAATTGCTTTCTCTCAAAATAGACATGTAGAAACCCTAACCTTCAGTACCTCAAGAATAACATCTTATTTGGAAATACAGTCTTTGCACATGTAGTCAAATTAAGATGTGGACATTAGAGTGGGCTTTAATTCCATATGACTGATGTGCTTATAAAAATGGAAAATTTGGAGACAGATATGCACACTGAGAGAATGCTATGGGAACATAAAAACAGAGATTGGAATGATATATCTGCAAGCCAAGGAAAGCTGAAGATTACCAGAAAACCACTGGAAGCAAGGATAAAGGCCTGAAACATTATCCCTCACAGAATTCAGAAGGAATGAACCCTGCCAACACCTGGATCTCATAATTCTAGCTTCCAGAACTGTAAAACAATAAATTTCTGTTGCTTAAGCTACCCAGTTTGTGACGCTTTGGTAAAGCAGCCATAGGAAACTAATAAATTCATCAGTTTTGAAAGAATTTAAAATTTGTGGTATGTCCATTCAATGGAAAATTACTCATTAATAAAAACAAAATTCTGACACACAAAAAATGGCTGAATCACAAAAACTGCTAAATAAAAAACAATACAAAAATTAAAGACTATATACAGTATGATTCAATTTATATAAAATTATAGAAGATGTAAAACTATAGTGCCAGAAAGCAGATCAGTAGTTGCTAACACCTGGGATGGGAGAGAGGATTGACAGACGACAAAGGCTATGAGGGGAAATTTGAGGCGATGGAATGTTCTGTATCATAAGTATGGTGATGCTTACCTAGCTATACACATTTGTAAGAACTCTTTAATCATACACTCAAAATTAATGAATTTTATCTATACAACTGATGTTAGAAAGACAAATATAATTAATATTATGGGAGTGAGAACTAATGGCTAAGAATTGGAAGATTAGTAAAACCAAAGAGTCCAAGACAGCACATAAGTGATTCCATTATAATATGTTAATATAAATAAAATTAAATTAAACAACCAAATATTCAAATATACTTTCTACAAGCAGAAAAAAACTAAAGTTAGAAATTTGATGAATGACTTAAACAACTAACCAAGGCAGAAGAGAGGGATAGTGATCTAGAAGATAAATCTGAAGAAATTATCTAGATTGCAACACAGAGTGATAAAAGTGATAAGAATATGGACAATATGAGACAGAAAGAAATGAGAGAGTGAATTAGAGAGGCTAGAAACAAGAAAGATTTTTTTTAAAGTTTCAACATACATCTTTACATGTTTTATATATCTGGGCATGAGTATGAAGTAGAATGATTATGAATATTTTCTGTACTCACTGATAGACAACCTGTGGAGTATGAGAGAAAGAAAAAGGTCAAAAATGCTCCATATTTTTGAAGTAAAGAAAAAACATTTGAAAAAAGTATCACATATTGAGTTGTAAAACAATTCTCAAAAAATTTAAAATTTATATAACACAGATCACATTCTTCGAAAATAACATGAAATCAGAAATTAATGAGAAAAATGTAAATAAAATGTTTCTGAAATTTTTTTAAAACCCACAATCTTATGTACCCATTTAAGAAAAAAAAATCAGAAAAAATAGAACTAAACTTAATTATAAAAAAAAACTTAGGAAAAGTCCTACAGTACAGTTAGTATATATATTACTTGAATGGGAATGTACATATTATAAATAAATGTTAGAAAGAAAGGAATTGCTGAATATTAATGAGCAATCTAAGAAGTTAGTAAAGGAATTTCAGAGTAGTACTGAAGATTGAGGACAGATGATTATTAAGAACAAAGTAGGGTTAACTGGCAAGATGGCTGACTAGAAGCAGCCAGGAGGAACATCTGCCACGAAGACACCAGTACATCAGGAAGACTGGTGCACTCTGAGCAGGTCTTGAGAAAGAAGGCATTGAGAGTGGACAGAAGGAGGATACACACTCTGGGCTGAAGGGCAAGGAAGCTGGGAACCCTGCACTGGCTACCATGCATCAGGACTCTTTCCTGGCCCCCAAAACTCCTGGGAAAGAGGTGAGTTGAACAGGTGAGAAGCAACCCGCTCTTGCTGGGGACCTCTGAAATTCTGACAGAAGGAGACCTGACAACCCTCAGACACTGAGCTGGCAGAGAGGGCTGCTTAGATAAGTGGTAGGGGCAGGACTAACCTGTGCAGTGCCCAGAGTGTTTGGTGTGGGAATATCTGCAATGAAGCACAGGGAAGGATACCCATTCCCTAAGGCTTACCATGCTCCCCTGGGAGACTTTAGCCTTAGGGATACTGTCGGACCTGGACACAGCAGGGCAGTTTTGCCTGTGAGATAGGACCAGTCTGGCCATGCCCACTTGCAGTGCAGCCTCAGACACCCAACTGTGATGAATCCTGGAAGCACACATCATAGCTCCTTCACCAGCAAACCACACCTGACTATCAAAGAGCTCCAGGAGAGCAGCCCCTGCTGATATGCAGAAGCCCATCCTTGCACTCACCTCACTGCATCCTCCCCCATGCTGCTTTGATGGCACACACTTGCCCATAGCCATGCTGTATTAGTCCATTCTCATACTATTATAAAGAAATATCTGAGACTGAGTAATTTATAAAGAAAATAGGTTTAATTTTCTCATGTTCCTGCAGGCTGTATAAAAAGCATAGCACTTTCTGCTTTTGGTGGGGCCTCAGAAAGTTCCAATCATAAAGGAAGGCAAAGGAAGAGCGAGGCACTTCATATGACTCGAGCAGGAGGAAGGCAGGGGTAGGTGCTACACACTTTTAAATAACCAGATCTCATGAGAACTCACTCACTGTCATGAGAACAGACCCAAGATGGAAGGTGTTAAACCATTCATGAGAAACTGCCCCCATGATCCATTCACCTCCCACCAGGTCCCACCTCCAACACTAGGATGACAACTTGACAGGAGATTTGGGCAGGGACACAGATTGAAACCATATCACACCCCCCCACTGCATTGCTGCAACACACACATGGGAGGATATCACCTCCCCTCCACCACACCACTGTTGCTGGTGTGAGTGCGCACCCCTCAACAAGCTGCCATTGCCAGCATAAATGTGAACATGGAGGCCAATAGCCCCATGCCAGGCAGCATGTTGCCCTTATGCTGACATTGCCAAGGTGTATATAGGTACATGAATGGCAGTGGCCCTGCCACCAACTCCACACTACCAATGCAGCTGGTCCAAATGCACAGAGGCTGGTAGCTCCATGCTTGACAGTTCCCTTCCCCCATGCCAACACCACTGCCAATACAAACATGCATACAGATGCCAGTGGCCCTGCCCTCTGCCCCACACCACCACCACCACCACTTCAAACAAATGCACAGATACCAGCAGTCCCATGTCTGCCACCACCCCAGCCCAGCTAACAATGATGCACTCTGCCATGCTGCCACAGCTGCTGGCATGTGTGAACAAGAATGGATCCCAATGCCACCACCCTGATGAAGTGACTTGGTCAGCACCACCAATTGGAGTGTTGTGGACAGTCATTCAGGAACACCTCATTCCCTCCAGTGCAGCAGGTTCCTAACCTTGAGGGGCCAGAGAACAAAGCCAGAGTCCCAATATCAACCGTCCAGAAATAGAGCATGCAGCCCAAGATGGTTAAGCTGAGTCTTAGCCCCATAAAATCTTCCAAAAAGGAAGCCAGTTGGCTGAACCCACATCATACCACTATTAAACCCAAGGGCATCAAAGAAGATACAAGCAAAAAAATATATATATACCATTCAAAGGACAGCAACTTCAAAGACTGAAGAAATATCAGCCCACACAGATGAGAAAAAAACAGAACAGAACTCTTGCAACTCAAAAAGCCAGAATATTCGTATCCCCAAACAACCACACTAGTTCCCCATAAATGGTTATTAACCATGCTCAAGTGGCTGAAATTACAGAAATAGAATTCAGAATATGAATAGAAAGGAAGATTATCAAAATTCAAGAGAAAGTCAAAACCCAATCCAATAATTCTAAGGAATACAATAAAATGATATAGAAGATGAAAGAAAAACAATGGCCATCTTAAGAAAGAACCAAAGTGATCTGACAAGGCTGAAAAACTCACATCAAGAATTTTAGAATAAACTCACAATATTAACAGCAGAATCAACCAAGCTGAGGAAAGAATCTCAGAGCTTAAAGAGTGGTTCTCCAAAATAACTCACTCAGCTCAGAAAAGAAAAAAGATTAAAGAAGAATGAACAAACCTGTAAGAAATATGGGATTATGTAAAGAGACCAAATCTATGACTCACTGGTATCCCTAAAGACAGGGACAGAAAGCAAGCAACTTAGAACACATATCTCAAGATATCATCCATGACAAGTTCTCCAACTTCACTAGAGACCAAAATTTAAATTCAGGAAATGCAGAGGACCCCTGCAAAATACTACACAAGGTGACCATCCTCAGGATACATAGTTATCAGATTCTCCAAAGTTGAAATGAAAGAAAATATGTTAAAGGCAGCTAGAGAGAAGAGTCAGGTAACAATGGGAACTCTATCAGGCTAAAAGTCAATGTTTCACAGAAACCCTATAAGCCAGAAGAGATTGGATACCTACATCCAGCATTCTTAAAGAAAATAAATTTCAACCAAGAATTTCATATCCAGCCAAACTAAGCTTCATAAGTGAAGAAGAAATAAGATCTTTTTTGGACAAGCAAATGCTAAGGGAATTTGTTACCACCAGAAATGACTTACAAAAAGTTTTGAAGGGAGTGCTAAATATGAAAAGGAAAGACCATTGCCACTACAAAAAAAACACTTAAGCACACAGACCATTGACACTATAAAGCAATCACGCAAACAATGTCAACCAGCTAACAACATGATGACAGGATCAAATCCACATATATTAATATTAACCTTGAATGTAAATGGGCTAAAAACCTCAATTAAAAGGCACAGAGCAACAATTTGGATAAAGAAACAAAATCCATGGTATGCTGTCTTCAAAAGATTCATCTCACATCCAATGACAAACATAAGTCCAAAGTAAAGGGATGGAGAAAAATCTACCAAGCAAATGGAAAACAGTGACTGTTATTCTAATTTCAGACAAAACAGACTTTTAAACCAACAAAGAAGGGTACTACATAATGGTAAAGTATCCAATTGAACAAGAAGACCTAACTGTCCTAAAAATATAGGCACCCAACACAGGAGCACCCAGATCTATAAAACAAGTTCTTAAGAGACCTACAAAGAAACTTAGTTAACTACACAACAATAGTCAGGGACTTCAACAGCCCACTGACAGTATTAGACATATCATCAAGGCAGAAAACCAACAAAGCTATTCAGGACCTGAGTGCAATACTTGACCAAATGGACCAGTGAGCTGAAGGGACTCTTCAGCTCATCTGTACATGGCACATACTCTAAAACTGACCACACAATTGGCCATAAAAACAATCCTGAGCAAATTCAAAAAAATTAAAAAAACAAAATTATACCAACTACACTCTCAGACCACAGCACAATAAAAATAGAAATCAACACTAAGAAAATTATTCAAAACCATACAATTACAAGAAAATTAAACAATCTGCTCCTGAATGACTTCTGAGTTAAATAATGAAATTGAGGCAGACATATAAAAATTCTTTGAAACTAATAGAACAAAGACACAACATACAACGGTCTCTAGGATATAGCCAAACCAGTATTAAGAGGGAAGATTATAGCACTAAATACCCACATTGAAAAGTTAGAAAGATCTCAAATTAACAACTTAACATTACACCTAGAAGAACTAGAGAAAGAAGAGAAAACCAACCCCAAAACTAGCAGAAGACAAGAAATAACCATAATCAGAGCTGAACTGAAGGAAATTGTGACAGGAAAAAACATACAAAAGATCACCATATCTAGAAGGTGATTGTTTGAAAGAATAAATAAGATAGGTAGACCACTCACTAGACTAATATATAAAAAAAGAGAAAGGTCCAAATAAATACAATCAGAAATGATAAAGGGGACCTTACCACTGAGAGCTGTGGAGATGTCAGACTACCAGCTGCAGAGAGGAGCTACCCACTCCAGGGTCTCCTCTCTGCTGACAGATGAACACTCACCGGGACACCCTGCCTGCAGAGAGGATCTACCCAATGCAGGTATCCTCTGAGCTGTTTGGTCGCTCAATAAAGCTCCTCTTCACCTTGTTCGCCCTCCAGTAGTCCACGTACCTCATTCTTCCTGGATGCAGGACAAGAACTCAGGATCTGCCGAATGGCAGGGCTAAAAGAGCTGTAACACAAACGGGGCTGAAACATGCCCCTTGCTCACTACATTGCAGGTGACAAAAAGGAGAAAAGAAATAAGGAGAGAAGAGCTGTGGCCTTTCAGGAAGCCCAGACCTAGGAGCTCTCTGAACCAGGGGTGTGACACCCTCTTTGGGGCTCTGCAGTTCCTGGCATCTCCAAGCTTCCAGGCATCACTGCATTCCTTGGTGCCAGCCGTGGAAGCTGCTTGGGGTATACCTGCTCCAACTGCAGCCTCACAGGGAGCCAGCACCAGGGCCAGCGCCTGGAGCTGCCTGCCCCACTGCAGCCAGCATGCCTGGCTGTGCACAATGGTTGGATCCCACACTCACTTGCTCACACAACCCTTGCCACTCTACTCATCCTTGGCAGGCATAGGATGCAGGCCAGTAGTGTAAACTGAGCACAGCCTGCCAGACCAAGTGGGCAGAACAAGCCCAGCAGGCCCAAGCAAAACTTGGGCAAAGGTGCCACTAGCCACAGGGGTTTCCAGCCAGAAAAGCATCACCCCAAGGATCCATGACAATATGTAGAAGGCTCAAGCCAGACCCCTTCTTTACACCATATACAAAAATTAACTCAAGATTGATTAAAAACTTAAATGCAAACTTTAAAACCACAAAAACCCTGGAAGATACCTAGGAAATACCATTCTGGACATAAGGCCTGGCAAAAATTTCATGATTAAGACGCCAAAAGTAATTACGACAAAAACAGAAATTGAAAAATGGTTCTAATTTAACTAAAGATCTTCTGCACAGCAAAAAGAAATTGTCAAGAGTAAACAGACAACCTACAAATGGGAGAAAGTATTTTCACACTATTAATCCATCAAAGTTCTAATACCCAGAATCTATAAGAAACATAAACAAATTAACAAGCAAAAGACAAATAACTCCATAAAAAAAGTGAGCAAAGAATACGAACAGACACTTTTCAAAGGAAGACATACATGTGGCCAAAAAGCATACGAAAAAATTCTCAACATCACTAATTATTGGAGAAATGCAAATCAAAACCACAATGAGATAACATCTCACGTCGGTCATAATGACTATTATTAATGTCAAAAAATAACATATGCTACCAAGGTTGTGGAAAAAAGGGAATGTTTATACACTGCTGGTGGGAATGTAAGTCAGTTCAGCCATTGCAGAATGCAGTTGGGTGATTTCTCAAAGAACTTACAACAGAATTACCATTCAACCCAGCTATCCCATTATTGAGTATGTACTCAAAGAAATATATATAATTTTACCATAAAAACACATTTATGTGTATGTTTATTGCAACACAATTCACAATAGCAAAGACATAGAATCAGCCTAAATGCCCATCAATGATAACTGGATAAAAAATGTTGCACATACATATACACCACAGAATACTATGCAGCCAAAAGAAAGAATGAGATCTTGTCCTTTGTATCAGCATGGATACAGCTGGAGGCCATTATTCTAAGTGAACAGAAAACCAAATACTGCTTGTCTTCAATTATAAGTGGGAACTAAACATTGAGTACATATGGACACAAACTACAGACAACAGAGCCTACTTGAGGGTGGAGGGTGGGAGGAGGGTGAAGATTGAAAACTGTCTATTGGGCATAAAATAATCTGTGCACCAAACCCCGTGACATGCAATTTACCTATATAAAAAAACTGCACATGTACCACTGAAACTAAAAGTTGAAAAAAGCAGACTTTTTTAAAAGAAGACATAAAAATCACCAACAGACATATGAAAAAATGTGCAAATCACTAATCGTGAGATAAACGCAAATCAAAATCACAAAGTTAGAATGGCTGTGACTGAGAAGACAAAAAGTAATAGATATTGGCAAGGATACAGAGAAAAGAGAGCTTTTATAATGCTGCTGGTAGGAATGTAAGTTAGTACAGTCCCTGTGGAAAGTAGTATGAAGATTTCTCAAAGAACTAAAAATAGAACTACCATGTGATCCAAACATTCCCTGTATGGGTTACCTACCCAAAGGACAAGAAATCTTTATATCAAATGATGCCTGAACTTGTATGTTTATTGCAGCACTATTCACAATAGCAAAGATATGTAATCAACCTAAGTGTCCATTAGTGGATGATGGATAGGGAAAATATGGTAAATGTATATACCATGTAATACTATTCAGCCATAAAAAATTAAATGAAGTCTATTGCAGCAACATGGTTGGAATTTGAGGCCACTGTTTTAAGTGAAACAAGTCAGACACATAAAGAGCAATACTTCATGATCCTATTTATAAGTAGGAGCTAAATAATGTGTACACATGGGTGAGGCATGGAATGATAGACAATGGTGTCTCTGTTGAAGTGACACCAATAGACTGACAAATTTCTGGCAAGATTCATTGGGGTGGATAAGGGGAAATAAGAGAGAGGAGGAGGAAGAGGAGGAAAAAGGAGGAGAGGAATCCAGATAGACATTAATGGAAGGAAAGGCATGACATAGCTATAAATGCTATAGAGATTAAAAAGATAGCAAGAGAACATTATGAATATCCTTATGCCAAAAACTTCAAAAATTTAGGTGACATGGAAAAATTCCTAGAAAAAAATATTAAATAACAAAACTAACACAAGGAGAAAAAGGACATCTGAATATACCTGTACATTTAAAGAAACTGAATTGGTAATTATAAATATTCTCAAAAACAAACTACCAGGGACCACAAGTTAATTTGAAATACAAGAAGTTAACTTAAATAAGGGATAATTTTGGTTGGGCACCTTGGCTCATGCCTGTAACACCAGCACTTTGGGAGGCCGAGGCAGGTGGATCACATGAGGCCAGGAGTTTGAGATCAGCCAGGCCAATGAAACCCTGTCTTTACTGAAAATACAAAAGTTAGCCAGCATGGTGGTGCACAGCTGTAGTAGTCCTGGCTATTCAGGAGGCTAAGACAGATAATCACCTGAACCCAGGAGGCGAAGGTTGCAATGAGCAGAAATAGTGCCACTGCACTCCAGCCTGGGTGACAGAGGGTGACCCTGTCTCAATAAATAAATAAAAAGGGAATTATTTTAAGAAATACAAAGAATAAAATTTCCAATTAAAATTGTGATGGAGACTTATCTGATAACTTGCAAGTAGAAGATAAGTATTGTATATTGAAGAAAACTTCCCCAAAACAAAGATTCTAAAGATAAAACACAAATATTGTGAAGGCAAAAGCAAAAAGAAAGAGGAGAGAGAGCCAATCTCTCCTTAGAGTAGTTATTGCATTAATGGCAACAAATGCAGTGTATTATAAACCTTAACAACATCAGCAGCAACCACATTAGGTAAGGGAAAAAGGAAGAAGAAGACAAAAGATGAGCAGGTGGAGGCCGGGGAAGAAAAGCAGGAAAAGGAATTACAGGAATTCCTTTTCTCCTTTACAGGAGAAATAGCACCAAAAAGAGAGACGCAACAGCAGACATTAACCTGAATGTAAGAACATGGAATGTCTAATGAAATTTGCTTTAAATAGAAAATCATCTTAAGCAGCCCAACAAGTACCAGTGTGTGTGTTTTTTTTTTTCAATATTAAAAATTGGGAAATTTTAACAGTACTAAGGGAGGCAAATTATTACCTACCTGGCTTTAAAATTCTCTGCCACGCACAATGTCAGAGGACAATTCACTGAGTTTGAGAATCTTATTTATTTGTTATTTACGTTACTAACATTTATATGATCCATACTGTTTTAAGAGAACTGCCTTCCAATAGGAACTCTTTCGATGCTTATTATAACACTATGAGCTAGCTCATTTTGTTAGCCCTATTTCAAAGATGGGAAAACTGAAGCAAAGTGTGACCTTCTCCAAGGTCACACAAATAATAAACAGCAGAGCTGGGTTTTGAGGACAAATTCTGTGCTTTTAAACTCTATGCTGTGCTACCTCCCAAAGGATTCTATATCCAGGTTGATCTTCACACACAGAAAAGTAAGGAAGATGTTTTCAGCTAAATTTCATCATTGACTCTAGAATGCAAATTATTTTCAGGTTTTTAACTTGGTTAAGATTAGTGTATGCTCTGGATCAATGTCATGCCAGAGTTTATTGGGTAGAATCCTTTTCTTTCTTTCTTTGTGGTATATAAAATTATAACACACCTAGAAGATGTCAACTTAGAAATTCTCAGAAAGCATATAATTAATGCGTTTTTCTAAAATGATGACTTGATGAGAGCCTGAGGATGAGGGAGAAAAGGGAGAAAAAAAGAAAGAGAAAAATTAGAACAAAAGGAGGAAAGAAAAATTAAAAAATAAAATACAATTATGGCTTGATGTACTTTAGAAGACCATGAGATGAAACAGTATAAATTGCTTGGGATGAAGAGGTTCTGGTGTAAAAAGCCAATAACTAAAAAAATGTGCAATCAAAATAATTATTGAATAATTTTTGATACAAAAATCAACTAATTGAAACAAATATACCATATGTTATATAATAATTTTGCAACGCCAATTAGAAGAAACACCCCAATATTTTGTCTCTATAAATTTGGAAGCACCTGAGTGAGAAAGGTGTGGGTAAAGAAATTTAAATTGAATGAAAGCATACACAGTTTCCAAACATACACTGAGAAAGTGCATGCTCACACATTTTCTTAGCAGAATTGGAGTTTGTTGTAAGCACTAGGTCTGTGCTTTAAGAATTCTTTCTTCTCAATTAAATTTTGGAAGTTGAGCAAACCCTTTTTTCAATAATAATTTTATAAGGATATGTATTATTGAAAAACATTGAAAAAAGTTTTTATTGAAAAATATATATCATTATCATAAATATATATCATCATAAATATATATCATTATCATGTACAATTATAATCACTACAACAAACTGAAAAATAAATGGCATTTTCTTCTTTATAGCCAAATGAATGTTTAATTGTGGGAACCCTGGACAAATTATCTCAATACTTTTTAATATGCAAGATAGATAGAAACATAGATGATAGATAGATAGATAGATTAGATATAGACAGATACATTCTTTTAAAGTTCATAAAAAGACAGGAGAGCAAGAAAAGAAAATAAAAACAATTATTATTCTAAGAAACAGATGTGTTGACCTATTCAAACAAAAATTTTCAAAATTAACTGCCTAGAAAAAAATGAACAAGTGGCGCATAATCTTTGTTATTTAAGTGTGTTGCTTAAAACACAATGTATACAATAAAGTAGTGTTTTTATAAATAAACAATATTAAGAAAGTCTGAGTCTGACAGAGATTAAATTTCATAATCAGTACCTAAAACTGGTTATGTCTGACATGAAAGATGCTTAATGGTATCTAAGTATTTATATTTTTAAAAATTTGTTCTAATTATGTATTCTTCTTTTTAAATTATGCATATTAATTTCATATTTATAATCTAATGCAATAAAATATCATACTTTAAACCAATCTATTGTAAAAAGCATTCTAATATTACTTTATGAATTACATTATTAGAAAGCCTAGGAATTTGGACTTTGGGATTCTGTTCATCTAATAGAAGTTGACCCAATTAAAAACAAAGACATCACACCAGTTAGAATGGCGATTATTAAAATGTCAGGAAACAATAGATGCTGGCCAGGCTGTGGAGAAATAGGAATGCTTTTACACTGTTAGTGGGAGTGTAAATTAGTTCAGCCATTGTAGAAGACAATGTGGTGATTCCTCAAGGATCTAGAACCAGAAATACCATTTAACCAAGCAATCCCATTAATGGATATATACCCAAAGGATTATAAATCGTTCTACTATAAAGACACATGCACACGTATGTTTATTGCAGCACTATTTACAATAGCAAAGACTTGGAACCAACCCAAATGCCCATCAATGATAGATTGGATAATGAAAATGTGGCACATATTCACCATGGAATATTATGCAGCCATAAAAATGAATGAGTTCACGTCCTTTGCAGTGACATGGATGAAGGTGGGAGCCATCATTCTCAGCAAACTAACGCAGGAACAGAAAACCAAACACCACATTTTCTCACCATAAGTGGGAGTTGAACAATAAGAACCTATGGATGCAGGGAGGGGAACAACACACACCCATGCCTGTTGGGGGGTTGTGGGCAAGGGGAGGGAGAGCATTTGAACAAACACCCAATGCATGTGGGGCTTAAAACCTGGATGATGGGTTGATAGGTGCAGCAAACCATCATGGCACATGTATACCTATGTAACAAACCTGCATGTTCTGCACATGTATCCAAGAACTTAAAGTAAAATTTAAAAACAAAGAAGAAGATATTAGAAAAGATAAGTTCCAGAGTAAACCTGTGGACAGAAATCAATGTATCATAGCTCTTTTAAAGGGTTAGGTGGTCACAATGCTATAATACATCATTATAAGATATTAGATTTTTGTAGTAGAATTGGGACAACTTTAGATCCCAAAATGTTTATTTATTTGAATATTATCCTTAAATTTTAGTGGCTTATTTCTATTAGTTTACTGCAAATTAGATTATAATATCAATTGAAGAGAAACAATATTGAAGAACTGCCATTTGAATGCACTTATAATAACAGCATATAATATAAATTGGATTCTTTTTTTTTACAACTAATTTGGTATGTAATTGTGGATATCCTGGACAAAAACCCATCAGTCCCATCTACCATGCTATGATTTTATTATTATAGTCTAGAGATGCTGTCCTTAATAACTACTTAGGTTAAAAACAATTTATTAAAAAATTACACAATTCATGAAATACAGTAGTTAATACAAAATGACTTTCCAACATTGACAAATAGTTTCTTAGAGGGCAAAATAGAGCATTTGTTAATGTAAATAATGTTGACTGCACTCAATTGGAGCAATTGGTTGAATGAGTCTCAACAAATGTGTTTTTTTACTTCACTGCTATTCTTTGAGACCTTGATTTTGAATTATGGCAGTCCCCTTACGTGTTTTGTTTCCATCACCAGCAAAAAAATAATTTATCAGGCACAAAGAAAAAAATCAAAAATAATTTTTTAAAAATGTAACCCTCAGTGGCTTCATATGTATATGAATATGGGTATGTGTGTGTGTGTGTGTACACATACATATCTTAGTGGAAATGCATGAGTGCAAAACTCCATGAAGACTCTCAATTCAAAAATTGGGCACAATTTGCTATATAAAATCCCACATACAGTCAGTCGTTGATTTCTGGAAATGTCAATATAAATGCTCACCCAGTTACTACAATTTTATCAATTCATGACACAGTAGAACTAAAGTGAATTCATACATTTATTCTATTCTGCTTTTGACAAGCACTGCATAAAACTTCCACATTTTTTTCTCAGATGTACTTTCCTACAAAATGCCCATCCCTACATCTCCTAGAGACCCACTCTCTGTGAGTTATTGGAAAGCTTTCAACTTCACAAAAATTGTAAAAAAAACAAACAAACGAACAAAAAACCTTTAGGGTTGGTGCACACAATCGGCAAGGCAAGATCCATAAGGCTACAGAGAGATTCATCGCAGTCATATCTTCTTAAAACATTCCTCTTAGTTGGAAGAAAGAAAGGTAAGAAATTCAAACATTACAGCTTGACGAATACCATGAAAGAAGCAATTTTGGTACAGAACTCTGAAGAACTGCTCTCCCTGCTCCCCAAAGATACTGCCCCAAATTCAGTTTTACCAGAGATGTAGGGTAAGAAATCTTGAGTGTTGGCACTTTTGCAGTCAGAAAAGATAAGTAGATCTCTATAGGACAATCTCCATATCCCAGGCAAGAAAAAAAAAAAAACATGGCACAGTCTAAGAGTTGCAATATAATCTATTTCTCTACAGCAAGGGTTAGCAAAGTGTTTTTGTAAAGGACCAAATAGTAAATATTTATATTTTGCAGCCCCAGAAGCAAAATTAAGGATATTATGTGGGAACTTGTATAAAAAAGAGAGAAAGCAGATGTTCACAAATACTTAATATTTTAATTAAAAATTGGAGTTATAGATACGAAAACTTGAACTTCATATTTTTACTTGTCATGAAGATTTTTTGCACTGATTTTCTCAAAAATTTGATAATGTTAAAACCATTCTTAGTCCACTGGCTGTACAAAAAAAGAGGCAATGGGCTAAATTTGGCTCTTGGGCTGCAGTTTGCTGACCCCTGCTCTGAAGCAAAATCAAAAACCCTGTATGACACAACCTATTATCCAAGATAAATTGAGTCTTGAAAGTGAAATATAGCAACAGGAAAAGAATAGCATGTGCAAAAGCCTTCTACAATTTTAAGAGCAGGTAGACACTGAACATTAGTTTAAAAAATTGAATCTTTTAATATTAATGAGAAGGCAATTCAAAAAAGGAAAGCAATTCTTATTTAAAAGCTGAATAATGGCTTAATTTTTAATTCCATTAGTGTTTAGAAAAATATGTAGTTGAGAGAAAGCCAGCAAACAAGAATAAATTTCTCAAAGTATAATGAGACGTCACTTAGAATCTAGTTTAAAATAAAAGCAAAATGCCTGCAAAAAAATCACCAAAGAAGCACTGCTGAATTTCATAACTGTTATGATTTGTTACAGTAATTATACATTTTAGACTGAAAATATAAAGAAGAAAAATTCAAGTAACATGACTTACAGTAAGACAATGAACTATATCATATGACATTCAGTTTTACACCATTGGTTATTGTGTGTGTTAGCTTAAGAAACTTATTTGCTACCTTAGAACTTTATAATATAGCTATATAGTTATTGTGTCTTTAAAATGAATGATATTTTGTTTCATTTCTGCAGTAGATTGGGCTTTAAGCCTTTGATCAGTAAGAGAGTCATTTATTACACCATCCTTTAGTATTAACTTTCAGATTTCATTTTTATTATTTACATTTATAACAAATTAAGTTTTCCAAAAGCTGAAAAATCTGAAGACAGTCCAAACTTGAATTTGTTTCATTTCTTTTCAAACATAAGAATTAAAATCAATTCTTTATTCACATGTAATGATCTTAGAACATATAACAGGCCTTAAGTGAAGCAAACACTAATTCAAACTAGTACATTTGCAATCAGTTCACTTCAGAAACTTTGTTCTGTTTTCCTTCACAATTAATATGCTCTACATGTGATGTTTATCAGCTTTCTAAATTAATGCTTACCATGCGGAGAAGCATCTAGTGAATCAGGTCCATTAAATAACAACAGAGGAGGCATATTTGGCTTCACAACCTAGGCAGGACTAAGATATCCAGCAATATTCTTTCTCTACATGGGACCTTTCAAGGAAGTTACCAAATGCCAGTTTCTTTCTTCACTGCATGTCTTGTTCATTGGGAGAGCATATATTATTTCTCCACATAGTAGAATACCAACTTGTACATCTGACTAGTGTTTTCCTCTAATTTTTCCAATCAGATGTTACACAAGATTAAAATCAATAATGTAAAAAACTTTAGAAAATAAACATCATTTAATATTATAAACCATCAGAATAAGTAGGTCATCAATTAAAAGCATTCACTGGCTTAAGGTTAATAAACAGCTACTTTTAGCTGAATGCTTACCACATGCTAGGCACATGCTAGAAACCTTACATACCATATCCGTTAGATATTACTACCACAATTTTATAGATAAAGAACTCAAAGAAAGGGTAAGAGATTATTTTCAAATCCATACAGCTGATACAGTATGTGATACATTACAAATTTAAATCCAAGTCTAACTTACCCAGCAGTCCTTGTTTTTGTCCAGTATGCTATAATGCATTTGGCAAGCAAATCTTGAAATTACACCAGCACTTGCAGAAAATGACAGCCTAACACAATGACCAAAACAAAAGAAAACAAAATGAGAAGAATTTCTGGAAATAAGGACTAAATGTGTGTCTTTTATCAGAAGGACGATGATGGAAAAATAAATTCATAGACTTTGTTCAAGTTGTGTGCTGCTAGATTAAAGGACTTGATTTGTCCTATTAAATTTTGACATCTAGAACTTTTGTTAGCATCAAAACATCACGTAGACATTAAATTCAAAGAAAGAATAAGAAAATGAATAATAAACATGAAAACAACTTAATAAAATGTAAAACAAACCTACAAAGGAGAGGACCAAAAATATCAGAAGTTGGTTATTTTTACAAAAATTTTAAGGAAGGCTAGTAAAGCCTAGATATTATAAACTCATTAGTACATTCTATATCTTCTACTGATTACACCTCTAGATAGAATTCAAAAAGCAACTACCTGAGGACTTTGAGTAATAAACAATAAAAAACAGATGGGAAATTAAAGTCAAACTTAAACACAGGCTCCTGGGACAGGGCTGAATTTACTATATTTCTTCTTTTCTTATTTAGAGGTGGTATTAATCACTCAATTTTGTTTTTCATTTTCAAACTTCTTTGGCTGCCATAGCATTTTCAATGAGTTTCAGAATCAAATTGTCCATTTCTATAAAAACACAATGTAGGATTTTCACTGGGGTTGTGTTTAATCTGTAGATCATTTTAGGACAAACTGACATCTTAATAAGATTGAATATTCTGAACCATAAATCACCTTGCTAAACTCACTTATTAATCCCAGTAAATTTTGTTTGCAGATGTCATCAGATATATAGGCAATCATGTCGTCTCTGGATAAAGACAGCTTTATTCCTTCCTTTCCTATCTGCATACCTTCTGTTTTTTTTATTTTTTTCTTCCTTATTTTACTGGCTAGAACCTTCAGTACAAAGTTGAATAGAAGTAGTGAAAGCACATAGTCCTCTCTTTTTCCTGATCTTAAGGGGAAAGTTTTCAGACTTTCACCAATATGTGTGATGTTAACTATGTTTTTCATAAACATCTTTTATCAGTTCTATCATGTCTAGAAAATTTCATTATATTTATATTTTGCTGAGAGTTTATAACAGAAATGTATCTTGGATTTTATCAATTAATTTTTCTGTTTCTATTACGTTAATCACATAATTTTACTTTTTTTCGTTCTTGAGTTTGTTAATATGATTAATTATACAGATTGATTTTATATGCTTTGGTCATAATTATCTTTCTTCTGTATTATTTCATTGAATTTACCATATATTTTTTAATTTTGGCATACATATTTGTGACATATATTGACTTGTACTTTTCCTTTTAATGTCTGTCTGTTTAATATCAGGGTAATTTAGACCTTATACAGTCAGTTGGAAAGTATTCTCTTCAGTCACTGGAAAAATTGGTGTAGAATTATTATTTTGTACTGAAACGTTAGTAGGAATTTCCTAGTAATTTTCTTTGTGGGAAGGTATTTGACTACAAATTTAATTACTTTAACATACATACTTATAGCAGTAACATATACTACAAAATACTATCTAATGGTATATAATGGCATGTATGTATTCACCTTTATGAATACATAATATATACATAACATATATATGTAATTATCTACTATAATATTTGAGATATACTATAATATTTGAGATATAATATTAGGTTACATACTCCTTTTTTTTTTTTTGAGACAGAGTCTCACTCTGTCACCCAGGCTGGAGTGTTCACTGCAACCTCTGCCTTTCGGGTTCAAGAGATTCTCCTGCCTCAGTCTCCTGAGTAACTGTGATTACAGGTATCCGCCACCAAGCCCGGCTAATTTTTTTTTTTTTTTTTTTTTTTTTTGGATTTTTAGTAGAGATGGGGTTTCACCATGTTGGCTGAGCTGGTCTCAAACTCCTGACCTCAAGTGCTCTGCCCACCTTGGCCTCCCAAAGTGCTGGAATTACAGACATGAGCCACCGTGCTTGGCCTAGGTTACCTATTCTTCTTGAGTGAACCATGATAGATTGTGCCTTTCAAAGAATTGTCCATTTGATTCATGTTGCCACATTTATAAGGTATTAATTACTTTAAAATCATTTTAATATCTGTAGAGTCTATTGTGGTTTGCTGCACTTATCAACCGTAATCTAGGTTTTAAGCCCCACATGCATTAGGTATCTGTCCTAATGCTATCCCTCGCCTTGCCCCCCAGTCCCCGATGGGTCCCGGTGTGTGTTGTTTCCCTCCCTGGTCCATGTGTTATCATTGTTCAACTCCCACTTATGAGTGAGAACATGTGGTGTTTGGTTTTTCTGTTCCTGTGTTAGTTTGCTGAGGATGATGGTTTCCAACTTCATGCATGTCCCTGCAAAAGACATGATCTCATTCCTTTTTATGGCTGCATAGTATTCCATGGTATATATGTACCACATTTTCTTTATCCAGCCTACCATTGATGGGCATTTGGGTTGATTCAATGCTTTTGTTATTGTAAATAGTGTTGCAATAAGCATATATGTGCATGTGTCTTTAAAGTAGAATGATTTCTATACCTTTGGGTATATACCCAGTAATGGGATTGCTGGGTCAAATGGTATTTCTGGCTCTAGATCCTTGAGGAATCACCACACTGTCTTCCACAATGGTTGAACTAATTTACATTCTCATCAAAAGTGTAAAATCATTCCTATTTCTCCACAGCCTCACCAGCATCTATTATTTCTTGACTTTTAGTAATCACCATTATGACTGGCATGAGATGGTATCTCTTTGTGTTTTTGATTTGCATTTATCTGATGATCAATGATGTTAAGCTTGTTTTCATATGTTTGTTAACTGCATAAATGTCTTCTTTTGAGAAGTGTCTGTTCATATCCTTTGCACACTTTTTGATGGGGTTGTTTTTTCTTGTAAATTTGTTTAAGTTCCTTGTAAATTGTGGATATTAGACCTTTGTAAGATGGGTAGATTGCAAACATTTTCTCCCATTCTATAGATTGCCTGTTCACTTTGATGATAGTTTCTTTTGCTGTGCAGAAGCTCTTTAGTTTAACTAGATCTCATGTGGCATTTTCCTCATAAAGATTTTGCCCATGCCTATGTCCTGAATGGTACTGCCTAGGTTTTCTTCTAGAGTTTTGTAGTTTTGGGTTTTACATTTAAATGACTTAGATATTCTAATTCTGAAAATATTTTAAAGTGGTAAAAAATGGATAGAGGAATAAAGTTCACACATGAAACCCAAAAGGCAAGTGTCTTAGTTGCTTGTATAAAAAATTCAGACTCATATAAAACATGCAAGGAGTAATTAAGTTTCTAAGTCTGGAAATCTCAATCATTTTGGAATTAAATTTTTATACATTGTCAGACCTTAATTTTGATTATGGTCTTTCAGTTCTATTTTGTATATCTTATATTGTGTTTCCTAACTTCTGTATTTCTTAGTATGTGAACTCCATTAGTATTAAAACAAATAGTTCAACTTTTTATAATATTAAAATGCAATATTATTGCCTATTAAACCTGTTCACAGTAGAATTATAAAAGCATTTATTTAAAGTTTTACAATTTTACCTGAAAGCATACATCTAAAATTTTAAGTATATTAATGTAAAAGAAATATGAACAAAGTAATTTCATATTTGACTGGACATGTTGTGATTAGCAAGTAATATATTGCTGTAAGGGCATTAAATCCTGCAGATAAGAAAGGAAATATTAAATGGAAAACTTATGAATGAACAGTGCATAAATCTGGCTCTCAATCTTGTTTATATGTAGATTATCATAGACTATTTGATGAAGATAGTCAATTATTTTTGAATTTTTTGACCAAAACAATATTCTCAGTATACTAAATAGGTTTACTTTATATTGTATTTATCTTTGTTACAACAAATAAGAAAATGAAAGAATATCCTTAAAATGAAAATAGACTAATAACTTTAGAATAAAATATGAACTTACATTACATTTCACAGGCTATTCAACTATCAAGAGACAGATTCAAAAGAAAGATTTCAGTCATGTGATTGAGAATCCTTATTCAAAGGATGAGAATGTCATTATTAAGAGGTTATATAACTGCAGAACAATAGCTATAAGGTAGTATAGCAAGAATGCAAAACTCTCAGATATGGGAGTTTTTCAATGAGGGTTAAATGGTAAGGACAGCACTTAATGAGAATTCTATGCCACAGGACTCACAGAATGTAGAAAACCAGTCAACCTCACAGATATGGCTACAGTGAAAAGTCAAGTTTCATTGAAGATACTGTACAGAATGCATTCCATTAATAAATTGATTATATAAGGTGTCTGTTTCAGGGAATAGGTTTTTCATAGGCCATTAAAAAAAAGTAAGAGACTCTTTTACTTGTTATGTTAATACTTATAAATTAATGAATAAACATACCAATAAATATCTCATTTAATTCTTAAACATCACTCTAAAGAAAGTATTATTACACCATCTAAACTTCAAAAATGAGAAAACTGGGTCTTAAGGATTTTTGCTAAGTAACCTATCAAAGTTTGCATAACTAGTATGGGCAGAATCCAAAAGTCACACTTGGGCAATGTGATTTTAAAGTGTTTTTATAAAGTATGTGCTGTGCTGCTTCAGCATCTGAGGTATGGAATAACCAATAAACCTTGGACTTTTTCTAAACATCCCACTTCTACCAATGTAACCTAAGATCATATTAGCACTACTGACAACACAATTACACTATTCACACAAACGAAGCATAAAATAAATCAAGCATTCCTGTATCTTTTTCTTTTTCATATGAAACTAAAATACGTTTTTCTGACAACAATCTGTTCTGAAAATTATTCTGTAATCAAATACATAGGTATCTTTCCAAGGAAAATTTTAAAATAAAATTTAAACCTAGCACAATATGAAGTGCAGAAGATACAAATTTAAGAATATAATAACAGGGCTGAGCATGGTGGCTCACGCCTGTAATCTCAGCAATTTGGGAGGCCAAGGCAGGTGGATCACCTGAGGTCACAAATTCAAGACCAGTAGGGCCAACATGGTGAAACCCCATCTCTACTAAATACAAAAAATTATCCAGGCATGGTGGTGCATGCCTGTAGTCCCAGCTACTTGGGAGGCTGAGGCAGGAGAATTGCTTCAACCCAGGAGGCGGAGGTTGCAGTGAGCCGAGATTGTACCATTGCACTCCAGCCTGGGCAGAGAGAGACTGGACAGAGCAAAACTCCATCTTAAAAAAAAAAAAAACTGTAATAACATTTAAAGAGGTTTTCAGAAAGACTATCACACCATAAATAGTGTTATTAAAAAGAAAGAATTAGCAACTATGGTAGGCTTTTTCCTAATTAAGCAGTTTTGCATTTATCTTCTGGGTCACATATAGAATAGAGAAAGGGAGAGTTCATTCCAGAGGATAAATGCACAAGCAAAGGGCTCCAGGTCATACAGGCACCTGTACCCAAGGATTTACAATGGGAAATTAGCAATGACAGGAAATTGTCTATTTCTTTAAAACTAAGTACGTCAAAGGGTCTTTCTGTGCCAATTGTTCCTGATAATACTAAAATTAAAATAGTAAGTATACCTGTAGAGTCATGTACTATACAAATGTAAAATTTTATTATTATATTAGGGAGTGCCTGCTCTTAATTATTAAAAGGTTATAACTGAATATGAAGTAAAGAAGCCTTGATGATATCCTAATCTTGTTACATTACTAGAATGAATCTACTTTTGGCATGAAATAAATCATCTTTTCCAGGTTAAACGACATAATTTTTATGGACAGAGGTGAATTAACAAAACAGGATTCTATCTTTATGTTATAAAATTCACTAGCATCTTTGTGCCCTAATTCACAGATGGCTTTTTAGCCTGTTGGCATCATTAAATAAATAAATGAATACATGTAAATAAATAAACAATCTCAATTTTATGCAAGTTGTCTTAATTCTTTCAACAAGTACTTATTCTTTAACATCTACTGTATGCCCACTCATCCATGTTAAGGGCACTTAAGTAATTTATAAAACTAGTGGATGCCTTGTATTAAATTATTTACAATCATCCACAAGTCAGTTGCTGAATATATTTCTGAAGCCAACCTAACCAACTAGAGTATTCTGCTGAGCCCGAAAAAGAGCAAAGTCCTCTATTCAAAACAGAATTAAGTTATGCACTATCACTATACAATTCAGTCAAAAAGTCTTGATATATATTTTCCCAACCAGAAAACATGTGAAAATGAGTTTGACTCTTTTCCCCTAACATTATGCAAATTTGAAAGGAAATGCAGTTATCTTTCATGTCATATTGATTATTTTTGGCTTTCACTGACTCTAACAAGGTAGACCAATGTGGTATTTTACACCTTGCTAGAAAGAGCTTCTGCAAAACATGTTATTATTAGCTTCATCTGCAATTATAATGTCAACACCACATTTTGCCAGAATAGAAAGGGAGGCCAAGAAAAACAGAAACCATAAATGAGAAACAGCTTGGTCATGGATTCAGGTGCCAGCAATTTATTTAGTTTATTGGATTCAGGTTGCATCCCTGCTTTGTGAATAATTTCATTTTTCTTAAATACCCTTTATAAATGAACTGTTTGTTTAAAAAGATTTTAAGTTTGGGAAATTCATTTTTAACAACTAATTAACAGATTTTGAGTACTCATTACTATCTAAAATATTGTTTATGTTTTTCTCATTTTTCTTCCAATACCCTCTATAAATATGTAATCATTGTTGGTATCCCCCAATTATGATATTGAGGAAATTCCTTAATTTCTTTGTGCCTAGTGACCCTTAGTCAGTTGGTAATGAATGAATTTTGTCAAGCTGTATGAAATCCCTATCAAACACTTTGTACTCAACAACACAGGGCCTGTGGTCCACAGCAGTGATAATTCCTTCAGGTTAATTCAGTATTTGGAATTTGTGGGACAAGTTCTAGGAGTTATTATTTATGATATATAGAAACACAGTTAAACTTTCAATTCTTTTGCCTTTCAAGTAAAAAAGGCAGATATATAACATATTTAAAGTATGTGAATTTGATCACAGTAAGGTAATAAGGGACATTCCTCAAAGAATAATTTACTTTAGATTTCTTTCCCCTCCAATGAATAATGGCTAACTACTTACTCATCTACCTGACAGGGGTAGCTCTATTGTGAGAGAAACAATACTTATACAGTGTGCTTAGCATAAATAAATGGTAGCAGTAACAGCTTTAGTAGTTTTTGTTATCATTGCAGTTGTGTTGTTATAGCTACATTTTTGAACATGTATTTTATTTAACTTGTTAATCAAAAAAACAGTAAAATATTACAACTGGTTCCTGTTCTATTTTCAATTGGCCATCTTCCAGAGTTTCACCATCTCTCCATTTCTACCACTAGATTTAAAGTCTTGGCTGATTGCCAACCTATTTTTTATTCTTTTTAGCCTTTGACAATACCTTTGCTTTTTTTAATTTTTATTTTTATTTTTGGCAAGGGCTTAGGAGGGGGAACTCTATTCCATAATCCATATGGTTCTTACTAAAGTATAAAATTCTTCTCTACTTAATTTTGAAAAATCTGACAACTGTATCTCAGATACAGACTTTTTATATTTCAATTGTCACATGAAGAACAAATATTATTCTTCAGTGGACCCTATAATTTAGACTCCTACTAGCCATCTCACTCAAGGAAGAGCCATTCACCTGTATAAGTGACACAGGGCAGGCAAGCCCAAAACTTGGGGCTTATCCTGGGAGGGTTTTTGACTTCACCCAGGAAAGAATTCAATGGCAAGCTGGTGGTGTCAGATAGCAACTTTAATTGAAGCAGCCATGTACAGCAACAGCAGCAGAGGCACTGTTCCTTGCAAAGCAGGGATACCCGATTGGCAGTGTGTCCAGAGTAGCAGCTGAAAGGCAGTTCTGCTGTCATATTTATACCTACTTTTAGGTGCATGCAAACTAAGGGGCAGATTATACAGAAATTTCCTGATTGTTGCCACGGAAAGGGGCAGTAACTTCCAGGTGTTGCCACGGCAATGGTAGACTGACATGGCACACTAGTGGGCATATCTTATGGAAAGCTGCTTCCACCCCTTCCCCATTAATAGACAGTCCTCAATTTGGTCAGGTGTCTAAGCCCTGCCTGCAGAGTTGTGTCCCACCTCCTACCTCATAAGATTTTCTAGGTCCAGTCTTGATAAGTTCTGCTTCTCTGTTTTCCCACCAGTATGAGATTATTGAGATTATTGAGATTCTGTCATAGTCATGATAGACTCATGAGTGCAAGGATAAAGAAGGACCAGCAGGCAGGTTCACTGTTCTGAGTTACTTGTTCTTCTGGGTTTTTATTCAAGAGTTATATATGTATGGTATCATAGTAAGCCACAAACTAAATGCCTTCCCATGCTTATAATAAAAAGAAAGATACATACAAGCTTGTAAGTGAGCATAAATCTTTGTCATCTTTATCCAACCAACCCACAGAAATTGAACAGAACTCTTCGTTTAGGTTAACCAAAAACTGGGCAGTATAAATTTTTTCTCATATTTCAGAATTGAATTAATTAAATTGGAAATAAAAGAAATAAAACTCCACAGCAAAATATGTGGTCATTGTAACACCAGCAACAAAGAAAGAAAATGGAAGGACAGTGGAACCAAGTGGGATGTACACCTTGCTTGTTCACACATTTGCCTTCCAACACCCTCCCCTTGTTGTGGTTATTAATATGGGCCCAGGGACAACTTGAAAGAGCTATATGCAATTAAACTTACAAAATATTTTAATATTTGATTGAATTTATTATTTCTCCAAAATTTTTTAGGATGCCTAAATGACCTGTCATGTCTGTCTATTGCTTATATCCCTAGCCTGATTTTATACCAATTTCCTGTTGCCCTGCCTGCTCCTTACCCTTAATGATAGCATGGTAAGTGTTCTTAAGTTCCTCAAAAGTGTCACCAAATTTTCCTCCTCAGAGTCTTTGCATGAAATGTTCATTCCCCAGCTCTTCACCTAACAAAATTATACTTTGGATCTCGACTTAAATGTGATCTCCACAAAGAGGCCTTCTCTAATGCCCATTCTAAATTCCCTCCCCAAATCTAGTTTTGCTTTGTTTTGCTTTCATAATGTTTATCAGTTTTTATCTCTGCATAGATTTGGGCGACAATGTTTTTACTATCATTCCTTTAGTGTTTATCCCAGTGAACTGAACTTGATTAACAATGAGAAAACACATTAGCTCACTTGAGAGCAAATCCAGAGGTAGGTCGGACTTCGGTTGTTTGATTTAGGGGTAAATGAGATTGTACAATGGCTGCCAGTAACTTTATATCTCCTTGCTCATATTTAGCCACAGGGAGAGAGCTGGGTTCACTGACTTAAGGCCTGAGCAAAACATTCCTAAAAGCAAAACTAATCTCACATTTCACTGGACAACATTGGATCTCAAGATTATACTTGAGCTGATCACTGACCAGGCAGATGCAGTTTCCAAGGCTCTGACCCATCCTTGAAGCTGAGTTTGTGAAGATTTCTCTGAGGCATAGATGGTGTGGGAAAGAGATAGATACATAAACCAAGTCAGCATTCTGTTAGAAAGAATAAAAAGGAAATCAATGCTGGGTAAACAATTGCAATAACACCATATTATTATGTACAAAGAACCTGTTTATCTTGTTTGAACTGTGTAATGTTGTCATCAGCTTTGTTTTTAATGTTTTTAAATGCTGTGATTCCATTATTTACTATTCAAGTTAAATTAACAAATGTCATTTCTACTACCTTACAGGATGAGAATTTAGATGAATTTAGATGCATATTTATATGTAGCCAGAAGCATATTTCCCATCAAAACTGACTACAAAACTCATTTTCTAAATCTATGTCCTTCCCAAGAAGGTTAAACATAAATAATGCCTGATGCTATCCATCTTTGACAGGACAGGCCACTATAACAAAAATACTATAGTCTTGGTGGCTTAAACAAGAGACATTTATTTCTCACACATCTGGAAGCAGAGAAGTCCCAGGTCTAGGCTCCAGAAGAGTCTATATCTGGTGAGGGCCTGCTTCCTGGCTTGTAGACAGCATCCTTTTTAACATATACTCATGTGGCCAAGACAGAAATAATTTCTCTCATATTTCTTTGTATAAAGGCACTAATCCTATTCATGAAGGTGCCACTCTCACGACCTAATCACCTCCCACAGGCCCCACCTCTTAAAACCACCACAATGGGGATTAGGCTACAACATATGAATTTTGGGTGGGGGATACAAACATGCAGTCTATAGCACTATCTATTAAGAAAGCTGTTTTAATTCTTTACTCTGAAAAATTTCAGTTTACCAAGTAATTAGGAGAATTGTAAATAAATTCTAGAAGAAGAAATTGGAAAGCATAATGTCAAATCATGTAATATTTCACTTAAAACACCCTTAGTTCTATACAGGATTTATGTAGCCACATTATGTCTAAGATACTTAACTATAGACCAGTAAGATCATGTGGATTTCGGATAGAGAGGTGCAAGACAAAAAAAAAAAAGTGCATAGCTGCACCTCTCCAGGTGTGCTCCAAGGTCACAGAAGCACAAAAGTCAAAACTGCATCTGAGGATCTATTCACAAAAGTCAATATAGCACTGCAGAGAGATCTGCAGGAGGTTGGCTTGTAACAAAACATTCAAAGCTCAAAGCCTGATCTCACGGTCACCCCAATTCCAGAAGTCTGAGCTGTCTTTATAGCTCAGATTGTAGTGAGAAGAAAAGCTATCCTAGAGTGATAATTAAAACTAAATTGAAATACTTTGTGAGTTCTTCTCTAAAAGAACTCTATTAAAACATCTATTACCAATGTAGAATGCATTTGTATTTGCAGAAGTTAGTGGAGATGAGTCAAAGTGTCTATTCTACATGTATTTTACATCAGCAAGTTCAAAGAAATACAATGAATCTACTTTGTAGCCAGGCTTATACACACATGCATGCAAAGATACACACACGCATAGATACACACACACATACATACACAAGTAAGTACACACACATACACATACTTGAACTTAGATTTATTGCAGGAAAAAATGGAAAATCATTTTATAGTCAGCATATCGTTATTATTTCCAGAAATATGCATTAAATCACGGTCTAATGTAATCCAGAGTAATTTTAGTTGTTACCATTTCTGTTGTGTGTCTACTCTATACCTGGCATTTACATTATCCAAAGGCTACCATGCTAAGACTGTGCAGTTTTGGGACTGTTCACAAGTGACCAGCCACAAAGGCAGGGAAACCTACATAGTCTAGCTAGGGTTATGCTCTTTACAGCAGGATGCATCTATCCCAAAGTGGTACCTTTTTCTAATTCATCCACCAAAAGAGGATGCTTTTTTTTTTTGCTAATCTGCACAAAATTGCTGCACATGCTAACAGTTGTGCTGGCATTATCTATTATTCCTGGCAACGAATCCTACAATGTAGATGTTATGAATTCCATGTAACCTAAAACATTCTGACATGGATTATTCTTTAAGTAGTCAAGTAAAACAATATGAGCCTATCCCATCCTCCTAATTGTGAAAACTCAAGAGGCCTCAATATGTATTTGGATTCCGGTATTCAGCTGATGTGATAATCTCTTGGTTAGAATTTTGTGTATTACTCTGGCTGTCTCTCCACCAGTCTTGTGACTACTATCATCTCACAACATCATATTGCTCCATAGGAAATCATGACCTTTTCATCTGAGTTACCTAAGGCAGTAAATCACACACAAGCTATTGGTAACAAACTTATCAAGGTCTCTGGATGAGGAAGATAAATTACAAAACACATCAGCAACTATTTAAAATCAAATATCACACGTCATTTATTATTTTTATCACTTCCATAAGGGAGTTTTTAACCAGCTATGAGGTTCCACAGCCCTAGTCTGACACCAGAATTCCAAGACTCCATTTCTTCCAGCCAAATGTCTTTCTGAGCCTCCCCAAAACAACTCTACTGGGAACTAACATATTGCTCACCATTTCTTAGTTCTTTATTATGCAGAATTAAATTCTTTTTTTCTCAACTTTTTTTCCCTAAGACTACATAGAGCTAATCTCTTATAACCTCGTTATTTTAGATTAAATTATCCATCATCCATGAAATGTAGTGTGACTTCAATTGTTATTTCTTCTCTAGATAGCAACCTTTTCTTTTCTGATGCATCATTTCTACAAATGAGAAAACTGAGACTGTGCAACTTACATAAGATTACTCAGACTCCAAAGCCTACTCTCTTTTCATTAAACACCAATTTGAAAACAATTAGCACATAACAAGAAGAAATTCTGGACTTGAACAGAACCTTTATGCTAATAGGAGGAAATTATCATATGAGCTCCATTCATTCAACATAATAAATATCCTTGAGCACCAACAGTATAAGAGGGACAGATCCCTACAATTATGGATTCATGTTCTACTAAAAGATACAAACATTGAACAAATAAATACACAAATAAATACATATATTGCAATTAGTACTAATTATTATGAAGGGAAAGGATGGGATGCTATGAGCTAATAACAGAGAAGACATTTTAAAATGCAGCTAGTCTTTTCTATGCTCTTTGAAACATAAGGCAAAATTCTTTCCTAGATATTTTTAATACCCTGGATAGTTTTTTAAAGCCCAGAAACTATATGAGCCCTATAGACATATTTAACTGCTACTCTAATTTCCTAATTAAGTTGTTCCTCTCTTTTCTGAACCTGTCTCAAAACAAAATACAACATATAAGAATTAGTAAACAAATCCACAAGTAACAACTCTGTAGAAACCATCTATTTTCTCTTATCTCTACTCGCCAAGCTGGATACCTTGAGAATAAATCGCATAACGGAGCATCAAACTGAGATCATCTTTAGTGCATAATTGCATGCACTTGAAACAAGTTTTCCTATGAAGTTAATATGTTTCCTTGATTAAACCCTTTTCTCACGATTGAATCTGTAACACTTAACACTTGGGTGAAGCCCAGGCCTTCTCCTCCATAGAGGAAGAATGGAAATATCAGATGGGAAGTCTTACTCTTTCGACCTCTAAACCTCAATGTATCTGCACCCAATTTCTCCTGCATTTTAATTGTTACAAAACACACGTCTTCGTACCTAAAGCCAAGCACTCTGTGCTCTGAATCTCTTCCCCTCAGCCTTCTCAGAAAACACATGCTATTTATTGTCCTTGCTCTCTTTTGCTATCTTTATCTCATGTTTCCTACTAGATAAATAAAATAAACAAATAAACAAACAGAACAAAAACCCACCTCCAATCTACATCTCCCAACAGTTGCTTTTCCTACTCTATGCCTTCTCACGCAAACTTGTCATCAGGAAAGTCGTTAACTTCACTTCCTGACCCACCATTCACTCCAACTCTGCCCAACTGAGTTTCCACTTCTCTATTACACAGCTAGTTATGGAATGAAAGTTTGTGTCTCCACCAAATTCCTATATGGAAGCTCTAATCCTCAGTGTGGCTCTGTTTGGAGACGGTGTTCTTCCTAAAGAAGTAATTAAGGTTAAATAAAGTCGTAAGAGTAGAACCCTGATATAATAGGATTCATATTGCTAGAAGATACACAGGAGGGCTCCCTCTCTCACTCCATACATGCAAACACAGAAGAAACACCACATGAGGACACAATAAAAAAGTGGCTGTCTGCCCGCTCAAAAGAAGGGCCACACCAGAAATTGAATCTGTTGGCATCTTGATCTGGGATTTCTATGGCCAAAATTATGAGAATATAAATTTCTGTTGTTTAAGCCACACACCCTGCGGTATTTTATTCTCACAGCCAGAGCCAACTAGTGCACAGTTCTTGAAAATGTCACTGAAACAACCATATCGCTAAATTGAATGGACATGAGCACAAAGGTTTTTGTCTGTAATATCTAGAGTTGGGGTAGAGAAGACTTTCTTAGAGAAGCAAATTTGAGCTGAAATGTTAAAGTTTAGTAGATAGTTTATTATATAAAAAGGTGGATATAATGGATACATTGTAGTGAATTTATACAATGGAACACCATATAACAATGAAATAGAACAGAGTACAACTGCATCAATAGTAATGAATCTCACAAGTATAATATTTGAATACAAAAATAAGAAAATATGAAATTTCATAATAAGAAAACTGTTTCATTGACATTAATTTAACAAATACTTGTGAGTACCTACCACTGTACTAGGCACTAAGAATGCAGAAATGAACAGAAGCAGCAAGTGCCTATTCTCATGGAGCTTACATTCTAGTAAGTGGGAGACTGACAATGAACATCAAACAAATGGACAAAAATAATGTCAGATAGTGGTAAGTGTGTGATGATAATGGTGTTAGTCACTGAGTTTTCTCCCTTGGAACATTCCCTTTCTATATTTACCTAGCTGTTCTTCCGCATCTCTGGACGTTTTTTTTCTTAGGCACATGTGCTGGCCTGTGTTCCCCTAGACACAATATAGACATTGAAAATGCTCCAAACTTGATCTTGGGTATTAGGCATCTTCAAATAAGATATCATATTTATTTACTATATTACAAATAATACCCAATGTTACATCTTCAGCTGATACTCTTCCTTGGAGATGTACATACATCTGCATCTTCCCTTGAATGTCTTAAATACATCTTAATCTGGTTTTTTTTCCCCAAAAAAAAGCCTAAAGCATCCTAGAAAAATATCTCAGCCACCATGATCAATTAATTAACAGTTTAAATACTAAATACCTTTCAAAACATCTTTTCTCTTCAACCTTGATTGTTTTTTTACTAACCCTGCTAAAAATCCTCCTAGTCAGTTTCTATCTCCCCACTTATAACCCCACTTCTGTGCCACGGCTTTTGTTTCAAATGAAAATACGATTATGAGTTATCCTATAAGCAACACATTTCCACTAGTTTAAATATAATGAGTAAAACTGTGAGAATATTTTAAGACTTGATAAAAGCCTTTAGAATCTTCTAAAATATGCTCTCATTTTTTGACCTCCTCACTCCCTAAACACCACACACGTCTTTCATTTTCTCAAATGCATATACTCTGCCACCTCCAAGCTTTTCAACACGCTTTTTCTTCTGCTTGAGAAAAGATTTTTTCCAACCTTCTTATATAATAAACTATCTACTTAACTTTAACATTTCAACCCAAATTTGCTTCTCTGAGAAAGTCTTCTCTACCCCAACTCTAGATATTATAGACAAAAACCTTCGTACTCATTAAACTCACATCTTGAAAAACAGACAATAAACAAATCAAATAAATAGAATATTAGAAATCCAGCAATTTTACTCCTGAATATACATAATAAACAGAAATATGTAATACCAAATACACGTATGGTAGTGTTTACACAAATATATAAGATCAAGTATCAAAAAAATACAGCAGCATTGATAGCAATATTATTGGCCCCACACTAGAAAAATTCCAAATGCTCATTAGAATGGATATATTGTCTTGAATTTATACAATGGAACACCACACAACAACGAAATTGAACAGAGTACAACTGCATCGATAGTAATGAATCTCACAAGTATAATATTTGAATACAAAAATAAGAAAATATGAATCTTATGTCTTATTTCACTTATATAGAGTTTAAAGGTAGAAAAAACCTAGTCTATAGTATTAGAAATCAGGATAGTGGTTACCACTGGCTGGCATGGCAGTGACTAGAAGGGGATAATTAAGATTTTGGGGTGGTAATAATATTTTGTTAATTGTTCTGGGTTCTGATTATAAGTGTTGATTCACTTTGGTGTACGCATTGAGCTGTATATTTATAGATTGTGACTGTTATATTTATAGATTGTGACTGTCATATGTATACGGTACTTCAAAAATTTTATTTAAAAATGTATAATACATCATGCTGATTAAATGGAATGAAATGAAGCTAAAAATGAAGACCAAAATGCCATAGGAGGAACATGGTTTGGCAGTACTGGTAACTATTTTAAATAGGATAATCAGAGAATGTCTCACTGAGAAGGTGACTTTTTAAGCAAAAATATTTAAATGAGGGAAAATGTCATGTGGATATCTGGGAGAGAGAGTTCTTAAAAGAAGAAAACCACATCCTTGAGATGTGAGTCAACCTAGCATTTTCAAGAAACAATAAGGAGGCCGGTATGGATGAATTTAATGATCAAGGGAGGAAGAGCACAGAATTAAGACAGAGAGGTAATGGGAAAGTGTTAAAACCAACCTAATAGTCCCATAGACTGTTTCGTGGTTTTTTGTTTAGTTTTGTTTGTTTTTTTCCCCCCGATAAACATATAAATTGACCTTCTGATCTTAAAGCTTGAAACTTACATTTGTTTTATCTGAGTTTCTTCCTCAGGAAAGGACCATCAGGCCTCTCAAAAAGTATTAAAGAACTGAAACTCGGAGCCAAGATGGCCGAATAGGAACAGCTCCAGTCTACAGCTCCAGGCGTGAGTGACGCAGAAGACTGGTGATTTCTGCATTTCCACCTGAGGTACCGGGTTCATCTCACTAGGGAGTGCCAGACAGTGGGCGCAGGTCAGTGAGTGCGCGCAGCATGCACGAGCCAAAGCACGGCGAGGCATTGCCTCACTTGGGAAGCACAAGGGGTCAGGGAGTTCCCTTTCTGAGTCAAAGAAAGGGGTGACGGACGCACCTGGAAAATCGGGTCACTCCCACCCGAATATTGCGCTTTTCGGACCAGCTTAAAAAACGGCGCACCACGAGATTATATCCCGCACCTGGCTCGGAGGGTCCTATGCCCACGGAGTCTCGCTCATTGCTAGCACAGCAGTCTGAGATCAAACTGCAAGGCAGCAGCGAGCATGGGGGAGGGGCGCCCGCCATTGCCCAGGCTTCCTTAGGTAAACAAAGCAGCAGGAAGCTGGAACTCGGTGGAGCCCACCACAGCTCAAGGAGGCCTGCCTGCCTCTGTAGGCTCCACCTCTGGGGGCAGGGCACAGACAAACAAAAAGACAGCAGTAACCTCTGCAGACTTAAATGTCCCTGTCTGACAGCTTTGAAGAGAGCAGTGGTTCTCCCAGCACGCAGCTGGAGATCTGAGAACGGGCAGACTGCTTCCTCAAGTGGGTCCCTGAACCCTGACCCCTGAGCAGCCTAACTGGGAGGCACCCCCCAGCAGGGGCACACTCACACCTCACACAGCAGGGTATTCCAACAGACCTGCAGCTGAGGGTCCTGTCTGCTAGAAGGAAAACTAACAAACAGAAAGGACATCCACACCAAAAACCCATCTGTACATCACCATCATCAAAGACCAAAAGTAGATAAAACCACAAAGATGGGGAAAAAACAGAACAGAAAAACTGGAAACTCTAAAACGCAGAGCGCCTCTCCTCCTCCAAAGGAACGCAGTTCCTCACCAGCAACGGAACTAAGCTGGATGGAGAATGACTTTGACGAGCTGAGAGAAGAAGGCTTCAGACAATCAAATTACTCTGAGCTACGGGAGGACATTCAAACCAAAGGCAAAGAAGTTGAAAACTTTAAAAAAAATTTAGAATGTATAACTAGAATAACCAATACAGAGAAGTGCTTAAAGGAGCTGATGGAGCTGAAAACCAAGGCTCGAGAACTATGTGAACAATGCAGAAGCCTCAGGAGCCGATGCGATCAACTGGAAGAAAGGGTATCAGCGATGGAAGATGAAATGAATGAAATGAAGCGAGAAGGGAAGGTTAGAGAAAAAAGAATAAAAAGAAATGAGCAAAGCCTCCAAGAAATATGGGACTATGTGAAAAGACCAAATCTACGTCTGATTGGTGTACCTGAAAGTGATGGGGAGAATGGAACCAAGTTGGAAAACACTCTGCAGGATATTATCCAGGAGAACTTCCCCAATCTAGCAAGGCAGGCCAACTTTCAGATTCAGGAAATACAGAGAACGCCACAAAGATACTCCTCGAGAAGAGCAACTCCAAGACACATAATTGTCAGATTCACCAAAGTTGAAATGAAGGAAAAAATGTTAAGGGCAGCCAGAGAGAAAGGTCGGGTTACCCTCAAAGGGAAGCCCATCAGACTAACAGCGGATCTCTCGGCAGAAACCCTACAAGCCAGAAGAGAGTGGGGGCCAATATTCAACATTCTTAAAGAAAAGAATTTTCAACCCAGAATTTCATATCCAGCCAAACTAAGCTTCATAAGTGAAGGAGAAATAAAATACTTTACAGACAAGCAAATGCTGAGAGATTTTGTCACCACCAGGCCTGCCCTAAAAGAGCTCCTGAAGGAAGCGCTAAACATGGAAAGGACCGGTACCAGCTGCTGCAAAATCATGCCAAAATGTAAAGACAATCAAGACTAGGAAGAAACTGCATCAACTAACGAGCAAAATAACCAGCTAGCATCATAATGACAGGATCAAATTCACACATAACAATATTAACTTTAAATGTAAATGGACTAAATGCTTCAATTAAAAGACACAGACTGGCAAATTGGATAAAGAGTCAAGACCCATCAGTGTGCTGTATCCAGGAAACCCATCTCATGTGCAGAGACACACATAGGCTCAAAATAAAAGGATGGAGGAAGATCTACCAAGCAAATGGAAACCAAAAAAAGGCAGGGGTTGCAATCCTAGTCTCTGATGAAACAGACTTTAAACCAACAAAGATCAAAAGAGACAAAGAAGCCCATTACATAATGGTAAAGGGATCAATTCAACAAGAAGAGCTAACTATCCTAAATATATATGCACCCAATACAGGAGCACCCAGATTCATAAAGCAAGTCCTGAGTGACCTACAAAGAGCCTTAGACTCTCACACATTAATAATGGGAGACTTTAACACCCCACTGTCAACATTAGACAGATCAACAAGACAGAAAGTCCACAAGGATACCCAGGAATTGAACTCAGCTCTGCACCAAGCGGACCTAATAGACATCTACAGAACTCTCCACCCCAAATCAACAGAATATACATTTTTTTCAGCACCACACCACACCTATTCCAAAATTGACCACATATTTGGAAGTAAAGCTCTCCTCAGCAAATGTAAAAGAACAGAGATTATAACAAACTATCTCTCAGACCACATTGCAATCAAACTAGAACTCAGGATTAAGAATCTCACTCAAAACCGCTCAACTACATGGAAACTGAACAACCTGCTCCTGAATGACTACTGGATACATAACGAAATGAAGGCAGAAATAAAGACGTTCTTTGAAACCAACGAGAACAAAGACACAACATACCAGAATCTCTGGGACACATTCAAAGCAGTGTGTAGAGGGAAATTTATAGCACTAAATGCCCACAAGAGAAAGCAGGAAAGATCCAAAATTGACACCCTAACATCACAATTAAAAGAACTAGAAAAGCAAGAGCAAACACATTCAAAAGCTAGCAGAAGGCAAGAAATAACTAAAATCAGAGCAGAACTGAAGGAAATAGAGACACAAAAAACCCTTCAAAAAATTAATGAGTCCAGGAGCTGGTTTTTTGAAAGGATCAACAAAATTGATAGACCGCTAGCAAGACTAATAAAGAAAAAAAGAGAGAAGAATCAAATAATCACAATAAAAAAATGATAAAGGGGATATCACCACCGATCCCACAGAAATACAAACTACCATCAGAGAATACTACAAACACCTCTACACAAATAAACTAGAAAATCTAGAAGAAATGGATAAATTCCTCGACACATACACTCTCCCAAGACTAAACCAGGAAGAAGTTGAATCTCTGAATAGACCAATAACAGGAGCTGAAATTGTGGCAATAATCAATAGTTTACCAACCAAAAAGAGTCCAGGACCAGATGGATTCACAGCCGAATTCTACCAGAGGTACAAGGAGGAACTGGTACCATTCCTTCTGAAACTATCCCAATCAATAGAAAAAGAGGGAATCCTCCCTAACTCATTTTATGAGGAAAGCATCATTCTGATACCAAAGCCGGGCAGAGACACAACCAAAAAAGAGAATTTTAGACCAATATCCTTGATGAACATTGATGCAAAAATCCTCAATAAAATACTGGCAAAACGAATCCAGCAGCACATCAAAAAGCTTATCCACCATGATCAAGTGGGCTTCATCCCTGGGATGCAAGGCTGGTTCAATATACGCAAATCAATAAATGTAATCCAGCATATAAACAGAGCCAAAGACAAAAACCACATGATTATCTCAATAGATGCAGAAAAAGCCTTTGACAAAATTCAACAACCCTTCATGCTAAAAACTCTCAATAAATTAGGTATTGATGGGACGTATTTCAAAATAATAAGAGCTATCTATGACAAACCCACAGCCAATATCATACTGAATGGGCAAAAACTGGAAGCATTCCCTTTGAAAACTGGCACAAGACAGGGATGCCCTCTCTCACCACTCCTATTCAACATAGTGTTGGAAGTTCTGGCCAGGGCAATTAGGCAGGAGAAGGAAATAAAGGGTATTCAATTAGGAAAAGAGGAAGTCAAATTGTCCCTGTTTGGAGACGACATGATTGTATATCTAGAAAACCCCATCGTCTCAGCCCAAAATCTCCTTAAGCTGATAAGCAACTTCAGCAAAGCCTCAAGATACAAAATCAATGTACAAAATCACAAGCATTCTTATACACCAACAACAGACAAACAGAGAGCCAAATCATGAGTGAACTCCCATTCACAATTGCTTCAAAGAGAATAAAATACCTAGGAATCCAACTTACAAGGGATGTGAAGGACCTCTTCAAGGAGAACTACAAACCACTGCTCAAGGAAATCAAAGAGGATACAAACAAATGGAAGAACATTCCATGCTCATGGGTAGGAAGAATCAATATCATGAAAATGGCCATACTGCCCAAGGTAATTTGCAGATTCAATGCCATCCCCATGAAGCTACCAATGACTTTCTTCACAGAATTGGAAAAAACTCCTTTAAAGTTCATATGGAACCAAAAAAGAGCCTGCATCGCCAAGTCAATCCTAAGCCAAAACAACAAAGCTGGAGGCATCACACTACCTGACTTCAAACTATACTACAAGGCTACAGTAACCAAAACAGCATGGTACTGGTACCAAAACAGAGATATAGATCAATGGAACAGAACAGAGCCCTCAGAAATAACGCCACATATCTACAACTCTCTGATCTTTGACAAACCTGAGAAAAACAAGCAATGGGGAAAGGATTCCCTATTTAATCAATGGTGCTGGGAAAACTGGCTAGCCATATGTAGAAAGCTGAAACTGGATCCCTTCCTTACACCTTATACAAAAATCAATTCAAGATGGATTAAATACTTAAACGTTAGACCTAAAACCATAAAAACCCTAGAAGAAAACCTAGGCATTACCATTCAGGACACAGGCATGGGCAAGAACTTCATGTCCAAAACACCAAAAGCAATGGCAACAAAAGACAAAATTGACAAATGGGATCTAATTAAACTAAAGAGCTTCTGCACAGCAAAAGAAACTACCATCAGAGTCAACAGGCAACCTACAAAATAGGAGAAAATTTTCACAACCTACTCATCTGACAAAGGGCTAATATCCAGAATCTACAATGAACTCAAACAAATTGACAAGAAAAAAACAAACAACCCCATCAAAAAGTGGGCGAAGGACATGAACGACACTTCTCAAAAGAAGACATTTATGCAGCCAAAAAACACATGAAAAAATGCTCATCATCACTGGCCATCAGAGAAATGCAAATCAAAACCACAAGGAGATACCATCTCACACCAGTTAGAATGGCAATCATTAAAAAGTCAGGAAACAACAGGTGCTGGAGAGGATGTGGAGAAATAGGAACACTTTTACACTGTTGGTGGGACTGTAAACTAGTTCAACCATTGTGGAAGTCAGTGTGGCGATTCCTCAGGGATCTAGAACTAGAAATACCATTTGACCCAGCCATCCCATTACTGGGTATATACCCAAAGGACTATAAATCATGCTGCTATAAAGACACATGCACACGTATGTTTATTGCGGCATTATTCACAATAGCAAAGACTTGGAACCAACCCAAATGTCCAACAATGATAGACTGGATTAAGAAAATGTGGCACATATACACCATGGAATACTATGCAGCCATAAAAAATGATGAGTTCATGTCCTTTGTAGGGACATGGATGAAATTGGAAATCATCATTCTCAGTAAACTATCGCAAGAACAAAAAACCAAACACCGCATATTCTCACTCATAGGTGGGAATTGAACAATGAGATCACATGGACACAGGAAGGGGAATATCACACTCTGGGGACTGTGGTGGGGTGGGGGGAGGGGGGAGGGATAGCACTGGGAGATATACCTAATGCTAGATGACGAGTTATTGGGTCCAGCGCACCAGCATGGCACATGTATACATATGTAACTAACCTGCACAATGTGCACATGTACCCTAAAACTTAAAGTATAATTAAAAAAAAAAAAAAAAAAGAACTGAAACTCACCAGATCATCGCATCTAGACAATGAGTTACCAGGCCCCTTATTCATCATGATTTCTTCGTTACCCCTCCCAAATTTCTTCCCTGTTATATAAACCTGTCAGGTTTAGTCTGTCAGGAAGATGGATTTGAGACTGATCTCCCACCTCCTTGGCTTCAGCACCTGATTAAAGCCTTCTTCCTTGGCAATAATCATTGTCTCAGTGATTGGTTTTCTGTGTGGTGAGCAGCAGCACCTAGCCAGAACCCCTGGTGTTTCAGTAACAGTGAAACCAAAAATTTCAAGACCTGTCCATCATTTAAAGGGTTTCAAATTTGTAGAAGTTAGTTCCAAAGTGAACCATCCTTCCCAGTAATCACATTTTTGTGAAGCTCCTCTCTGCATTGAACCTAGCCTGGCCCTGTGTAACTAGTAGTGTGGCATTCATTACTTAGTTATAGAAAATACTGCTTCTACCTGTGTCTCTTGGAATGCTCACTCTTGGAGAAGCTAACCACATGTAAGAAGTCTACCTTGAGATTTTCATATTCTGAGACAGTCCAAGCTAGCCAAGAGGAAAGCCACATGTTGGGAGAGAACATAGCCAGCCCTCAGCTGCTTTAGCTATCACAGCTAAGTCACCAGATCTGTAAATGAAGAAGTCACCTTGGATGTCCAGTTCCATAAACTCAGCAAGCCTTCTGAATCCAGCCCTAGCTGCATTTGAATGCAATCACATGAAAGACTTTAAGTAAGAACCACATATCTGAATGCAGCCAATCCCAGAACCCTTGACATAATAAATTGTTATTTTGAGCCACTACGTTTTGGGGTGGTTTGTTACTCTGCAACACCTAATCAAAACAGGATTTTCTCTAAGTGAGATTGAAAGCTATTGTAAGATTCTGAGCAGAGGTATGACATGTGTTGAAGGATCACACATGTGTGGTGTGGTATGAAAAGACTATAAGAATTATTGGAGGGCAATGGTAGAAGTAGGAAGATTGCTTAAAATTCTGTTGCTGTCTTTGCACTTCTTATAACACTTACACAGTTCTAATAAAATAATTCATTTTGTAACTTTTTAATATATTTCTTTTTGCTAGACTATAGCTTTATGAAAGGAGGGAGCATGCAGATTTTGTTCACTGGTAAATCTTCAGTGTCTGGGAGATGCCCAATAAGTATTTATTGAAAAAATATATGACTATATGAATGACTAAATGATGGATGAGTGAATGAATGCTTTAGATGTCTAACTAAAGAAAGATTTCATTCCTGGATGTCTTCCTGGTTTTGGGTTTCTCTTTTCCTTTAGTCTGCTAATTTCCATTTCCATTTCCTTCAACTTAATGCCTGGTTTTAAAAATAATTTTCAATATATTTCCATGTACAAATAATGCATGGAAATGAGAATTCTCTCATCATTTACTGAAGATTTTGAATATAGAATAACATTAATATTTTTAGATCCAAATGCAGACATAATAGGAAATGAAACAAAATCATGACTGCATTGAATATGTATTTCTTTCTTATGAACCATTCTAAAGCCTACAGAATACTAACATCTTTTCTTTACTACTTTTCAGAGTGAAATATTCTAAAAAATCAAAGGAAGGATCTCTTTGGAAAATTGCATAGGAGCAAAAATTGGTTTATTCTAACATTGCAGATAAAGAGAACACTACCAAAAGGACATAGACTAAAATAATTTTTAAAAAAAGAAAATTAAACGTCCATATATCCAACTCTCTATTAGTTTCAAGAATTATACACTTAACCACTATTTACTTAGTTTTGCCTTATTTTAAATTATTTGTAAATGAATTATTTTACTATATATGATTGTATATTTCAGTACCTCCATATTTTTACCATAGGCCATTGTTTCATCCAAGCTCCAAGAAGTGATCCCACCAATGTATGAGGACCACCTCCAGGTATCAATGGTAGCTATTAAATCATGAGGTCTGTGAGAGTGGCTTTATAGTTAAAAAAAAAAAATTCTAGTATCCACTTTTATATTCTGCCCTCTCCATTTCCATATTCCCAAGATCTGTTCCCAGATACATTCTCCAGGGTCCTAACAGAAAATGTTAATTTTAGTTAATTTTTAGTTAATTCCCTAAGATACTGTACTTTCCCAGTTGGACTGCATGACATTCTGCTAAACATCACATTGGTCCATGACACACACAACATCACATTAATCAGAAGTGTAAGCAGAAACTTTCATGTATTCTTTACATCATGGTAAGCCACATGTGTAGCAGAGAGTGGCAAATAAATGCTAAAAGCATTCAAGTGCCTGCCACATTGTTGAAATATTTAGCAATCCTGTACTATGAGACATGCTAAGACATTCTCTCTGTTCCAATTATCCATTGCTGCATATTAAACCACTTTTTAACTTAGAAAAACAACCATCATTTATTTTGTTCATGAATATGAAATTCAGGCAGGAAATAGCCAGAACAGCTTATCTCTGCTCCATGTAGCATCACCTTGGGCTGGAAGCTCACTCACATGGCTATCAAGTTTAGGCTGCTGATTGACTGTGAACTCAGCTGAAATTGTCAGCTGTAGATTTTGGTTCCTTTTCACATGGAGCTCTCCTTGAGGCTTCTTGGGATTTCTCATAACATGTCAACTAGATTCCAATAGCAGTTGTCTCAAGAGGCCTGGGAAAAAAACTACAAGACTACTTATCACTTGGCGTCAAAAGCCCCATCTTTCTGCTGCATTACATTGATTAAATAAGTAACTAAGTCCAGCCCAAATTCAAAAGAAAGACAATTTGATTCAATCTCTAAATGAAAGGAATAGCGAAAAAAGTTGCAGCTTTTTAAAAGCTACCGTATCATCCATGGGAAGTGAGAAATGATTGCACTTTGAAACACCTACAACTAAAAAAGCAATAGAGCATTTAGTAGACCTCTTTAGACTTTGGAAATTGCACATTCAACACCTTGAAATACTGCTCCATCTCATTTATTGGATGACTTGAAGGGATATAAGTTTTGAGTGGAGCCCACTGCAAAAATAATTTCTCTAACATGTTCAAAACACAATACAAGCACACCTGTCCCTTGGTACATGTAACCCAGAAGATCGCCTGGCTCTAAAGTTATTTGTGTTAGATAAGAACTTATGTGCAGTTTCTGACAAGCCCTATATAGAGAGTTGCATCATGGATCTCCAAGATCCTGGAGCAAAGCTGTCTGCAACAGAGATCTACTCACCATTAGCAAAGCAACTGCTACATGTTATATGGCCCTAGCAAAGGCTGATATCCTGACCATAAAAGATGTTAAGTGATAATGTAACTAGCACCACCTTTAATAAGCTGGTTACATTCAGATCGACCAAATTATATAATTGAAATGGCATATTCAAGGTAAGGCATGAGATGTTCTAAGGGCACAAGACTGCCTTCTTACCTCTGTCATGTCAGCATCTGTTAGCTTACACCTACATTTTAAGAAAGTTCCTCATAATTGGCCAATAGAGAGGGAAAAAACCTTAGGCTTTGTTCATGGATGAGTCATAATAGTTTCAGTGAGTAAAATATGGACTGCTTTCACGTTACATTTTCTCTCGGGGTAGCCCTTGACAGACAATGGTGAGGAGAAATCTTCCATGTTGGCAGAACTTTTAACAGGACACCTGGACACTTTCCTCAAGGAATAATGTATAGCGGACAGTGGTAAATGACTTTGCTGGTTGGTAAGAGCAACTAGCAATATTGGAAGATTAGAGAAAAAGGGTTCTAGATGACTCATCAAGGGAAGCTCAGTCAGCCTCTGTACTCATACACTCCAGTGCCTGAGCACGGAACTCAAAAATAAAAAAGCTATGGTGTCATAATAAAAATGCACATGGGCCAAATAGCATGGGCTCCCTCGTGCTAATCAGTACTATGTACTGCTGCTACTGAATATCAGATCTGTCAAAAGCAGAGATCAATGTTGAGCACTTGACGGATGATGGTACCATCCACCAAAGAGACCAACTAGCCACTTGGAGGCAAGTTGAAAACATCAGACCACTTACCTACTAAAAGGAGTAGTGATTTGCCCCGACTTGAATTATTCTTGGCATAGAACTCTCTGTCTTTCCCACAGCATCTTGCAAAGCACCACCACTCAAAGGTTCATAAATCTTGAAAAACATCTCCTAGGACCAAGGGTCACACTTTTAGAAGGAGGGGTGACAATGATAAATAACCAAGGAATGTACTGTTTCTACCATACATCATGTGGTCTCCTGAGGGCAGAGCTAAGCACCAACTTGGAAGTGACATCTCTGAGATGGGGACATTGTCCTTCAAGGCTTCAAGGTAAAGTATATTATTTAACTAATGGCCATTATATAAGACTGTGTACTTAGCAGTTAGAAAACATGAGTCTGGGACTGAAATGGTGAAATTAGGATTAGCATTTCTAATTATAATTTGCAGTTATCTGTGGGAGAATTAGTGATTTCATTACTACAACTTTAGGCTTTTCTGGACTAAAGGTCCCAGTTCCTGGAGTAGGGGTGGGGAAAGCTATTCTACCAGCATCCTTGTTAAAGGTTCCACCAAATCCAAACTGAGCAGCTGCATGGTCATTTTGGGATCTTCATGCTGGCAGACTGGCAGACAAAGAAAGGAGTTACTATACTGACAAGAGCCATTGATTATTGGTCCCTAGTGTTCATGATGCTATAATGTGCTGCTACCTAATGAAGACAAGAGGTAAATGACTTCGTTCCTTCTGGAAATTTAGAGGATTCACTGGAACACATCATATTGCTTCTACATAGTGATTACCCAAGAGGGAAAAGCAACTTTACTATTGTACTATTCCTTTGTCCAAAATATTTTAAGAATGTACATGGCTCTTATTATTGTAATTCAAAAACATATTTCATAGATGTTTAATGATGACGGTGTATATTAAACTTAATTCGTATGTTTCCCTAGATATAAAAATTTCTTACTACATCTATTATAAGTTTATTCATTTTAACAACCACAACAAGACTTGATTTGATTGACCTTTTACTAATATTTCTGTAACTGTCACAGCAGATAATATAAAGTGTAATCTAACATAATCTGTTTTTTATTTCGCTGCTTCTAAGAATCGCATCTTATCTTGAAGTTTTCAACCATGGTTTAATACACAGTAACTTATTGGAAGCCTCAATTGGTTTCCTGTTGTCTATTAATAATTAAAATGAATTGAAAGAATGTCTGAATTTGTTTTAACCTAATGTTGTTGTGCAACTATTTGCTTTCACAGAAAACAAACAGGGAAGCCACAGGAAAATAAATTATTCATTGAGCAATTAATTATGTAGTCCATTGTGATAACTCTTATACACTTATTTAAAGCTGATGAGTTACATTCAAATCCCAGCTCTGATATGTAATAGCTATATGATTTTGATGAGTTACTTATCTTTTTCTGAGATTTAATTCCCCCATTTGTAAAAATGACAACATGAAACCAAGCAACTATTTTAAGTAGTAAATGTAGTAATGTATGTGAAAGCACTTAACATACTGTCTGAGGATAGGCCATCAATAAATATCTACTTGTTTCTTTCCTATTTAACTGCCTTTCTGTCACTCTTCTTTCTATTTTTCCAACTTTCTTCTGTGCAATTTAAATTTTGTTAATTATGGGAACTTATATACATAGGTAATAGATGAAATAACAAATGACCATCATTATCTAGATATATCATATATAACATATATAACTATATTTATATGTACATATGCAAAATGAGGTTAAATATGTATATGGATATGTCCAAACTTGACATCATCTTGATATTTTGTCTTTTTCCCTGTGAAGTCAATCAACAGACACATATCTTATTTCTTTAAATAGCATGCTACACACTACACAGAACGTAACTTTTCTGCATCTCTGGGACACCAAATCTTGAAGAAAAAACAATACATCACTGCAAAAATATGCTTTTATTTTTAGTTAACCCTTGTATTTATTTGCTAGAGCTGCCATAAAAATGTACCACAGACTGGCTGATTTAAATAGCAAAAGTATATTTTTTTCACAGTTTTGCAGACTAGAAGTTCAAAATTAAAATCATCAGAGTTGGTTTCTTTTGAAGGCCATGAGGGAAAATTCATTCCATTTCCCTTCTTGGCTTACAGATGGCTGTCTTCTTCCTGTGTCTTCACATCATCTTCCCTCTCTAGGTATGTATACAGATACATATGTATCGGCATCCAAATTTCCTCTTCTTATAAGGACACCAGTCTTATTGGTTTACGGCCCACTTAAATGACCTCAATTTAACTTAATCACCTTTGTATATATCCTTATCTCCAGATCAGTCACATTCTATGGTACTGGAGGGTTATTACTTCCACATGAAATTTTTAGGTGTGAACAAAAGTTCTCTGAAAAAGAATCTGGAGGAAAGAGACTTTTTTTCACAGTGAATACTTTGCACAACAGCCTTCAGTATAAAAGGAAGGTGCATTCCACAGATGATGAACAAAAAGAGGGTTCAGGTTTTATAGCGAAAGTTCTTTCCCAGGTTCCCAACCAGGTCTGTTTATGCAAACGAAGAATGCAAGTGCTTAGCTCTAACTAGTAAATGCAGCTGACTTCTGACTGGTTGATGCAGCTGAGTACTGATTGGCCAAAGCCAGTGAACTCTAAAAGTCCCAAGGTTAAAACGGTGTGGGATTTAGGGGAGCTCAGAGTATGTCTGTGACCTCTACTTGGCAAATGGGCAATTAACTCTGTTTTAAATTTAGGCCTAGTTACCACTGAGGATCCATCTTGAAGGATTGGCTCTTTCAGGTTCACCTTTGTTCACACAAGAAACACTATTCTGCTCAAAACAACTCAGAGGCCTCCAGCAACCTTTTCTATCTCATTTATCAACTTCTTATCCCATTCCTATAATAACAATTGCAACCATACTCAATATCCCAAAACTAACAGAAAACAGCTAGGCTATCAGAAGTTACCTTCTTCAGCATTCGTACCTACAAACTTATCTAAAGCTGAATCCACTCTCCCTTATTTCTCCTGTTCTCAAAAACGTTGCCTTTCTATGGAAGGTTCATTCCTCCTCCTATGCTCATTATCTGACTTTTCACACTCTCATGCCAAGACATGCTCCACTGGTACTCCGTTTCTTGCTTTTGTAACTTTTTCCCTCTTGTTGGCTCCTTGTGATCACCCGTCTATGCACAACAACATAGACTCTCTTGACTCTTTGATCCTGCCTCTCTTCTGTCCAAAGCAAAGCACCTAGAAGGAACAGTTTACACTTACGACTACCGTCTGTCTTCCCAGCCCACAATTACCTTTTAGTGCACTGTGGAACTTCTGCCACAATTTCACCACTGATACCTCCCTGGAAAAGTTTACCATGGACACCTAATCATTAAGTTCAGTGAGTCGTTTAATGACTTCATTGTATTTTTTCAACCTTAAGCATATGACAATATTGGTAACTCTTTTTCTCCATAGAGGCCTTTGTTCACTCCTTTCCTTCAAGGTTCTTAAGTGTTATAACTTCTGTGAAGAATTTCTAACATGCACATACCTTACCTTCGTGTCTAAGGAAGAGTAACTACACCAGTTCTTCTGTACCACCATTCATCTTTTTCAAATCTCACCTCTAACTCTGGCACACTTGTTCATCTACTAACGTGCACAATCCTTGAGGCAAGTGATCATGTATTACTTAGTAATTATGACTTTGTTTTATGGTGCTAGTCACCTAGCAGATAATAAATGAATATTTGTTGATTATAGTGAATTAAAATACCCTTGTGGCCATTAATTCCAACATCTGTGCAATGAAGGACTCTTTTCAACATTGTCCCATGGAGATGATCATTTATCCAATGCTTGAAGACTTTTTCCTATATATCTCATTTCTTTCCATTAGATTTCAATAAGTTGAAATACTACTCTCAACATATTCTTATGTGGAGAATTCACAACCAGGGTATCATGACTAAGCCTAAATAGGAATTGTTGTAAAAGGAATATTGGAAAAGAAGAGTCCCAATAAGAGGTTTATTAGAATTAGGAGGAAAGTAAATACCATATATGATAGAAATGCAAGAAATATAACATATACATATTTAGCTTATGTATTAATTCATCTTCCCCAAAGACATGATTTCACTCACTCATTTAATCTTTACAAGAAGAAACAAACATAGATAGTTTAAGCTTATAGGAGTTTGATATTAAAACATATACAAGTAAACCCTGTGTGGGCAATTAGGAACACTTTAGACTTTTCCATTCATTCGTCATTCACTACTATGCATCTGAACTTAGGAAAAATAGCTTGAATGCCCAGACATCTGTGTATAAACTTTACTTTTGTTGCTTTTGTCATGGGCCTTCAATTTAATATCTCACACACTAAGAGATGTGTACATGTTGTAAACATAAGTTAAGGAATTTTCAAGTGTAATTTTATCTTATTTCAACTAGGCTCACTTCCAACCTTTTGCTACCTTGAGAATCTAAACCACCAGGTAAGATGTTATGTGAGAAATTCTTGAGAAGACTGGGAGAGTTAAGACTAAAGATAAATATTAGAAGAAAAATAATGAGTACACTGAAATATTTAAGGCATATCAAATCATACTCTGGAGATCCAGGAATTAGAATTGGAATAAATATGTGAAAGTTACAAGGACACATACACATCTCAACTTTACAAAAAGAAGGAGAGTCAATAGGGTAAAACTTAACCTTGTTATAGTGGTGGAACTGAGCTATATATACATAAAATTTTATATATATATAATATATAATTATATATTATATATATACACACACACATACATATTTTTTTCTTCATTTCCCACCTTACTCTATCTTTCTCAATGCCCTGGAGACAACTCTAAATGGCTGAAAGCAGCACAAGCTTCTTTGCCCATTGGATTCCTGGGTTCTGCCAATTAGGATATGAGCAAGAGAACAAAAGGTGGAAGGATAATGAGATCAGAATATTTATACTCCGCTCCCCACCTTGTGGAGAGGGGAAGAGACCACTGTGGGATTTCTTATCTGAAGGTCACAGCTGCGACCTTCAGATTGCAGGTAGCCCTCTCTGCGCAGGCCTCTGTTTCTAATTCTGGGTGCTTCCTCTCCTTGCCACTTGCAGGCTTGGGGGATTAGTGCTTTATTTGGTACAAGCCCAAAGATATTGTGCTATTCAACATGATTTCTTTACACTCTATCCGCACCTTATAAATAGTCCTCTATTTCTAACTGCTCAAAGTGTCCCAAATTGTGTATCCCATATGTTTCCTACTGTGACATTGATTCATATAGGAACTCTTCGAAATTTCACTAATGCCAAGACCTTCACTCCAAAAAGAAAATTTTAAAAAATAACACAGATTCACAACTCTCTATTCATGGATCTAGCCGAGATGATGCATTCATAAATATACAAATGATTTAGATAGCATTTTGCAGCTTTAAACAGAAAGATGTTTTGTCCAGTTGATTTCAGCAAACAAGGAAATTAATATGAAGTCAGATAATATCAACTAATCTAAGAGTCATACACAATACAGCCTCTTTCAGAGTATCTGATGGGTGAATCATTGTTCACATGAAAAGCAAAAGATAAAATGTAATTCTCTCAAGTTTTTTTACCTTGGCTGATATTTCTGGCCTTTCCAGCTACTAAATGGTTTCAGTTATACTTGGAAAGCTCTTCTGCCATGGCTTTTCAAAACCCATTTAGAATCTTTTGACAAGTGTAAATTTGATTCAATAGATTCTACTCTAATAAAAAGATAATCTTACTTTTTTTGCTTGTACTTTTAGAATACATATTCATTACTTGATATTATCTCTTCATAGCCATGCAGCAGATATAATGCTAAAAGCAACACAATGAGTGAGCAGAGGCTTGAGATGAACCTAGCGCTAGCAGAATGCGGAAGAACATTTTGAGACAGCATCAGAATGGAGGGCGGTCTTGCCTTGCCACTCACAGTGATTGCAAAAGGGATATGCTATTGTTAAAACTGATTCCATGACAGGAAAAGCAGCTTTAGTGTCATTATAAGATATGGTCTCTTCTCAAGAAATGAGAATGAATGCTAAGACAGGAAAGCTAATGACAAATGAAATGCTTGTAGGTATCCAAGCCAGGCCAGCAGTAAGATTGTGAAGTAGGTGAACTTTATATCTTACTTCTTGCCATATCTCCTATGAAGATCTGAGATTCTTCACTGAGCCTTTTTTAATACTCCAATCTGACTAATATTTGCTTTGCTTGTGCTACACTTTCAAAGCTAATTTCTTTAGCATTTAAACTTATCCCTTGGGTTTCAGCTGGTAAAGGAGTAGCGAGTACATTTACATTTTATTACAGATTATTAAGATAAACATCCTTGATACACCCACAAAAATTCATTAAAATATTTTATAGAGTAGTGTGTACTACCAACCTTGTGCAAGGCCACACATTTCTACACAGAATTCCATACATTGCTATGTAGAATTCTACTTCTATAGTTCTATAGAATATTAAAAAGCTTTCTTCGAATCCCTCATCCACCGAACTTCATCACACATCTCAAGTTAACTTGAGTAACATTTAATGAAACATATTTCAAAAGCTACAATGAAAATTCAAGAGAAGAACTTTACTAACAATACTTAAACACTAAAAAGTAAAAGCCACATTTTAGAAAAGCAAGGAAAACAATTTTTCAAGCTGTCTCCATCCTACAGAAGGATACTAGGTAGCAACACACTTGACTGATTCTATCCTGTAATCGTGCAAAATTTACACAATTGTGCTGTCAAATTTCTGCTTCTTCCTAGAAAATCCTATGAGGTTAAGACTTTGAAGAAAGGAATTTGAGAAAGTTTTTATTATTCTTTATTTTTAATAAATTTTCAATATACAAATATGTTTTAACCAGACAGTGAGCAAGGTATTACAGGCCAAAAGAGTTTGCATTCAGTAAGAATGTAGAAAGAACTATAAATAACTATAGAGTAATATAATTTGTTACAAGTGCTTCAAGATTGTACAAAGTGCTATAAGATACCAAAAGAAGTGGGGGAACATTCAAAGAAAAGAGATAAATACACAACTACATTTTCCTCTTCATTAAATACCCTCTAATTATGTACAACACTTCAAAACAAGAAAAACATACCGTGTTCTAACAAAATTAGCCATTTATAGTATTGTGATTTTCACAAGTCTGATATTTTTTCCATATTATCAATTAGTAGATTTAATTAGTAAAAATGATTGACTCCTGTCTGCTGTACAATCACCAGTGAATTAATTTATTTCATGATGATATGGTTTGGCTGTGTCCCCACCCAAATCTCATCTTGAATAGTAGCTCCCATAATTGCATGTGGTGTTGCACCTGCGAGTGCACAGACGTCAAGAATTGAGGTTTGGGAATCTCTGCCTAGATTTCTGAGGATGTATGGAAAGTCCTGGATATCCAGGCAGAGGTGTAGTGCAGGGGTGGGAACTTCATGAAGAACCTCTGCTAGGGCAGTGCAGAAGCAAAATTTGGGGTAGAAGCCCCCACACAGAGTCCCAACTGGGGCACTGCCTAGCAGAGCTATGAGAAGAAGGCCGCCATCCTCCAGACCCCAGAATGGTAGCTCCACTAACAGCTTGCACCACGTGCCTGAAAAGCCACAGACACTCAACACCAGCCAGTGAAAGCAGCCAGGAGGGTGGATCCAACCTGTGAAGCCACAGAGACAGAGCTGCCCTAGACCATGGGAACTCACCTCTTGCATCAGCGTGACCTGGATGAGACAGGAGTCAAAAGAGATAATTTTGGAACTTTAAGGTTTGATGACTGCCCTATTGGATTTTGGACTTGGATGGGGCCTGTAGCCCTTTTGTTTTGGACAATTTCTCCCATTTGGAATGGCTGTATTTACCCAATGCCTGTACCCCCATTGTATCTGGGAAGTAACTAACTTACTTTTGATTTTACAGGCTCATAGGCAGATGGACTTGTCTTGTCTCAGATGAGACTTTGGACTCTGGACTTTTGAGTTAATGCCGAAATGAGTTAAGACTTTGGGAGACTGTTGGGAAAGTATGGTTGGTTTTGAAATATGAGGGCATGAGATTTCAGAGGAGCCAGAGATGGAATTATATGGTTTGGCTGCGTCCCCACCCAAATAACATCTTGAATTGTAGCTCCTATAATTCCTGTGTGTTGTGGGAGGGACCTGGTGGGAGGTAATAGAATCATGAAGGTAGGTCTTTCCCATGTGGCTCTTGTGACAGTAAGTCTCAGAAGATCTGATGCTTTCATAAAGGGGAGTTCCCCTGCACATGTGCTCTTTTTCTCTCTCTTGCCTGCTTCCATGCAAGACATGACTTTGCTTCTCCTTTGCCTTCCTCCATGACTGTGAGGAATCCCCAGCCATGTAATTTCCTTTATAAATTACCGAGTCTTGGGTATGTCTTTATTAGCAGTGTGAGCACAGACTAATACACATGATTCCTAAGAATTCCTTAAATAACAGGGTACCACGAAGTAAATTACTAAATTCACATCAATGCTGAAATGTTATTAGTCAGATCCTAAGTTGGGAGATAAAATGAATATATTATTTTATTCTGGTTCTTTTATCTAACATTATTCTCTCATTTCAATCTAGATAAAGTTTCTTCTATCTATGAAAATAAAACGTTTGTTTCCCAGAATCATTATGTGAATTTTATTTTCAAGATGCTTTCATGGGGCTACATATTTGTTTCCTGATTAGTTTCTATTCACTTTCTTCACCCAGGTTAAGATATTGAGGCGGCAGGGGAAGGAGGGGATGCAGATGGAGGTGGGTCAGCTCACTTGCTTCTGCTTTAGTTCTCAGGGGTAATGATTCTGTCATGTTCAAAATATTTATTTGTCAAATCTTATAGTGAAAAAAGAAATACTAATGGGTAGAACAACACGAGAGCTAAGTTATTGACTCACTCCTCCCCACAACAGTATCCTACCAGGACAAATCTTTGGACATCTCTGTATATCAGTTTTAGCATTTGTATGTGGGAGTGAAAGTATCATCTCTCTGTATCTCACTGGCTTGCTTTGATGATAATGTGCTTGTGGGGAATGCTATATAAGAAGTCTGCATGAGACAATGTCAGGGAAGACAAGTAAGAGGTGTTATTGTTGCTTCCCAGAAAGAAGTGTTTGCTTCATTCATCAGTTAAGAAACAGCCAATGCTCGTATAAACATAAAAACAAATCTTAAGAAAATATAGCATGACTGGAAATGTGTTTCTAAGGCAGTGCTGGAAAATTAGCCCAGTGACTTCAAACAGGAATATATACAAGTCTAAGAATTTTTATAACTATAAGAAAACAAAGACTTACTTAAACAGGATGAACCCCAGAATTGAGTAAATACCCCTAGAAAGCCCTACTCAGGGAAAATGGAGACTGGGCTTAAACCCTAGAGAGAGCGATTTCTATTCCAAAGTTTAGAGCAAGGACTCAGATTCAATATGTATCTAAGATAAAAGGTAAGGGAAAAATGGTTTCTCTGCCCTTGATGCATGAATAAAAACCGTTTTCATTTACCTTATACATTGAGAAACTGAATCATTCACCTTCCAGGGCCCTTTGCCCTTCCCAGGGCTCTTCTTCCTGAGCCCCTGCCATTTATTATAATGTGTTGCTTATAACAAGATTTTGTTATTTTGTATGATCTTAGATACATATGAGGACATGGATCTATATGTTTGGTAATCAAATTAATCATAATTCAATTATAGATTGAAAAATTGAGCTCAGTAATTATTTTCCTCCTTGCTGATTTTAGTGACAGAGCAGCCAATCTAAAACAAAACAGTTGAAACTAAGTCAAATGTAAAAGATACAGATTTCAATAAAGAGAAATTTTCTAGGAGATCAGAAAATCATGGTTCAAGAAAGCTAGCACAAAATCATTGTCTTGGATTTGCATAATTGATTTAAGTCCCAAAAAAATATCATCTGCCCTTACTAAGACTTTTGATTTAGACAGCTTTAGTTCACATCCTGACATTGTGGCTGTCTGGAGTGTACAATCTTGGACAGCCTTCTTTGCATCAGTTGTTTCTATCTTCTAGAAATGTTTAAAAATAAAATAAAAGAATGTAAGCATAGTACTTAGCATAATATCTGGAACTTCAACATGAGGGAATTAGGGGCTAGATTTTAAAATTTCAATTGAAGTTAATTGACTAGAAAAGGAGGAGGATACTCCAGGTGAAATGAATCAGGTAAGAAAGGATATATGATGTCTGTTTCATGTTGGAACACTTATGACAGTGGTTTTTAAATATGTAGAATATCAGAATCACCAAAGTATATTTTTGTTTAAAGATTCTGATTTGTGAGTTCCACCCTCAATGCTTTTGGTTCAGTAGCTATGGGATGCAACCTAGGATTCAATCTTCAGCAGCATGGGTATTCTGAACGTTGGCTACATTTGAGAACAACTGGAATAAGGCCTGTGTAAAGATATAGTGAAATATGTACTTGAAAAATTGGGAGGCATGGTGAGAAAAACAGAGGAATTAAATGCCAAGTTAAAGGATGTGGAGTTCACCTACTAAAGTATGGCTTACCGTGACACATATTTTTAAAAGGCAATCCTTGGTAAAAGCTCTGCCTTATTAAGATAAATTTTGACAATAATAAGAAATAGATTAGGACAAGAGTAGATGTGAGAAAGACTACTCAGTATTCTACTTGGTAGGCTAGTTGGGCTAGTCTATGGGACTATCCCAAAATAAAACTAAGAATGACTGGGCTTCAGGAACTGATATTGAGCCATGCAAGATGACAGCTAAGGGTAAATGAGATGCATTTAGTTAAAATGGTCAAAACACACAGGGATGGGAAGAGAGTCAAGAAAACCCTCTATAAAAAATGAAATACAATTTAAAAAATACAAAGCTTACAATTTAAATAATATTAATAAATTACTGTAAATCAAAATGATCTGCTGTTTGAGCCAAAATAGAATATAAAGTAAGTTAACCAGTTTTTTTTATGAAAGAGTATTAGGGGGAGTGTGTTGCTCCTTAGTTGTGTCCATACACCACTTCTCCTTAAGCTTTCTGCCTGGAGTCCATTTCCACGTGCCAAATGGGGAGAGGGGGCACAAGCAGAGGATGGCAGTCTTCATAGATTAAGAAGAAAGAGATTGGAATTTGGAGATGCTGAGGTGCTGGAATTTGTGTAGCAGTGTATGAGGAGGGTGCTGCCCAGAGGGAAAACTCCAGAGCAGGGTGATCTCCTGGAATTCTTGGCTGAGTACTGATCTGTATATGCATGGGGTAAAAGTCCATAAGACTTAAGAAAAAAATCATCAGAAATCCAAAGTCTGAACAACTCCTAGAGCTCACACAGGGCTGGGAAAAGTTCTTGATCCCACCAGCCAAGAGTATGTTGACCTTGCAGAAGACAGCATTTGGATAGTCCTCAGAAGGTGTCAAACACATGCAAAACAAGGCAAGGCCAAGGACAAGGTCCTACTAACTCTACCAATAAAATAAAATGAGCCACACTTGGATTCATATAGTTTATTACTTATATGGAGAGTGAAATGAAGAGTAGCCAAAATGCCAGCTCTTCATAATTCCTGCCCCACTGATTAAAAAAAAAAAAAAAAGCTGCAATGAAATAAAAGGAGCTTTGTAACAATATTATGAGCTGCATGGTACCCCATGGCTGAATAGCAAACTGTAGACTATAGCCAAGAAGTTTTATAGTCTGCAGCTGCATCCTAAAATGTCCAAGGCAGAAAGCCTCATGACCCATCAGAGCTTAGGAGACAATGAGAAACCCTCTCTCAAGACAGCCACCCAGAGGAGATGGGGAGGGGAGTAGGTGATAGTACTTAGGAGCTCCTCATAGGCCTCCCATCCTCTCATTTGCTGGAAGAATCATAAGGCATTCTGCCAAATTTCAAATGAACTGAAGTTCCAGCCTTTGCCTGCATGATCTACGGGGAGATATGCAAAGTTGCCAGAGTGTCATGGGAAAGACATTCCTCTATGGAAGATTCATACTTTATTAGTGGAATTAAATTAGTACTTGACAAATAATTTTCTGGATATGCTATATTTAATATCAAAAGCAAGCCTTGAAAGTGCCAACAGATTCACAAGTAACTTTATCTTGTGCCAAAACACAATTGTTTTTAAAGAAACACAACAAAATCCAACCATCAACTATGTAAAATTACAGCATTTTGCATACTGCCAAAAGTTACCAGGAAATAAGTAAAAAGCAGGAAAATAAGATTCACACCTAGGAGCAATATGGGACCCAGAAATGACAAACATGGTGTAATTAGTAGAAAAAGACCTAAAACATCTAATATCAATCTTATAAAAATGTTCAAGGATATAAAAGAACATATGAATGAAATGAAAAGAGAAATGAAAGATATTAAACAAGTAAATACCTAAAGGGGACTAATACAGTTTGGCTGTGTCCCCAACCAAATCTCATCTTGAATTCCCACTCGCTGTAGAAGGGACCCAGTGGGAGGTAATTGGATCCTAGATGCAAGTCTTTCCCACACTGTTCTCGTGATATTGAATAAGTCTCAAAAGATCTGATGGTTTTAAAAAGAGGAGTTCCCCTGCACAAGCTCTCTCTCTTTGCCTGCTGCCATCTATGTAAGATGTGACTTGCTCTTTCTTGCACATCTTACCTTCTGCCAGGAATGTGAGGCTTTCCCAGCCACATAAAACTGTAAGTCAAATTAAACCTCTTTCTTTTGTAAATTACCCAGTCTCAGGTATGTCTTTATTAGCAGCATGAAAATGGACTAATACCAGGACTTACAGAGATAAGCAATAAAAAAGAAAAAAATTTTGCTAGAAGGAATTAAGAACAAAGTAGGCCAAACAGGAACAGCCCTGGTCTGCAGCTCCCAGTGAGATCAACGCAGAAGGTAGGTGATTTCTGCATTTCCAACTGCAGTACCTGGCTCATCTCACTGAGACTACTTAGACAGTGGGTGCAGCCCACAGAGGGCGAGACAAAGCAAGGGTTATGTTGCCTCACCGGGAAGTGCAAGGCATCAGGGAACTCCATCCCCTAGCCAAGGGAAGCCGTGAGGGACTGTGCTGTGAGGAACAGTGCACTCCGGCCCAGATACTATGCTTTTCCCACAGTCTTCACAACCTGCAGACCAGGAGATGCCCTCGGGTGCCTATGCCACCAGGACCCTGGGTTTCAAGCACAAAACTGGGCAGCCATTTGGGCAGACACAAAGCTAGCTGCAGTTTTTTTTTTTCTTCATACCCCAATGGCGCCTGGAACACCAGTGAGACAGAACCATTCGCTGCCCTGGAAAGGGGGCTGAAGCCAGGTAACCAAGTGGTCTAGCTCAGCAGACCCCACCCTCACAGAACCCAGCAAGCTAAGATGCACTGGCTTGAAATTCTCACTGCCAGCACAGCAATCTGAAGTCAACCTGGGATGCTCGGGCTTGGTGAGGAGAGGGGCATCCACCATTACTGAGTCTTAAGTAGGTAGTTTTCCCTTCACAGTGTAAACAAAACTGCCAGGAAGTTCAAACTAGGCAGAGCCCACTGCAAATGGGCAAAGCCACTGCAGCCACACGGCCTCTCTAGATTCCTCCTTTCTGGGCAGGGCATTTCTCAAAGAAAGGCAGCAGCTCCAGTCAGGGGCTTATAGATAAACTTCCCATCTCCCTGGGACAGAGCACCTGGGGCAAGGGGCGGGTGAGGGCACAACTTCAGCAGATTTAAACGTTCCTGCCTGCAGGCTCTGAAGAGAGCAGTGGATCTCCCAGCACAGTGCTTGAGCTCTGCTAATGGACACACTGCCTCCTCAAATGGGTCTCTGAACCTCATGCCTCCTGACTGGGAGACACCTCCCAGCAGGGGTCAACAGACACCTCATACAGGAGAGCTCCGCTGGCATCTGACAAGTGCCCCTCTGGGATGAAGCTTCCAGAGGAAGGAACAGGCAGCAATCTTTGCTGTTCTGCAGCCTCTGTTGGTGATACGCAGGCAAACAGGGTCTGGGGTGGACCTCCAGCAAACTCCAGCAGACCTGCAGCGGAGGGGCATGACTGTTAGAAGGAAAACTAACAAACAGAAAGGAATAACATCAACAAAAAGGACAACCACACAGAAACCCCATCTGAGGGTCACCAACAGCAAAGACCAAAGGTGATAAATCCACGAAAATGAAGAAACAATAGTGCAAAAAGGCTGAAAATCCCAAAAATCAGAACACCTCTTGTCCAAAGGATGACAACTCCTTGCCAGCAAAGGAACAAAACTGAATGGAGAATGAGTTTGACGAACTGACAGAAGTAGGCTTCAGAAGGTGGGTAATAACAAACTCCTCTGAGCTAAAGGAGCATGTTCGAAACGAATGCAAGAAGCTAACAACCTTGAAAAAAGGTTAGAGGAATTGCTAACTAGAATAAGCAATTTAGAGAAGAACATAAATGACCTGATGGAGCTGAAAAACACAGCACAAGAACTTCGTGAAGCATACACAAGTATCAATGCCAAATTGATCAAGCGGAAGAAAGAATATCAGAGACTGAAGATCAACTTAATGAAATAAAATGTCAACACAAGATTAGAGAAAAAAGAATGAAAAGGGACGAACAAAGCCTCCAAGAAATATGGGACTATGTGAAAAGACCAAACCTACATTTGATTGGTGTACCTGGAAGTGATGGGGAGAATGGAAACAAGCTGGAAAACACTCTTCAGGATACTGTCCAGGAGAACTTCCCCAACCTAGCAAGACAGGCCAACTTTCAAATTCAGGAAACATAGAGAACACCACCAAGATACTCCTTGAGAAGTGCAACCTCAAGACACATAATTGTCAGATTCACCAAGGTTGAAAGGAAGGAAAAAATGTTAAGGGCAGCCAGAGAGAAAGATCGGGTTACCCACAAAGGGAAGCCTTTCAGACTAACAGCAGATCTCCCTACAGAAACCCTGCTAGACATAACAGAATAGGGGCCAACATTCAACATTCTTAAGGAAAAGAATTTTCAACTCAGGATTTCATATCCAGTCAAACTAAGCTTCACAATTGAAGGAGAATTAAAATCCTTTACAGACAAGCAAATGCTGAGAGATTTTGTTACCACACAGGACTGCCTTATAATACAGGTCCTGAAGGAAGCACTAAATATGTAAAGGAAAAACCAGTACCAGCCACTGCAGAAACATACCAAATTGTAAAGACCATTGACACTATGAAGCAACTGCATCAACTAACGGGCAAAATAACCAGCTAGTGTCATAATGACAGGATCAAATTCACACATCACAATATTAACCTTAAATGTAAATGGACTAAATGCCCCAATTAAAAGACACAGACTGGCAAATTGGATAAAAAGTCAAGACCCACTGGTGTGCTGCATTCAGGAGACCCATCTCACATGCAAAGACACACATAAGCTCAAAATAAATGGATGGGGGAATATGTACCAAGCAAATGGAAAGCAAAATAAAGCCGATGTTCGATTCCTAGTCTCTGATAAAACAGACTTTAAACCAACAAAGATTTAAAAAGACAAAGAAAGGCATTACATAATGGTAAAGGGACCAATGCAACAAGAAGAGCTAATTATCCTAAATATATATGCAACCAATACAGGAGTACCCAGATTCATAAAGCAAGTTCTTAGAGACCTAGAGAGAGAGTTAGACTCCCACACAATAATAGTGGGTGATTTCAACACCCCAAGGTCAATATTAGACAGATCAACAAGACAGAAAATTAACAAAGATATTCAGGACTTGAACTCAGCTCTGGATCAAGCAAATCTAATAGACATCAACAGAAATCTCCACGCCAAATCAACAGAATATACATTCTTCTCAGCACCACATCACACTTATTCTAAAATTGACCATATAATTGGAAGTAAAACACTCCTCAGCAAATGCGAAAGAATGGAAATCATAACAAACAGTCTCTCAGACCACAGTGCAATCAAATTAGAACTCAGGATTAAGAATCTCCCTCAAAACCACACAACTACATGGAAACTGAACAACCTTCTTCTGAATGACTACTGGGTAAATAACAAAATTAAGCCAGAAATAGATACGTTATTTGAAACCAATGAGAGCAAAGACACAATGTATCAGAATCTCTGGGACACAGCTGAAGCAGTGCTTAGAGGGAAATTTAAAGCACTAAATGCCCACAGGAGAAAGCAGAAAAGATCTAAAATTGACACCCTTACATCACAATTAAAAGAACTACAGAAGCAAGAGCAAACAAATTCAAAAGCTAGCAGAAGACAAGAAATAAGTAAGATCAGAGCAGAACTGAAGGAGATAGAGACAAGAAAAACCCTTCAAAAAATCAATAAATCCAGGAGCTGGCTTTTTGAAAAGATTAACAAAATAAATAGACAGCTAGCCAGACTAATAAAGAAGAAAAGAGAGGAGAGTCAAATAGACACAATAAAAAACAATGAAGGGGATATCACCACAGATCCCATGGAAATACTACCCATCAGAGGATACTATAAACACTGCTATGCAAATAAACTAGAAAAACTAGAAGAAATATATAAATTCCTGGACATATACACCCTCCCAAGACTAAAGCAGGAAGAAGTCAAATCCCTGAATCGACTGAAATTCTGAAATTGAGACAGTAATTCTTCAGAATTCTGGAATTCTGAAGTTCTGAAATTGAGGCAGTAATTAATAGCCTACCAACCAAAAAAAAATCCCAGGACCAGACTGATTCCCAGCCGAATTCTACCACAGGTACAAAGAAGTGCTGGTACCATTCCTTCTGAAACTATTCTAACCAATAGAAAAAGAGGGACTCCTCCCTAACTCATTTTATGAGGCCAGCATCATCCTGATACCAAAACCTGGCAGAAACACAACAAAAAAAGAAAATTTCAGGCCAATATCCCTGATGAACATCAATGCAAATATCCTCAATAAAATACTGGCAAACTGAATCCAGCAGCATATCAAAAAGCTTATCTGCCACAATTAAGTCAGCTTCATCCCTGGAATGCAAGGCTGGTTCAATATATGCAAATCAATAAATGTAATCCATTACATAAACAAAACCAGTGACAACAACCACATGATTATCTCAATAGATGCAGAAAAGGCCTTTGACAAAATTCAACACCCCTTCATACTAAAAACTCTCAATAAACTAGGTGTTGATGGAATGTATCTCAAAATAATAAGAGTTATTTATGACCAACCCACACCCAATATCATACTGAAGGGGCAGAAGCTGGAAGCATTCCCTTTGAAAACTGGCACAAGACAAGGATGCCCTCTCTCACCACTCCAATTCAACATAGTATTGGAAGTTCTGGCCAGTGCAATCAGGCAAGAGAAAGAAATAAAGTGCATTCAAATAGGAAAAGAGAAAGTCAAATTGTCTGTTTGCAGGTGACATGATCGTATATTTAGAAAACCCCATCATCTCAGCCCCAAATGTCCTTAAGCTGACAAGCAACTTAAGCAAAGTCTCAGGATACAAAATCAATGTGCAAAAATCACAAGCATTCCCATATATCAATAAGACAGAGAGCCAAATCATGAGTGACCTGCCATTCACAAATGCTGCAAAGAAAATAAAATACCTAGGAATACAACTTACAAGGGATGTGAAAGACCTCTTCGAGCAGAACTACAAACCACTGCTCAATGAAATAAGAGAGGAAACAAACAAATGGTAAAACATTCCATGCTCATGGATAGGAAGAATCAATATCATGAAAATGGCCATATGGCCCAAAATAATTTATGGATTAAATGCTATCCTCATCAAGCTACCATTGACTTTCTTCACAGACTTAGAAAAAACTACTTTAAATTTCATAAGGAACCAAAAAAGAGCCTGCATAGCCAAGACAATCCTAAGCAAAAAGAACAAAGCTGGAGGCATCCACTACCTGATTTCAAACTGTACTACAAGGCTACAGTGACCAAAACAGCATGGTACTAGTACCAAAACAGATATTATAGACCAATATAACAGAACAGAGGCCTCAGAAATAATGTCACACATCTACAATGATCTGACCTTTGACAAACCTGACAAAAACAAGCAATGGGGAAAGGATTCCCTATTTAATAAATGGTGTTGGGAAAACTGGCTAGCCATATGCAGAAAGCAGAAACTGGACCCCTTCCTTACACCTTATACCAAAACTAACTCAAGATGGATTAAAGACTTAAATGTAACACCCAAAACCATAAAAGCCCTAGAAGAAAACCTAGGCAATACCATTCAGGACATAGGCACGGGCAAAGAATTCATGACTAAAACACCAACAGCAATGGCAACAAAATCCAAAATTGACAAATGGGATCTAATTAAACTAAAGAGCTTCTGCACAGCAAAAGAAACTACCATCAGAGTAAACAGGCAACCTACAGAATGGGAGAAAAATTTTGCAATCGATCCATCTGACAAAGGGCCAATATCCAGAATCTACAAAGAACATAAACAAATTTACAAGAAAAAAACAACCCCACCAAAAAGTGAGTGAAGGATATGAACAGATACTTCTCAAAAGAAGACATTTATTTGGCCAACAAATATATGGAAAAAAGCTCATCATCACAGGTCATTAGAGAAATGCAAATCAAAACCAAAATGAGATATCATCTCATACCAGTTAGAATGGCAATCATTAAAAAGTCAGGAAACTACAGATCCTGGAGAGGATGTGGAGAAATAGGAAAGCTTTTACACTGTTGGTGAAGTGTAAATTAATTCAACCATTGTGGAAGACATTGTGGCAATTCCTCAAGGATCTACAATCAGAAATACCATTTGACCCAGCAATCCCATTACTGGATATATAACCAAAGGATTATAAAGCATTCTACTATAAAGACACGTGCACATATGTTTATTGCAGCATTGTTCACAATAACAAAGACTTGGAAGGAACCCAAATGTCCATCAATGATAGACTGGATAAACACAATGTGGCACATATACACCATGGAATACTATGCAGACATAAAAAATGATGAGTTCATGTCCTCTGCAGTGACATTGATGAAGTTGGAAACCATAATTCTCAGCAAACTAACATAAGAACAGAAAAACAAACACCGCATGTTCTCACTCATAAGTGGGAGGTGAACAATGAAAACACATGAACACAGGGAGGGTAACATCACACACCAGGGCCTGTTGGGGGCCTGGGGAGCAAGGGGAGGGATAGCATTAGGAGAAATACCTAATGTAGATGACGGGTTGATGGGTGAAGAAAACCACCATGGCACATGTATACCTGTGTAACAAACTTGCATGTTCTGCACATGTATCCCAGAACTGAAAGTATATAATAATGAAAAGAACAAAGTAAACGGTGTAAAACAAAAGATCAATAAACTTGAAGGCACAGCAATAGCCAAATGAAGCATAGAGAGAAAAAAGCCTTGGACAATATTAGGTGTTGTAACCTTTGTTGTAAATAAAGATGGGAGAAATGGGGGCACAAAATTTTGAAGAAATAATAACTGAAATTTTTGAATATGAACACTACAAACCACAGATCCAAAAGGCTCAAGGAACCTGACGTGTAAAGAAGACCACATCAACATTTATTATAATCAAATTGCTTAAAAAGAGCTTTAAAGGAACAGTCTTAACAAGGGAAAAAGAATAAAGTTGTGCTTATGATAAATACTCTTAAGGAGAACTTATAATGAGGAATTTGATTTTGTCAGAAAGGTTACGAAACTGCAGAAGTGCTTTTGACCTGGTAAACAGATCAGATGAACAGATAAGGGTGGAGAAAGTGCTAGAGACATAGGAAACATATGGGGCCTGGGGGATGAGAGAGTGAGAGAGAGTGGTGTGTCTATATATATACATACATCTACATGTGTGTTAGTGTTCTTAAGAGGAATTGTGACTATAGAGAATGAACTAGAATCTTGTTTCTAAGTTTCAAGAGGTTAGGAAGAACTCTATAAGCTATAAAAAATCCTACCTCATAAAATATCAAGAAACTTGAGGATTTTAACAGATTCAGAAGGGAGTAACATCTGGAATAAGGATCAGAGGGCCTAGAGGAGATATATGTAAAATCACATTTTCTTCCTCTGGCTTCAGTGAAATATTTCACACATTAGTCCTTCTCTGTCACCTTACTTGACACTCTTCAACTCCTTAACTCCAAAATGTTGTTATTTGAAAGGATTCCCTCTTTGGCCTCCACCATTCTTCAGTTGACATGCTCTACCCGTGATCTCAATTACCATCTAAAAGCCCGTGACTCTCAAGACCAATGCTTTTCTCCTGCCCTCCAAGCACAAATATTCTAATAACTACTGGCATGTCCATCTAGAAACACCACAGGTACCTTAAATTTAACATTTACAAATTTAGAAATTATTTTCCTTTCTTCCTCCTATATATGTACTATTTTTAATGGTATCCATAGTTCATCAAAAAACACAAGCAAAAGTCATTCAATGTTCTTTTCTCTTCCTCACTGACTGCATCTAACATGACACTAAATTCTGTTGGTTCTAACTCCTTAGTTATCTTTTATCTGTACTGTCATTTCTAACTCACCTGTGACTGTCCTAATTCACAAACTTTACCATCATTACTGTGAATGAACAATTGCTATACATCAAGCAATAACACAATAATAATCTTTCTAAATCTCAAAGAAGATCGTATGACTCTCCTGGTTAAAATTTTTCAATGATCTCCACTTCAGTTAAGAGATTCCCAAGTGTCTTAGTCTGGGTACCTTGGGCGTTGCTTATTTCATTTACCACAGTGGCCAAATAAAACTCCTTCCCCAAATACACACCATACAGCTTATGCTTTCTCTCACCTGAAATACTTAACCCATGTTTTAATTCTGAGCAGTATCTTTTTCCTCCCCAGAGGTAGAGTTTATAGAAAGTCTTGTTTTTCAACTTTTTGTCACCAGAGTAGTATTTCTGAAATAATCTGAAACACTGTTATCTCAATGGTCCCACATCCTTCCAATGATTAAAACCAAACTCTATCAGCAAAATATTCAAAGTCTTTCACTCTCGCTACTTCCTCCCTTGTTCTAAAAAATCCAGCTATATGGACCTCCCTACATTTCATTGAATGTAACTTGATTGATTTTATTCATAATGCCCCAAAGATGAAAACAACTAATATTCATCAACAGGTATATGAATAAACAAAACATGTTATAGTCATACAATGAGATATTACTTAAAAACAGAAACAAACTATCAATATGTATATAATATGGATGATCTCAAAAACAGGGTAAGTGAAAGAAGCCAGAAATAGATGAACACAAATTATATAATTCCACTTCTATTAAGTTTGAGAATAAACACAATTTATCTAATCTAATAAAAGTCAGAGTAGAAGTTGCCTCTACTCAGTGGGAGAAAGTCACTGGAAAGAGGCAAGAAAAACTTTTCTAGAAGGATGAAAATATTCTATGTCTTGATTTGGTATGGGTTACATGGACATACACATTGATCAAGACTCATTGAACTGTACATTTAGAATGCACACTTGTGCATGTCACCATATATAAATTTAATTTCAGTTTAGAAAGAAAGTTATAAAAATGGAATAAGAAGAGTCATAAGAATAGCTGACATTTATTGAGCCTTGTTCTGTGCTAAAATTATTACTATCCTCTGTGCAGAATCTTCCAGCACTTGCATTTAGATTGGTGGTATCTCATATAAGTGCTTCAGTGATGGTGGCTATTATTATAAATACGTAAAATATGTCAAAATACTTACAGGATAAGGGGGTCATAATATAAACCCCTGGACAGTCACAAAATTACACCCTTTTTTCACTCTTTTATATCCAAATGAGGATAATATCATTGCAATGATACTATGTTGTCATTTATAGGATCTGTTTTTACATCATAGGATTTTTTTCAGTTTTTATTTTTGGTACTTCAACTTGTGATAGCCACTAAAAACTTGATATGTACCTTTATTTGCGACAGTAAAATGAAAAAATGACTAAAATTGAAGGGGTCAGGACAGTTAAAGCAATTTTACTGGCTTTTATAAAAAGCTTAAAGGAATAACCTCCTAAGGTCGGGAATGCCTTTTTCTCCAGAAACGAAAAAGGCATCATAAAAAGACACTTACTGGGTTCGTAAAATTCAAATGAATATATTATTACCAAGTTCACAATATTAAAAGACAGATGATAAAAGGAGAAATGAAATATATGAAAGAAAATTGAAATTGATCATCAAAAATGCTAGGTATAAGAACCCTAGAAAATTCACTGGTAAACCAATTAGAATTACATTACAGTTCAAATGATTACCATAAAATCTAGTATCATTTGAGATTTCATTTTTCTATTTTCCCAAGTAAAAGACAGAGCTTAGTCAAGTATACTTAAAATTCTTGTCATTTATCAATTGTCTGGTAACCTAAAATAAATCAAACTCTGAAATGGTTATATAATATAGTTATTCTGGTTAATTTGACTAATTTATGTGTCCCTTAATCATTTTTTATCGAGTTACTAAATGAACAGAAAGCAATCGTTTTTATCTATGATGCTAATCATCAGAGCCATTCTGTCTTTACATCTCTTTTGTGATCACTTCAGTTCTGTAAAATGGAAGCAGACACCAAATGAAGCTTCCATTACTTATGTGACTGATATCAACTATAAAATATTCAAATAAACTGCAACAAGCTATAAAGTCAGACCTTCAGGTAGGCTACCAACCAACAAAATAATTCCTTCTCTTCCACATCAGCAGTTTTTTTTTTTTTTTTGTCACATGTGCTAAGTTAGTGAAGCAATTATTTTTTAAGTACATGTCTATAGCTTTTCTATCCCTTACCACACACTGCCTGACATTTTTAAGCAACCAAATAACAATGCTATTTCTACAATTACATCTCTTATGAAACTGGACCTTATTTGATATAACACTAAGAAAATAAAGATGAGCTTTTTAAAATTAATAGACTATTTTTACAGCAATTTAACTTTAGAGAAACACTGAACAGAAAGTACAGAATTCCTATACTCTTCCTGTTCTCTGTGTCCCCCACAGACTCTCCTGTTATTAACAGCTTTCATTAATGTGGCACATTTGTTACAATTGAAGAGCCAATACTGATAAATTGTTATTAACTACAGTCTATAGTTTACATTAGACTTCACTCTTTGTATTGTACAGCTCTACAGGTTTTAACAAATGCATAAAGTCATGTATTCATCAATATCATATCATAAAGAATAGTTTCAGGGCCATAAAAATCTCCTGTACTCCACCTATTCATCCTCCCTGCAAATCTTTTGCAACCACTCATCCTTTTACTGTCACTATAGTCTTGCCTTTTCAAGAATGTCATACAGTTGGAATCGTGTAATATGTAGCCTTTTCTGATTGGCTGCATTCACTTAACAATACACACTTAAAGTTCTTCTATATCTTTTCATCGCTTGGCAGCTTTCTGTTCATAACTGACAAGTCTTCCATTATATCATTATACTATAATCATTTATCTGTTCACCTATTGAAGGACATCGTTGTTTCTTTTAAATTTTGAGAATGATGAAAAAGCCACTATCAACATTTATATGAAAGTTTTTTTCTATAGATAGAAGTCTTCAACTCATTTAAGTAAATACCAAAGGACATTACTGCTGGATCATAGAGTTTAGATTTGTAAGAAACTTTCAAACTGTCGTCCAAAGTGAGTATACCGTTGGGTTTTTCAACCAAAAATGAATGAGAGTGTTGTGCTCCACATCCTCATCAGCATTTAGCGTCGTAAGTGTTTTTTATTTTTGCCATTGTAATAGTAGTAACACTGTGTCATTGTTGTTTTTATTTCAATTGTCTAATGACATACAATGTTAAACATCTTTTTGTATGTTTATTTTCACAAGACCAGATGAGTTTGTTGGTCAATTCTACCAAACATTGAAGGAAGAAATGATATCAATTCTCTCCTATCTGTTTCAGAAAACAGAATCAGAGACTGCTCTTGTTTTCTATGATGCCAGCATTACTTTCATACAAAAATCAAAGAAATAAATCACAAGAAAGGAAAAATGCAGACCAATATTTCTGATTGAACGTAAATGCAAAAATCTTCAAGAAAGTATTAGTAAAGTCAATCCAACTATGCATAAAAAAAATTATGTACCCTGACCAAATAGGATTTATTCCAGGTATGCAAGGCTGGTTCAGTGTTTGAAGATCAACTAATGAAATCCATCATATTAACATTTTAAAGAAGAAAAATTATATTCTCATAGAAATAGATGCAGAAAAAGCATTTAACAGTACTCCACACCAGAAACCAGCCCAATTGTCTCATAGAACTGATGTTTATGGTTTATTTTGAATAAACATAGAAATTGACTCTTCCAGTCTTAAAACTTGAGAAAGTTACATTTGTCTTATTTGAATTCCTTTCTCAGGAAACCAGCTATCAGAACTCCTAAATAATATCAAGTAACTGAAATTTACCAAATGTTTGTATCTGGACAATAAGACACCACACCCCTCACCCATCATGATTGCCTAAGTGATTACCTGCCTCCTGTTGACAACTCTTCTTTACTCCTCCCTAATTCCTGTTTTCCTGCACATAGTTACATTTCTTCCCTGCTATATAAACCCCTGATTTTAGTTGGTCAAGGAGATGGGTTTGAGACTGATCTCCCATTCCCTCAGCTGCAGTACCCGATTAAATCCTTCTTCACTGGCAATACTCCTTGTCTCAGTGATTGGCTTTCTGTGTGGTGACCAGCAGGATCTAGACTAAACCCCTGGCTTTTTAATAGCACACCCATTCATGATGCAAACTCTAGGCCCCATCTAGTGATGAGTGCATTGAAGACATTCTTCATCTTTGATAAAGGTTGTTTTTTTTTTTTATTTCTGGCATCTTCTTTTGATATTTTTTAGAGTTACATCCCTCTCTGATATGGTTTGGCTCTGTGTCACCATCCAAACCTCATCTCCAACTATAATCCCCATGTGTCAAGGGAGGGACCTGTAATTCCTACATGGTAAGGGAGGCAGCTGACTGGATCATGGGGGCAGTTTTCCCCATGCTGTTCTTGTGATAGTGAGTGAGTTCTCATGAGATTTGATGGTTTTATAAGTGTTTGACCTTTCCTCCTTCATACGCTCACACTGTTTCCTGTCACCTTGTGAAGAAGGTGACTGCTTCACCTTCTGCCATGATTGTAAGTTGCCTGAGGCCTCCCAGCCATGTAGAACTATGAGTCAATTAAGCCTCCTTTGCTTATAAATTACCGAGGCTCAGGTAGCATCTTTATAGCAGTGTGAGAATGGACTAATACAGTAAATTGGTACTGCAGAGAGTTGGGTACTCTACAAAGATACTTGAAAAGGTGGAAGCAACTTTGGAAGTGGGTAATGGGCAGAGACTGGAACAGTTTGGAGGTCTCAAAAGAAGATAGGATAAAGTGGGAAAATTTGGAGCTTCCTAGAGACTTGTTGAATGGTTCTGACCGAAATGCTGATTGTGAGGTGAACAATGAAGTCCAGGCTGAGGTGGTCTTAGATGGAGATAAGGAACTTATTGGGAACTGGAGTAAATGTCACTAACAGTATGCTTTAGCAAAGAGACTGTTGGTATTTTGCCCCTGCCCTAGAGATCTGTGGAACTTTGAACTTGAGAGAGATGATTTAGGGTATCTCGTGGAAGAAATTTCTAAGCATCAGGGCATTCAAGACATGACCTGAATTTTTCTGAAAGCATTCAGTTTTATGCACTCACAAAGAGATGGTCTGAAATTGAATCGTATGTGTAAAAGGGAAGCAGAGCATAAAAGTTTGGAAAATTTGCAGCTTGACAATGTGATAGAAAAGAAAAACCCATTTTCTGGGGAGAATTCAAGCAGGCTGCAGAAATTTGTGTAAGTAACAAGGAGCTGAATGTTAATCTCCAAAACAATGGGGAAAATGTCTCCAGGGCAGGTTAGAGATCTTGGTGGTAACCTCTCCTACCACAGGTCTGGAAGCCTAGGACAATAAATGGTTTCGTGGGCCAGGCCCAGGGCCCTCACTGCTCCATGCAGCCTCGGGACATGGTACCCTGCATCCTAGCCACTTCGGCTCTGGCTATGGCTAAAAGGGGCCAAGGCAAAACTCCTGAATTGCTTCAGAGGGTGCAAGCCCCAAGCCTAGGCAGCTTACATGTGATGTTGGGCCTGCAAGTGCACAGAAGTCAAGAACTGAGGTTTGAGAACCTCCACCTAGATTTCAGAGGATATATGGAAATGCCTAGATGTCCAGGCAGAAGTATTATGCAGGGGTGAAGCCCTCATGGAGAACCTCTGCTAGGGCAGTACAGAAGAGAAACTAGGGGTTGGAGCTACCACACAGTCTTGACTAGGGCACTGCCTAGTGGAGCTGTGAGAAGTATGCCACTGTTCTCCAGACCCCAGAATGGTAGATCCAACAACAGCTTGCACTGTGTGCCTGGAAAAGCTACAGGGACTCAATGTCAGCCTGTGAAGGAGCTGCCCAAACTGTAGGAGCCCACCCCTTGCATCAGTGTCCCCTGGATATCAGACATGGAGTCAAAGGAGATCATTTTGGAGCTTTAAGATTTGAGGACTTCCCTACTGGATTTTGAACTTCCATGGGGCCTGTAGCCCCTTTGTTTTGGCCAATTTCTCCCATTTAGAATGGGAGAATTTACCCAGTGCCTATACCCCCATTGTATCTAGGAAGTAACTAAGTTGCTGTTTATTTTACAGGTTTATAGGTGGAAAGGACTTGCCTTGTCTCAGATGAGACTTTGGACTTGGACTTTTGGGTTAATGCTGGGATGAGCTAAGACTTTGGGGGACTGTTGGGAAGGCATCATTGGTTTTGAAATGTGAAAAACATGAGATTTGCAAGAGGTAGGGGTGGAATTATATGGGTTCAGTTCTATGGCCCCACCCAAATCTTATCTAGAATTGTAATACACATATGTCAAGAGAGGGACCTGTAATACCCACGTATTGAGGGAGAGAGGTGATTAGACCATGGGGGAAGTTTCTCCCGTGCTGTTCTCATGATAGTGGTGAGTTCTCATGAGATCTGATGGTTTTATGTGTTTGATAGTTCCTCCCTCACACACTTAAACTCTGTCCTGCCTCCTTGTGAAAGAGGTGCCTGCTTCCCTTTCTGCCATGATCATAAGTTTCCTGAGGCCTCCCCAGACATGCAAAACTTGAGTTAATTAAACCTCCTTTGTTTATAAATTACCCAGTCTCAGGTACTATCTTTATACCAGTGTTAGAATGGACCAATATACTCTCCTTATATCATCCAACCATTCTTGCATATTGTCCACGTTTCTCATTAATGTCCACAGCATATTAATCATAGATATTTTTAATTCCCAGTCTAACCCTTCTAAAATCTCTACCACATCTGAATCTTCTCTTGACGCTTGTCTCTTCGCTTTGTGTTTTCTTTGTTGTCGTTGTTTCGTTTTGTTTTGTTTTGTTTTTGCTGTTTTGGTATCACTTGTCATTTTTTGTGGAAAGCTAGACACAATATATCAGGTAAAAATAACTGATATAAACAAGTCCTTAATGTGAGGGGTTACGTTTATCCAGCTAGGAGTTAGGCTATGTTTACCATTTTCTGTAGCTACGCTGTTAGAAGCTAAATTTCATTCAGTGTTCTTGTTCTTGTCTCCACTGTTGTCTTTGGGTTTCTGCCAAGGCTTCTTCCTAAATAGGGTCTGAGACTTTCAGATCTTTCTGCAAATTGTAATCTCGTTATCATATAAGAACCATATTGGTGTGGCAGTAAGGTGTGCAGGGAAGTGGAAAGATGCAGTCTAAAATCCTATGTTTGGTCTCAGTCTTTACACAGCCTATGACCCTGGCTGTGACATTCACAAGTGCTTCTCAGCTATTTTCACCCACATAGGTGAGACAGAAGGCTGGAGTGAGATGGAGTTGATATTTCCCTTCCCCTGGGTCAGTTAGGATCTGGTATAACCCAAATGTGTTAGGCTCTGGTGAAACAGTGTCCTTTGAGGGCAGTCCTTTGTTAAGGAGAGCAAAGTGCTCTAGATTTACTTTAAAATGACTCCTATTCCTCTCCCCCTGCCAGAAAGTGTGAGGCATTTTTTTCCCTGATCTTCAAAGGCCTTAATGTGAGGTGTTGTATTTATCTGCCTAGGAGTTAGTCTATGTTTACTATTTTCTGTAGCTGTCATGTTAGAGGCTACATTCCCTCTAGTGTCCTTGTTTTTGTCTCCACTGTTGTCTTTGGGTTTCTGAGGACACTTCTGAGAACCTGATGGGGTTCCTAGAGCCAAAACTTATGAAAGGGTACTCTGCCTTCCCAAGTAAAAAGCTCAGGCCTCCAGGAGATTTTCTTCTCCCAAGCTAATCTAGATTCAGTCTTGTAGCCATTAGTCAATTATCCTTTAAGCATTACTATCAGGTCTGGCAGTGTATTCTGCAACCCATAAACAGTATTCCCTGCATTTGCTTGCCTCTCTTATTTTGGGGGCAGTGGTTTTCCCTGTAATATCAATTCTCTAATGAATCTTAGAAAAGTTATTAACTTTCAATTTGTTCAGCTTATATTACTGCGAGGATTTCTACAACCAAGCAGCTTGGCATTAAAATCTATTTTGAAACTTGTTTTTCCTTCTCTCTCAACTTAGACTTAAAATGTACTTTGAAACTCTTTGTTTCCCTCCCTTCCCACCAGGCACTCTTTTGCACTGCACTTGCTTATCTAAATATGTGCTTGCTTGGAAATTTCAGGGGATAACCTTGAAATAAACCATGCAGGAAGAACAAGCAGCAGAATTCTCCCCAGCTAAGGATTACTTCAAGGCAATTAATCTACAACCTGGCCATTGTCAAGATGGTGCCCGCCCACACTCTAGTTGGACAATAACTCAAGGTAGCCATCAGAACAAGACACAGAAACCCTGTACCCTGTCCCACTCCCACATACTTCTGATGCCAAGTTTCTCTTCTTAAACCCACTCACTTGCCTACAATTTTGAAATTGTTTTGGACAATTTCAAAGACAATGGAAATGGCATGAGCCTGGCCATTTTCCAACTGCTAGCATTTGAATAAAGTTGCATTACTTTCACCGCACCTCACTTTTTGTATTTTGCATTTCAAGCAGCAAGCAGCCAGACCTGAGTTCAACTACAAATTTGGTGCCCTGTGTGAAGAGCTGTGCTTTCACAATGGTTTAGCCTCCCCATGTGAAGAACTGTCTGCCTGGTTTCCAACAAGTAGAGTAACTAGCTATGGCAGTGTGCCAGGGCTTACCCACTCATGCTACCAGGCAGTGACAGTTGCTCATAAATTCCAGCTGCTCATGGCTAGCTGATTCCGTGGCTGAAACTCTATGGAGCTCCTCAGCAGCTACCAAGATGCTTTTGTCTTGGGGATCTTCCCATCTTCCTCCTTCACCCTACCCCCAGTGGCATCAGCTGCATATAATGCTGTACTGGTGCAGGTAAAGTGACATCTGGGAAATCAATGGGCTTCAAGGCTTGGTAAGTCACCCAATGCACCTAGGAATCCTCTATCTCTGCTACGTGGACTTTTTGTGCTGTTTGGACCTAGCATGGGTCATTCATACTGCTATTTTTGGCTTGTATGCCACTTGGACTTTGCATGAGTCATCTGTCATGCCTTTTGGGCTTGAGACAAGATTTTAGAACTTCTCTCTCAATTTTTCCCTTTGTGGGAATTGGTTTAGGAGTACTCTATTTGAATTCAATTGTGTTTGTGTCTGCATTTGGATTTATGTCTGTTTCTATTTCTCTTTGTAAAAGTGATTGGTATGGTCTTTATCCCATCTGCAGGTTCAGGTCCCACCAGAAAAAATGAGCCTGATTTTCTGAAAGCAGCAAGGTAGGTCATGCCTCTCCTTGTTAGGAGAAGAACAGATCTCACCATCCTGGCTCCTGATTTTGTTACCCTCTTTAGGACTTCAAAGTATTCCCCGCATTTGTGTTACAGTTGGTGGGAGAGGAAGAGGAAATGTGTGAGCTTTCCTGCAGGCAATCTAAATGGGCCTGGAATCCTGCTGGTTGCTCCCTGTGTTACTTTAGATAAGAAAATAGGATCCATATCACCTGGGTCCAGTCCCTGCATGATCCTCACTCTAACCCATTTTCTTTTTGTTTGGTTAATTTGTCACCTTATCTGTTGTCACTCTGTCTCATTTCACTGGGATTGCCAGGTCAGTAGGACTTGGACCTGGTATAAGACTGAATTATTAGGAAGGGCTGTGCAGACCATTGCAAACCCCTGGCCTACTTAAGGAACTCTGTCTTTGAAGTCTCTCGCTGTTGTGGCCATGTGGCAAAGCTTATACAAGCATGCCCACTGAGACTGTGAATGGCATTATATACACAAGGAGTTACAGACTAGGGGAGTTCATCCAGCCCCTGGGCCTTTGATTGAGGAGGAACTCAATATAGAGACAAAATTCGTGGCAACATTTCCACTCCAACTGAAAACCCCCCGGGGCATATCCTGGCCAACTGGAAGGCCTGTAAAAATAAGCCTATGACTAGAAAGAAAATTATTTCTTATTATAATACCATCTGGCCTCTGTATAGGCTAGATGATGATGCATATTGGCCTCTGAACTGAAGACTTCAATATTGTACCCTATTACAATTGGAGTTCTTCTGTCGGAGGTTTGAGAAATGGGAAGAAATATCTTATGTCCAGGCTTTCATGTTATTGCATAACCAGGACTCATGTCATGAGAGGTGAGAGCAGATTGCTAACTATACAAAGAGATGAGAAGAAAGCCCGTTTCAAGCCAAACACAGAAATCAGGAAGAAAAGGATAGTGAGGAGATGGGCCTCTTAAATGCTTTCAATCCCCTTCCTCCAGCCCAAGCCACTTAAGCAGCCACTCCAGCCTAAGCTGCCTCAGTGTCACCACTGGAGGCCCTGGACTAGGAATGAGGGGCAACTGCCCTACCTCAATAGAATGAAGGAATTGGAATGTTCTTCCCCTCCAAGACCTGACAGGGCACCCAATGGGCCTTACTGTGACTAGGGCAGGGCAATATCCAATGAAAGAATACCCACCCAACTACTCATTGGTGGAATAAAACAACAGGGAAGGCTGCTGGATATTGTTGGACTTACAGCCTGTTCTCTGCCTCTGACTTGCTAAATTGGAAAAGCTCCAATCCACCCTTTAGAGATGACCCACAGAAAATAACTAATCTCTTTGTCTGTATCTTTGCTACCCACCAGCCCCCTTTACAGGCCTTGTTAAACATACTTTTGACTGTGGATGAGAGAAGGCTGGTGATAGATAAGGTAAATAAGGCGGCTCAGCACCTACATCAGAAAAATTCCAACAGAATTCCCAACCCCAGATGGGCAACTCCATTTGTGGATCTCAACTGGGACCCCAAAAATGGGGATGTGGCCCAGCTGGATCATTATAAGACATGTATCCTGGAAGGACTTAAAAAGGAGGTGTCAAAACAGAAGAATCTGAATAAAATTCAGGCAGCTATCCAAAAGAAAAATGAAGACCCATCTGATTTCTTACAGCTCATTTACAAAGCTTACAGTAAATATACAGATATTATATACAGATATAAACTAAGAGGCTCCTAAAAATTTGAGAATGATAAACATGACTTTCATTCAACAGAGTGCCTCTGTCCACTAGGGAAACAAGACAGGGCACTGGAATAAAGTCTCTGCATTAGGTTGCTCTTGCATTGCTATGAAGGAATACCTGAGACTGGGTAATTTATAAAGAAAAGAGGTTTAATTGCCTCATGCTTCCGTATGCTGTACGAGCATGGCACTGACATCTGCTTGGCTTCTGGGGAGGCCCCAGGGAGCTTTTACTCACGGCACAAGGTGAAGCAGCAGCAGGCACATCAACACAGTGAAAGCAGGATCAAGAGAGAGGTGGTAAGTGCCACACACTTTAAACAACCAGATTATGTGAGAGCTCATTCTCTACCACAAGGACAGCACCAAGCCATGAAGGATTCGCTCCCATGACCCAAGCACCTCCCAATAGGCCCCACTTCCAACACTGTGGATTACATCTCTCTATGAGATTTGGAGGGGACATCCAAGCCATATCACTCTCCCAGCTACTTGATATTGCCTTCAGCGTACACAATGCCAGGGAAACTAAAAGGCTAAAGCCAGCCACAATATATTTGAAAACTTTGGAGAAAAACTCATGCCAGCCAAAAGAGGGGAGATGAGGTGGTCAGAGCATGGCCTTGGGTAGCAACCAATGTGCCTATTGTAAAGAAGGAGGCCACTGGAGATCTGACTGCCCTAAACTAAAGACAAAAGAAGGGGTTGCTAAGAATGAAGTTTGAAGTAGATGGTAGAACAGTCCTATGCTTCCAATAATTAATGGCAGTGCCTCTAAATCTTTCAGAGCCAGTTAAAATTTCCCCAAAGGATCCCTGGGTACAACAACAGTGGGGCAGAAGCTGATTGATTTTCTTGTTGATATGGGCACATATTATTCCATTTTAAACACCCCAGAAGGAAAAAGCACAAAAGCGACAGTACTCCTGATGGGGGTTGCAAGTAGAATATAGCAAAAGGTTTTCTTACAACCATTAGAATGCGAACTGGGGGATTTGCAGTTGAGGCACAGCTTCCTTTCTATGCTAGAATCCCCTATCCCATTGCTGGAATGAAACTTGCTTTGTAAATTAAATTCTTAAGTGACTTTTTCCCCAGAAAAGCAGCAGTTACACCTACAGGTCCCACGGAAACAAGCATTGCAGCTGCAGATACTACTCACTAATCCCAACAAAGAGAAGAAACCATTCCTCTGGAAAGCAACAAATGAGTGAGTAACTGCGTACGGGCAGACAAAACCCCTGGCCAAGCTAAGAATGTGCTGCCTGTACATATAGAAATAAAAGAAGGAGTCAAAATACCTTCGAAAAAACAATATCCATTAAAATGAGAAGTCTTTGATGAGATTCAGCCTGTATTGCAAAAATTTATTTAAAAATGGGCTGATTCACCCCTGCAGATCTCCATATAACACTCCTATCCTGCCTATGAAAAATCCCCACTTGAATGAATACCCTTTTATACAGAATTTAAGAGCTATTAATGAAATTGTCCAATATATTCATCTGACTGCACCTAATACATACACCCTATTGGCTGCCATTCCCAGAAACTATGGATGGTTTTCAGAATTGGACTTAAAGGATGCCTTCTTTGCATCCCATTTGAAGAAAAGCCCAACAGCTATTTATCTTTAAATGACAAGACCCAGAAACAAAAGCAACTTTTCAGCACTGTTGGACGGTGTTACTTCAAGGTTTTAAAAACTTGCCCAAGCTTTTTAGTGAAATACTGGCAAGAGACTTAAAAAATTTGCAATTAGACGAGGAAGTTCTGCTACAGTATGTAGATGGCTTGCTGCTAAAGCTCAAGCTATGATAAGGGCCTGGCCAACACCATCTTGGTTTTAAACCACCCGGCACAATGCAGATATAAAGTGTCTCCTCAGAAGGCCCGAATCTGTAAACAAAAAGTTACATACCTAGGGTTTCCATTAAAACAGGGAAAAAGAAGCCTGATTTCAGACAGGAAACCAGGCAACAGCAGCCATAAAGGCCCCTGAAAACAGGAGGCAATTGTGGGGATTCTTGGGTATGGCAGGCTTTTTTTTTTTTTTTTTTTTTTGAGACGGAGTCTCGCTCTGTCGCCCAGGCTGGAGTGCAGTGGCGCGATCTCGGCTCACTGCAAGCTCCGCCTCCCGGGTTCACGCCATTCTCCTGCCTCAGCCTCCCGAGTAGCTGGGACTACAGGCGCCCGCTACCACGCCCGGCTAATTTTTTGTATTTTTAGTAGAGACGGGGTTTCACCGTGTTAGCCAGGATGGTCTCGATCTCCTGACCTCGTGATCCGCCCGCCTCGGCCTCCCAAAGTGCTGGGATTACAGGCGTGAGCCACCGCGCCCGGCCGGCAGGCTTTTGCCAAATTTTGATCCCCAGCTTCAGACTTGTGGCTAAGCCCCTGTATGAAGCCCTGAAAAGATTAGACTTGAAAACCCTGCACTGGATAGCCGAATGTCAATAGACATTCAACACTATTATAGAAAATCTAGTGTCAGCCCTGGATCTGGGATTGCCAAATCCCCAGAAGCCATTCAAGCTTTCTGTACATGAAAAGCAGAATATAGGGCTAGGAATGCTATTCCAAATGTTGGGGGACACCTCGCAACCTAGAGCACATTTTTCTAAACAATTGGATCAAATGACTGAAGAATGGGTCCCTTATCTCTGGGCAGTGGCTGCCACCTGTAAAATTCCGCAGCAAGCAGAAAAGTTTACCCTAGGACAGTCCATCACCATATTTGTGCCTCATCAGGTGCTAACTTTGCTAGAAAAGAAGTGAGGCTACTGGCTTACTGCAGAGGAAATGGGTAAATAAATTAGGTCATCTTCTGGATGACCTAAATGTCACCTTATAAACCACCACAGCCTTAAACCAGCCACCTTGCTTCCAGCCACTGATCCTGATCAAGAATTGAAATACAATTGTCTAGAAATCCTTAATGTGGCTTACTCTAAGAGGTGGACTTATCAGATCAATTGATGATCACTCCAGACTGGGAGCTCTACACTGGTGGAAGCAGCTTCATAGAAGATAGACACCAAGCCAGGTATGCAATGGTGATCACAGGTAAGGTAGGTAAGGTAATAGGGGCTCCTGCCCTTCCTGCTAGCACTACAGCACAAAAAGCTGAGCTGATCGCTCTCAACAGAGCTTTAGAATTGTCCCAGGGGAAGTGAGTAAACACTTACATTGGCTCCAAATATGTCTTTATGGTGGTATATGGCCATGGGGCTATTTGGAAAGAACAAGTCTTCTTGGCCTCAGGAAATAAGAACATTAGGCATCCAGTGGAAATCCTTGCCCTGCTGGAAGCAGTCACTCCATCTGCTCAGGTCACCATAATGCAATGCCCAGGGCATCAAAAAGGGAACAAAGCAGCCAACAAAGACACAAATTTGGCTGCCTGGGAAGCACAGGTGCTTGAGGGCTGTCATACCTCTTTGGACTCACCAGACTCGAGCCTCACTATACTGAGGAGGATGAAGAGTGTGCCCACGATTGAGGGTTAACTAATGCAGACCCTAGTTCACCTTGGAAGACTACACTCATGGGATCATTTGGCTCCCAAGACTTTGGTTTGTTCAATTCTCAAACATTTACATGAAGGAACCCACTATGGAAGGGATACCCTAGTTGACTTAATACGGCCCTACCTCAGAGGGCCACACATTTGGAGAATCATCCAGAAAATCACACAAGGATTCTACCCATGTGCAAAAAGTAATCCCAAAACTGAACATAGTCCACCCGAGAAAGGAGCACAACACCAAAGGCTGAGTCCATATGAAGACTGGCAGGTTGACTTCACACAGAGGCCCAGAGCAAGTGAAAACTATAAATTTCTACTTAGTGTTTGTAGACATATTCTCAGGATAGATTGAAGCATACTCCCACTGATTCTGTAAAGGCCACAGAAGTAGCAAAAGCTTTGCTAAATGAAATAACTCCTCGTTTTGCACTTCCTTGCTCTGTACAAAGTGACAGTGGTTCTTCTTTTGTTTCCGAGGTTACCGGGAAGATAAGTCAAGCATTACAGATGAAATGGAAATTGCATTCATCATGGAGTCATAGTCAATAGGAAAGACAGAAAAAATAAACCAAACTTTGAAAAAGATAGTGGCTAATCTCCATCAGGAAATGGATTTAAGTTGGGAAAGGGTCGTACCCATTGCCTTTATCAGAGTAGTGCCCTGAAGCAGTCTAGGGTTAACCCCTTTAAAAATTATTTATAGGTGATCCTTCCAAAATCCCTCCCTGGGAATCCCACCTTTAGTCTAGTAGGTGAACCAAGAATGAAACAACATAAACAACAATTAGGGCAGACATCACTAACTATGCATCAGTTTTCCCTTTCCAGGTCCGCATATCCCACAGACAAGCCTCTTCACCCTTTCTACCCAAGAGATAAAGTGCTGCTGAAGTCTTGGGAAAACAAAGGACAAAACCAACAGCTGCTGAAAAGTGGACAGGATATCAATGAACTGCTAACCACCCACTCATTAGTGAAGCTGTCTGGCGTTAAGCCATGGATATATCATACTCAGGTGAAGGCTGCCCCTTCTCCACCTCAGATAACCAACCTGCCTGGACCTATGAATCAGAGAGAGACCTAAATTGTTTCTTTAAAAGAACCTTGACAATAAGTAGAAACTTCTTTCTTTGCTCTCATAATATAAAGCTCTTATTAGTTTTTATCATAATAAGTACATTTTTTGTGCTCGCTAAAACTAATAATTTTTTGCTGTAGTAGGCACAGCACTATGCACAGTTTACAACAAGAAAATTTGCTGAATATGTGGTCAATAACCCTTTTCCAACAACTCTGGTCTGCCTTAGTAGGTTTTACCTATGCAGGGAAATGACTGGCAGTATCTGAAAACATTCATTAAAATTCTGAAACAATATGCCAGGCACTGTAGCTCACGCTTATAATCCCAGCACTTTGGGAGGACAAGATGGGAAAATTGCTTGAGCCCCAGAGTTCAAGTGCAGCCTACACAACATGGCAAGGCCCCGTCTCTACAAAAAAAATTTAAAAATTAGCCAGGCAAGGTGGTGCATGCCAGCTGTTGTCCCAGCTACTCAGGAACCTAAGGCAGGAGCCTAAGGCTCTCTGAGCCAGGGAGGCTGAGATTTTAGTGAGCTATAGTCATACCACCGCACTTCAGCCTAGGTGACAGAGTGAGACCCTGACTCAAAAAAACAAAAATTTTTAAACAATAGGGTGGTGTGATGGCTTACACAACCAGGAGCAATGTGATCAATTGGCCAATTAATAAAACTCTCAGTGATTCCAGACATGGGAAGCCTTTCTCAATGAATATCACATAAGAATATGTGAACAGCTATAACCAATCTGCAACTAAGTCCTAAGATAAAATCTAGCAATTCTCACTGTAAAGAAGTTTTTCTTCATATTTGAGATGGTTTCATTTTGTTGACATCAACTGCAGGGCAGTTGAGTCAAGTAGCTCCTCTATACTGGAAGCATCAAAATGACACCTGTGACTCATCACCCAATCTTATTTGAATACTGAGCTTGATTTCCCAAGAACACTGTCAGCATATCATAATTTTGCAAGCCACAGATTTGTTTGCCACAGATTGGTCTCAGTGTTCCGGCTTAAACTGGTATTAGTCCAACAGCACTGAATGGCTGTATGGCCCTAATATCTCACTTTGCTTGCCATTGGAATGACTAGGACAATGTACTTTAGGTTTCCCATGGGTGCAAGGGCAATGGAGAAAGTACAATCAAAAACTTGCTAATCCCCCACACCTAATTAAGACACGGACTAGATCCATTTTTCACTGGTATGACTATTTGGCTTCAATCCTTATGCCATTAGCAGGATTGAAGATGTCATCCAATATGTAGAAACCCTTGCAAATTATACCCAGTGGGTTATCAATGACAGCCTCCAAAGTATCTCCTTAGTAAACTCTGGGATGACCTACATGCAAGAAGCTGTTCTGAAGAACTGCATGGCTTTGGATATCTTTGCTGCACGAAGGGGACCTTGTGTCTTGTGCCATTATTAAAACTGAATATTGCGTATATATTCCAGGTAAGTAAGGGAATATTTCTATCCTTCTAGGATATGCACAAACGGATTAATGCTATGTCTGACCTTATGATGTCACTAGACCAATGGCTATCTTATTTGTTTGGGCCAGGAACTTCTTGGTGGAAAAAGCTGCTCATAATTCTAGCGATGATTTTAGGAATAGGTGTGCTTCTTTGCTGGGGATTATATATTGCCATACATTCTGTATGAATGTGAGGGCTCTTGAGCCCTCCAACAGATCTCTCCTATAAGTCCAGGTATTCAGGAATATTTTCAAATCCACGTAGACTGGTTACATTCCCTGAACATCTCCATCAAGGAGGAAGTAGCTAGATTGAATACATTACCCACCTTCTAAAGAAATAAAATGGAAGTTGACAGTGGAGAGTTGTAATTGAGTGGCTTGACTTTAAAATGCATTTTAAAAATTATTTTTCCTTCTCTCTAATCTTAGCCTTCAAATGTACTTTGAAACTGTTTCTCTCCTTTCTCACCAGGCACTCCCTTGCACTGCATTCACATATCTAATTACGTGCTTGCTTAGACATTCCAGGAGCTAATCTTGAAATAAAACAGGCAGGAAGAGCCAGCAGCAGAATTCTCCCCATCTAAGGGTTACCCATAGCAATTAATCTACAACCTGGCCATTGTCAAGATGGTGCCAGCCCACATTCCAGGTGGACAATTGCCTACAATAGCCATCAGAACCAGACACAGAGACCCTATACCCTGCTCCACACCTGCATACCTCTCATGCCAAGTTTCTCTTCTGAAACTCGCTTACCTACAGTTTTGAAATGGCTTTTGGAGGTATGAGCCCAGCCATTTCCCAACTTCCAGCATTTGAATAATGTTGCTTTCCCTTCACCACACTTCACTTCTTGTATTTTGGATTTCCAGTGATGAGCAGCTGGACTTGAGTTCAGTTACATTTCTATTTCTGGCTCAGACCTCTCCCCACCTTCTTTCACTGACATCTCAAATTGAACATGCTTCAAACTTAACTCTTGATATTGCTCCCCAGAATCTGTTCTGCCCACAGTGTTCTCCATTTAATTTATGAAACATCATCCTTCCTGTTGTTCCAACCAAAAACACTGAAACCATTCTTTACTCTTTTATTTTTCTCAATTATCACATCAAATTAATCAGGAAATCTTTTTGATTATTTTAAAAAACATATCCAAAATGGACCACTTATCACCTCTGTTGCCACTAGCCTGACGTGAGTGGCCAGTATCAGTCTTGTCGACATCACTTTAGTAGCCTCTTAACTGATACGTATGACTATATTTTTGCCACCCTCCACACCCTCATCACCATACTCCCATAGAGTCTATTCTTGACACAGCAGCCAGGTTCCTGTATAAAAACATTTCATATGGTAAAGATGGCTGTATTAGTTTCTTTTCATGCTGCTGATAAAGACATACCTGAGACTGGGCAATTTACAAAAGAAAGAGTTTTAATGGACTCACAGTTCCACGTGGCTAGGGAGGCCTCACAATCATGGCAGAAGGCAAAAGGCACTTTTTCCATGGCAGCAGCAAGAGAAAGAATGAGAGCCAAGTGAAACAGGTTTCCCCCATCAAACCATCAGATCTCATGAGACATATTCACTAGCAGGAGAACAGTATGGGAGAATCCTCCCACATGATTCAATTATCTCCTCATGGGGCCATCCCTCAATACGTGAGAATTACGGGAGTACAATTTAAGATGTTATTTGGGTGGGGACACAGCCAAACCATATGATTCTGCCTCTGGCCCCTCCCAAATCTCGTGTCCTCACATTTCAAAACCAATCATGCCTTTCCAACAGTCCCCCAAAGTCTTAACTCATTTCAGCATTAACTTAAAAGTCCACGGTCCAAAGTCTCATCTGAAACAAGGCAAGTCCCTTCTGCCTATGAGCTGTAAAATCAAAAGCAAGTTAGTTACTTCCTAGATACAATGGGGGTACAGGCATTGGGTAAACACACCAGTTCCAAATGGGAGAAATTGGCCAAGACAAAGGGACTACAGGCCCCATGCAAGTCCAAAATCCAGCGGGGCAGTCAAATCTTAATGCTCCAAAATGATCTTCTTTGACTCCACGTCTCACATTCAGGTCACACTGATGCAAGAGGTGGGCTCCCATGGTCTTGAGCAGCTCTGCCTCTGTGGCTTTACAGGGTATAGCCTCCTTCCTGGCTGCTTTCACAGGCTGGTGTTGAGTGTCTGCAGCTTTTCCAGGCACGCGATGCAAGCTGTCAGTGGATCTACCATTCTGGGGTCTAGAGGATGGTGGCCCTCTTCTCACAGCTCCACTAGGCAGTGCCCCAGTAGAGACTCTGTGTGGGAGCTCTGACCCCACATTTCCCTTCTGCACTGCCCTAGCACAGGTTCTCCATGAGAGCCCTGCCCCTGTGGCAAACTTCTGCCTGAACATCCAGGCATTTCCATACATCCTCTGAAATCTAGGCGGAGGTTCCCAAACCTCAATTCTTGACTTCTGTGCACCTGCAGGCTCAACATCATATGGAAGCTGCAAGGCTTGGTGCTTGAACCCTCTGACATCATGGCCCCAGCTATACCTTGGCCACTTTTAGACTGGAGTGGCTGGGATAAAGGCATCAAGTCCCTGTACTGCACATAGCACAGAGACCCTGGGCCAGGTCCAGGAAATGACTTTTCCCTCCTATTTTCCAGGCCTGTGATGGAAAGGGCTGCAGTGAAGACCTCTAATATGTCCTGGAGACTTTTTCCCCATTGTCTTGGGGATTAACATTCAGCTTCTTGTTACTTATGCAAATTTCTGCTGCTGGCTTGAATTTCTGCTCAGAAAATGGTATTTTCTTTTCTATTGCATAGTCAGGCTGCAAATTTTCCAAACTTTTATACTCTGCTTCCTTTATAAACCTGAATGCTTTTAACAGCACCCAAGTCACATCTTGAATCCTTTGATGCTTAGAACTTTCTTCTACTGCATACCCAAATCATCTCTCTCAAATTCAACTTCCAGAAATCTAGGGCAGGGGCAAAATGCCACCAGTCTCTTTGCTAAAACATAACAAGTGTCACATTTGCTCCAGTTCCCAACAAGTTCCTCGTCTCCATCTGAGACGACCTCAGCCTTGACCTTATTGTTCCTATCACTATCAGCATATTGGTCAAGGCCATTCAACAAGTCTCTAGGAAGTTCCAAACTTTCCCACATTTTCCCATCATCTTCTGAGCCCTCCAAACTGTTCCAGCCTCTGTCTGTTACCCAGTTCCAAAGTTGTTTCCACATTTTCGGGTATCTTTTCAGCAGCACCCCACTGTACTGGTACCAGTTTACTGTATTAGTCTGCTTTCACTCTGGTGATGAAGACATACCTGAGACTGGGCAATTTACAAAAGAAAGAGATTTAATGGACTTACAGGCTAGGGAGGCCTCATAATCGTGGTGGAAGGCAAAAGGTACTTCTTACATGATGGTGGCAAGACAGAGAATGAGAGCTGGGCAAAACAGACTTCAGATTTCCCATTATCAAACCATCAGATCTCATGAGACTTATTCATGACCATGAGAACAGTATGAGAAAAACCACCCCCATGATTCAATTGTCTCCCACAGGGTCCCTCCCACAACACATGGGAATTATGGGAATACAATTCAAAATGAGATTTGAGTGAGGATACAGCCAACCCATATCAATGGCAATTCTTCACAAAATAATCTATGAATTTAATACAATTTTAGTTAAAATTTCACATAGTTTATTTATGGAAAGCTTATCAAAAAATTTCATAGAAATATAAAATTCCCAAGAATAGCTGTGATGGTTAATATTAGATGTCAACTTGATTGGATTGAAGGATGTCTAGATAGCCGGAAAAGTATTGTTTATGGGTGTATCTGTTAGGATTTTGTCAGAGAAGATTGACATTTGAGTCAGTGGACTAGGAGAGGGAGACCAACTCTCAATGGGAACTGGAGCAAATTGGTAGGCACCATCCAATCAACTGCTAGCACAGCTAGAACAAAGCAGACAGAAGAAGGTGGAATAAGCTGGCTTGCTGAGTCTTCTGGCTTTCATCTTTCTCCCATGCTGGCTGCTTCCTTCCTGCCCTTGGACATCAGACTCCAGGTTCTTCTAAATTTGAACTCTTGGACTTACGCCAGTGGTTTGTCAAGGGCTCTCGGACCTTTGCCCACAGACTGAAAGCTGCCCTGTTGGCTCCCTGCTGACGAGTCTTTTGGACTTTGACTATGCCACTACCAGCTTCTTTCTTCCTCAGCTTGCAAGCAGCCTAATGTGGGACTTTACCTTATGATCATATTAGCCAATTCACCCTAATAAACTCCCTTTTATATATACATATATCCCATTTATGCTGTCCCTCTAGAGAACCCTGACTAATACAGATTTTAGCCATGGAAATCTTGAAGAAAAAGAGAAAGAGGAAGAGAAGGGGGAGGACCAAGAGGTGGAGGAAAAGTAGGTGGCAGGGGAATGCAGCAATGATTGAGGAGAAAAAAATGGGAAAGATGGAAGGAAGGAAGGAAGGAAGGAAGGAAGGAAGGGAGGGAAGGAGGATTGCCAGCCATCATTCCAGAGGTCACAAGATACGCTACTTCCCCAATTACTCCGGCAGAATACATCACTATTACAAAACCTAAAATTGGCTTTTGAGATATCTTTTCAGATTTTTTGCATGCCTGATACATATGATGACTCAACCTGGACCCACCCGCTGCTTCTGAGGCCCCACCCAGGAGTAATTCAGAGCAAAGGAGAATCATTTCCCATACTCCTATGATTGCACCCCCCAACCAAACAGCAACAAGCATCCATTGTCTAGCCATCCCCACCCCGTTCCACAAACTACCTTTGAAAAACCCCTTGAGGGTAGAGCCAAGATAGCCGAATAGGAACAGCTCCAGTCTACAGCTCCCAGCATGAGCGATGCAGAAGTCGGGTATTTCTGCATTTCCATCTGAGGTACCGGGTTCATCTCACTAGGGAGTGCCAGACAGTGGGCGCAGGACAGTGGGTGCAGCACACCGTGCGCGAGCCGAAGCAGGGCGAGGCATTGCCTCACTCGGGAAGCGCAAGGGGTCAGGGAGTTCCCTTTCCTAGTCAAATAAAGGGGTGACAGACGGCACCTGGAAAATCGGGTCACTCCCACCCCAATACTGAGCTTTTCCAACGGGCTTAAAAAACGGCGCACCAGGAGATTATACGCCACACATGGCTCGGAGGGTCCTACGCCCACAGAGTCTCACTCATTGCTAGCACAGCAGTCTGAGATCAAACTGCAAGGCGGCAGCGAGCCTGGGGGAGGGGTGCCCGCCATTGCCCAGCTTGCTTAGGTAAACAAAGCAGCCGGGAAGCTCCAACTGGGTGGAGCCCACCACAGCTCAAGGAGGTCTGCCTGCCTCTGTAGGCTCCACCTCTGGGGGCAGGGCACAGACAAACAAAAAGACAGCAGTAACCTCTGCAGACTTAAATGTCCCTGTCTGACAGCTTTGAAGAGAGCAGTGGTTCTCCCAGCACGCAGCTGGAGATCTGAAAACGGGCAGACTGCCTCCTCAAGTGGGTCCCTGACCCCTGAGCCCCGAGCAGCCCAACTGGGAGGCACCCCCCAGTAGGGGCAGACTGACACTTCACATGGCTGGGTACTCCTCTGAGACAAAACTTCCAGAGGAACGATCAGACAGCAGCATTCGGGGTTCATGAAAATCCGCTGTTATGCAGCCACCGCTGCTGGTACCCAGGCAAACAGGGTCTGGAGTGGACCTCTAGCAAACTCCAACAGACCTGCAGCTGAGGGTCCTGTCTGTTAGAAGGAAAACTAACAAACAGAAAGGACATCCACACCAAAAACCCATCTGTACATCACCATCATCAAAGACCAAAAGTAGAAAACAACAAAGATGGGGAAAAAGCAGAGCAGAAAAACTGGAAACTCTAAAAAGCAGAGAGCCTCTCCTCCTCCAAAGGAACACAGCTCCTCACCAGCAATGGAACAAAGCTGGACGGAGAATGTCTTTGACGCGCTGAGAGAAGAAGGCTTCAGATGATCAAACTACTCCGAGCTATGGGAGGACATTCAAACCAAAGGCAAAGAAGTTGAAAACTTTGAAAAAAATTTAGACAAATATATAACTAGAATAACCAATACAGAGAAGTACTTAAAGGAGCTGATGGAGCTGAAAGCCAAAGCTTGAGAACTATGTGAAGAATGCAGAAGCCTCAGCAGCCGATGGGATCAATTGGAAGAAAGGCTATCAGTGATGGAAGATGAAATGAATGAAATGAAGTGAGAAGGGAAGTTTAGAGAAAAAAGAATAAAAAGAAATGAACAAAGCCTCCAAGAAATATGAGACTATGTGAAAAGACCAAATCTACGTCTGATTGGTGTACCTGAAAGTGACGGGGAGAATGGAACCAAGTTGGAAAACACTCTGCAGGATATTATCCAGGAGAACTTCCCCAATCTAGCAAGGCAGGCCAACGTTCAGATTCAGGAAATACAGAGAACGCCACAAAGCTACTCCTCGAGAAAAGCAACTCCAAAACACATAATTGTCAAATTCACCAAAGTTGAAATGAAGGAAAAAATGTTAAGAGCAGCCAGAGAGAAAGGTCGGGTTACCCTCAAAGGGAAGCCCATCAGACTAACAGCGGATCTCTCGGCAGAAACTCTACAAGGCAGAAGAGAGTGGGGGCCAATATTCAACATTCTTAAAGAAAAGAATTTTCAACCCATAATTTCATATCCAGCCAAACTAAGCTTCATAAGTGAAGAAGAAATAAAATACTTTACACACAAGCAAATGCTGAGAGATTTTGTCACCACCAGGCCTGCCCTAAAAGAGCTCCTGAAGGAAGCACTAAACATGGAAAGGAACAACTGGTACCAGCCACTGCAAAATCATGTCAAATTGTAAAGACCATTGAGACTAGGAAGAAACTGCATCAACTAACCAGCAAAAGAACCAGCTAACATCATAATGACAGGATCAAATTCACACATAACAATATTAACTTTAAATGTAAATAGACTAAATCCTCCCATTGAAAGACAAATTAAAAGGCAAATTGGATAAAGAGTCAAGACCCATCAGTGTGCTGTATTCAGGAAACCCATCTCATGTGCAGAGACACACATAGTCTGAAAATAAAAGGATGGAGGAAGATCTACCAAGCAAATAGAAAACAAAAAAAGGCAGGGGTTGCAATCCTAGTCTCTGATAAAACAGACTTTAAACCAACAAAGATCAAAAGAGACAAAGAAGGCCATTACATAATGGTAAAGGGATCAATTCAACAAGAAGAGCTAACTATCCTAAATATATATGCACCCAATACAGGAGTACCCAGATTCATAAAGCAAGTCCTGAGGGACCTACAAAGAGACTTAGACTCCCACACAATAATAATGGGAGACTTTAACACCCCACTGTCAACATTAGACAGATCAACAGGACAGAAAGTTAATAAGGATACCCAGGAAATGAACTCAGCTCTGCACCAAGCGGACCTAATAGGCATCTACAGAACTCTCCACCCCAAATCAACAGAATATACATTTTTTTCAGCACCACACCACACCTATTCGAAAATTGACTACATACTTGGAAGTAAAGCTCTCCTCAGCAAACGTAAAAGATCAGAAATTATAACAAACTGTCTCTCAGACCACAGTGTAAACAAACTAGAACTCAAGGTTAAAAAACTTACTCAAAACCGCTCAACTACATGGCAACTGAACAACCTGCTCCTGAATGACTACTGGGTACATAACGAAATGAAGGCAGAAATAAAGATATTCTTTGAAACCAACGAGAACAAAGACACAACATACCAGAATCTCTGGGACACATATAAAGCAGTGTGTAGAGGGAAATTTACAGCACTAAATGCCCATGAGAGAAAGCAGGAAAGATCCAAAATTGACACCCTAACATCACAATTAAAAGAACTAGAAAAGCAAGAGCAAACACATTCAAAAGCTAGCAGAAGGCAAGAAATAACTAAAATCAGAGCAGAACTGAAGGAAATAAAGACACAAAAAACCCTTCAAAAAATTAATGAATCCAGGAGCTGGTTTTTTGAAAGGATCAACAAAATTGATAGACTGCTAGCAAGACTAATAAAGAAGAAAAGAGAGAAGAATCAAATAGATGCAATAAAAAATGATAAAGGGGATATCACCACCGATCCCACAGAAATACAAACTACCATCAGAGAATACTACAAACACCTCTACGCAAATAAACTAGAAAATCTAGAAGAAATGGATAAATTCCTTGACACATACACCCTCCCAAGACTAAGCCAGGAAGAAGTTGACTCTTTGAATAGACCGATAACAGGCTCTGAAATTGTGGCAATAATCAATAGCTTACCAACCAAAAAGAGTCCAGGACCAGATGGATTCACAGCCGAATTCTACCAGAGGTACAAGGAGGAACTGGTACCATCCCTTCTGAAACTATTCCAATCAATAGAAAAAGAGGGAATCCTCTCTAACTCATTTTATGAGGCCAGCATCCTCCTGATACCAAAGCTGGGCAAAGACACAACCAAAAAGGAGAATTTTCGACCGATATCCTTGATGAACATTGATGCAAAAATCTTCAATAAAATACTGGCAAAACGAATCCAGCAGTACATCAAAAAGCTTAACCACCATGATCAAGTGGGCTTCATCCCTGGGATGAAAGGCTGGTTCAATATACACAAATCAATAAATGTAATCCAGCATATAAACAGAACCAAAGACAAAAACCACATGATTATCTCAATAGATGCAGAAAAGGCCTTTGACAAAATACAACAACCCTTCATGCTAAAAACTCTCAATAAATTAGGTATTGATGGGATGTATCTCAAAATAATAAGAGCTATCTATGACAAACCCACAGCCAATATCATACTGAATGGGCAAAAACTGGAAGCATTCCCTTTGAAAACTGGCACAAGACAGGGATGCCCTCTCTCACCACTCCTATTCAACACAGTGTTGGAAGTTCTGCCCAGGGCAATTAGGCAGGAGAAGGAAATAAAGGGTATTCAATTAGGAAAAGAGGAAGTCAAATTGTCCCTGTTGGCAGATGACATGATTGTATATCTAGAAAACCCCATTGTCTCAGCCCAAAATCTCCTTAAGCTGATAAGCAACTTCAGCAAAGTCTCAGGATACAAAATCAATGTACAAAAATCACAAGCATTCTTATACACCAATAACAGACAAACAGAGAGCCAAATCATCAGTGAACTCCCATTCACAATTGCTTCAAAGAGAATAAAATACCTAGGAATCGAACTTACAAGGGACATGAAGGACCTCTTCAAGGAGAACTACAAACCACTGCTCAATGAAATAAAAGAGGATACAAAGAAATGGAAGAACATTCCATGCTCATGGGTAGGAAGAATCAATATCGTGAAAATGGCCATACTGCCAAAGGTAATTTACAAATTCAATGCCATCCCCATCAAGCTACCAATGACTTTCTTCACAGAATTGGAAAAAACTCCTTTAAAGTTCATATGGAACCAAAAAAGAGCCCGCATCGCCAAGTCAATCCTAAGCCAAAACAACAAAGCGGGAGGCATCACGCTACCTGACTTCAAACTATACTATAAGGCTACAGTAACCAAAACAGCACGGTACTGGTACCAAAACAGAGATATAGATCAATGGAACAGAACAGAGCCCTCAGAAATAATGCCGCATATCTACAACTATCTGATCTTTGACAAACCTGAGAAAAACAAGCAATGGGAAAAGGATTCCCTATTTAATAAATGGTGCTGGGAAAACTGGCTAGCCATATGTAGAAAGCTGAAACTGGACCCCTTCCTTACACCTTATACAAAATTAATTCAAGGTGGATTAAAGACTTAAACGTTAGACCTAAAACCATAAAAACCCTAGAAGAAAACCTAGGCATTACCATTCAGGACATAGGCATGGGCAAGGACTTCATGTTTAAACACCAAAAGCAATGGCAACAAAAGCCAAAGTTGACAAATGGGATCTAATTAAACTAAATAGCTTCTGCACAGCAAAAGAAACTACCATCAGAGTGAACAGGCAACCTACAAAATGGGAGAAAATTTTCGCAACCTACTCTTCTGACAAAGGGCTAATATCCCTTTGTCAGATATCTACAATGAATCTACAATGAACTCAAACAAATTTACAAGAAAAAAAACAAACAACCCCATCAAAAAGTGGGCGAAGGACATGAACAGACACTTCTCTAAGGAAGACATTTATGCAGCCTAAAAACACATGAAAAAATGCTCACCATCACTGGCCATCAGAGAAATGCAAATCAAAACCACAATGAGATACCATCTCACACCAGTTAGAATGGCAATCTTTAAAAAGTCAGGAAACAACAGGTGCTGGAGAGGATGTGGAGAAATAGGAACACTTTGACACTGTTGGTGGGACTGTAAACTAGTTCAACACTTGTGGAAGTCAGTGTGGCGATTCCTCAGGGATCTAGAACTAGAAATACCATTTGACCCAGCCATCCCATTACTGGGTATATACCCAAAGGACTATAAATCATGCTGCTATAAAGACACATGCACACGTATGTTTATTGTGGCACTATTCACAATAGCAAAGACTTGGAACCAACCCAAATGTCCAACAATGATAGACTGGATTAAGAAAATGTGGCACATATACACCATGGAATACTATGCAGCCATAAAAAATGATGAGTTCATGTCTTTGTAGGGACATGGATGAAATTGGAAATCATCATTCTCAGTAAACTATCGCAAGAACAAAAAACCAAACACCGCATATTCTCACTCATAGGTGGGAATTGAACAATGAGAACACATGGACACAGGAAGGGGAACATCACACTCTGGGGACTGTTTTGGGGTGGGGGGAGGGGGGAGGGATAGCTTTAGGAGATATACCTAATGCTAAATGACGAGTTAATGGGTGCAGCACACCAGCATGGCACATGTATACATATGTAACTAACCTGCACATTGTGCACATGTACCCTAAAACTTAAAGTATAATAAAAATAAAATAAAATAAAAAAAGAAAAACCCCTAACCTACAAGCCTTCAATGAGATTGATTTGAGTAATAACTCCATCTCCCATATGGTGTAACCAGCGTCATGTCTATTAAATTATTTATTTACTGCAATGCAATGGTCTTTGTGCAGTGTGCAGCAAGAACCTGTTGGGCAGTTACATTATACAGACCAATAAAAAAGACAAGTGTTTCTGTCAAAAACAACTTTCTGAAAGTTTAGGAGAGACCTCAAAAACTCAAGTCCCTGAAATGTACTGTCAAATTGAACATAAAATATAGTAAAAAAAAAAAAAAAAAAAAAAAAAACACTGAGATAATTCTGCAATAATTTCTAAATGTGCACATTTTCAGGAAATTTCTTACAAAAGTCAAACTGAATGCAAAACACCAGTGGCTTATGCAAAAGAAGATGTCATAGGAATTTGATTAGTGTTGGCCCAATGCGTTAAGTGACTTTGCATTTACAAATTAGTGTCTTTATGCTATATTCTTATAATTCTTCAATTTAACCTTCTTTGGATTATCCAACATCAAATTCTAACTGTATTGGGTAAAACCATTGCACTTACATGCACAAGCATTTGTCGTACCATAGTCGTAACAAGAAGAAGCTGGATTCAAAATTAATGAAATGCCTCTATACCATAACAGTAAAATGATCAGAGTTATATGCAGTACAAGGAAAATATATCCAAAATAAATTGCTAATTGTAAGCCAAAAAACTTTGTAAAATATTATATAGAACATGTCTCTAATTTTTTATTTGGAGAAAATGGTGTTCAAATATAGAAGGAAAAAAGAAAATTAAATAGAATAAAAGATTAAAAAAATGAATCGAACTATAAATAGTGGTTTGTCTTGTTCCTATTTTTCTTTTCTTTTGATGTACTTTACTCTGTAAATATAGCCTGAGTACCCCTTATCCAAAATGTATGGGAACAGAAATGTTTTGGATTTCAGATGTTTTCAGATTTTGGAATTTTTGCATTATATGTACTCACTGGTTGAATAAAAGCAAGCAGTATTTTCTCTGGACATTATGTTGAAGCTCAAAAAATTTTGGATTTTGCAGCATTTCGGATTCTCAGTTTTGGAATGCTAATCTAGTATATGATTTATTTTAAAAAATTAATATTGTTTTTAAATAATCCACACCCATTTATAATCCAACTTGCCCTTTTTGGTTTTTCTAAAAATGCTTTATACAACAGATATTCTATTTGTGTCAAACTAATGAAATATATTTCAAATAAATGATATTTTCTTTCTCTACCCTCTTTGCCTTTGGAGACTAATCCCAGAGCACTAAGTTGTATGGCAGGGATTTAGACTTTAAACAACCTGTCAGTCATTTAAATTGCTGATTAATTTTGGCTTGGCACCACTTATGATCTTAGATCAAGTGTTTGATGAAATAATCAGTCATCTGTGCCTGCTTTGAAAAATTAGCATGCACGTTTATTTGTCAAAATGTCAAAATGAGTCTAATTTTTAAGTACTGTCCTGTGCAGCATATGTCAGCATTTCTCAACATGAAGAGGGTAACTCTCTCCAGGCAACAACCATGATGACTCTTGTAGCAAGACCACCTTTGCAAACTTTCCTCACAGATTTTTCATTAGAAAAGTTAGGTAGAGCTAGAGCTACAGACTGGGGGAATTAGTTCTTCAAGTTTTTTTTTTTGTTTGTTTGTTTGTTTTTGAGACGGAGTCTCTCGCTCTGTCGCCCAGGCTGGAGTGCAGTGGCGCGATCTCGGCTCACTGCAAGCTCTGCCTCCCGGGTTCACGCCATTCTCCTGCCTCAGCCTCCTGAGTAGCTGGGACTACAGGCGCCCGCCACCATGTCCGGCTAATTTTTGTATTCTTAGTAAAGACGGGGTTTCAGCGTGTTAGCCAGGATGGTCTCGATCTCCTGACCTCGTGATCCACCCGCCTCAGCCTCCCAAAGTGCTGGGATTACAGGCGTGAGCCACCGCGCCCGGCCCAAGGTTTTTATCAGTACCCATATTAAAACTAAACTTTTTTTCCTTTTTTGTTTAAAGAAAAAGCTATGGACTTTCATTTATTTCATAGAGTTATTAAATGGAAAGCAAAGTCTATTCTAGGTGTTGGGAAAATAATCCAGGAGTTATTCCTATGGGAAATGGAGCTGAGCAATTTGAAATCATACCAATTCAGTATTTATACATTAATATTTATTGAGATCACTATGTGTGTAAAACTTTATCTCTAAAATTACAGAGAACGACAATGACAGAAGAACACAGAATTGGCAGTCACAAATTACAGTCAATCAATGTCAAACATCAAGGTATTATTACTTGAAAAGAATGATGTCATTAACCTAAAAACAGTAGGATCTAGGGCTCCATTCACACTTTTCTAACAGAAGATAGAATCTACGTTGATACAATGCATTCTTCTAAGAATAGTTCTATCATAAAACTTATATTTTTATTCAACTATATGTCTGTGGTAAACTAGTAAAAATTTACTGTTCTCTCAATTTTGTTACCTGTGTCTTAAATATCCTTTTCTTTTACTTTTTTTTTGTTTTTTATTTTTTTATTTTTTTTGAGACGGAGTCTCGCTCTGTCGCCCAGGCTGGAGTGCAGTGGTGGGATCTCAGCTCACTGCAGGCTCACTGCAAGCTCCGCCTCCCGGGTTCACGCCATTCTCCTGCCTCAGCCTCCCGAGTAGCTGGGACTACAGGCGCCCACCACCACGCCCGGCTAATTTTTTGTATTTTTAGTAGAGACAGGGTTTTACCGTGTTAGCCAAGATGGTCTCGATCTCCTGACCTTGTGATCCACCTGCCTCGGCCTCCCAAAGTGCTGGGATTACAGGCGTGAGCCACCGTGCCCGGCCTTAAATACCCTTTTCATAATAATATATGTAGATAATGTAAAAACAAAGCTAAACAGGAATCATTAATAATTATTTGAAAATAATATGCTTCTGTAGACAAAAACAAAAAGAAATACACTTGAAAAGAAATTATCACTCTCTTGATTGGGAAATATAATGTCAATCCCAAAAATAAGAGATAGCCATTTCATAGTTTCTAACTTTTGCACATTTTATAAGGAAAATAAACATGAAAAAGTTTGCTAAGAATGAATATAAAGAGTTATAAAGTGTCAGCAAGAAGTGACACATAAAGAAGGTTGATTCCATAAATAAATATTTATTAAACACCTATTATGCTTCAGATACCTGAATGACCAGTGAATAAGATAGACACTTTCATGAAATTCACTAATGTAAGCATCAAAAATTACAAATATTCCTCTATGAGTTGTTTTAGCTATATCCCAAAATTTAATATGTGTATTTTTATTATCATCTAGTTTAAATATTTTAGCTTTCCATGTAACTTATTACTTTACCCATGATTCTTTAGAAATAATCTGCTTAATTTCCAAATATTTAGAAGTATGTATATATAAGTAATTTTTAATTTTACATATATATGATTTCATAGTGATCAGAAAAGATATTTTGCAGAATTTCAATCCTTTTAAATTTGTTGAGATATTTGTATGGCCCATACCATAGTCTATCTATCTTCATAAATGAACCATATACCTTGAACTGCAGTTGCTGAGTGAAAGAATTTGATCGTTAATTGGTTGATGAGGGTGAGGATGAACCAGGGAAATACCACATTTCTTTTCCTGGATGAGACTGCCACTCACAAAAGTAAAAATCAAACAAATAAAAAACATGCAGAAGTAAGATCAAAAGTGTGAGGTGTGGGTGTTAGTGAATTTATGGGGCACATAGGAAAGCATGCTAGAGAAGACAAGATGGTAAGCAGAGATCATACATGTCTTGGATATGCTGAATATCAGCCAACTAAGAAACTCAAGTATGGCCAGTGATAGTTCACTATATATTATAGATACATCATTCAGATGAGAAGTTTAAGACAGCAATATTATAAAAAGTAAAGTCAAGCATATCCAAATGGGGCTATACATGTTTAAAACAAAACAAAGAATAAAGCAAGGGAAAGGTTATGTTTTCTGGCTCAAATTTAAAAGTTTTGTTTTTACAATTTATATGACACTGAGCCATTCTGGCATAATTTTTCTGATCTTTGTCAGTATTGGCATAGAATAGTAAACAACTAAGGGAAAAGAGTTAATACGTCAAGTAAATTCTAATAAATTTACAATTTAAACTCAGACAATTATCTGAGTTTAAAAATGTACCTCCAACCTACACACACACACACACCACACACAAATACACTTTAAAAAAAATGGCAAATCTATTTAGCCAGAGCATTATACTTCCAAAGGCTTTCCATTCTAGAGGTATCAAAAAGCAGAACTCCTCTAATGGAGAAGGTCTTTACTCTCAGAAGAAACAAATAGGGAACTCTGTGAAGGAAGGAGATGTCCACATACCCATCCAGATCAGTCAATCAGCTCGGTGCTTAGTGGAGCACAGAGGTCACAGGTACACATCTTCAAGTCCCTTACACAAAGGTTACAGAAACTTATCTTTTTAAAATCATGGCTATAAATAATTTTTCCAGGAAAATAAGAAGGATTAGTCATAGCCTACTTAAGCAAATATGTTTAAAGGCCTTGAAATCACAAGGCAATTACTCTGGGCTTGGGAATAGTGACATCTAATTAAAACGTTAAATTAAGTTCAGTAGTGATACCAACTTGTTTACACATTCAAACTAATTTCAGTAAAGTAAATTTAGCCTACAGAGGTCATTTACTTTGGCACCATCCCTTATAATAAAATTATGAATGAGATTTTGAGATTAAATGATGACTAGGTAACTCCTCAAATTTCCCATTGAAAGATTCATTGAGGGGGAGGAGAGAAGGAGGGGGAGGAGGAGAGGAGGAGGGAGGGGAAGGAGAAGAGAAGGAAAGGGAGGATGGACAGGTGGATGAAAACCTGTACACCAAGAAATTGAAACTTCTAACTTCCTTGGCAGGCAGCAATATTCATCAATGCCTTGTCAGGCCTCAGAAAAAATTTCCACTAAACAAAGAATAGTTGAGTTCCTGAAAACAACCTAACAGAGCCTTACACATACTCCTACCACAGTGATAGAGAACATTCACAGTCCAAAAAGTCCTGGTAGTCAACCTTCATCTACTGCATGCCCCTTTCTAAAGAATTTTTTTTCTTATCTTCATGGTGAGAGACCTATGCATGCACCAGCTTGAATGTGCTAATCAGTACCAATACTTTGTACTTTTACAACATGAACAGGGCTTATCTTGATCTTTTTGCAAAGGGAACACCAAAATGTGAATTAAGGAAGAAATTAAAAACAAAAGAAAACTCAGTACCATTTTAGTGTGGAGATTAAGATATTTGGTAAAAGTGTGAAATTAAATATATTTCTGGGAACTCTGAGGTTGGCGTACTATGTAAAGAGGAGTCACGTGAATCAATGTAGGTAATTCCCCAACACAGAAATAAGTAAACCCAAGGAGGGATATTGTGCTGAGTTCTCCCCTACTAGTATTTACCAGTGGAGGAAAATAGTATTGCTGATTCCTGAAAGGAAATCAGAGAGCCCTAGGGCAGTATTAAAGGAAGCTCCATTGAGAGGTTTACTTTCAATGAGCTAGGATGCTAAGATTGGTAATGCACTGAGGCCAAAGAGACATCATGTGACCAGCTATTTGTAATAAGCTGGTGTGTTGAGTTGAAGACTACACCTCCAAGGTTGAATGGTCCCCAAGATTTCTCTATTTACTGCCTAAGTTAGAGTCTTTACTGGAAAAACTACTACCATCATGCAATCTTACCACATCAACCCCACCTAAAAGTGTGCTTTCCTGTCTGTAGCAGCTGGACTCAGGAAATGCAAGTTTCAGTGAGCAATCTCAGCCTTCTTCAGTCCGCAAGTCTGGGGGATATCCCCTTTTTCCACTATGGGAAAGAAGAAACTTTAACAAGTTTGGTTCAGGCAGTTACTTGTCAATTCCCTTACTCTATTTAAATATGATCATCTAATTACATAGTGATAGAATGTTCACTCTTTATATAATATTTATACCTCTTTGAAGATAAATGCATACTCAGTGAAAGATGACTTCTTGGTCTCTGGATATTACCATTCTCCTTAATCAACAGGACTGTATAGCAGGATTGTGTGACTTTCCCGAGTTCAAAATGTTAGTAAGTGGCAGAGCTGGTATACAAATTCAGATGCAAAAACCCAAATTCTCAACTACAACTTCAATTATCTTGGCTACCATAGGAATTGGAGTTACAAATAATTCTAATATAGTGTTGCATTTTAATCATTTTCGGGCCTTACAAATTTTACATCTTTTCCTACTTGATGCTTTCTTGATCTTAACAAAAACTGTGATAAGCCTTTTTTAATATATATTTCCACCTTATCTACTACCTTTTTAAAAGTCCCCACATAGAATACTGAGACTAAGAGGGCCTTCAAGTGATACTATTTATCAATATATCCTAAAATATAAGAATATGTTTCATTTAAACAGATTCAGATACAGAGACTGAATCTTTTCCTATTCAGCAGAAAGTCATATTTTTATTATGTAAGTAAAGTATACTTGTGTATTTCTTCTTATACCAGTTTCAATACAAAATATTTGTTCAATGTCAATGCCATCTACACAATACTGTAATCATATGAGAGCCCAACCTCAAGTAAATTTATGGTGTTTATGGGGTTTGTTTTAGGTTACCAAGTTCCTTAATTCTACACAACTTTCACAGATTTACCTTGCAGGTTGCAGCACTCTCCTTTATCCTCACTGATACTTATTTGTTCAGGGCATCCTAAAATTCCAGCCTTATAAGACAGTCAACTGCCAAGAATGAAATGACTTCATGGTAGAGTAATTAATGTATATCATTCCTTGTCGAAGATATCCTAAGGGATAGTATTATATAAGGTAGACAAAATGAGTGTGGCCACAATGAGACACGGAGAATGTTTAGGAGACAGAGTGAAATGTCATGGCTGAATTTTGACAGAGGGATGAAGTTAAGAAAATCCAAAGAATAACTACCTAGAAGTGAAAGCTTTGGGGGACCTCAGATCTCAAAGACAGAGCATAAAAAATCCAAAGAAGCAATAAGAAAATGAATCCATGACTCATTGAAACAGAACTTTAAAAAGGAAAATAGTTCTACTATAAATATGGTCAAATTGTGATACAGTGATAAATATATAGGCCACGACAATCTTTAAATGTTTTACTATTACTTGGCAAAGCAAGATATTCTTGTCTTCTTTATTGATTTGTTTCCCCCCTCCCTAGTTGTAACATTCTTAATCGTACCCACCCATGTTAAATTCTGACCATTGGTTTGATTACAGAAAGAACACTACACTTTTTCTTCCTTCTGTCTTGCACCATGATCTTATTTATCAGGAAAAGTGATTAGATCTCAGGCAAGTGCAGAAGCGCTCTCAAAAGCAAGAAAAAATTACTCTTTGGCTGGATTTTTTTCTCTTTCTCTAAGTCACTTTATGTGTCTGAAAAACAAAACAAGTTTTATTGTTAATAAAACACTGGTCAATAAATTCTCGTCTCTCACTTAAGACCTCCTTGCCCTACTGTGAAAACTATTTTTAATAAGAAGAAGTAAAAACTTGATGTTGGGTTAAATATGTTATTTCCTTTTATTACCAATAGAAGCAATATTGGAAGTGAAACTAAACAGCAAATAGCATGATTTGTACTTTTTCATTCCCTTGTAATTCTGAAGACAATTGTCACAGAGGTGGTGTTTTTTCTACTAAGCAAAACACCTTGACTTGTATAAACTCATTAAGAGGCTGTGAATGATTCAAATAAATTATGTTTTTCAGTGCTAGAAAACATCAATAGCGGGTGAAAGAGGGAAATAAATGGTTGAGGGTATGCACAAGACTGTCCTGTTCAGGAGGCTGGTGGGTGGTTAGACTCATCATAGAGCATCAGAACTAGAAACAAGGCTGTCAATAGAGTCAGTAAGTATTTGAATAATATCAAGGGGAAAGGAAAGTAAATCTGTTGTGACAAAGAAAATTCTCTCCAGCCACAGCAGGGATTCATGCACATTTAGGGATAGTTCATACCTGGCATGTTTTACTAGAGAACTGCCTCAATTTCATATCCTCCAAGGGATAAGCCCCTTGAGAATCCATGGGTTATTGGAACCTCCTAGGTTTTTCTAGGTATTTTTTTCTCAGCCTGCTGCTGGCCTTTTGCTTCTCTGGTACAAATCAGTTCATTCCATCTGTCTCTCTTCTGTCCTTCTGTATTCAAGCCTTACCTATTTCCCCCAGGGAATGTTCTCCCAAGACAAAGCTTATGAAATCTCAATGACTAAATTTTAAAAGTGGCTTTAACCAAAGAAAAGCTTTAAAAAGGTGGAGGGGGGTGAGGTGGGAAGGATGAGAAGGAATACAGAGATGAACCATCTGGGGAAAGAAAGAATTTGGAGAATAAAAAGAAAAAAAGAATAAGAAGTTGTGTAGACATCATGATACACCTTCCCCAAGGGGTCTGGGGACGAGGATATGGCCAAAGGTAATTAACCTTTAGGTTTGAGACTGAATTCTACTAGTAACCTATTTCTTATCTAAAACTTTAGAAACACTTTATCAAACCTTGTTGGCATTTTTATTAGAATTTCCATATGAAGTAATATATTTCATTGTTTAAGACCATTTGAGTGGAGTCTTTAGTTCACTGCAGCTGAATAAAGAAACAAAAAATGTTTTTAAACATATTACAATTTTCCTAACCATTAGTTAGCAAAAGCAAATCCTACATAAAAAAGAATCAGTGGGTAGCCTGTCAGGCTTCCAGTTCGATTCTTTGAAATTCACTTTTTCCTAATTTCTTCTTCATGTTGAAGAAAAGAAAAGCTACAATTGTGTCTGTTTAGAGCCTTCTTCTTCACAATTTTAATTGTCCTTCTGACTTGAAGTTTTGCATGGAGAGAGGGAAAATTGACCTACTGCCCCGAAAAACGTACTGCTGTGAAATGCTATCTCCTTGGCATGCTCTGGTCATTCTCAATGCTGTTGACAGTTTCTCTTAACTATTTTCATTGTAAAATAAACTTCAGTAAACCAGCTGTAGTGCCCCTCTTTGCTGGACCCAAGTGTTCTTAATCCCTAAATTGATACCTTGCTTTCCCCAAGATCTCCCTAAACAGGGGCCCTCCCGATCAGATTTGGTGATAATTTATACTTCGTAATTTCACTTGACTTACTTTTCCCCATCCCAATCCTCTTAAACCACTTCTCCAAATGGATCAAGGTCCGTTCCAAACCTGCACCAGAAGCAGCTTCTTCACTTTCCCTTCAGGATCATCTGTTCCCACTATTTTTTCTACAGCAGTTTGAAAATATATAATAGTTTAAATCTGTACTATCTCCATTCTTTACTTCAAGACATGTAATATTCTATGGTAACTATGTTAATGACCATCTAGTATATTAAAATGAGACCCCAACTCAATCTTTCAGCAAATATGTATTGAATACTCCTTGTGTTTTAGACATTATGTTGAAAAGCACTAAATGTTGAAAATACTATTATCTAAAATTATGCAAAATCTACCTTTTCATGACAATAATATGGAACGACATAGCTTCAACTATGTGTTATTACCTATATTCAACATAAGATTTGTTAAAATGTGCAGACATTACTTGCTTCAGTCATACCTTACTTTCTCTAGTTTGAGATAATTTATTCAATAATTAATGTATTATATTGTGCATAGTTACATATTATTTAGAGCTAATATTTTTCTTTTCTTAGGAAAGTGGAACACTTTACCCATTAATTTAATGAAACATGTACCTGTTAAAAAGAAGTAAATATTAATCCTATGATAAGCTAATCTTCTAAAATATAACGACAAGTATTACATCTCTATAAATATATTATCATCTCTAATATCTGGAGTTTTTTCTTTAAAGATTACAAATTATGTGTTTGCTGTCTGGACTGCAGAATTTCTAGTATCATAAAAAGTAAAAGCATCATTTCATCACTGCAAATTAGTATCCCTTATTTCTCTGTGAAGGAATTAGGGAAAAATAATTAAAGTATGAGAGTGATCAGCATTCAAATGTGAAAAAGAAAATATCCCATAGCATTTTCCCTTTCTTTCCAATTAATCCTTTAACCTAAATTCCTAGGTTCCATTATGAGAAAACCTTTTCTTGTTCTCTTCTAAGGTCACTTATATAAGCCATCCCACACCACATCTTTTTTTTGGGGGGTGGGGGGTAGGGCAGGGCAACAAAGTCTTACTCTGTCACCAGGCTGGAATGCAGTGGCCCAATCTCGGCTCACTACAACCTCCACCTCCCGGGTTCAAGCGAATCTCCTGCCTCAGCCTCCCGAGTAGCTGGGACTACAGGCACGCACCACCACGCCCAGCTGATTTTTGTATTTTTAGCAGAGATGTGGTTTCACCATGTTGACCAGGATGGTCTCGATCTCCTGACCTTGTGATCCTCCCACCTAAGCCTACCAAAGTGCTGGGATTACAGGCATGAGCCGCTGCACCCGGCCCCACACCACATCTTAATTCCTTGGTCAAGGAAATTATGAGTCACACATACATTTAAAGCAAAATTCAAGGAATCAAAAGAGAAAGGTTTTTATTTTTCTATTACCTACAACTAAGAATGTAGTAGCTCCTGGTTGTGAGATGTCACATGTTTCTTTGTGGATAGATAATTACAAAAATTATCACTTTGCTTCTGCTGAGAGCTGCCTGCTACCTTAATACACAGTGAAGTGAAAGTTTTGTAATTGTCACTATTTTAAAAGGTGATAATTTAAATAGCTACCCAGAGGCATCATGTGATCCTATCAATTGGCAAGATGTGATACCAGTGCACACCTCAGGATGAATACAGAGGTTGTCATGGCAACACTGAAATTTGGGGAACTGCTCTAAAAGCTCCAGTGTTCTTGTGAATCCCAGGAATGCATGTGAATGTGTGGCTTCTACTTGTATGTCTTACTGACCGACCGCCTGGTCAGACCGTTGTAAGCAAGGTGCAATCAGGTTTACAGCTGTGCCTTTGGTTCTCCTGGCTTACGGCTCTCTGCTCCTTTGACCCACTGGGGTTTTGCATCACTCCCTTCATCACTATTGCTTTGAGCATTTGGAAAATATGTACCATCCAGTCAATATCAAGATGGATTTTTAATTTAAGTTTTAGCAGTAAGAAATTCGAAAAAATATATAACAATTTAACCATCAATGCAGTAAAATCTGGAATGCATAAGGAATACAGAAATTGATTCCAATGTTTACTCTAATTGAAAAATAGTTGGCCTCCCCCCACCTTCCCCCAGAGAATGAGGAATACAGGTAAGACAAATTATTTTACATTCCCATCACATTTTAGAGCTGTGGCCAAAAATGTATTAATTGTTGATCTCACATCTAAACGAATGCATACTTACAAATCAATGTGAATGGCCTTGAAAAACAAATATTTAACTTTCTTTGCTCCAAAACAGAAGAGTAAAATACTTCATAGAGGTTCAATTAGCATGACAACATAGTTTATGCACCTTATTTAATAATTTCTAGCTGTTTCCAGAATAAAATTTTAGAATGCTTATTTAGAGCTTTTGAGATTATTGATCACATTGAATTTCCTTATCAAATATCTCCCCAAATACTTCCAAACAACAAGCCCTGAATGTTGACTATGAGTAAATGTGTGTGACTACCGTGTTTGATTTTGTTTTATTTATGTCTTCAGAAAACAAAATCAAACAAAGTAGTCATACACATTTATTCCAACAAATCTTGTGGCATACAAAGGTATTATACTAAAATATTTGTATTTTACTACATTGTGCAGTAGTTGATCCTTATTTGGAGAAGGGAAGACAAGATGCAGACAAATTGGGAAACGTGAACATAAAGGCAAAATAGAGAGGAGCAATGCTTGAGAAACAGCCTGCTAAGGAGTACAGGGCTGTTGACCATAAGGCCTGGGTGGGGAGTTTCTGGAAATGAGCATAGGGACAGAGGTTTCAACCATATAATGAAAGGCATGGAAGGTTTTAAGAAAATATGTGATATAATAATATTCGTATCTCTGATGTTTATGTGAAAATAGATTGAAATACAGAAGATCAGAGCTGAGGAGATCAAGCAAAAGAAAATGAATAAGGTCAGAGCCAATAGGGATGAAGAAAAGGAAACTTGACTATTACAATTTTGATGAACACTATTTTCCAGGAGCCTAGTACACAGTTTCAAGCCAACTGCTTTTCAAAACAATGTCTTATTTCACCTGCCCTAGATGCTCCTCAAGCTCTATTATACTCCCCTATTTATAGATGAGGAAACTGAGCATGAAAAGTAAAAGAATTTCCTCCAAGGTCACACAACAGATAAAGAGATTTTGAATCAAATCTAATTTTGGAGGCACACTCATTGAATAACGATAAAGAGGGAGAAGAGGAAAATGAGTTAATGGTTTTCTTAGCTGCAAATCTAACCTCTAAATCTCTACTTTCTATATTCAGTACCACTTTCATTAAAGTAAAAAAAAGTAATGAATTCTTTGCATTGCTTTTAATTAACTTCATAGGATAATAAAGAAATCACAATGCAGTAAAATGGAGATTCATTAACAAGTATTATAATATTATACTATTTTAGAGTCTGAGAAAGATTCATAAAGTATAATGTTTCTTTCTAATTTTATCTTCTGATTCCAAATACCTAGCACGGTGGACCAGGTGAACACACAATATATTGCTTAATGGAGAGGCTTAAATATCAACTATGCCAATCTCCTCATTTATAAATGAGTAACCTGAGATCCAGCTTAGTCCTGTGACTTGATAAAGCAGGGCATAAAAATCACATCTTCTGACTTCAGTGAGTCCAATATCATTTTTATAAATAGTTAATTTATCTTAATAGAATCATTACCGGGATAGCATAATCAACATTACAAATATGTACTTTCATGTGTAAGAACTCAATTAGAAAAGTATAGTCAATGGATAAAATGTACTTGATAATAAATCTATAAAAACCATTTAGTTGCCATTATAAGAAATTTGCTTGGTTTTAAAATATCCAAAAGCAGGCATTATCCAGAACAGTTGAACAAGTTTATTTATACTTCATTTAATGTATAATTTCCGACACTTGTTTACTGAAACATTTTAACTTGCCTTAGTTCTTTATGGTCATATATGTATATTAAAATTCACACACATGTGAAAATGGAAAAAGGAAATGACTTGCTGCTATCTGATTCTATCTGATTCTGCGGCCCATGTTTCCATTAATTATCATATAATTAGATACCTTCTAACCCCATTGGGTCATAATGGGAACTAGCAAGTTCCAACAGGAAGAATTCTGTTGTTTATTTGAGAATGAAATGTTCCCTCTCAGAGGATTTCAACATGTTCTCCACACAGAAAATATGCTAGTAGGAGACCTTTGAACATAATTTTTATGCATTTACCATAAGTAGCATATGGTTTGGTGTCTTTAAAGGGACCAACCAGACCCAGCCTCACCTTCCTCTTGTGTGGAGCTCCAACAATAGTGTTCTACAAGCATGACTATAAAACCCAAGCAATGTTTTTGCACCAGATCCCAGAAGTAAAGTTTATTAGTCAGTGGAATTCTTGTATTAGATTTCAGAAAGCACCCAACTACCAAACGAGAATGAGGTTCCTCCACCATTCCAGCAGAGGGCACACTTTTAGCAGCTTTTGTAGCTGGTTGCTTCCTGGATGTTTGAATACCAATTGATTTGTCAGCAATGAGCCATTGCAGCAATGCTGTCAAAGTCTGGATCCCTGACTGGTGGCTGCAAACTGTTTATTAACAGCTTGATGCTCATTAAGGACATTGAGCCAGAATATAAGTCAACTGTGTCACTAAGTGTGCTATTTAGCATAGCTGGCATTATGTGTGTTGTGGGAGAGGCAAGACTCTCAATGAAAGAGGCAATACATTGATTTTCATTCTGATGTAAGCCATTTCACTTTTGATTGGGACTTCACAGAATTCTTTTCATAGCTGGCCTCTCTCCTCATTCTGATGGAAATCTGCAAGCTAAAGGCAGTCCTGATGATAGGAAGCAAAACAGCAACCTCAGAAGGATTTCAAAATGATTCATTTTCTTTACAAAAATATATATCATTAGCCTAACATAAGTAAGCGTTGAATATTATGATCTTGAGAATGAAAAAGATATACCTTTAGTGTTGCTGTGACTGAAGATGATATTTGACCCTTTAAAATGCATTAAGTTTCTTTCTATTGGCCTTTTATAGCTTATTATTTCATCAATATTCATATTAAGAATTGAAAGTTAAGAATGTTCCACAGCTCCAAGAAGTTGCTATTAGGTGTGCATATCAAGATGTTTTAAGGAGTTGATTATTATTGACTACATGTTCATGATTTCCAAGCCTGAAATTAACCTTTATATTACATGAGTAAAGGAAAGGACATTTTGTTTTCAGATTTTCCATGGATATTAACCTTTGATGAAAACCAAATTTTTCTTTCTTAATCTGGGCACGGCGGTAATTTTTTAATTATTCAATGTGCTACAATGTTCTAGATTGTCACTGATGCTAGCTATTTCAATACAACAGAGATGCAAGGCTTTAATGACCCTTATAAAATGAATTACATTTGCTTGGCCATTTCTTGGGTCTCAGACATATTTATTTTTATTTTCATGTTTATTTTCAAAAAGCAATTTAAAAACTAAAGTTAACATAGTATAAATAGTTTGCTTTCACATCATATTCAAAGATAAAAGGGGCTGTTTAATGGAGTGTGAGAAACAGCATCAGTTTTATAAAGACTTTTATTATCAGTGTGGAAGCTTTTAAGAACATTCCCTTGTAAAAAGAAAACAATATAAGAAAAATATTACAGTCAACATTTTTTCTGTTGTTTTAAAACTATTTGGCTGTCATGTTTTCCATACTATTCTAGATTAATCAACCATCTCAAAGGGCTATAAAATTGAAACAGAATACTAGCACCATTTTAGGACTCAGAAAGAACATTATGAAGTAATAAGTTATTACACTTTGTGGTTATGTAAAGCTAGTTTTCCTAAAAAAGGCATGGGACTTCAAACTCATAAGCAAGTTTCTTGTAGATTCTCTCAACCTTTCAATCAGATGCTAAATGGCTTGAAAGCAGAATGTTATTAATCAGAGAATAATATGCCAGCTCCTAAAAATGCAATCTATTTGAAATAGTAGTTTCTAGGGTTGGTTGCAGATCAACCACAGTGAGTTATGCAAATTCTAGAAGATTCTTAACATCAACTAAAATAATCAAATACACATTTGAGCACGTTTCACACATTGACTATGTACACCACTGTAGAAATCATTAGCCACAGCATCTATTAATAGTGGAAAATTAGCAATATTATCTGTCTAAAGATAATAAAGTTTCTAAAAAATTTCTTCAATTAACAGTTAATTAATTCCTCCAATTAACAGCAAATTATTTTATCTGTTGCATGTTGAGTTGCTTTGAATTTTTTTTGAAATCTTTAAAATGAGCTTTTAATTGAGCAAAATAACAGTTTTTAATAACTTCACACGTAAATAAATCTAGGTGGTATTACGATATGACTTGGAAAATGTATAAAGTCTAAAAAGAGCAACAATCAGTATCACAAGAGGCAAGGTTTTTACAGCTCTATCTAATTTTCAAAAAAATTTATATATCAATTTTTTCCTTTTATAGATTGTGCTTTTTGTGTCAAGCCTAAGAACACTTTGCCTAGCGTTAGATTTTGCATATTTTCTTCTCTGTTTTTTCTAAAAGTTTTATAGTTTTACATTTTACAACATTTCAGTTTAGAATTCATTTTGAGTTAATTTCTATATATAAGGTAGGACATTTAGGTCAAGATTTATTTTTTTGTCCATGGATATCCAATTGCTCTAGCACTATTTTTTCAATGTACTGTCCTTCCTCCATTGAATTGCTTTTGCAGTTTTGTCAAAAATCAGTTGAATATTTGTATGGGCCTATTTTGTGTTCTCTATTCTGTTCTTTCTACCAATTTCACATATTGGTAGCTACATAGTAAGCCATAATATTGGGTAGAGTGATTCCTTGAGCTTTATTCTTCTTTGTCAGGATTGTTTTATCAATTTCAGGACCTAAGCCTTTTGACATTATTTCAGAATAATTTTGTTTATGTCTACAAAAACACCTTATGGAGATTTTGATGGGAATTACATTAAGCCTATAAATAAATTTAGGAAGAATAGATATCTTCATGATGTTAATCTTCCAATCCATTAACACAGTCTGTCACTCCATTTATTTAGGGCTTCGATATTTTCCAACAACACTGGAAACTTTCAGCATGCATACCCTGTACATATTTTGTTTAAATGAATACCTCAATCCAATTTACCAGCTAATAGGCACTCATTCTTCAATTACTTTATCGATTCTTCTTACATTTGCAATTATATATTTCTTAATAATGACACCATTTCATAATCTGTTTGGAAATCTAAAATTCTACTTATTTCTGAGATATCCTCTCCTTTCTTTTTGCTGACAAATCAGTTCTATATGGTGTGTTGCTCTCAAAAGTTTCACTTATGCTAGGATAAGCTATAAGGCATGTTTTCTAAAGTCATATTTTGATAGCCTGTGTTATTTTAAACAGATAAGGTTTCTAAACATGGTCATTTAGCAGAAATCGTTTAAAGAATTAGCCAAAATGAGTTACTATGCTTTAAGAAGATGGAATATAAATTTATAATAACCATACTCAGAGAGGATGAATACAAAATAAAGTTTTGTGCTTATAGGTCTGATGTTTAATTGCTCTAGTCAAATAAATTAATAAAGAATGATAGAGTCTGAAGATTCTTCCTGGATACTACCAATTTCAGCTAATCCTCTCTCCAAAGACATAAATTAATATATACATGCTTAATATTTGTACTGGCTTCACAAAACTGTATTTTTGCTTTCCACTTTAGGTAAAGTCTCAACAGAATGTAAACATGACATTCCAGACTCTAGTTTCTTCCACCGATGTTTACATGTTTACTTTCCTTTTTCAGTAGCTGATATAGTTTGGCTGTGTCCCCACCCAAGTTTCATCTTGAATTGTACTTCCATAATTTCCATGTGTTGTGGGAGGGACCCGGTGGGAGATAATTTGAATCATGGGGGCAGTTTCCCCCATACTGTTCTTATGGTAGTGAATAAGTCTCATGAGATCTGATGGTTATATCAGGGGTCTCCGCTTTTGCATCTTTCTCGTTTTCTCTTGCCACCTCCATGTAAGAAGAACCTTTCGCCTCCCACCATAATTCTGAGGCCTCCCCAGCCATGTGGAACTGTAAGTCCAATTAAACATTTTTTTTCTTCCCAGTCTTGGGTATGTCTTTGTCAGCAGCGTGAAAACAGACTAATACAGTAAACTGGTACCAGTAGAGTGGGGCGTTGCTGAAAAAATACACCAAAATGTGGAAGCAACTTTGGTACTGGGTAACAGGCAGAGAATTGAACAGTTTGGAGGGCTCAGAAGAAGACAGGAAAATGTGGGCAAGTTTGGAACTTCCTAGAGACTTGTTGAATGGCTTTCACAAAAATACTGATAATGATATGGATAATGAAATCCAGGCTGAAGTGGTCTCAGATGGAGATAAGGAACTTGGAAACTAGAGCAAAGGTGATTCTTGTTATGTTTATCAGGGGTTTCCGCTTTTGCATCCTTCTCATTTTCTTTTGCCACCACCATATAAGAAGTGCCTTTCACCTCCTGCCATGATTCTGAGGCTTCCCAAGACATGTGAAACTGTAAGTCCAATTAAACCTCTTTTTCTTCCCAGTCTCAGGTATGTCTTTATCAGCAGCGTGAAAACAGACTAATACAGTAGCATTCTTTTTTCTTGTCATACAAGCAAGAAATATCTGATTTACCTTTATTTTTGGACTATCCTATTCTATCTAAACCTGATTATGCTCCTTAGGAAGATTCCTTAGGGGATTTCCAAAGACTTCTTTTCTTTCTATAAACATATTGTCAACAAAAAACCTATTTCACTGGCCTCCTGTGCTTAAGCCTCTTTCATTTGCACTTATTTCAAATATTATTGCTAGTTGTTAAAGTCCTCAAATTTAATTTGACCATTCTGTTATAATGAGATCTCATTGCCTTTAGGAGTTCTAATATGAATATCACTTATTCATTGATGGCATACTATGGATTCTGTGGCTTACACAAAGAAGTATACACAGGGGCTTCAAAATGGCTGACTAGAGGCATCTGGTAGTTGCCTCCTCCACAAAGAAGAACCAAAATAGTGAGTAGATAAACACACTTCCAATAGATAATCTGAGAGAGAACACTAGACTTTCAACAGAAAAGTGACAGGAAACACTTGAAGTGAAAATAAAGAGGAAAGCAAGGTAGGCTGCTTGGCCAGGATCAGCTGAGAGCCTACAAAGGCTCAACAATGTAGGGAAAGAGTAAGTGAGTGACTCCTGTAGTTCAAATTTCTACTATGACTCTTGCATGCTAGCCACAGGAAAGACCCTAGATCCTCAGGCCCCTAGACTAACATAGGGAGTGCCTGGGGACAGACCTGAAGAGAAAGCTCACAATGAGTGTCACACACACCCTGAGCCCTAACCATTTACAGCAAGGCACCATATTGAGAGACCAGATCCCAACAGATTGCATCTTGTCTGGGTGCCCAACAGACCATGCATATCCACATTTCTGGAGCCTCATTGACATTTCCCACCAGCAGCCACTACCATAGCTGACTGCTGCCTCCATGACTGAAGCACAAGCCATTGACAAAGGCCACACTGCCTCCAGCAGAGAAGCTGCAGTACATTTTCACGGGTTCCAAGGACAAACGTCCCTGCTCACAGTAGCTGCCACTTCAAGCTGCCACAATTGGGGCCAAAACACTTCTAAAGTGCTCACTCTTCAGCTGCTGCCTCCATGACTGAAGCATAAGTCATTGACAAAGGCCACACTGTCTGCAGTAGAGAAGCTGCAATACATTTTCATGGGTTCCAAGGACAAACGTCCCTGCTCATAGTAGCTGCCACTTCAAGCTGCCACAACTGGGGCCAAAACACTTGTAAAGTGCTCACTCTCCAGCTGCCTGCATATGGTTGATGCCACTGAAAGAAACCCTTCCCTTCCCAGTAACAAGGCTGGAGCACAGCCACTGCCATCTCCACCCAAGTAGGACTTTGGTCCTACGAATTGTTCTACCCAAGCATACCACGGCCAATGCCTGAATTCACCACCAGTAGGCTTGAAGAAAAGTCTTCCCAGCCAAACTCTGGCTCTGCAGTGCCTGAACATGCCTTCTGGAGGGGTCTGGGGAACATCCAGTCCAGGCAATCATTGTTGGCACCAGAGAACCCCTCCCAGAGTCCTAGGTCAGGCCCACCCAACCTGCTACCACAACCACAGCAAGAACCCACCTGTAGGCCTGGGGACTGACCCATGCAACCTGTCACAGCCACTGCCAACACCAGTATGGACCACGTGGGATGCAGAGGTTAGTCCCATCACTGCTACTACCATCTCCCATGCTACCCTCACTGCCCAGAGGCCTGAACCCGCCCACCTACTTGGCTCATTGCTGCCACTACCAGCACCTGAGCAAGTCTCCAGGAGGCCCAAGCCTGCCTGCACCCTCTAACACTGGTGCCAGTGTACCCACCCTTAAGCCCAAGAACAGTCATGTTCAGCCCACTGCTGCCACAACTGGAGCCCAAGGACAGGCCCATCTGGCATCCCCGTCTTCAGCAAAACTTCTCCACTGCCCCCACTAACAAATAAGAGAGAAAATGAGAAGGATGCAATAACCTAATCTACTGAGGAAATCACAAACAGCACTGATGCTGTGTACAGCAAAATGAATTACATGGAGAGTATACTACTGCATGCACCCAGTATCAAAGCCAAAGTGTCCTACCTAGCATGATAGATACTTCTTCAGTCCTTCCATACAAAAGCAAATCCAAAAAATTGAAACAAGCCACCATTATACCAGATGTGCAGATATCAATGTAAAGACACAGAAAGCATAAAAAGCAAGGTAATATGACACCTCCAAAGGAATACAGTAATACTCCAGCAATAGATTTCAATAAAAAATAAATTTATAAAATCCTAAATAAAGAATTCAAAATAATGACATTAAGGAAGCTCAGTGAGATACAAGAGAATACAAGAAAACAATAAAAATAATTTAGCATATGAAAGAAAAATTTACCAAAGAGCTAGACATTATTTTTTTAAAAGAACCGAATAGAAATTCTGGAGCTGAAGAAGTCATTGAATGAAAAACAAAATACTTGCAAAAGTTTCAATAATAGACTAGATCAAGCAGAAGAAAGAATATCAGAACTTGAAGACAGGTCTTTCAGAATAACACAGCCAGAAACAAATAAACTTAAAAATAAATAAATAAGAATAATAAAGTATATGTGACATAGGGGACATCTTAAAGCAACGAAATATCCAAACTATTGGTGTCCCAGAAGGTAGAGATAAATGAAGGGGTTAAAAAACCTATTTAACAAAATAATGGCTGAAAACTTCACAAATCTAGCAAGAGATTTAGACATCCAGATTCAGAAAGTTTAGAGATGCCCAAACAGATATACTACAAAAAGGTATTTTTCATAGTACATTATAGTCAAACTATCAAATGTTAAAGACAAAGAGAATGCTAAAAACAACAAGAGAAAAATATCTAGTCATTTATAAGGAACCCCCATCAGACTAATAGTGGTTTCTCAGCAAAAACCTTACAGGCCAGAAAAGAATGTGATGATATATTCAAAGTGCTGGAAATAAAAACCAAAACTGCCACCCAACAACAGTATAACCAACAAAGTTATCCTTTATAAATGAAGAAGAAATAAAATCTTTCCAAGAGAAGCAAAAGCTGAGGAAATTCATCACCAGTAGATCAATCCTGCCATAAATGCTTTAAGAAGTCTTACATCTGAAAGTGAAAAGATTATATCTATTATCATGAAAACACATGAACGTTTAAAACCCACTGGTAATGCAAACACATGAATAAAGAAGAGAAAGGATTCATATGTTACCACTACAGAAAACCACCAAGCCATAATGATAAACAATGAGAGAAGAAAGGAACAAAGGATATACAAACAACCAGAAATAAATTAATAAAATGACAGGAATAAGTCTTCAGATATCAATTATAACCTTAAATGTAAATGAATTAAAATTTCCACTTAAAAGATACAGGCTAGTTAAATGGAATAAAAATACATAACCCAACTGTATGCTGCCTTCAAGAAACTAATCTCAGCTATAAAGATACATATAGAGCAGGGATGTCCAATCTTTTGGCTTTCCCAAGCCACATTGGAAGAAGAAGAATTGTCTTGGACCACACATGAAATACACTAACACTAATGACAGCTAATGAGCTTTAAAAAAAAAAATCTCATAATGTTTTAAGAAAGTTTACAAATTTGTGTTGGGCCACATTCAAAGCCATCCTGGGCTGCATGCAGCCCACAGACTGTGGATTGGACAAGCTTGATATAGACTGAAAGTAAAGGGACGAAACAAAATATTCTATGCAAACAAAAGCCAAAAGCAAACAGGAGCAGCTATACTTATATCATATAAAACAGACTTTAAGTCAAAAATAGTAGAAAACAAAGGTAATTATATAATGATAAAGGAGTCAATTCAGCAAGATAATATGACTATTTTTTAAATATACACACCTAACACCAGAGAACTCAGATATACAAATCAAATCTTATTAGATCTAAAGGGAGAGATAGACTCCAATACAATAATAGTTGGGTTGGAACTTTACCACTCCACTTTCAGCATTAGACAGATCATCTAGACAGAAAATCAACAAAGAAACATTAGATTCAAACTGCACATTAGACCAAAGGACCTAAAAGACATTTACACTTATAGAACATTTTATTTAACAGCTTTAGTATACACATTCTTCTTATCAGCACGTGGAACATTCTCCAGAACCGACCATATGTTAGGACATAAATAAATTTTAACACATTTTTATATATTGAAATCATATTAAGTGTCTTCTCAGACCACAACAAATTAAAACTAGAAATTAATAACAAGAAGAACCTCGGACACTTAAAATTAAACAACATGCTCCTGAATGACCACTGGGTCAAGGAGGAAGTTAAGGAGGTAATAAAAAATATTCTTAAAACAAATGAAAATAAAAAATACCTTGAAACCCAGCATACCAAGCCCAATGGGATACAGCAAAAGCAGTGCTATAAGGGAAATTCATAGCAATAAATGCCTACATCAAAAAAGAAGAAAGCTTCTAAACAAATAATCCAGTGATGGTGGCACCTTAAGGAGCTAGAAGAACATCAAGAAACCAAACCCAAAATAAGCTGATGGAAAGAAATAATGATAATCAGAGCAGAACTAAACAAAATCAAGATTTAAAAACTAATTCAAAAGATCAATAAAATGAAAAGCTTTTTTTGAAAAAAACAAACACAGTCAACAAACCTCTAGCTAGAATAACCCAGAAAAAAAAATGAGAAAAGACTCAAAACATAAAAACCAAAGTCAGAAATGAAAAAGGAAACATTAAAACTGATATCACAGAAATACCAAAGATCATCACAGACTATTATGATCAACTATATGCTAACAAACTGGAAAACTTAGAGAAAATGGATAATTTCCTGGACACATACAACCTACTAAGATTGAATCAGAAAGAACTAGAAAGCCTGAACAGACCAATAATGAATAATGAGATTGAATTAATAACAAAATGTCTCCCCAAAAAGAAAAGACCAGGACCAGATGCCTTCACTGCTGAATTCTACCAAGCTTTCAAAGAAGAACACACACCAATTTTCCTCAAACTATTCCAAACAATTGAAGAGAAGGAAATTTCCCCTAACTCATTCTACAAGGCCAGCATTACCCTGATACCAAAGTCAGACAAGTATGCAACAAAAAAGAAAACTAAAGGCCAATATGCCTGATGAACACAGATGCAAAAATTGTCAACAACATACTAGCAAACCAAATTCAACATCACGTAAAAAAAAATAATGCACCATGATTAAGTAGAATTTATCCAAGGAATGTAAGGATGGCTGAAAATAGACAAATCAATAAATGTGACAGATTATGTTAACAGACTAATGGGAAAAAAGCATATGATCATGCCAGGTGACACAAAAAAAGCATTTGATAAAATTCAACAGTTCTTTATAATAAAAACTCTCCACAAGAGTGTTGAAGGAAAAATACCTCAATACGATAAAGACCATATATGCCAAACCCACAGTTAACATGATACTGAATGGTAAAACTGAAAGCCCTTCCTTTAAGAACTGGAACAAGACAAGAATGTCTACTTTCATGACTCCTATTCAACAGAGAACTGGAAGTCCTAGCCAGAGCAATTAGGCAAGAAAAAGAAATAGAAGGCATCCAAGAGGGAAGTCAAATTGTTTGACTTTACAGATCTAGAATGTTACATCTAGAAAAACTAAAGACTCCAACAAAACATTCTTAGATCTAATAAATAATTTCAGTAAAGTTTCAGGATATAAAATCAACATGCAAAAATCAATGATAAAAATCAGTAATGTTTCTGTACCCCAATAATGAACTAGCTGAGAAACATATCAAGGAAACAATTCCATTTACAATAGCTATAAAAAATAGCTAGGAATAAATTTAACCAAGGAGGTGAAAGATCTCTATAAGGAAAACTATGAAACACTGAGCAAAGAAAGTTAAGAGGACACAAAAAATGGAAAGATAGCCCATGCTTGTGGATTGGAATAATTAATATAATTAAAATGATCATATGGCCCAGAGAAATCTGTAGATTCAATCTAATTTCCATCAAGATGGCAATGTCATTGTTCACTACAATAGAAAAAAAAAACCTAAAATTCATTTGGTATCAAAAAAAGAGACTGAATAGCCAAAGCAATCCTAACAGTGGTAATGAAAACAATAATAGTATGGATATAAAAATAGTAATGAAAACAGCATGGTATAAAAACAGACACATGAAACAATGAAACAAAGTAGAAAACCTAGTTATAAATTCATGCATTTATGGTTAACCCATTTTCACCAAGATGGGTTATAAAGTCACCAATAAAGTCACCAAGAATGGACACTGGGGAAAGGACACCCTCTTTAATAAATGGTGCTGAAAAAATTTGATATCCATATGCAGAAGAATGAACCTAGAGCCCGACTTCTCACTATATTCAAAAATCAAATCAAAATGGATTAAAAACTAAAATGTAAGACTTGAAGCTATAAAACTAGTAGAAGAAAACATAGGGAAAACACTTCAGGACATTGGTCTAGGCAAAGATTTTATGGCTAAGATCCCAAAAGCACACACAACAAAAATAAAAATAGACAAAAAGGAATACATTAAACTGGAAAGCTTCTGTATAAACAAAGAAAACAGTTAATAGAGTGAAGAGGCACCCTGATGAATGGGAGCAAATATTTGCAAACTGTTCTTCCAGAATATACAAGGAACTCAAACAACTGAACAGTAAGAAAACAAATAATCTTATTAAAAGGTAGGAAAATACATGAATAGATATTTCTCAAAAGAAGAGATATAATAGGTACCAGACATATAAAAAACAAATCACTAATTATCAAGAAAATTGCAAATCAAAACCACGGTTAGATATCATCTTACCATAGTTAGAATGGCTACTACTAAAAAGACAAAAAAAATCAGATACTAGCAAGTATGCGGAAAAATGGGAATTCTTAAAGAAAATCAACAAAGAAACATTAGATTCAAACAGCACATTAGACCAAAGGGACCTAAAAGACATCTACATTTATAGAACATTTTATTTAACAGCTATAGTATACACATTCTTCTTAGCACATAGAACATTCTCCAAAATAGACCATATGTTAGGACATAAAATAAATTTCAACAAATTTTTATAAATTGAAATCATATTGTCTTCTCAGACTATGACAAAATAAAACTAGAAATTAATAACAAGAGGAACTTGTTACTGTTGGTAGAAATGAAAAATTAGTACAACCACTATGAAAATAGCATGGAGATTTCTCAAAAACTAAAAGTTGAAATGCCATATGCTCCAGCATTCCCACTATTGAATATAAGGGGGAAAAATTCAGTATATAAAAGGAATACCTGCACTCCCTTGTTTATTGCAGCACTATTTAATAGAGCAAAGATATGGAATCAACCTAAGTGTCTATCAACTGACAAATGGATAAGGAAAATGTGGTATATATACACAAAGGAATACTACTCAGCAATTAAAAAGAATGAAACCATGTCATTTGCAGCAGCATGAGCAGAACTGCAGATCACTGTGTATGTGACATAAGCCAGGCACGGAAAGACGAATATCATATGTTCTCACTCATTTGCGGAAGCTAGAAGTTTGATTTCATGGAAGTAAATAATAGAATGATAGATACCAGGAGCTGGGAAAGATGTATAGGTGACTGTGGGGTATAAACAGAGGTGGGTTAGTAGGTATAAACATACATTAGACAGAGAAAGTAAGTTCTAATGTTTGATAGTAAAGTAGGGTGACTATAATTAACAACAATGTATTATATTTTTCAAAACAACTGGATGAGAGAACTCAAAATGTTCCCAATATATAGAAATGATAAATACTCAAGGCCATGGACAACTCAGTTACCCAGACTTCATCATTATATAGTCTGTGCATGTAAAAAATTATCACATGTACCCCATAAATAGCACAAATATTTGTATCTATTTTTAAAAGCATATAAGTGCACCTCTGTTATCAGAAATTACATTAAAGTGTCACATTATTTGGAATGGAAAAGTCAAATGACATCAAAATGTAAGATGTGATCTGAACAAAATGTGTATTGCCAGTTGTGCCCTGTACAAAGGTATCTGGCCAAATGTAGAGGGAGCTGCTAGAAGCTAAAATTTAGTTCATGTTAAACTTACTAAACCACAGGCTCTAGTTGCATTTGCCAAGGAGGGTACTGTTTTCTAATTCTCACAAGGTACAATACAAGCAAATAGTTGCTCTATGTAGCACATAAGACGTGGTGACAGTTCCTAGGTTTCCTTCTCTCAAAAAGTCTTAAATTCAGAGGAGGCAGCTATCATTGGAGATTCATGTGTTGGAACAAGGCTCCATGTATCATGCACAATGTGAACTGGGCCTTGAAAAATTGGTAAAATTTGGTTCAAAAGATTCGGTGGAAAACTGCTAATGAAAGAAGCATGAACATTTAATACCCAAAGATGAGAATGAACGTAATGTATTTAAGAAATGTAATTGTTCCTAAAAATCTATAAATCCATATTTACATGGATATTTTTGTTACCCAGACATAAGCATTAATTTATTGGTGTCCTTCCTCTTGGCCCTTTTTTGTGTGTGCACATGCATGGGACGTGCATGTGCATCTCTGGTTACTGTACTTGGGAAGAGAATAATGAAACCAAGCGAGGCTATAAAAATGGGAGAAGACCAGCAAATACAAATATTAGCTGGGCATGGTGGCAGGTGCCTATAATCTCAGCTATCCCAGAGGCTGAGGCAGGAGAATCGCTTGAACCCGGGTGGCGGAGGTTGCAGTGAGCCAAGATCGCTCCATTGCACTCCAGCCTGGGCAACAAGAGAGAAACTCCATCAAATAAATAAATAAATAAATGAGAAATACACGTATGGAGTTGACTTCTGTTTGACAAAAATAAAGATAGAAAAGTAATATGATGGAAATACATATGAAGGAGATAGAAAGTGAAGGAAATAGACATCACAGAATAGCCAGCAAATTAGAAATAAAAGCATGAGAATGATTTTCAGGAGTCCATAGTAAGAAAAAAGATTCGGTCAATAGTTCAATCAAGAAACATTTATTATTATTTACCCTATGCCAAACAGAGAGCTGAGGGTGAGAAGATATAAAGATGAGGAAACAAAAGCTCCTGTTCTCAAGAAGCCCACAATCCAACAAAGACATAAGACAAGTGTATTAGTTCGTTTTCATGCTGCTGATAAAGACATACTCAAGACTGGGTAATTTATAAAGAAAAATAGGTTTAATGGACTCACAGTTTCACGTGGCTGGGAAGGCTTCACAATCACGGTGGAAGGTAAAAGACACGTCTTACATTGGCGGCAGGCAAGAGAGAGAATGAAAACCAAGCGAAAGAGGTTTCCTCTTATAAAATCATCAGCTCTCATGAGACTTATTTACTACTATGAGAACAGTATGGGGGAAACCACCCCCATGATTCAATTATCTCCCACTTTCCTCCTACAACATGTACGAATTAGGGGAGCTACAATTCAAGATGAGATTTGGGTGGAGACACAGCAAAACCATATCAACAAGCATATCGATTGTGGTATTTCAAATCTAATAACCAGAGCCCTGATTAAGGCACACGATGAGACATCAGAGCCAGCTGGGAAATTACAGCAGATTTCAGCGAGGACAGGGAAAGCAACTTTGAAGGATACACTAGACTCATGTATGTATAGATTGAGATAGGAAAGTAAACAAAATGCCTTAGAAATGGCTGAGAGTAAAAAGTTGGAGCCTGCCCAGATGGCAGCAAGCAAAGGAGGTGAGAAGACTAAAAGGCACAACTAAAACAAAGACGTTTTGGAAAGTTGAGTCAATGGAAGTACTATTTCCTTTGTAGATCTTTAAGCAGCAATATTTTTGTTTGTATATATACATACAAATAAATTTATATATTTACTTATATTACATATAAATATATTTAGAATATATAAAGAATATATATTCTTAGAATGTCTTAGAAATATATATTCTTAGAAAGAAATATATATTCTTACAATATATATTTATATACATTAAAAATAAATTTATATATTTATTTATATTACATATAAATTATTACATACTACATTATAAAAAATTACATTTTTATAAATAAAAAATTTATAATTTTATATTTATAAAATTATTAAAAATTTTATAATTTTATAATATTTATATTACATATAAATATATATTTAGAATATATAAAGACTATATATTCTTAGAATGTCTTAGAAATATATATTCTTAGAAAGAAATATATATTCTTAGAAAGAAATATATATTCTTACAATATATATTTATATTCTTAGAAATATATATTCTTACAATATATATTTATATTCTTAGAAATATATATTCTTACAATATATATTTATATTCTTAGAAATATATATTCTTACAATATATATTTATATTCTTAGAAATATATATTCTTACAATATATATTTATATTCTTAGAAATATATATTCTTACAATATATATTTATATTCTTAGAAATATATATTCTTACAATATATATTTATATTCTTAGAAATATATATTCTTACAATATATATTTATATTCTTAGAAATATATATTCTTACAATATATATTTATATTCTTAGAAAGAAATACATATTTATATTCTTAGAAAGAAATACTATTTATATTCTTAGAAAGAAATACGTATTTATATTCTTAGAAAGAAATACGTATTTATATTCTTAGAAAGAATATATATTTATATTCTTAGAAACAATATATATTTATATTCTTAGAAACAATATATATTTATATTCTTAGAAAGAATATATATATATTCTTAGAAAGAATATATATATATTTTCTTAGAAAGAATATATATTTATATTCTTAGAAAGTATATTTATATTCTTAGAAAGTATATTTATATTCTTAAAGTATATTTATATTCTTAGAAAGAATATATGTTTATATTCTTAGAAAGAATATATATTTATATTCTTAGAAAGAATATATATTTATATTCTTAGAAAGAATATATATTTATATTCTTAGAAAGAATATAAAAGAAAGAATATATATTCTTTCTAATAATATATACTTATATATTACCTATATATTCTTAGAATATAAAAGAATATATATGGAAATATAGAAAATATATATTCTAAGACCACATATATGTTATATGTGATATATATGTTTTATATAGAGAGATATAGAAAATATATGTTATATATAAGATATACATGTTTTATATATGATACATGTTATTTATATATATTATTTTATCTGCTAATCCTCCATGGGTGCTGATATGTTTCCATTACTGATGTTATGAAGAAATTACTATTCACACACACAAATAAATCAGCAATTATGGCATTTTCTGCTCAAGCACAGTTGATAATTTACTGAAAAAATTTAAAAATAAAAATTATGAGGATATTGCCTACCATGTTTGGCAACAATCCACAAGACTAACACCATTTTATGCTTCAGAGTTTATTGCAAATATAAATGTATTTTTAGGCAAGAAACGATTTGAGAAACCACAGTATTCCCTAGCTCATCCTGGAAATGGTAATTAGCACATCAGTAAATCACTTGTAGAATTTTATTTCCATGAACAAGAAAATAATGTTATCTCACTCAGTGCAGCAGGCTGATGTGAGTTATGACTTTCAGAAAAATGAAGCCTTATGATTAGCCACCAAAGGTGCAAATTTATGAAGATGATGTTGCTAGTACAGCAACATATTATTCTGAAGCACAGAGTAATGCTCACAGAACATTCTAAAGAATTCCCTAGAATAGCTTAAGAGCACAAGTATATCCTGCCCCATTTCCTTCCCCCTGAGATCAGAGTGCTGAACCTTTTTATTAATTATCTTTGTTTGGTTTGGTGCTCTTAAATACTCCAAGAAAGTTTCTTTGAATGTATCTATAGCAAGTTGCTTTGTACTATAAATTCATTTTAGTAGTTACAATTTTAAGAAGAAAGCTGGTTAAACGCTGATAAAATGATCCAGGCTATTATATAAATAATCGCTACCTGCACAGTATTTACGCATCACTTTAAAGCTCAATGTAGCTTGTAAATTTTTTAATCTACTTGTTCCTTCATTTTTCAGTGATTACTTTTATTTTTGCATTATTACACAGTTCATAGAAAAAAGATGTGTATTTCTTCTGTTTTTCTGCTGAAAATTACTTAAGAGAAAATGTCTTATTAGACTGCTTTGAATTACTCATTTACTAATCTAGAACTCCCTATGTCTAACAACATCACGAAAAAGAAATAATAAAATAATAGAATAAAAGCATGGAAATGGGACCTTATAGATAATCTATGGATAATCTAAAGTGGCAGTCTACAAGAATCCCACCAAAATATCTGTCCTGTGCATCCATAGCTTATTCATGGGGAATTTATCACCAGTGCGTATTTAATCTTCATACACCCATGGCAGTTACTCTTTACATCTCCAATGGGTCTTCTCTGTTATTCTGCATTATACCTGTGTAAGATGAAATAAAATAAAGTCTGTTTGTATATTAGATTGCTTACATATTTTCAGAGAAAGATGGTAGAGTAAAATTGATTTTACCCTAACCTCTCAGCAATCAACTAAAAGCAATATTTAAATAATGAAAACAAAATTAAATAGACAACTTCATTTCTAATAAAACAAAGAAGTAGTGACTACCTCATATCACAAATTATGATGATATATGTCAAGTAAAGTAAATTTGGGTCAAATCATGAGATAATGCAGAAAGTAAATATAGATTTTAGGCAACAGCCTGAATTCTTCAAAACTGATGGAATTTTTTTAAGAACCCAACAAAAGGTTGTTATGTAGAAAAGCAGAGCCTGGAAGAGGATTTGAGTTATGACAGCAACCTTTGCCCATTTCATACTTGAGAGGGGAAAGAGAAATAGGGCTTATGAACAATCACCAAAAGGCATCATAATAAAAGTAACAAGGATAAACTATATAATAAAAACCAAAGAATACCTAAGCAACGTTTCTGAAAAAGAATGAGAATCTATTGTCTATCAGAGTTTCTTAGAATAACATGTTGGAATAAGTGGATATTTGCTGAAGAAAGTTTGAGTTCTAATAACATCTCTACACCTCTAATTTCTCAGATAAATAGCAATATATTTGAAATATTCAATTTTTAACAAAATTTCTGACTGGTCATATCTTAAAGTATTATCATTTCAAATCCAATTTATTTCTAAATACTCTCTTTTTGTCAAAAAAAAGACAAAAGGGACCCAGATTCTTCTTATGAACTAATGAAGAAGCAGAAAGAAATACTTAAATATAATAATGTCATGGTTATAAATGTCTTTAAAAATAAATAAGGTTCTATAAAATTCAACTAGTTAGATTACATTTCTATTTCTGAAACATCAAAATAAAGGCAGGAGTTTTCCTCGTTTCCTAAAAAAGTCACCGTCAAGTAGCAAAAATAAGAACCAGAAGCAATTATAATTGTAAAAATGATAAATTCATTAAACAAATATTTATTACGTCACTATATGGTACACATTTTGTTTGAAGTACCCTGACATAAGTACAAAGACAAGTAAACTAAACATAATTTTTGTTCACGTGGAATTTACAGTCTACTGAGAGATTTAAATGTACTAATATGTTCTACTGCTTTATCTTTAAATAATGAGAGAATTTGAGAAATGAGAAGAAATAACTAATTATGATAGGTGAAAATTAGTTAATGTTACTTCTAGTTTGATTGTGACAAAATAAATACATGTGACAATGTTGATTTGGAGATGATTAAAATATAAACTAACATTTTTCCTAATTATTGTCACTTTCTTATTATGTGGAATGAATATTTTCCAGTCTAATTAACAAAATATGCTTTGTGTCACATATAAAACAAAAAAATGTATTGTTGTGATGCCAGTTCCTTTCAATAAAAAATATTTGGCACTATAAATATATAATAACAAAATGTATAAGTATTAAAGAAAATTGTTAAAATTTATTATTTTATTCTAAATTACATATATGGGAAAATATATTTATCACAAAATAGCTATTATGAGCCTACTATGCATAAAATCTCAATGTACTATTATATATTTTATGTCCAGGATTTTTACTTTTAAATAATCTCTATCAATTAAGAGAAAAAAGCAGTCTGCTTATTACTTAATAAAAAGTGAGATACTTTACTGTAACAACTCGTATAGTGATAAATATATTTAAAAGTGGATGAAATGCTATAGGAATCCAAGTCATAAAATTAAATTTATAGTTATAAAAGGTGAGATAGAAGGCAGGTGTTCTCCTTATCCTCTCCGCAAATCATTCTATGGCAAAACCCAGAAGCAGAAGCACAAACTCCAAGCCTTTGGATTTCAGAAAAAGTTTACAGAGCACCTTTCTTGAAAATAAGTGGTATATGCAATTCTACATGCCATATTTATCTTGGAGGAAGACATACATCTCTTCAAGGAGCATTCTACTGGTGAAACTCAAAAAGGAAAAAGGCTGCATTGAGAGACATAACACTCTGTATTCAGATGTAAAACTCCAATTATTCTGGTTAGCCTCTCATATAGCTCCGGCCCCATTCCAGTCCTGTGAATCACTTAAAAATGGCTGATCTAGGGGAAACTCATGTTACCAAATCCAAGTGAAATTTTTTAAATGACCATTGTATGCGTATCCAAGGATATTTAAAGAAAAAAAAGTTGAACACAGAGAAGAGAACACGGAAAAACAAACAGTAAATTAGGAGTATTCACTAGAAAAATATTGCCACAAAAACAGATAAAAAGACTGATTAACTGTATTGCCACTAATGAACAGTATTAATGAAGAAATCTTCTATATAGATCAAGAGCACAATGTCACAATACAAGAGTTTAGAAATAACAAGTCAAGACCTAAGATGTGATCAGCTTTGTTTACTCTTCTACATTTCTTGAGAAGAAAGTACCCTATTCGTATTAGGGTGTTAATTTCAAAAATATCTGTGAAATCTACTGTATTGTTTATATTATACAGGTCTAGATCTTTATTATTTTTTATATACTTGACTTGACTTGAACTGAGAGTGATATATTTGAATATTTTACCATTCCAGTTTATCTGTAAATTTTATTTTGCATCTCATGTAGTTCCTGCCTTATGATGGATATTTGTTATAGTATTTGGTATGCAGGTATTTAAAACTTCTATATCTTCATGGTAAATTGTAAACCTTCACATCATGAGTGTCCTACCTACCTACTTTTCAAGTTGAATTTTTCACTTTAGTACTCCTTAACCCTATGTGTCTGCCATACCAAATATCTTACAGTTTCATTAATGAGTCATTCATTGTATCTCTCTCTGTCTCAGTGGAACACGCTACCCCAATTAATTAGTTTACCTGGCACTTCAACAAGACTTCTCTGAAGGTTATGCTCTTTCCTTTTACTCACTAGACCATATAAATATCTCTGTTATAGTATTAAAAATATAAGGCTAACTATTATTTTCCATTTATGTCCTCTTCTAGACTATAAACTTTTTAAAAATAATTGCTTTGTGGATTTATCTCTGTGCCCTCAGGGCCTGCAGTGTAGCCAACACTCAATGGGTGTTTATGATTTTAGGCAGTGTGATGAGATTAAAGCTATATTCCAGGCATCAGTTAAGGTTATAAGAAAAAATATTTAGTTCTATGCAGAACAGCATTCAAGGTAAAGCTCTGGGCAAAATGTCATAGCCACAGCCAGATAGGCTGGACGGATGAAGAGAAAAGAAAAACATATGACCTGGCACAATTTTTGGTGAAAAAAAAGTAGAGTTTAAGAGGAAAGATGGCTCACATAAATGTGGCATATAAATACACAGAAGGCCACCTCAGATACTGGAATCTGGACAAGTATAGCAGGCAGAGTTCTGAGAAGATACTAAGACCCTTGGTTCCTGATATATACATGCCTTCCTCTAATTATTCAAACCAAATCTATGTGCTTCTGTGAAGGAATTTTGCAGTGTAGTTAGATCCTAGATCAGCTGACTTTAATAAAGTTGAGGCAGTGAGTCTGATCTATTTACGTGAGCCATTAAAGGGGAGGAGGCTCTTCTTAACCAAAGAAATTTAAAGTATGAGAGGGACTCAATAAGAGCAACTGTTTATTGCTGGCTTCAAAGGTGGAGGGAAACATGCCAAAAGATTGAAAGTGGCCTCTTCCAGCTGAGATAAGCTTTGACTGACAACCAGCAAGAGAGCCAGCATTAGTCCTAAAACCACAAGAACTGAATTCTCCAGCATGAATGCGCTTGAAATAGGACCCTAGGCTCCAGATATAAACACATCCAGCTGAAACCTTGATCTGGTATGTTCTTGACACATGGGTTATATTATGCTTAAAGTTCTCACCTACAGAACTGTCAGCTATTAAGTGGCAGACTTAAGGTAACTTAAACTTAAGGTATTAAGTTTGTGGTAATACATTGTGTAGCAATGGAAAACTAATATGATAAGTAACTAATTGTATGCCCCAACCCCTTACTAATGAATGTAGTCAGAATTGTGTCAAAAGCCATGGGTGGGACTTAGCATCTAGCTTGAAAATCTTTGCCATATACTTCTAGACCACATTTAGGAGGGCAAGAGTGACGTTAGCAAGCCTTCTAGAGACTGGGTTCACCTCTCTGAAACTCAGTCCCCACAGTGGAATATAACTTTCTACTGCGGGAATGCTTGCTGCCTCCTGTGACCTGCAACCAGAAAGCAATCTACTCAGATGGCTTTCAGATCCTACTCTACCATTTAATTGTTGAATTACCTTGGACAATATATTGAACTTAACTAAGCCTCTGTTTCCTCATCTATAAAATGGGGATTGGAGTAACCATTTTATAAGTTTATCGTGAGGATCAAATGAGATAACATCCTTAAGCTTTTAGCACATTTTTGAGAATATAGTAAACACTCATACATATTAGTATTAATTCACTATCTCAGACAAATTTCTTTCCTTCTCTAATGTTCTTCCCTGGCCTAAAAAAACCACATATGCATGTATAACGGGTATAACGGCCAAGAATAAATACCCATATGTTCAGGATATAATACACAAAATGTTGTAAATAATGTCTCTTTGTAAATGTTAGAATATACATGCAAATAAAGACTTATCTGACTTCAACAGCAGGTGGATTTACATAAGCAACACACAGTTAAATAGCTGGGACCATGTCCATTTTACCAATACATTTTATAATATGCTGTCTACATTTTAATTGTAACACCTGCTCCTGATTCTGAAAGAAAAAAAGTTTATTTATCCTTTAAGTAGGTTAGGTGAATAAATATTGCCATGTTTTAACCCATCATATATTATATAATTATTTCTTATTCCTAGCAAAATATTTTCATTTTGAGTTCCAATAGTAAAAATTATCTCAAAAATTCTATCAAGCACTCTATGGATTCATGGTTAGTCTGTCTGAAGATATTAAAATGAAAAATCACTGCCCTGACTTGAAACTTAGGAGATACCAGAGTAAGAGAGACTGAATATAAAGCTACTGTAATAAATACTAACAGGAATAAGGAGGTGAAATAAGGAAATGTGAGCTGAAAGGAAAGGGAGATACTGATGTGGAAAGGAGATACTATTGCTGATATAAAACAAAAGCATCTGGAAACTGACCAGTTGTGGAGAATGAAGAAGAATGAAGAGAGAAAATGTTTCTTTTTCATTTCTTAGTTCATAAACAATGAGTAAGCAAACCCTGTCAAGCCTATGTCCACAATTCTGAAATCAGAGATATAAAAAAAAAAATCACATTCCTTTTAAGTTAGACAAACCTGAGTTTGAGTCTCAGTTCTACCATTTATTATTTTTTATAATTATTATTATCATTATTAGGTATTGTTCTGTCACCCAGGCTGGAGTGCAGTGGCACAATTACAGCTCACTGCAGCCTCTACCTCCTGGGCACCAGTGATCCACCAGCCTCAGCCTCCCAAATAGCTGGGACTATAGGCATCCACCATCATGCCCAGCTAATTTATTTAATTTTTTGTGGAGACAGAGAATCCCTATGTTGCCCAGGCTGGTCTCAAACTCCTGGACTCAAATAATCCTCCTGCCTCAGCCTCCCAAAGTACTGGGATTACAAGCATGAGACACCATGCCTGTCCAGTTCTTCCATTTATAATCACCATGACTGTTGGCAAACATCTTAATTTCCTTGAGATTTGATCTTGTTGATGGTAAAATAGTGATGGTAAATGTCTTTGCTTATCTGTATCACTCAACTCTCTTGAAACTCAAACGAATGTGTGCAAAAGTCTCCTTAAGTTTTCTAAGATGATGATGTCATTGACTATGGTAGCTATCAGAGGTAGCAAAGCAGATTTCTGTCAGGCTCTGAGGAAGATAGGGAGTTCAGACTATGGCATGTTATAGATGAGAAAGCAGCAGGATATGCAAGTGTAAATTTCAAAATAGATATATGGAGATATCTCTGGAACTTAGGAAAACAGTGAGGGCTAAACAAAAATAAACAAAAATACAAAAACAAAATTGATTTAAGAATCATCTCTGTAGTACTGATGGTTGAAACTGTGGGAGTATATCAGATGGTCAAAGAAGTTTAAAGATTTTACCATAGTATGAAAGAAGAGAATAGTCACAACTACAGAGTTAAGCTGTGCATACAAAAGATGATTAGGATGCATTCTTTGCCTTTAAGGAGCTTATATTTTAAAGGCAGAATCACACCTGAGTACATAAAATTTTAATTCAATACAGGTACTAATAGAGTATAGAAGCCTCATTTCTGAAGTTCCTTAAAGGCAAGAGAGGTCATCAGGAAAGCTACATGTCTGATGCTTGGGAAACTGAGGAGATTTGAATGAAATGAAAATGAAAAGAATATTGCGTTTCATACTTTGTTGACTCAAGTGGATTTTCGTCTTATTTGGTTTAAATTAGTAAAATGTTTCTGATATTTGCCAATCAATTCTCTCTCTGACAGGCAGCCACACAAAAAAGTGATCTTTTCTTTGTGTCCAAAAATATAAATCTGGCTCCGGATTTGTATCTTGGCCCCTTGCATTTGTTTAAACAGAATACTTTAATGACTGTCTTCCAACACCAAGCTCATAATTTGAGTTCACCATTCCATGACCATATTCTTTCATCTAACCTGTTAGAAGGGTAGGCCTTGTGGGTACAGCCATGAACTGCAAAATCTAGATAGAAAGGAAAATAAATACGACAGGAAGATTTTTGAACACTTGACCCTCTAACATGGCACTTTATAATATAGAGAGTAGTATTTACTTTTTAAAACAAATCATTCAAACCTTCTTTATAGTATGCATTCCACAACAATGTCTGTGAATTTCTATTTTGCTGTGCCCTCTACTATATGAAGAAACATCATTGTTGAAACTGTTGCTGATTTCTTAAAGAACACATTAAATACTAGAATTCTATTATGTCTTTAACACGTTTATTAATTATTGAGTTCAAATATATTTTCATATATTTATTTAAATTTTCTCTTTTGTCATTATCTACTTGCATCCTTTGATGATACCTCAAATTATTAGGTATTATTTTACCTCTGACCCTCTCTCATCTATCTCCTTGCCTCCCTCTTTTTCTCTCTCTCTCTCTCTTTCTATCCTTTCTCTTCATATTCTTTTCTTATACTTTCCTTTAAACATTGGTTTCATAATAATAATCAAAAAACATAACTACAGTAGTAGTAGTAGAGTGAAAACATATACCACAAACAGGAAAATTTAGAAACTTTCTTCCCCCAAGCTAACCTTTCAGAAGTCACACACAGATTTGCCAAGCCCCAAGAATGGATTACTCACCCCTATTAAAGATTACTTTTGAAGAATACTCATTCTGGGAAACCATAAAACAATGAATAATGACTCAGAACTATAATTCTATTTGTGCAGATGACTCAACTGGCTTATTGAAATTTTCTTACTTCCTGGACTCTTTTATATAAAGAGCTGAGTATTTTAGAATCCCAGACTACTATATATGTGTGTGTGCTTGTATATATATATATATATATATATATATACAAGCACACACACAAATGCAAGATATATATATATATACATATATATATATGCCAGGAATCAAGATTCTAAAGGAAATGGTAGAAGGGAGAACATGCAGAAAATGACAGAGGAAGCAGTTATTAAATTTTCCACCAATAATTCCCAGAAAGTGGTATGCAAATCCTCAGGTCTTGTCTCCAAAAAAACTTAATCCTAACCCTGAAATCTGTGTTCAACATGTCCTCCAGAAGATGTTGATGCTTGCTCAAGTATAAGGGCTGTCGGTTTTGAGGACCATGTGATGACATGCCTACCCTGCCACCAAAATATTATTTACAGGTTACTCCAGTTTTGTCTTGGATCCCTTCACATTGCAGTTAGTTCATGCTCACCACTGTGACTATGACACCTTCCGAGGGTGGGAATACAACTAAACAAGATTTTCAAAACAACACTTCTGCTGGAAACTCAACTAAGTTTTAAGATTCACATTGGGCTTCCTGAGTCTGATCAGGCATTGGAACTTTAAAAGAAGGGAAGGACTTTTTTTTCTTACCTCCACATCATTATCCACAGTCCCTCCCAGACAGATTCTCAGAGACCATTCACTCATGCATTCATTTGTGTGTTCATTCATGCTTGTGCTTTGTGCCTGGGCACACGCCTGCCACTGGGATACAGAAGTTAACCAACAGATATGGGCCACGACTGCACAGAAGTTAGATAAATGTCTTTTAAAATGTCTTAAAAAGATGATTGATGTGCATTATAAAGTCCCATGGTATTTAATTTTAAACTCTGATTACAAAAGTATAGGAAACTATGAAAGAAAGAGGATATAATTTAAAATTCATAAAAAATTTTCCCAAAGAAATGACAATATAGGAAAATATCAAGGTCTTCCTTGTCCAAATGTTTGTCCATCCCCTCAGGGAATAATAGGACACTCAGCTGGGAAAATTGCGTGTGGTAGTGAAAGGAGGGGCCAGCTGGGCTTCCTGGGTCGAGTAAGGGCTCAGAAATCTGTGAAACTCATTCATTTCCTGCATCAGGACTTACTTCGGTCCTGGATGAATAATATCGAAGATATGTGCTTAAAATATTCCTAACACCAGGATTTGTGCATGTGTTTTCTTCCCCAAGAGAGCTACAAAGAGCGAAAATTTTGCTGTAAGCTTCCCTGTGTCCTCTCTCCCTCTCTCCCTTCCTTCTCCCCGAAAACTAAAAGGAATGTTAAAAGCCCATTTTTCTGTGACCAGTGGACCTTATCTATGCTCCTAATTCCAATTCCTTGTAAACATCCTTTGTAAAGTCCTGTAAGATCCTGTCTCCTTTGCCATGCTGCTGTTAAGGTCATAAAGTAGATAAAACCTAAGTTGCAATTCCTGTTTTCCTCAAGATCTAAAACGAGTCACAAATGGTTAATTGTCTTTGTTTCTCGCTCTGGTAACATCTTCCCCCTGCAGGTATTTCCCACCTTAAAGAGTTTAAAAGGAAACTGCATAATCTAACCCTTGCTACCTGCTGGGGACCCCTTCCATGCTGTGGAAGCTTTGTACTGTCACTCTGTTCAATAAAGCCTACAGCTTTTTTTCTCTTGGTCTGTGTCTCCATCACTCACCGCAGGCAGCTGCCACACCAATTCTTTGGCGTGGCTAAGGCAAGAACCTTTGGCGTTACAGTAGGAAGAAAAGAAATTATTTTCTTCCTCTTCCTTTGAGATAAAATAAATATGTGGGGAAAAGTGCACTACCACAGTATTTATTCTTTTTATCTATCCTGATTACTTTCAGGATTATGATGATAAAAAAATGTGCTAGCCCATCAATTTAAAATGAAATACTGAATATGTATTAAATCAACCAACTTACATAAAGGTGAAGATATAGACTGGGTTTTCAACTGAGTGGTTGTACAGCACTTCTTACCTGCAGATATGATATGCAACCTTATTTTCATCAAATAAGAAGTGGGGCAGGGTGTCAGGCCTCTGAGCCCAAGCCAAGCCACCAGCATCCCCTGTGACTTGCACGTATATCCCCAGATGGCCTGATGTAACTGAAGAATCACAAAAGAAGTGAACATGCCCTGCCCCACCTTAACTGATGACATTCCACCACAAAAGAAGTGTAAATGGCCGGTCCTTGCCTTAAGTGATGACATTACCTTGTGAAAGTCCTTTTCCTAGCTCATCCTGGCTCAAAAAGCACCCCCACTGAGCACCTTGCGACCCCCACTCCTGCCCGCCAGAGAACAAACCCCCTTTGACTGTAATTTTCCTTTACCTACCTAAATCCTATAAAACGGCCCCACCCTTATCTCCCTTCGCTGACTCTCTTTTCGGACTCAGCCTGCCTGCACCCAGGTGAAATAAACAGCCATGTTGCTCACACAAAGCCTGTTTGGTGGTCTCTTCACACGGACGCACATGAAATTTGGTGCCATGACTCGGATCGGGGGACCTCCCTTGGGAGATCAATCCCCTGTACTCCTGTTCTTTGCTCCATGAGAAAGATCCACCTATGACCTCAGGTCCTCAGATCGACCAGCCCAAGGAACATCTCACCAATTTTAAATCAGGTAAGCGGCCTCTTCTTACTCTCTTCTCCCACCTCTCTCACTGTCCCTCAACCACTTTCTCCTTTCCACTCTTCAATCTCTCCCTTCTCTTAATTTCAATTCCTTTCATTTTCTGGGAGAGACAAAGGAGACACGTTTTATCCATGGACCCAAAACTCCGGCGCCGGTCATGGACTGGGAAGGCAGCCTTCCCTTGGTGTTTAATCATTGCAGGGACGCCTCTCTGATTATACACCCACGTTTCAAGGGTGTCAGACCATGCAGAGACGCCTGCCTTGGTCCTTCACCCTTAGCGGCAAGTCCCGCTTTTCTGGGGAAGGGGCAAGTACCTCAACCCCTTCTCTCCTTGTCTCTACCCCTTCTCTGCTTTTCTGGGAGAGGGGCAAGTACCCCTCAACCCCTTCTCCTTCACCCTTAGCGGCAAGTCCCACTTTTCTACAGGGCAAGAACCCCCAATCCCTTATTTCCACGCCCCAACCTCTTATCTCTGTGCCCCAATCCCTTATTTCCAAGCCCCAACCTCTTATCTCTGTGCCCCAATCCCTTATTTCCAAGCCCCAACCTCTTATCTCTGTGCCCCAATCCCTTATTTCCACACCCCAACCTCTTATCTCTGCACCCCAATCCCTTATTTCCATGCCCCAACCTCTTATCTCTGTGCCCCAATCCCTTATTTCCGCACCCCAACCTCTTATCTCTGCACCCCAACCCTTTCCCACTTTTCTGGAAGGTGAGAACCCCCGAACCCCTTCCCTCCGTTTCTCTACTCCCTCTTTTCTCTAGGCTTCCTTCCTTCACTATGGGCAACCTTCCACCCTCCATTCCTCCTTCTACTCCCTTGGCCTGTGTTCTCAAAAACTTAAAACCTCTTCAACTCACACCTGACCTAAAACCTAAATGCCTTATTTTCTTCTGCAATGCCGCTTGACCCCAATACAAACTTGACAGTAGTTCCAAATAGCCAGAAAATGGCACTTTGAATTTTTCCATCCTGCAAAATCTAAATAATTCTTGTCATAAAATAGGCAAACGGTCTGAGGTGCCCGACGTCCAGGCATCCTTTTATACATCAGTCCCTTCCTAGTCTCTGTGCCCAGTGCAACTCATCCCAAATCTTCCTTCTTTCCCACCCACCTGTCCCCTCAATACCAACCCCAAGCGTCGCTGAGTCTTTCTAATCTTCCTTTTCTACAGACCCATCTGACCCCTCCCTTCCTCCCCAGGCTGCTCCTCGCCAGGCTGAGCTAGGTCCCAATTCTTCCTCAGCCTCTGCTCCTCCATCCTTTTTATCACCTCCCCTCCTCACACCTGGTCCGGCTTACAGTTTCCTTCCGTGACTAGCCCTCCCCCTCCTGCCCAGCAATTTACTCTTAAAAAAGTGGCTAGAGCTAAAGGCATAGTCAAGGTTAATGCTCCTTTTTCTTTATCCCAAATCAGATAGCGTTTAGGGTCTTTTTCATCAAATATAAAAATCCAGCCCAGTTCATGACTTGTTTGGCAACAACCCTGAGACATTTCACAGCCCTAGACCCTAAAAGGTCAAAAGGCCATCTTATTCTCAAAATATATTTTATTACCCAATCTGCTCCCGACATTAAATAAAACTCCAAAAATTAAATTCCAGCCCTCAAACCCCACAACAGGATTTAATTAACCTCGCCTTCAAGGTGTACAATAATAGAAAAAAGTTGCAATTCCTTGCCTCCACTGTGAGACAAACCCCAGCCACATCTCCAGCACACAAGAAGTTCCAAAAGCCTGAACTGCAGCAGCCAGGCGTTCCTCCAGAACCTCCTCCCACAGGAGCTTGCTACATGTGCCGGAAATCTGGCCACTGGGCCAAGGAATGCCCGCAGCCCGGGATTCCTCCTAAGCCGCATCCCATCTGTGTGGGACCCCACTGAAAATCGGACTGTTCAACTCATCTGGCAGCCACTCCCAGAGCCCCTGGAACTCTGGCCCAAGGCTCTCTGACTGACTCCTTCCCAGATCTTCTTGGCTTAGCGGCTGAAGACTGACACTGTCCGATCGCCTCGGAACCCCCCAGACCATCACGGACACCGAGCTTCGGGTAACTCTCACAGTGGAAGGTAAGCCCGTCCCCTTCTTAATCAATACGGAGGCTACCCACTCCACGTTACCTTCTTTTCAAGGGCCTGTTTCCCTTGCCTCCATAACTATTGTAGGTATTGACGGCCAGGCTTCTAAACCTCCTAAAACTCCCCAACTCTGGTGCCAAATTAGACAATACTCTTTTAAGCACTCCTTTTTAGTTATCCCCAACTGCGCAGCTCCCTTATTAGGGTGAGACACTGTAACTAAATTATCTGCTTCCCTGACTATTCCTGGACTACAGCTATATCCCATTGCTGCCCTTCTTCCCAATCCAAAGCCTCCTTTGCGTCCTCCTCTTGTATCCCCCCCACCTTAACCCACAAGTATAAGATACCTCTACTCCCTCCTTGGCAACCAATCATGCACCCCTTACCATCTCATTAAAACCTAATCACCCTTACCCCACTAAACACCAATATTGCATCCCACAGCACGCTTTAAAAAGATTTAAGCGTTATCACTCGCCTGCTACAGCATGGCCTTTTAAAGCCTATAAACTCTCCTTACAATTCCCCCATTTTACCTGTCCGAAAACCAGACAAGCCTTACAAGTTAGTTCAGGATCTGCGCCTTATCAACCAAATTGTTTTGCCTATCCACCCCATGGTGCCAAGCCCATATACTCTCCTATCCTCAATACCTGCCTCTACAACCCATTATTCTGTTCTAGATCTCAAACATGCTTTCTTTACTATTCCTTTGCACCCGTCATCCCAGCCTCTCTTCGCTTTCACTTGGACTGACCCTGACACCCATCAAGCTCAGCAAATTACCTAGGCTGTACTGCCGCAAAGCTTCACAGACAGCCCCCATTACTTCAATCAAGCCCAAATTTCTTCCTCATCTGTTACCTATCGCAGCATAATTCTCATAAAAACACACGTGCTCTCCCTGCCGATCGTGTCCAACTAATCTCTCAAACCCCAACCCCTTCTACAAAACAACAACTCCTTTCCTTCCTGGGCATGGTTAGATACTTTCGCCTTTGGATACCTGGTTTTGCCATCCTAACAAAACCATTATATAAACTCACAAAAGGAAACCTAGCTGACCCCATAGATCCTAAATCCTTTCCCCACTCCTCTTTCCGTTCCTTGAAGACAGCTTTAGAAACTGCTCCCACTCTAGCTCTCCCTGACTCATCCCAACCCTTTTCATTACACACAGCCGAAGTGCAGGACTGTGCAGTCGGAATTCTTACACAAGGACCAGGATCGCGTCCTGTAGCCTTTTTGTCCAAACAACTTGACCTTACTGTTTTAGCCTAGCCCTCATGTCTGCATGCAGCGGCTGCCACTGCTTTAATACTTTTAGAGGCCCTCAAAATCACAAACTATGCTCAACTCACTCTCTACAGTTCTCACAACTTCCAAAATCTATTTTCTTCCTCATACCTGACGCATACACTTTCTGCTTCCCGGCTCCTTCAGCTGTACTCACTCTTTGTTGAGTCTCCCACAATTACCGTTGTCCCTGGCCCAGACTTCAATCCGGCCTCCCACATTATTCCTGATACCACACCTGACCCCCATGACTGTATCTCTCTGATCCACCCAACATTCACCCCATTTCCCCAAATTTCCTTCTTTCCTGTTCCTCACCCTGATCACTCTTGATTTATTGATGGTGGTTCCACCAGGCCTAATCGTCACACACCAGCAAAGGCAGGCTATGCTATAGTACAAGCCACTAGCCCACCTCTTAGAACCTCTCATTTCCTTTCTATCGTGGAAATCTATCCTATCCTCAAGGAAATAACTTCTCAGTGTTCCATCTGCTATCCTACTACTCCTCAGGGATTATTCAGGCCCCCTCCCTTCCCTACACATCAAGCTCGAGGATTTGCCCCCACCCAGGACTGGCAAATTAGCTTTACTCAACATGCCCGAGTCAGGAAACTAAAATACCTCTTAGTCTAAGTAGACACTCACTGAATAAGTAAAGGCCTTTCCTACAGGGTCTGAGAAGGCCACCGCAGTCATTTCTTCCCTTCTGTCAGACATAATTCCTCAGTTTAGCCTTCCCACCTCAATACAGTCTGATAACAGATGAGCCTTTATTAGTCAAATCAGCCAAGCAGTTTTTCAGGCTCTTAGTATTCAGTGAAACCTTTATATCCCTTATGGTCCTCCGTCTTCAAGAAAAGTAGAATGGACTAAAGGTCTTTTAAAAACACACCTCACCAAGCTCAGCCACCAACTTAAAAAGGACTGGACAATACTTTTACCACTTTCGCTTCTCAGAATTCAGGCCTGTCCTCGGAATGCTACAGGGTACAGCCCATTTAAGCTCCTGTATAGACGCTCCTTTCTATTAGGCCCCAGTCCCATTCCAGACACCAGACCAACTTAGACTGTGCCCCCCCGAAAAAAAAAAAAACTTGTCATCCCTACTATTTTCTGTCCAGTCATACTCCTGTTCACCATTCTCAACTACTCATACATGCCCTGCTCTTGTTTACACTGCCGGTTTACACTGTTTTTCCAAGCCATCACAGCTGATATCTCCTGGTGCTATCCCCAAACTGCCACTCTAAACTCTTGAAGTAAATAAATAATCTTTGCTGGCAGGACTATGCCGAATCTCCTTAAGCACTCTCTAATCAGATATCCTGAGTTGTCCCAATTCTTAGATCTTTTATACCTGTTTTTCTCCTTCTGTTATTCCATTTAGTTTTTCAATTCATACAAAACCATATCCAGGCCATCACCAATCATTCTATATGACAAATGTTTCTCCTAACATCCCCACAATATCACCCCGTACCACAAGACCTCCCTTCAGCTTAATCTCTCCAACTCTAGGTTCCCACGCCGCCCCTAATCCCGCTTGAAGCAGCTCTGAGAAACATTGCCCATTCTCTCTCCATACCACCCCCTAAAAATTTTCGCCGCCCCAACACTTCAACACTATTTTGTTTTATTTTTCTTATTAGTATAAGAAGGCAGGAATGTCAGGCCTCTGAGCCCAAGCCAAGCCATCGCATCCCCTGTGACTTGCACGTATACGCCCAGATGGCCTGAAGTAACTGAAGAATCAGAAAAGAAGTGAATATGCCCTGCCCCACCTTAACTGATGACATTCCACCATAAAAGAAGTGTAAATGGCCGGTTCTTGCCTTAAGTGATGACATTACCTTGTGAAAGTCCTTTTCCTAGCTCATCCTGGCTCAGAAAACACCCCCACCGAGCACCTTGCGACCCCTACTCCTGCCCGCCAGAGAACAAACCCCCTTTGACTGTAATTTTCCTTTACCTACCCAAATCCTATAAAACGGCCCCACCCTTATCTCCCTTCGCTGACTCTCTTTTCGGACTCAGCCCGCCTGCACCCAGGTGAAATAAACAGCCATGTTGCTCACACAAAGCCTGTTTGGTGGTCTCTTCACACGGACGCGCATGAAACAGGGTGCAGTGGCTCATGCCTGTAATCCCAGCACTTTGAGAAGCCACGGTGGGTGGATTACTTGAGCCCAGGGGTTCAAGACCAGCTTGGGCAATATGGCAAAACCCTCTCTCCCTGTCTCTGCCTGGCTAAAAAATTAGCTAGGGATGGTGGCCTGTGCCTGTAGTTCCAGCTAATCAAAAGGCTGAACTGGGAGGATCACTTGTGCCTGAAAGGTCAACTCTGCAGTGAGCCGTGATCAGATCACTACACTCCAGCTCGGGCAACAGAGGGAGACACTGTCTTCAAAACAAAAACAAAAACAAACAAACAAACAAAAAGTGGGTCTTCCCATTAAAGATAAGCTCGAATGATCAAGCATCCCAATGAATGCTTCGATGATCAATGATCAAGATTAAGAATCCCAGGTGTCCAGAAAAAACGTGATCATTAATTCCAAGGGACTGGTGAAGAAAGAAAGAACTCTAGGTCAAGAGCCAGAGAGAGTGGTCAGGAAGCAAACGTGATCGACAATGATGAAATCCAATAAAGCAAGCTGTAGGAAGAGGAGCCTGAAATTATGACATAACAAGTGAATGGAACACAACCAAATTTTGATACCCAGTTCCTGCAGTTAGTTGAGGTGGAAGAACATGTCCAGAGTGGTTATAAATATCAAAATATTCATAGGGAGAGATTAGCATGAGGATAAGAAAATGCCTTTTACTAGTAGATAATAGCTCTATGGTTTGTACAAAGGAGAGATTCTCCTGTGACCAGAGGGAAAAGAGTAATCTCACTCCCTGGAAAAATTTAGATGAAAGCCAGGGCTAATCTTAAGAGCAAGCAAAATAGATTGCAATCTCTGCAGTGAGATATATTTTTCTACTTCTTCAATAGTTATAGTTTTATTCTATATTCTTCTTATTTTTTCACTTAATAATTAAATAGCTAGTGCATTTCACGTTTCTAAAAATTAAAAATGTAAAGAAAAGTTATGAATGGGAAGGAATTCCTGCCACTACTCTGCTCTGTTTGTTCAGCACACCTCCCCCAACCATCCTCACCAGGTAACCACTTTATTGTGTATCTTTCCAAATTTCCTTCAAGCATATAAAATAAAAAAGCATACATTATTTTCTATATTTGTCTACCATTTATACACCAGGTCAGCATGCCATGCACACTGTCCTGTGACTTACACTTTTTATTTAACAAAGTATTTGAATAATCTTTCCATAATATTACAGAAATTTGTTGTATTTTACAGTTGGACATCATTGCATTGTATTGAAAACTTATATTTCATAACTAGTACCCTTTTAGAGGACATTTAGGTTGTCCCTAAGCTTTTCCAACTACAAATAATTATCCAATTAATAACCTTGTTTAAGAATCACATTTGGATGTGCAAGTATATTACAGCAATAAAGTCCCAGAAGTCAATGAGTTTGTCAAATTCTATTTGTCTTTGTAATTTTGACAAGAATTAGCAAATTGCCATCCACAGAGATCGAACCAAGTTACACCCTCACCAGAAATGGATGAGAGAACCCATGTTCCCAGAGCCCAGCTCAAAATATCTCAGATTTTTTCCATTTTTTGCTCACGTGATAGATTAAAAATAGGCATTCAACAAGCTTTTTTAATAAGGTTGAGAATTTTCCCGTATGTTAAATATCCACTTTGCATTATTTTCTGTGAACTGTCTGTTCATATTATTTGTCCTTTTCTCTGCTGAGTTATTAGAAAGTTTGACATTCAAAAATTTTAACAATCTATTTGGCACGATTCCCAGCCAGTGGCAAAAGATGCCAGCCCAATTAGAAGAAGTGCCAGATGTAAACACCTGGCATGTCCAGAGCAACACATTCCAGTGGAAAATTAGACCTGATGGTTGGTCTTTCTCCAGGTGTTTTCAGCATAGAAGAGCTGAAAATACTGTTTCCAAATTAATCTTTTATATTTTGACTCTGCTTATGTTATTTTTTGAAAGGCAATTCACGTGTTTTTTAGATAATTAAATTTTCAAACCTCTTTTATGCCATCTGCATTTTCAATTAAAATTTTCCACTCCAAATATTTTTAGCAAATTCTTTTATTTTGAGTACATATGATTTCAAATTTTTACATGTAGTCTCTTAAGACATTTGGATGTCATCCTAGTAGACGTTGTGAGATATAAATCCATCATTATTTTTACCAGATAGTTATTATTTGTCCAGCTATCTCTATTGATTAACCCTTCTTCTTCCCTAATGAAAACAATCTTACCCATATGCTAAATTTCCTTAAGTATTATAACTTATTTCTGCACTTTCTATTCTATTTCATGGATCTCTATCACATTAATTTAATTAGTAAGTCTTTATAATATGTTTTAAATCTTATATGTCTTATTCTATCCTCATTGCTCTTCTTTTACAAAGTTTTTCTATTTATTCTTGTTTATTTTCTTACATTAGATTTAGAGTCAGTTGGTATAGTTTCTTTCTTCAAAAAAGATGTAGGTGTCATTTTCATATACTTCTCATGAAAACAAAAAAAATTAGAGGCGAACTTAGTAATATCTAGCAAAATTGCATGTGCATTTTACCTTTTGAACATGTCATTCTAATTCTAGAGACCTAGACCAGATATTTATTAGCAAAAACATAAAAAGACATATGCACAAAACAATTCATTGCAGCACTATTTATAATAGCAAAAAGCTGGAAAGCCTAAACTACTGTCAATAGGAGGCCAGTTGAATAAAATATGTCTACCTACACAATGGAGTAAAGAGTAGCTGTTTGTATTGAGGATTATCTCTCTATACTATTATGGAGTGATCTGAGTTAAGTGGTATCTAATGAGTTTTTAAATTTTCCTCTGTTTCTCTGAGCTTTTACCTATTGTCACTTGTTTTTAGTGCATTTTGTTTTTTATCAGTGGATTAAATAGTGATTAATCCCATTTTTTCTCAAAACAAACAGCTTTCATATTTATTTTACATTTTTTCTGTATTTGAATGCATTTTGGGGTTATTTTATAATCTCTAGATTCGGATGCTTCATAACTTTATTTAAATTTTCTTTATTGTTATATAACTATTTAAGTCTGTGCATTTCTTTTTAGCACTCCTTCAGTGAATTCCATAGTTATTCAATGTAATGTTTTTATTGTTTTCTAGGAATTCTACAATTCCAGGTTGCATTGTATATTAATTCTAGAGAAGTTTAAAAGTTATTGCTTTGTTTGTTTCTTTTAATTTCCAGACAGAAGTACCTTTTTATTTTCTGGTTTTGTTATATTTTCTATTTTTACCACATTTCAATCAGATAAATTTTCTATACTATTTACATTTTATGGAATTTCTTGAGGTTGCTTCATGAGCTTTTAAATGGTTAATTTTCATAAATGCAACAAGGACACTTAAAAAAATCCATTATTCTTATTTTTCAGGGATCAAAGTTTGGTACATACCAATCAAAGGAACTTTTAAAATTATGTTATTTATTTCATCATAGCCTTAAATTTTGTCCAGTTTGATCTGTCATAGACTAAGAAAGGTAAATTCATTCGCTTGCAGTAAGTGGATATTTTCTCCTTTCGTCTTCTATATTTTCTCAGCTACTTCTGTATATCTCCATTTTAAATTCCTCATATTAGCATTACAAAGGGCCTTCTCTTCTTCTTTGAATAATTGATGGACTAAATTGCATTTTGTTTAATATCTTAAAGTCAAGATCTCCACATTATTTTTATTTGCATTTGGCCTGGAAATACATTTGCCCATTTCTCTCCCAGATTTTCTAGATTGTCTTGCTCACTGATGTGATTTTTAACCTAGAGTTAGTTTCGTTTATGGTGTAATATGAAAATCCATTTCTTTTAATGGATGGATAAGTCCATTAATATTTACTGTTTGTAAGAATAACATACCCAGGAATACAGGTAACTAGGCAGGCAAAAGACCTCTACAATGAGAACTACAAAACACTGCTCAAAGAAATCAGAGGTGACACAAACAAACAGAAAAACATTCCATGCTCATGGATAGAAAGAATCAATATTGTTAAAGTGGCCATATTGTTCAAAGCAATTTATAGATTCAATGCTATTCCTATGAAACTACCAATGACATTTTTCACAGAACTAGAAAAAAAAATTTTTTTTAATTCATATGGAACAAAAAAGGAGCCCAAACAGCCAAGGCAATCCTAAGCAAAAAGAACAAAGCTGGAGGCATCATGCTACCCAACTTTAAACTGTACTACAGTGCTACGTTAACTAAAATAGCATGCTACTGGTACAAAAACAGGCACATAGACCAATGGAACAGAATACAGAGCCCAGAAATAAGGCTGCAAATCTACAGCCATCTGATCTTCAACAAAGCGGACAAAAACAAGCAACAGGAAAAGGACTCCTGATTTAATAAATGGTGCTACGATAACTTCTTAGCCATATGCAGAAGATTGAAAATGGACCCCTTCCTTATGTTACAAGAAAGAGGTCCCAATCCAGAGCCCACGGGAGGGTTCTTGGATCTGGCGCAAGAAAGATTTCAGGGCGAGTCCACAGTGCAAAGGAAAAGCAAGTTTATTAAGAAAGTAAAGCGGTGAAAGAACAGCTACTCCGTAGAAAGAGTAGGGTGTTCCTGAAAGTAAGAGGAGAAATGCGTCCACCCAAAGTACACTACTCGTATATGTAGGATAAAAAAAAAGATCATGGGGAGATGTGCTGTGATACAAGCCTTTGTGATAAAGGATTAATTTTCTTAATACTATATTTTGCAAGAATTAGTATTATTATCTTTAAAGCAAAATCAGGAATGCCTTTGTTCTTAAGATATTGAGGTATTAGGACACTCCTAAGTCTGGATCTGTTTAGCAAACATTATCCATCTGCTCCCTTAACCATAAACACCTAGAGGCTAGGAATACCTAACTTCTGGAATGTAGCCTAGCAAGTCCCAGCCTCATTTTCCTGGCCCTCACTCAAGATGGAGTCATTCTGGTTTCAATGCCTCTAACACTTACACCCTATCCAAAAATCAACTGAAGATGAATGAAAGACTTAAATGTAAAACCCAAAGCTATAAAGTCCCTGGAAGCCAGTCTAGACAGTACCACTCTAGACATAGGACCTGTCAAAGATTTCAAGTTGAAAACACCAAAAGCAATTGTAACAGAAGCAAAAATTGACAAATGGGATCTAATTAAACTAAAGAGCTTCTGCACCGTAAAATAAATTATCACATAGTAAACAGAGACAACCCACAGAATGGGAGAAAATTTCTGCAAACTGTGCATCTGACAATAGTCTAATATCCAGCATCTATAAGGAACTTAAATGTATAAGAAAAAAAACAACTAAGAAAAAAACAAACAACCCCCATATGGTTTGGCTGTGTCCCCACCCAAATCTCATATTGAATTCCCACGTGTTGTGGGAGAGACCTAGTGGGAGGTAATTGAATCATGGGGGCAGGTCTTTCCCGTGCTGTTCTCAAGCTGTTCTCATGATAGTGAATGAGTCTCATGAGACTCATATTTTAAAAAGGGAGAGTCCCCCTGCACAAGCTCTCTTCTCTTGTCTGTTGCCATGTGAGATGTGCCTTTCACCGTCTGCCATGATTGTGAGACCTCTCCAGTCACATGAAACCCTAAGTCCAATAAACCTTTCTTTTGTAAATTGCCCAGTCTCAGGTATGTCTTTATAGCAGCATGAAAATGAACTAATACAAACCCCATTAAAAAATGGTAAAAGGACATGAACTTTCCAAAAGAAGACATGTATGTGGCCAAGAAGCATACGAAAAAGAGCTCAACATCACTGATCATTAGAGAAATACAGATCAAAACCACAATGAGATACCATCTCATACCAGTCAGAATGGCTATTACTAAAAAGTCAAAAAATAACAGATGCTGGCAAGGTTGTGGAGATAAGGGGATACTTATATCCTGCTAGTGGGAGTGTAAATTAGTTCAACCACTGTGGAAAGCAGTGTGGTAATTCCTCAAAGAATTAAAAAGGGAACTACTATTTGACCCAGCAATCCCATTACTAGGTATATACCCAAAGGAATATAAATTGTTCTACCATAAAGATACATGAATGTGTATGTTCATTACAGCACTATTCACAATAGAAAAGACATGGAATCAACCTAAATGACCATCAGTGCTAGACTGGATAAAGAAAATGTGGTACATATACACAATGGAATACTATGCAGCCATAAAAATGAATGAGGTCATGTGCCTTGCAGGGACGTGAATGGAGCTGGAAACCATTATCCTTAGCAAACTAATGCATGAACAGAAAACCAGCTACTTCATGTTCTCACTTATAAGTGGGTGCTAAAGGATGAGAACACACGGACACATAGAGGGAAACAACAGAAACTGGGGCCTGAGGGTGAAGGGTGGGAGGAGGAAAACGATCAGGAAAAATATCTAATGGGTACTAGGCTTAACACCTGGGTGACAAAATAATCTGTACAACAAGCCCATGACATGAGTTTACCTATGTAAGAAACCTGTACATGTACCCCTGTACTTAAATAAATATGTGTGTGTGTGTGTGTGTATGTGCACGCATGTGTGTGTGTAATAGTTGAAATAAGTTATTTGGGCTTTTTAAATAATTTCAACTATTATTTTAAATTTGGGGGTGCATATGCAGGTTTGTTACATGTGTGTATTGCATGATGCTGAGTTTTAGGGTAGAAATGATCCCATCACCCAAGTAGTGAGCATAATACTTAGGTCATTTTTTAGCCTTTGCCACCCTCCCTCTCTACCCCTGCTAATTGTCCCCAGTGCCTATTGTTTCCATCTTTAGCTCCATGTTTGCCCAATGCTTAGCTCCCACTTGTAAGTAAGAACATGTGGTATTTGGTTCTCTGTTCTTGCATTACTTTGCATAGAATAATGGACTCCAGCTGCATTCATGTCGCAACAAAGGACATGGTTTCACTCTTTTTTATGGCTGTGTAGTATTCCATGGTGTATATATACATTTTCTTTATCCAGTGCATCATTGATGGGCACCTAGGTTGATTCCATGTCTTTGCTATTGTTAACAGTGTTGTGATGAACACAGACGTGCAGGGGTCTTTTTGGTAGAACGATTAATTTTCCTTTGGATATATATTCAGTAATGGGATTCCTAGGTCAAATGCTCATCCTGTTTTAAGTTCTTTGAGAAATCTCCAAACTGCTTTAACATAGTGGCTGAACAAATTTACATTCCTTCCAAGAGTGTATAAGTGTTCCCTTTCTCCACAGCCTCACCACCATGTTACTTTTTGACATTTTAATAATGTCGATTCTGACTGATGTGACATTAATATTTGTTGACATGCAGATGCCAATAAACATTGCCCTGCCAGAAATATCTATCTGTTGCACCACTTGGGTGTGTGCTTTTAGGGGGATTTCCTCTCAAGTTTCAGCTATTAGCTCTTCACCATGTATTTTTCTTTTCTGAGTATCTCTGCCGTACTCTGTACATAGTTCTCCCTGTGAGATCACATACACTGTCAGTAATTTGTTCCATAAAAATGCTTTTTAAATCTATGTAAGGTGTACATCAATCAGGTAATGAAACACATTCTTGTTTGATTTATGAAATCACACTCAATGCTACATGGGACATTTACCCCTCTAATACTGGCCTCAAGGATACAGTCTTACATTTCCACCTTCCTTGGAGATATATTGAATATTCTGCCTTCGAATATAGCCAAAATGAATTCAAAAATTTCTGCCAAATCACTGTTCTCCAATATGAACTCCATATTATCCTCAAAAAAATATGTAGCAAATTGACAGACCACTGTCCTTTTTCTCATTTCATTCCCCTTGCCTAGAAGGCTATATTCGTGTATGGAGAGCCCACTCATCCTTTAAGATCCACCTTCAATTTGAAACTTTTACTTGCTCTCCCAGTTGAGCATATTCTCACCTTCTTTAGAACAAAATTTGTTTGGGATACACCACTGAGTTTTGCGTTTATAAAATTCATCATCGTCTTGTGAATTACTTTCCTACGTGAACATTATTTTTGCAATTAAATTGAAATTATCTCAGAAAAATGGAACTTCCTTATAATTCTATAGATACATACTTGACAGTACTATTCAACTGCAGAGATTAGACCTCATTAAGAGTTTGTTTATAATTATAGCACCTTAGTGTAATTCACCTATTCAGTTTACTGGTTTTAGAGTAATTCTGAAAGAAATCTTAATAGAGATATTCGGTGATGAGCAAAAAGCTCATACGTACCTAGAAGCAAAGAAGAGGCAGAAAGAAAAGTGTATTAGTCAGGGTTCTCTAGAGGGACAGAACTAATAGGATAGATGTATATATGAAAGGGAGTTTATTAAGGAGAATTGACTCACACGCTCACAAGGTGAAGTCCCCCGATAGGCCGCGTGCAAGCTGAGGAGCGAGGAAGCCAGCAGTGGCTCAGTCCGAGTCCCAAAACCTCAAAAGTAGGGAAGCTGACAGTATAGCCTTCAGTCTGTGGCAGAAGACCTGAGAGCCCCGACAAACCACTGGTGTAAGTCCAAGAGTCCAGAAGCCAAAGAACTTGGAGTCTGATGTTCAAAGGCAGGAAGCATCCAGCGCGGGAGAAAGATAAACGCTGGAAAACTCAGCAAGTCAGCTTCTTCCGCCTTCTTCTGTCTTAAAGCCAAGGTGACAGCTGATTGGATGGTGCCCACCCACATTGTGGGTGGGTCTTCCTCCCCCAGTCCACTGACTCAAATGTTAATCTCCTCTGGCAACACCCAGAGACACCCAGCAACAATACTTTGCATCCTTCAATCCAAAGGATTAACCATCACAAAGAGCAAGAAACAAAGAATGGTAGGAAAGAGAAGACAACATACTTTGTTTCACTCATATTTTTATTGGAGCAATCCCTTTTCCTAGGTCAAAATTTTTAGTTATAGAACATTTAATAAATCTTTGCATTTACAGATTTTTTCCAAAATCTTATAAAAATCTTCAAATATGCAGCAAAGTTGAAAGAATTTAAAATAAACACCAGTACATTCACTTCCTAAATTTACCACTAGTATTTTATTTATTTTTAACCCTGTATTTACTCATCTCCCCGTCATCAAGCTCTATTCGTTTTAAAGTAAATCACAGAATCTATATTCTTCTGCTTAAGTACTTCTGAATGCAGATTATAAAGAAGAGTGCAATTTTTTTACAGCTTATTTTCTTTTATTTAAAATTTACTGCATACCATTATCTGACCATACCATTATGTGACAGCTACACTGGGACAGCTCTGTGCTTAACAACTGGAGATGCCTAGAAAAGTCTGGGACCAAGATAAAACAAGTGGGTTAACTAACGATTAATACTGTGCTGTTTAATTTTCCCATTTTATACTTTACACCCAAGACCAACTTGTTTATTGATCGCTTACACCTGGTGTAACTGGTTAAATGTTTACTAGCTTGGCAATGTGACTAATCAGCATAAAAGATCCAGCTGGAAAGTTTTTCCCGGTCTCATGAAACTCATATTCTTCATTCCATATTGGTGGCTTATAATCCACAGACTAAGAGTGTTATATGAGACAAATCCCTGCGGAGCTGTGCCCAGGAGTCTCTCTGGCCCCCAGGCTTGCATATACTTTCTTTCTCCAGTTGTGCCATTCTTTTCACCTTGATTCAAGGCTTACATGAGTATTCTCCTTGAGGGTTTTTTTTTTAATCTAATCTTATAGTTTTTGCATTTATATAGTATGAAATAAATAAAGTGTAGGAGAGATTTGAGTTTCAATAAATGGATATAGCTGGATAACCCAAACTCCTTTCGAGACATAGGATATTATTTTTACCCCAGAATGTTCCCTTATGCCCCTTCCCAATCAATCTCTTGAATACTCCCAGAGACAACTCCTGTTCTCTTGGTTTGATTTTTCTCGCTATACTTAGGTTTGCCTATCGCAGGACTTCATATACACGAAACCATACAGTACGTGCTTTTATGGTTAGCTTCTTATGCTAAGCATAATGTTTTTGAGATTCATTCTTGTTGCTGTATCACCACATTGCTGCTTTTTATTGTTGAAAAATATTTTCATGTATTAATATACCACATATTCATTCTCCTATTCATGTACGCCAAGGTTTTTTTTTACAGTTTAAAGCAATTCAGAAAAGAGCAGAATGATCGTAATTATAAAAGCCTTTTGGTTTTCATTTCTTTGGGATAAATAACAACGATAAAAAATGCTAGGTCTCGGCCGGGCGCGGTGGCTCAAGCCTGTAATCCTAGCACTTTGGGAGGCCGAGGCCGGCGGATCATGAGGTCAGGAGTTCGAGACCATCCTAGCTAACACCATGAAACCCCGTCTCTACTAAAAATACAAAAAATTAGCCGGGCGTGGTGGCGGGCGCCTGCAGTCCCAACTACTCAGCTACTCAGGAGGCTAAGGCGGGAGAATGGCGTGAACCTGGGAGGCGGAGCTTGCAGTGAGCCGAGATTGCACCACTGCACTCCAGCCTGGGTGACAGAGCCAGACTCCAACTCAAAAAAAAAAAAAAAAAGAAAGAAAAAAACGCTGGGTCTCATGGTAAGTATATTTTGAGTTTTATAAGAAAGTGCCAATACTTTCTCCAAGTGGCTGCTGCATTTTACATTCCCATCAGTAATGTATGGATTTCAGTTACTCAATATCCTTATCCATATTTAATGTTATCAGCCTATTTACTTTAGCCACTCACATGGATGTATAATGGTATCCTAGCATAGTTTTAATTTGCATTTTCTGATGACTAATGATACTGAAAAGTGTGACATATGCTAAAAGGACATTTATACATGTTCTTTTTTCCTATATATTTAAAATATTTTGCCAATTTTTAATTGAATTGTTTGCCTTTTCGTTATTGAGTTATAGCATTTTATTATGTATTCTAGGTAACAGTCCTTTTGCAGTTATATGTTTTACAAACCTTGTCACCCATGCTGTGGCTTGCCTATACATATATTTAACTACAATGCCTTTTGGTGAACGTAAGTATTTAACAATTTTTTAAAGCCTAGTTTATCAATTTAACCTGCAGAAGCATAAAAAGTAATAAATCATTGTTGTTTTAAACTGTAATTTTTTGGGTGGTTTAATATACAATAATAACGCACTTGTCTATATACATAGGTTAAAGGTAAAATTTTAAAAATAAGTTTAAAAAATGAGAGATTTGATTCAGTCTCACCCATCTAAAGGGTGCTGAACTGATAAAAGCTGAACATTTTTATTACAATAAATATAAATCATAACTTTCTTATATATTCCCCCATTCAGGCATGAATACTAAGGAATTCAAATTCTTCATGCATTATGCAAAGACTGACACAGAAACTCTTGAAATCTCACAAGAATGGAGCTCCACTTTAAAATTTTGGTTGGTACTTTTTTTAAGTGCTAGCTCTTGATAATTTGTTTGATGTAGCCAATAACACTTCTTCAATGTGAAAAATCAGTCGACTAAAATTATTTGAGTCACAAAAAATTGGAGATGAGATTTATATAGTTATGGTTGTAATGTATAATAATTATATTATAATGTAATATATAATGTAATACAATCAATTATAATGTAAAACAATCAATTAAAAAGATTGTAAGAGCATCTGTCCTCATTTACACCAGGGGACAATAATAATATGATATGCTCTTATTAACTGTATTAACTAATTAATGTTAATGAAGATTGTGGGTGTCTTGTTTTTCTTGAGAAGACAGTTACAAACTTCAAAGCTGTGTTTGACGCACTTATATTTGAATACAAAGAGATTAACAAAATCAAAAATCTTTTGTAAATAAATTATATTATTTTGTGTTTTAAAATTTCATGTGTCTCTGGAAAAGAGTAATTTTAAAACCTTAAGAACAGTAGAGCCATCTAAATTTGGGGGAGATATGGAAAAAGTACATCCTCTAAAATAATTTTCTTTAATTTGAAATCACAAAAATATACAGCCTAATAATGAAATGATTATATTATGTTTGGGATAAGTTATTAAAGAGTATTCCTTTACTTGGGTTATATTAGGTTAAGACTTGGTTTTTATCCTGAAAGTGTATACTAGGATCCATGTCCATCCATTCACTCCACAAATATTTATTAAATACCCAGCTTTATGCCAGGTGTTGTTAAGAGCTCTGCAAATACAAAAATGAGCAAAATTAAAAAGTTTTTACCCTCATGGAGCTGACTTTATAATGAGAAGAAGGAATTCTTAACTAAATTATATAGTGGAAATAAGTACTCTAGAGACAAATAAAACAGGTTAAAGTGTTGGTGAGTGGTGAAAGAAGAGGGAACACTATGTGCTAGGGAAAGACCTATCTGATAGATGATGCTCAAGGAGATAATTGAAGGGCATAGAGAGCCAGCCATTTAGCTTGCTGGAGGAAAAGTGGTCCAAGAAAAGGAAGAGAAAGGGCAAAAGCCTCAGAACAAAACTATGTGCCTATCTTCCAGAAATCCAATGAGGCTGGCACAGAGTGACATTAGGGATATATAGCTGGGGTCAAACTATATCATATCTCTTAGCGTACTATAGACTTCTTTTTCTTTTTTTCCCGTGACTGAGAAGGTAAACCACTGGATGACTTTGAGTAGAGAAGCGACATAACCTAACTCTTTTATAATTCACCCTTTCTGCTCCATGAGCAAACATCAAGGTTAAGAATGGAAAGTGTCGCAGCAATTAGGAGACTAGACAGTTATCCACTTAAGAGATGTTTGTGCCTTGGACCAGCAGGGCTAGCACTGGACATGACCATAATGTGGCTGGATAAACAAGTCTAGAGTTCAAGAGAGAAGACTGGCTTGGAGTTCTAAATTCGAGGGACCATACCATATAGGTGGTATTTAAAGCTTCAAAATTGGATGATACCTCTTTCTAAGTGGATATGGTTAGAAAATAAAGTGTTGAGGGAGACAGAGGAAGAACAAGTTAAGAAGCTGTGAAATAAAACCAGAGGTTGGAGGTAAAACAGGCAAATGCTATGTATCCGAAGCTAAGTAAAGAAAGTGTACTAAGAAGAAAGGAGAGTCATCTACTGTGTCAAATGGTGCTAGTAGGTTTAGCAAGGTGAGGTCTGAGAAATGACTGTTGGATTTGTCAATATGAGTGAAAGGCACTGGTGAAAGGAACAATTTTGATGGTGTGGTGGGGTAAATGCTTAGGGGACAGACCATTCTTCCTTAGACTTTGGGGTAAGAGGGGACTGAGAAATGGAGATGCCAATTGTAGCAGAAAAATTGGCCAGAAAAAGGATTTTTTAATGTAAGAAATCATAACACTTTCATAAGCAGCTAGAAATGATGCAATGGAGAAAAAGAAAAACTGATGACCTATGTAAGAAGAACCCAACAGTAAAACATCATGGAACATTTCTCTAGATTCACCCAATCCCTGTGTTCCGTCTTCAGAGCTAACTCTTGCTCTTCCTTCTGCTGCCACCTTCGTGGAATGACTTCTTTTTTAATTTTATTTAATTTTATTTATTTTTTGAGACGGAGTCTTGCTCTGTCACCCAGGCTGAAGTGCAGTGGCACTTTCAGCTCACTGCAACCTCTGCCTCCCGGGTTCAAGCAATTCTCCTGCCTCATTCTCCCCAAGTAGCTGGGACTACAGGCACACACCACCACGCTCAGCTAATTTTTGTATTTTTAGTGCAGATGGGGTTTCGCCATGTTGGCCAGGCTGGTCTGGAACTCCTCACTTCAGGCGACCCACTCGCCTCGGCCTCCAAAAGTGCTGGGATTACAGGCATGAGCTACTGTGCCAGGCCCTGTGGAAGGACTTCTGAAGCCTCATTAGTTGCTTCTAGCTCTTCATCTCTGGCTCCATTCTCCAGAAATCTATGCCTCAGTCCTCCTCTCTTGTCTCAGTAAAGCATGCCCTCATCCTTCATTAGACAATTTTAAAATGATTTCACCTTACTTTCCGAATGTATCCTACACCTATTTTGAATCTAATAGTCTTAAATAGTTTAGCAAGAGGCATTTGGTATGTGGGTGCATACTTTTGCAATATTTATAAGAAAATGTTCAGTTTTATTCGCGCTAACTTTAGAGCCAAGCAAAGAACATTTATTTCTTTATTAGAAAATTCTGAAACGTGGGGATATAGTTTGGATATTTGTCCCTGCCTAAATCTCATGTTGAAGTGCAGTACCCAGTGTTAGAGGTAGGGCCTGGTGGAAGGTGTTTGGATCTAGGAGCAGATCCTTCACGAATGGCTTGGGCTATCCCCTTGGTGATGAGTAAGCTCTCACTCTGAATTCACAGGAGATCTAGTCATATAAAAGTCTGTGGCACCTCGCCCACTTCTGCTCAGTCTCCCTCATTTGCTCCTACTTTCATCATGTGAGAAGCCTGCTCCTCCTTCACTTTCCACCATGATTGAAAGCTTCCTGAGACTTCCCTAAAAGCCTAGCAGATGCCAGCACCATGCTTCCTGTAAAACTTGCAGAACCACGAGCCAATTAAACCTCTTTTCTTTATAAATTTCCCAGTTTTAGGTACTTAATTATACCAATGCAAGAACAGACGAAGGTACCTAGTAAATCATCTTTGGGAATACTCACTAGATTTCCCAAGTTCCCTTGATACAATTTCTCCAATAGGAGGTAATCATTCCCATGAGGAGGCAATACTCACTTCTCTCCATATTGTCACACACTCTATCCCTTGTTTTCTAACCTACTTCTCCTCCTCTCCTCTCACTTCCTTTTTTTAAAACAGCAATCTTTTCTGAGTAGAAAAGGAATAGTCCTTAACTGCAAAAAAGATATACTAGAAAATATAAGGAAAAATTTAAAAAGAAGAAAATTACTGAAATTTTAACCACTCACCATATTTCTGATTCATTTCTCTGTTACTTTGCAACTTGTTTTACAAATAAGAAATCACACATAAAATTTGCACTTAAAATGATTAGAAAATGACCACCATTTTCTAACTATAATAAAAATACTGTTTTACATAACTATAGATTTTGTAGTATTTCATTGTGCAGACACACCACAGTTAAGTTTGAAACAGTTAAGTAGTTGCTAGTATTTTGTCATTATAAAACATGTGTTGTAAGTTGTTATTCTGTAAATGTTTATCTATGTTCTTTGGAGTGTTCCTTAACGCATATATCCAGAAACACAAATTCTGAGTCAAAGCATGTGAACCTAGGCTCTGGGTCATATGTTCACACATTATAGTTTCCAAAAATTCATGTTTTACATCTTTAGTAATTTGCTAAAAATAGTATACTAGAGTTATGATTTATATACTAATTATTAGTAAGCATAATCTCTTTCAAATTTGATTAAACGTTTGCCTTTCTGGTTTTGTGAATAGTTTGAGTGCCTTGTCCAGTTATCTGTGGCTTACTTTAAAGTATTTCCCCCTCTATAAAGTGGTTTAATGTCCCTTTTATTAAGAAAACCAACAATCTTTCACATTTTATTTTAAATACATTCCTGTGTTTTTTCTTTTAATTCCATTTTGGGGTTTTTAAATTTGTTTGTTTCTGGGGTTTTTGGAGGTTTGTTTGTTTCTGGGTGTTTGTTTGTTTGTTTTTGTTTTGTTTTGTTTTTACTTTAGTGTCTTGAAGGTGTTTACAAACAGTAAGATAGAGTGGTTATTTTTAGCTGTTTGGTTTTATTCCAATTCATAAAGCTTGTCTCCACTCACAAGTTAGATAAATACCTATCTATATTTTCTGCTGTTTTAAAGTTTCGTTTTCTATGTTTGGCTTTTTCATCCTTTTATAATCTATTTTGATAAAATGGAGTGAAGTGAAATCAAAATGGATTTTTAAAACTATCTCATCAACATTCTCAGGAATACATTTTGAAAGATCTATCTCTTTCACCTGATTCACGAGGATTTATTTATCATGCATTTTGTTATAGGGTCTGGTTCCATGACAGCTATTCTACCCTATTGATCTGCCAGTCTATTTTTCACCAGTAAGTACAACAGTTTAATCATTTAAATTACACAGTTAATTATTCTAGTTTTATATAATATTTTATTATCTTCTAGGACTAGACCCTATATATTCTTCCCTTCAAAATTTTCAAAATGTTTTACACTTGCTACTTTGTTCAGATAACAATGAAGTCTATTTTTATTGTAGTTTTGTATAGTGATTGAGAAAATCTACTCTAAATCCAATTTGCATAGGTTCATATATCCCAGCTTCATTAAACACTAGCTTTATAACAAGTTCACACGCCTAGGTTCATACGCTTTGATTCAGAATTTGTGTTTCTGGATATATGCGTTAAGGAACACTCCAAAGAACATAGATAAACATTTACAGAATAACAATTTACAATGCATGTTTTATAATGACAAAATGCCAGCAACTACTTAACTGTTTCAAACTTAACTATGGTGTGTCTACACAAGTTATGTGAACACTCTTTGCCTCAGTTTTGCTTCTGTAACTTGAGTATAATAATATACATACCACATATAGCTGCTGTGATGATAGAGTGAATTATTAAATACATGTAAGGCACTTAGAATAGTACCTGGCAACATAATATAGAATATTATGTAGAGATATTTTCTATTATTATTTAGTGACAACCACTTTGTTAAGTTTTATATGCATCCTATCACTGAATCTATGTTTGATCCCAGTTCTCAGGACTCTCCCCATATGACTTAGTGATCTTCTGAAAACTAATCAAGTTAAAATAATTTCATATTTTTTCATGAGCAAGGAGTTCCACAGGGGAAAATCCTGAGATTCATTTTTCCATTTGTTTCAATTATTTTTATAGGCTACTGATTCTCTTGACTTTCCAACCAACAGAATGGAAAGAAGAAAAAAACAAATGCTAGTGTAAACATTCTTGTTAACATCATTCCTAGCTTATTTTTATTGAAACATTGCATTATTATGTGTCTTTTGTTGTGGTTTTATTCAGTCTATAAAATAGAATTGTAGAAATGACTTTGCACTTTCTAGTTTGTCTCAAATAGACACCCAGATGTGAATGAAATTCTCTTAGTTGGTCCTTTGTGATACAGTCCGGGCTCTCACTTGTTAAGATACAGAAGATTTACCAAGAGGGCAGGTTAAAATTCTGACTCAGTAGGTCTGCACATTTAATAAGCCCCCTTCCCCAGGTGAGAGAAAACAAGTGATCCCGAAGGAGGGCCACGAAGGGCAGCATCTGGCACTGCCTATAACCATGGCTGCTTCCTTATTAAAAAACAAAGAGGACAGACTTCTCAGATTAAGAGAGATGTTATCAGATTACAGTGTGAAACAGAATGAGTCAGGGATGGAAAGAAAATACAGACACAGCTACATATGCTACTGGTGCTCCAGTAACAGCTGCTTAAAATCAACAGCTGCATTGTCAAGCAGGGTCTGAAGATACTTCTTCTCCATGATGCAGAATCCCTACTGCAGAGATACAGTCTACTTCCTTAATGCCACCTCTTCTCTGGTGTCCACTTATACGCACACACACACACACACACACACACACACACACACACCCGCACAGGCTCAAGAGACAGTGGCCTGTTAAAAGGCCATATAAAATCTTAGTCTCCACTTTACTGTGGGCTCTCAATAGATTCTCTATTTGAGTCAAGCCCTTCCCTAATCACCCCAGAGCTCTGGATTGTACCTTCCATGCTTTTCCTTCCCATGGCTGACTCTTCATTCAGCTATAGTCATTTCAAGAGGAAGGGAGGAAAATCATTAGATCTTTCTACATTTCAATGTAAGTATGAGAACAATCTCTTTCAAAAATATATCCAGGATCATATAGTCAATGATTCCACACTAATTGAGATTTTACCTCTGGAAATGTCATCACCAATATGTTATTAAATATGAATTAAACTGTGCAGTTTTCCAGTGGGTCAGCATAAATGTCTTCTCTTGCATACACGATATTTCCTTTCTCTCTCCAGTCTCTTCTCCTACCATCAGCACTATGTTGTAATGAATTCCACATATCAGTGAGAGCCACGGTATTTTGAGAACCAGTCTAGGGCTTAATGTTTCAGAAAGTTCAGAAATAGTGCAACATTTGAGTAAGAATTATGAGTGAAATGGGTTCTCAGAGAAGTATCAATCATGTTTAACTTGCAAGTTAATATTTCCATAGTCTGACATGTTTCAAGTGTATGATAAGCTTGTATAGGGAGAAAATGAGGCTGGGGATTTTCCCAAAAATTGGTTATCACTCATTGAAATTTTTTAATGGTTTAATATTTTCTTAGAGTTTTACAGTGCATTCATTGTGTTCTGTTAAAAATATTCATTAATAAATGATGCTTAAGGATAGTAGGTTTTAACACAGTCAGTTTTCTGGGCAGTGATAAAATAGACTTAGGTAATAGAACTCATCATTTTCAACTCACTGAAAGCTAATGGTTTTAGTAAATGAGTTATAAGTTTCACTGACCAATTTGCTTCATTTAAGGAAGAATCTAAGTAATAGCACAAAGAGCTGTGAAGCAAAACTTCAAAGAAATACAGAATGGGTACAAAGGATTACATGAAAAGACAATGAACTAATACTCAAGCACAAAAAGTGGAATTCAATGAACACTAAAACTCTTAGGTGTGAAAACAATCAGCTCCAAACAGAATGAAGCAGAAAGAGACTCCCTTTTTCTAAGGCCATTTTAAAAACACTCGTGTGATATTAACTACCCTTGCAAATTCCACCAACTCAGGTAAACAGTTAGGAACCAGCAACTGACAACATTTATACATTTCTGGAGTACCATTTAGGGAATATAAATGGAGCCTAATATGACATTTTAATATCTTGTAAACTATTATTATATGCAGGAATCTTCCCTTTGATGCTTGCCATAGTCTAGTCATTTATATACACAATAATAATTTACTTTTAGTGACTACGGCTTTCCTCATCCTCATCTTCATTCCATAGACTGATTTCATGTCAATGAATACCATGGGGCTGTAAGGTCACTATCCTAGAGTTCCAGGAGAACTTCAGAGCTGAAACAGAAAGTCGCTAGCATGTTGTGACAAGTTCAACTTCCAGGTGGTTGTGGTACAGTGGGAGGAATCTTGGACTTTGCAGTCAGAACTTTTGAGTTCAAATCCAGGTTCTTCAAGTGTGCAATCTTGAGCAAATCACACCACTCTCCTACCCTGTTTCCTCACTGTGAGGTAATGATGGTAACTCCTATCCTGTAGAATTAAATATGACATTATATGCAAAATATTTGTGCTTGTCTAACACTTGACATATAGCAAGTACTCATAATTGTGGCCTAAATCTAAATGTTGCAGAGGTTCCAGAACCTTCACTTAATTTCTACTCTCAATCAAACCTAAGAATTTGTGTAGACACAAATATAGAGAGCACCACTCTTCCACTGCATACACAGCTTTAGTAAATGTTCTATTCGTTACACATTGGGGGTCCGCAAAGACCTGGCATGTATTTGATGTGCAGGCCACTTATTGCTAGGAGAAGTAATTACATAAATGTTACTGATTTGAATAACAATAAGAACAAGCACAATGTGCAAGGCACTGTTCTAAATGTATTACCTGCATTAATTTATTTAACCCACACAGTAAGTTCACAAAAGAAAAGAATTAATTTATTTTCTGTGTCTAAAGGCACAAGCAACAAAAAGAATAGAATCCTTTATGTCATAAAAATGCTTCTACAATAATGAGAAGCCTGATTCTGTGCAGCTGTTCTTTTTGCATCCCCTTCAGCTCCAGTTTGTTTTAAGAATACAGGAATCACTCCAAATCCAGGATGCAGAGTTCCATAGAAATGGTCCAGGTGGCCAGCTGTTTAAAAGAGGTGCATACAGCTAGAACTATAAGCTTCTCAGCTAAGGAAGAGGAAACGTCAACCTAATTTAATCACAATATCATTAATCAAAACAACTTTTCCATAAATCATTGGAAATTATAAACGAAAAAAGAAAATTTCCTTCCTTTCACTTTTTACTCTTTCTTGATTTTATATATACTGCTAATACAGGACTTATTTTTTACATTGATGACTGGAATAGTATTTTCTTGAATTCTGCCAGATGGTTGAAAATATTAAGAAGATCTCAGTCTAAGATATCAGAGAAAGAGACAGAACAAAGACAGGCTCATGTTGAGAGCATTTAGTGGCATTCAGCGATATTTTCACCCTCTAAGTAACTGTGATTCTTATTATTCTTTCTTCCCCACTAAACTTTCAGCTCTTATATAAAAGTTTCCTGAGATTCAAAATTTTTTGTTTTAAGTATAAAGTTTTAAAAAATATTATTAAATAATATTCCAGCAAGCAGCAGCATTTTCTGTATTTGTACATTTTGAAACATAATGAAACAAGAACTTCATAACAGAAATAAGACATTAACCAAAACATACAATGATTTTATAGATCAACAAATTTGGAAAGGCTTATATATTAAATATTCCAATATGATAACAAGACAATGCTTCTTTCTCATAATACTCCTTGTTTCTTCATATCAAAATTTTCAGTGCATGGTTATTCTACTTCCGAAAGTGCGAGGTTCATTTTTTGTTTTCTTTTTAATTGTGATAACTTAATACAAATTCAATAACTCTGTAACTATATTGCCACTGCCTACATTTCCACATAAATTGGATTCTCTTTCATTACATAATTAATTTTTAGAAGGGAAATTGTGTTTCCACATCTCAAAGTTTATCCATTATTGCTAAGAATATTTTGCATCCATCAAGTTTTAAATCATTTTAGTTAAATATTATTTTAGTTTGGAATGAAGCAATTCTTAGTTGTTTAAGTTATTCTGCATTATATATTAATACAGTTACAATTTGAAATATACAATCAAGAGTTTAAAGGTTATGCTAAATAAGATAAAACTGAGTCATATTCTACCTTGCTACATTTGGACATGCAATTGTCTTTAAAGCCCTGAATTATAGAAAATGATTAAGATTACCCTGATTTAAAAATGGATAGTACTGAAGCATAAAGGAAAAATGTTTAGGCAGAGGAAGATGGGGTGGGGTAGTGGCACTAACTACTGGGCTCTGCAAAGGTCCAGTGACAAGAGAGCTTGGGGAAAGAAAACATGATCCCAAATAGAGGGACTGAAAGTATTTCTGGATTACCAAAGAAAAGAGTTCAAGTTTCAGAGAAATAAATGAAAGATTAGGGGAGAGGTAAACAAAAGCAGACTTTTAGACACTCTGTAACCATTCAAGGACATTGAACTTCATCCCAAATCAGTGGTTCTCAAGCTTGAGTGTGCATCGAAATCAACTGAAAGGCCTGTTAAGGCAGTGTGGGTACCCGCCTCCAGAGTTCCTGATACAGTAGGCTTTGGGTGGGGGCAGAGTATCTGCAGGTTTAATTGATTCCCAGGAAATGTTGATGCTATTGATTCAAAGACACGCACTTTGAGAACCTGTTCTAAGAGAAACCTCTGAAGAACTTTCAAGAGGGGAGAGACTTGCTCTTTGGAAAACTCACTTTTGCTATGGAGTAGAAAATAGATTCAGGAAGAGGAAATGTGGAGGATGCCAAGAAGCAGTTGCTATAGTAAAGACAAGACAGCAGAGAAGGAAAAAAGCAGAGTCCAGAACTCTTGACAGGTGAATGTCACAGATTGCTCTCAAGGTTCTGGCTTGAACACCTGAGTGAATGGTTGACATTATCTGCGATAACGCTGGCAAAGGGACCACTTCCAGGGAGAGGACAGTGTGGGACATGTAAAGGTTGAGTGCTGGTGGTATTCTGGTAAGGGTTTCATACCTGTTCTCTGTGGGGAGAGGAAAGCCCTGGTTTGTAGACCTTGCTAATTTACATGGGGTAAACACTCCCTCTGTGGCCAATGTGATGTGGCAGAAGACGGAAGAGATGTGCAGTAACACACCATTATGTCGCATTCCCACCACAAAGATGCAAAGCCAAATTCCGGATAGGAGTACTGCATAGGAGTTGTGGGTAGACTGAAGAGCACAGTAAGTCACAGTTACAATGGCAATTTTCAGTAAATAAGCAAACCACAGGCAAGGGTCTATTTGTGACACCAGATCACAGTCTAAGTGAGACCATGAGTAACCAAGGCGGTAGGAGCATCAGTCTCAAAAGATGTGCAAGGAGAGGTGTGGACAGGGGCAGTCCTCAAAGAAAAGGCAGTCACAATGGATATACAGGAGATCAGTCATCAGATAGCAGGCTCCTAGCAACCCGTTATGGTTCGAGGCCAGGGTTCTTGTCTCCCTAGAAAAGCAGTAGCTAGATTTATGCAGTGACTTAGTATTAAGGAATAGAGATATTAGCTCACCTAAAAAAGAGCTATGGTATGAGGCAGGAGCTGAAGTAAGATAAGAAGGGCATTCAATGAATATGGGTTTTAAGAAAAGTCGAAAACCTAGTTGCCCAGACTATTGTCCAAGGGATATCACCAGCAAGGACAAAAATGCCCGGATGGATAACACTGGTATGAATCCAGGCATTGGATCAGGGGTCATGCTTTCCAGGTAAGGCTAAAAGAGGTTTTTAGAGGCTGGGAATCAAGCAGAAAGTAATAATTTTACAGCTCATTTAAACTAGTCCATCTTGATTATCCTGCAGAACATCTCGTCCTCATGTATTATCACTGTTCATAGGCAAACAGTTTTTACTCCTAGGACACAGAAGAAGTGTGCTTTATTTAAATGCAGTTTTTGTATGTGTTGCTTATGCTCACTGGTTAGTAGATTTCATGTATAACTAAAATATAATAAACCATAGGCACCATCAAGTCCTAAATACAAAGAGAGAGTCTGAGTGCCCTAATGTTTTTGAAACTATTTATTTGAGTAGTCAAAAATCATCAGTCTACCTTGCAGATGCCAGAGTAAATAAATTCAATGAAATCAATTGCAAATTTATCTGAATTGATAGGAAGGAGGAAGCAGGACAATGTTGTTTTCTATATATTGCACTCTTTTAGACTATTTTGCATTAAAATCCTGTATACTCAACTAAAAAGCAGAAAAATATCTTGGTCTAATTCATGTACTGAAACAAATCATTTTACTTTCCTATTACTTGGATATTTATTGCACTTACATCAGTACAAATTAATTTAATTTGTTTCAAAGCAATAGGAAATTTCAAAAACCAACTTTATATATTTCCATTAAGAAAAAAACTAATAGAAGGAACTGTCTATCCAAAATAACATAACAGACTCAAGGATTTCAGAACGCAGCAATAAGCAGAAAAAAAAGTTTTGTTTTCCCTAGCACTTATTTTCTTTCTTTCTCTTTCTTTCTTTCTTTTTTAATTTTTAATTTCTGGGGTACATGCGTAGGATGTGCACATTTGTTACATAAGTAAACGTGTGCCACGGTGCTTTGCTGCACCTATCAACCCATCACTTAAGTATTAAGCCCAACATGCATTAGCTATTTTTCCTGATGCTCTCCCTCCCTCCACTGCCCCCTTCCCTGCAGAGGCCCCAGTATGTGTTGTTCCCCTCCCTGTGTCCATGTGTTCTCATTGTTCACCTCCCACTTTTGAGTGAGAACGTGGTGTTTCATCTTCTGTTCCTGCGTTACTTACCAGCGCTTATTTTCTAGCACCCTTTGTTGTTTTTACCTAATTTTGGAGACCATTTCTTTAAAAAGAAAAAAAAATCAGTTATTCCGTTTGGTTTCTATAGTAACAAAAACTAATTTCTGGGTTTCTCCATGATCTATGATCATGTTGAAACCAAAGAGCACTCATGGGTCTTGCAAAATTCATAAAGTCCTGAACAAATAGGACTGCCATCTTCTGGCATTTGTCTGAAATGACTGATAATTGTACCAATTCTACATTGTAATCATAAGATTTTTATCCTCATTTTTTCACCTGCTGTTTTTTAACAAAGCATGACATAGTACCTGATCAGACAGTTCTTGGGTGACATCATCAACTTGCAAATAAGCCATTTGTCCCAAAGGGAACATGCAGAAGTGAGGATGTCTTAATATAAATGTTTATTCCAGAAACTTGGAAGAGAAATACATTGGGTTCTGAAAGGATCAAAATCTTTCTGCTTCTTTCAAGGGGTTATTTAATCGTTTTAGAATCAAAATAATTCAAAACATGGGTTGTGCAGTTCAAGGGAGATTTCACCAGTGATTACTATTACAGTGTTTTTCTCTTGTAGGAACGAACAGAAATAGGACTAATGGAAGAGGGCATATAGGATCTGGAGACTTCCTCCCACCCTTTACAGCTGACAGCAGTGAGTTATGAGGTGTTACAGAGTAAAACAGAGTTACCGTAAGAGCTGTCCAAATAACTTATGTCCTTGAATCACAACACCATCTTCAGAAGATAATTCATGTCACAAGTGAATGTTCAGTAATATGGATTTTCTCCAAAACACCATATTTAACAGGCAACATCATTGCGAGGTGAATTTAATGGCAGAGTGCATTATTTAATAGAATTGAACTATACTCTAACATTCAACAAGAGCTGATTAAAATGTATGCATAGTTGATAAAGAAACTTAAATACTGGATGTGAATAGCAAATAATAATCAGAATAAAATTTTAAGATTCAGCCAAATCAAAGATTAAAAAGAGTTAACATTAATATAATTAGAATTTGGATATATTTCAACACTATCTTATTATTACAGACATAATATTACATTAAATTTTAAATGTATAATGCAGATGTTTATTCTACCAGAATAGTTTATTGTAGCAATATCTATTCTTTACAAAATTAGGCACACAAATAATTACTTGAATAAATGAAAGGTTTTGTGAAAACCTTAATTTATAAATTAAAGACTATGTGTAGCCTGCCCCCAAAAGTGAGCTAGAATCTGCTTAATAATTGATTAACTTAAATAACTATGTAACATTATAATATGCAAAGATAGTAGTAATACATCATTATTGATTCTATTTCAACAATATTACCACTATTTGTCTCAAATCTGAAAAAGACCAAAATGGATCTTTAAAGTCTTCTTCCCGGATTATTGTCTCCACAAGAGGAGAGCTGGAATATTATAATCAGCCACTGATCTTGGCTTTATGATCAGTGTGACATTCTGTCCTAGTATAAATCCCCAACTCTGATCCATTGTTAAGTGTATCTGGTTTGTTTACCTTCCATGTCTAAAGATATTTCTCTGCAATTGGTTATGTTACTATATTTCTCTGTACTCTGTTGATTTCAAGTTTCTCTTTCTCTGAAATTTGAGAATTGGTCAGAGTGCCCTTGCTCTCTTTCCAGCTCAAGTAATTTTCCACCTCACAGATTTTCTCAATAAAAGAGTTAATTGTACCAGCCATAAATTTTATAGACAAGCAATGATTAAAGTAAAAAATAAGCACCTAGTAAAATTCTATATATCATATTGAATACTCTGTGTGTTCAATTTATTGCTAAACTATCCTTTGCATTCACCATCTTCTTCAGTTCTCACTCCAATACCCTAGTTCAGGTTCTCCCAGCTATCATCTGTATTGTTCCAGGCAATAATCTCTAACTTGTTTTCCTCACAACTTCTTCCTTCTACAAACCACTGTACATGCTACTTTCATAGTAGTCACCTAAAGAAACAATTCTTATTAAGTCAACAATTGTACTTAACTTGCAGCACAGAACCTTGTCTTAGTGTCCCTTTCAAAGCATGCATTCTGCCACCAACTTGCCTTCTAAGTCTTATTTCCTCAATTCCATTTGGGAAGTCTATGCTCCAGCCAAAACGGACTCATCACCATTCCCAAGGCTTAACAATTATATATCTCCCATATCTCCACTTATTAAATTCTAACTATCCTTCAAGGCCCTACTTAAATACAACCAGCTCTTCATGCCTCTTCTGATCACTCAGCATCAGGGAAAACTCAATCCTTGCCCTCTCATTATTTATATATTTCTTGAGATTTCTAATGCATTTATCAAAATATTACAACTCTCTGTTTAATTCGAGTCAGCTACCTAATTTATTTTATTTACCCTTTCATTCACAAATTCTATAAACACTTGAGCAGCTACTAAATCTCGGTCCACATATCAGGCACTGGTGATAGAGCTATGCACATACTAGAACAGATTTGTGCCCACACGGAACTCACATTGCAGAGGAAAACAGACCATAGACAAGGTAATAGATAAATAAACAAAAAGCCTAGATACTGAGACAAGTTTTATAAAGGAAATAAACTTGGTTATATAAATGTGAAAGTTTCTTTTACCTTGGGCAGAAGAGATGATTCATCTGAGGCTTGAAAAATGAGGATTTAAAGTGGAGGATGGCTCTGGATTAGATGCTGTCAGAAAGTAAAAGTAATTGTATGATTGGATGGACCCAGAGTGGGAGGTGGAGCAAGATGGTGGAATAAAAAGCTCCACCCTTCCCTCTACAAGGACGCCAAGTTAACAATTATCTACACAGAAAAAAACACCTTTATAAGAACCAAAAATCAGGTGAACACTTATAGTATCTGGTTTTAACTTCATATCACTGAAAACATGCACTGAAGAGATAGAAAAAAACAGTCTTGAGTCACCAACACCACCTCTCCCCCACCCTCGTCAGTGGTGGCATGATGCAGAGAGCCTCTCCGGGTGCTGCGGGAGGGAGAACGCAAGAATTATGAATCACTGAACTCCGTGCTGTTCTGTCAGAGCAGAAAGGAAAATCAGACCAAACTCAGCTGATGCGAGCCCACGGAGGGAGCATTTAAATCAGTCCTAGCCAACGTGAATTGCCGATCCCAGTGGTCCGAACTCGAGTGCTCACAAATGTCACCACTCAGGGCAAAAAGGCTTTTGGTCTCTAAGTAAACTTGAAAGGTAGTCTAGATTATATGGACTGGAACTCTGAGCTAAGCCCAGAGACAGTGAACTGGGAAGGCAAGAAATGTACTGAGACACCAGCTGGGAAGGCTAAGGGAGTGCTGGCATGAACCCTCCCCTAGCCCCAGGCTGCACAGTTAATTACTCCAGAAAAGACCTCTTCCCTCCACTTGAGGAGAGGAGAGGAAAGAGTGAGGAGGACTTTGTTTTGGATACCAGCTCAGCCACACCAGGATAGGGCAAGAGTCAGAGTCATAAGGCCCTTTTGCAGGCCGTAGGTCCCAGATGACATTTTAGACACACCCTGGGCCAGAAAGGAATCCACTGCCTTAAAGGAAAGGACCCAGTCCTTCCAGCATTCATCACCGGCTAACTGAAGAGCCCTTGGTCCCCGAATGCCAGCAGTGATACCCAGGTACTGCATCAAGGGCATAGGTGAGCCTCTGAGACTTGCTGGCTTTAGGTGACACTCAGCACATTGCCAGCTATGGCGGCTACAGGGCAAAACTCCTTCTGCTTGAGAAAAGCAGAGGGAAAGTAAAGGAGATTAGTCTTGCACCTTAGGTACCAACAATGACACTGGGGTATAGAGCACCAAGTGGGCTCCTGGGGTCCCTGATTCCAGAACATGACATTGGATGGCATTTCTGGACTACCCTGGGCCAGAGAGAGGAGCTGCCTTGAAGGATGAGTCCCAGGCCAGGCAGCATTCACAACAAGCCGACTTAAAAGACCTTGGTCCTTAAGAGAACATTTGTGGTGGTCTGGCAGTACTCTCAAGGCCAGGACTGGTAGCAGCCTTGGGTAAGTCTCCTCTGCATTTGAAAGGGGAGGGAAGAGTGGGAAGGACTGCATCTTGTGGTTTCAGTACCATCTCAGCCACAAGATAATACGATACCAGGTACACTTGTACGTTTTTTAACTCTAGTACCAGACTCCCGAGTGGCACTTCTGAACCCACCCAGGGCCTAGGGAATCATGCCACCCAGAAGGAAAGGACACACACCTGGTTGGCTTTGCCACCTGCTGATTGTAGAGCCCAGGGCTTTGAGTAAACATGGGCATTAACCAGGGAGTGGTTACAGCAGGCATTGGGTGAGACGCAGCAGTGTTCTGGCTTCAGTCTATCCCAGTGCAGTTGTAGTGGTGGTGGTCACAGGGGTATATGTGTCACTCAACCTCCACCTTTAGAGGCTCAGAACAGAGACAGATATTTTGTATGTTTGGGAGAAAATAAGAGATGAGAACAAAAGTCTCTGCCTGGTAATTCAGAGAATTCTTCTGGATCTTGCCCAAGACCATCAAGGTGGTACCTCTAGGAGTCTGCAAGAACCAAAGTGTTACTGTGTTTGCAGTACCACCTAAACCAGAAAAAACTTAGATCATAATACCCAAGTGCTTTCAAATATTTGGAAGATCTTCCCATAAAGGACAGCTACAAATAAGCCCAGATAGTGAATACTACAATAAATACCTAACTCTTCAATGCCCAGACACTAAAGAACATCTACTAGCATCAACACCATCAAGGAAGACATGACCTCAACAAATGAACTAAATAAGTCACCAGGGATCAATCTTGGAGAAACAGAGTTATGTGCCCTTTCAGACAGAGAATTCAAAATAGCTGTGTTGAGGAAATGCAAAGAAATTCAAGATAACACAGAGAAGGAATTCAGAATGCTATTGAATAATACATTTAAGAAAAACAGTTTGAAATAATTAAAAAGAATCAAGCAGAAATTCTGGAGCTGAAAAATGCAATAGGCATGCTGAAGAATGTGTCAGAGTCCTTTAATAGCAGAATGGATTAAGAAGAAGAGAGAATTGATGAGCTTGAAGACAAGCTATTTCAATATACACAGAAGAGAAAAAAAAAACAATGAAGCACACCCACAGGATCTACCAAATAGCATCCACAGGGCAAATCTAAGAGTTATTGGCCTTAAAGAGGAGGTAGAGAAAGAGATAGGGGTAGAGAGTTTATTCAAAGGGATAATAACTGAGAACTTCCCAAACCTAGAAAAAGATATTAATCTGCAAGTACTAGAAGGTTATAGAACACCAAGCAGATTTAACCCAAAGAGATTACCTCAAGGCATTTAATAATCAAATTCCCAAAGGTCAAGGATAAATAAAGGATTATAAAAGCAGCAAGAGAAAAGAAACAAATAACATACAATGAAGCTCTAATACATCTGACAGTAGACTTTTTAGTAGAAACCTTACAGGCCAGGAGATTGGCATGACATATTTAAAGGTTGAAGGAAAACAACTTTTACCCTAAAATAGTATGTCTGGCAAAAATGTCCCTCAAACATGAAAGAGAAATAAAGACTTTCCCAAACAAGCAAAAACTGAGGGATTTCATCAATACCAGACCTGTCCAACAGGAAATACTAAAGGAAATACTTCAATCAGAAAGAAAATGACATTAATGAGTAATAAAGAATCACCTAAAAGTACAAAACTTACTGGTAATAGTAAGTACACAGAAAAACAGAATATTATAACACTGCAACTGTGGTATGTAAACTACCCTTTTCCTAAGTAGAAAGACTAAATGATGAACCAATCAGAAATGACAACTACAACTTTTCAAGATGCAGTCAGTGCAATAATATATAAGCAAAAACATCAAAAAAGTTAAAAAACAGATGAAGTTGAGGTGGGTTTTTATTAGTTTTCATTTGGTTTATTTGTGCAAATAGTGTTAAATTGTTATCAGGTTAAAATAATGGATCACAAGATAGTATTTGCAAGCCGCATGGTAACCTCAAACCAATAAACATACAATGGATACACAAAAAACAAAAAAAGCAAGAAACTAAGTTATATCATCAGAGAAAATCATCTTTACTAGAGGCAGACAGGAATAAAAGAAAGAACAGAAGGCCACAAAACAACCAGAAAACAAACAATAAAATGGCAGGAGTAAGTCCTTACTTATCAATAGTAACATTAAATGTAAATGGAATAAACTCTCCAATCAAAAGAGATAGAGTGGCTGAATAGATGAAAAAAACAAGACCCATTGATCTGTTGCCTACAAGAAACACACTTCACATATAAAGACACAGATAGACTGAAAATAAAGGGATAGAAAAACATATTTCATGCCAATGGAAACCAAAAAAGAGTAGGAGTCACTATACTTATATCAGACAAAATAGATCTCAATACAAAAACTATAAAAAGAGGCAATGATGGTCACTATATAATGATAAAGAGGTCAATTCAACAAGAGGATATAGCAATTTTCAATACATATGCACCCAACACTGGAGCATCAGTAAAGGAAATATTATTAGAGCTAAAGAGAGTGATAGGCCCTGATATAATAATAGCTAGAGACTTCAACAGACTTTAAGCATTGGACAGATCATCCAGAAAGAAAATAAAAAAGAAAAAACATCAGACTTAATCTGCACTATAGACCAAATAAATCTAATGGATATTTACAGAATATTTATCCAAGAGCTGCAGAATACATAGTCTTTTCCTCAGCACATGGATCATTCTCAAGGATAGACCATATGTTATGTCACAAAACAAGTCTTAAAACATTCAAAAAATTCAAATAATATCAGATATCTTTTCTGACCACAATGGAATAAAACCAGAAATTAATAACAAGAGGAATTTTGGAAACTATACAAATACAAGAAAATTAAACAATATGCTTCTGATGACTAGACAGTCAATGAAGAAATTAAAAAGGAAATTAAAAATTTTCTTGAAACAACTGATAATGGAAACAATTGAGAAATGTCTAGATACATACCATCTACCAAGATTGAACCAGGAAGAAATCCAAAACCTGAACACACCAATAACAAGTAACAAGATCAAAGCTTCTCGGTAAAGAAAAGCCATCATGATGGCTTTACTGCTGAATTTTACCAAACATTTAAAGAAGAATTAATACCAATACTACTCAACACATTCTGGAGGGAATACTTCCAAACTCGTTCTACGAGGCCAGTATTACTCTGATACCAAAGCCAGAAAAAGGCACATCAAATAAGAAAACTATAAGCCAATATCTCTGATGAATATTGATGCAGAAATCCTCAAAAAATACCAGCAATCAAATTCAACAATACAATGGAAAGATCATTCATCATGACCAAGTGGGATTTATTCCCAGGATGCAAGGATGGTTCAATATATGCAAATCAATCAATGTAATACATCATATCAACCAAATGAAGGGTAAAAACCATATGATCTTTCAATAGATGCTGAAAAAGCAGTTAATGAAATTCAACATCCCTTCATGATAAAAATCCTCAAAAAACTGGGAATAGAAGGAACATAATAAAAACCATGTATGACAGACCCAGAGCTAGTGTCACATTGAATGGGGAAAAACTGAAAGCCTTCCCTCTAAAATCTGGAACATGACAGGGATGCCCACTTTCACCACTATTATTCAACATAGTACTGGAAGTCTTAGCTAGAGCAGCCAGACAAGAGAAAGAAATAAAGGGACTTCAAAGGGAAGGAAAGAAGTAAAATTATCTTTGTTTACTTATGATAAGATCTTATATTTGGAAAAACCTAAAGACTATCTAAAGACTGTTAGAACTGATAAACAAATTTAGGAAATTTGCAGGATACAAAATCAACATACAGAAATCAGTACCATTTTTATATGCCAACAGTAAGCAATCTGAAGAAGAAATCAAGGCAACCTCATTTACAGTAGTCATACATGAAACTGAATACTTAGGAATTAACTTAACCAAAAAAGAGAAAAACCTCTATAATGGAAATTTGAAAACATTGATGAAAGAAATTGAAATGGACAACAAAAAATGGAAAAATATTCCATGTTTATGGTTTGGAAAAATCAATACTGTTAAAATGTCCACACTCCCCAAAGCAATCTACAGATTCAAAGCAAACCCTATCTAAATACCAATGACATTAATCACAGAAATAGAAAACAATTCTAAAATTTACATTTACCCACAAAAGACCCAGAATAACCAAAGCTATCTTGAGCAAAAAGCACAAAACTGAGGAATCACATTACCTGACTTCAAATTATACTATAGAGCTATAGTAACCAAAACAGTATGATATTGGCATAAAAAGAGACACATAGACCAAGAGAACAGAATAGAGTACCCACAAACAAATCTGCACACCTATGAACTCATTTTCTGCACACCTATGAATTCACACACCTGTGAACTCATTTTCAACAAAAGTGCCAAGAACATACATTGGGATAAAGACCATCTCTTCAATAAATGATGCTGGGAAAACTGGATATTCAAATGCAGATGAATGAAACTAGACCCCTATCTGTCACTATATACAAAAGTCAAATAAAAATGGATTAAAGACTTAAGTCTAAGGCCACAGTATATAAAACTACTATCCAAAAACATTGGGGAAAATCTCTAGGACATTGTTCTGGGCAAAACATTTTTGAGTAATATCTCATAAGCACAGGCAACCAAAGCAAAAACGGACAAATGGGATCACATCAAGTTAAAAAAACTTCAGCACTGCAAAGGAAACAATCAGCAAAGTGAAGAGACAACCCACAGAATGGGAGAAAATATTTGCTTATTTCAAACTACGCATCTGGCAAGAGACTAATGACCAAAATATATAAGGAACTCAAACAACTCCAAAAGAAAAAAAAATCAAATAATCTGATCAAAAAATGCACAAATGATTTAGATAGACATTTCTCAAAAGAAGACATACAGATGGCAAATAGGTATATGAAAAGGTACTCAACATAATTGATTATCAGAGAAATGTAAATTAAAACTACAGTGAGATATCATTTCATGACAGTTAAAATGGCTTATATCCAAAAGACAGGTAATACCAAATGAACAGATGCTGGCAAGGATGTGAAGAGAAAGGACCCCTCACACACTGTTGACGAAATGTAAATTAGCACAACCACTATGGAGAACAGTTTGGAGGTTCCTCAAAAAACTAAAAATAGAGCTACCATAAGATCCAGCAAACCTACTGCTGGGTATATACCCAAAAATAAACACATCAGTATATTGAAGAGATATGTGCACTCCTGTGTTTGTTGCAGCACTCTTTACAATAGCTAAGATTTGGAAGCAACCTAAATATCCATCAACAGATGAATGGATAAAGAAAATATAGTACATATACACAATGAAGTACTATTCAGCCATAAGAAAAGAATGAGATCCTGTCATTTGCAACAACTTGTTTGGAACTAGACATCATTATGTTACATGAAATAAGCCAGGGACTGAAAGCAAACATTGCATGTTCTCACTTATTTCTGGGATCTAAAAATCAGAACAATTGAACTCATGGACATAGAGAGTAGAAGGATGGTTACCAGAGGCTGGGAAGGGTAGCAGGGTGTGATGGGGGAGGGGGGTGGTGGTTAATGTATACAAAAAAGAGTTAGAATGAATAAGACCTGCTATTTGATAGTGCAACATGGTAACTATAGTCAATAATAACTTAATTGTACATTTTTTAAAAGAGTGTATTTAGGTTTTTTGTCATGATGTGCTCATTTCACACTGAATGCCTGTATCAAAACATCTCATGTATCCCATAAATATATATACCTACTATGTACCCACAAAAATTAAAAATCAAAAAAATTAATTAAAAAAATAAACTAGAACCAGACAAACACTGTAATTGGTAAAGAAGAAGCAGCTACTCATTTTAGCCCGGATAGAGGGCTTTGGAGTAATTTCTGTGGCTTAGACAATGCGCATGCTTTGTGTTCAGATATGACTACACCGTGGTATTGTTTTCTCTCTATTCATCACAGTCACAGCACTGCCTTCTCTGATGTTAATGTTCTGCCAAATTGTTTATGTTCAACAGAAGAACACTGAGGTCTAGCTAAGGGGCACCTCCTGGATGTCAGGCAATATTTTTGTCTTTCTCACAGGTTATTCTATATAGTTGCAGTGGATTTCCATGGCTTAGGTAGTTAGTTTGAATATACACAATAAGTTTTCCCCCACAGCTCTGTTAGGACAACAGCAGCTGCTCCCTTAGAGGTAGGTATACGCACCAAGCCTTAGACATAATGTTTAATCGCTATTGCATAATTGACACCCAAGAAGGACTTATCAGAGCCCTTCTCAGAGACCATGTCTGGGTGAGAAAATATCTCTCATTCCTCTGGTGTTTTTAACCTAGGGCTGCCTGAGATTGTGTGAACTGACACTTGAAAAAAGGATAGAAGTACATTTTTCTTAAAAGAAACAGAGATAAGAAATTAATACTAAGTTCAGAAGTCATCTATAGGCTTGGATACAGCTTTTCCTAAAGTCCTAACCCACCCTTAGATTTCCCAGTCATATGAGACAATATGATTTATGAGTAAATTCTTTATCAAATTGCATTTTAATTAAATTTCTGTCATTTGTAGTCAAACACATCTAGAATAATGTATAAATACTGCATACATAAGTAAAAGTTCCCCATTCAAGAACTGAAGGTTAACTATTAACACTAGTATGTAATCCATCAACAAGTCCTGGCATGTATACTCCCGTTTATATCTTATATTTGGCCACTTCTCCCTGCATAGCCCCCATGCAGATAAAAGACATTAATGATACATCATTTTCATGTGAAATAGCAGTAGGTTCCTTACTTCTCTATTTCTTTCTACTCTATTCTCCACACTGCAGTCAAAATAATCTTTAATAAGTATAAATAATAAAAATCCATTGGCTTGGTTAAAATTCTTCAAAACTTCCAACTTCACCTCAAATAGATTCCAAAGTCTATCATGACCAGACCACTCTTACCTCCCAAACCTCATTTCATTTTACCCTTCACCTCTTCCACTGTCTCAGCCACACTGGCCTCCTTTTGGCCCATCAAATATATCCTAGTGTTTTTTGCCATCAAGACTTTACATGAACTACTTCTTCTACCTGGAACATTTTCCTAGCTACTACAGTTCCCTCATCCCCATCTCTGACTCCCTAGGAATCAGTCAGATCTCCTTAAGGTGCAAGTGATGAATAAAGCAATATTGATAATAAAATAATTTTCAAAGCAGCCATACTGTAAGTCTTCTTCTCATGCTTCCTCTCAATTTAAACAAAGGCATTTTTCCCATCCCCACACCCACATTGTCACTCTTTCTCAGCACTCTATTTTTTTTAAAAAAGCACCAGTCTCATGTTATAATTATAAATGATATTTTGGGAATTGTTTCGGTAATAGTATCTCTCCCACACTTGTTTATAAGGTCTGTGAAGACTGGACTCTTTAGCTATTTAACATTTGCTTCTGTCTATATTTCTTGCCTAGTGCTCCAGTTTCCATTTAATATAGAAATTCTTAATGTTGTTCCCCAAGATTTTCCTTCTGCTTCAGCTTGCCAGGGTGTGTTACTGACAACTAAAGATTCTTATACCAAGTCTATTTTTTTACACCGTATACTCAAACTTTAATAGAGCACCTATTGTAGACTTTTCGTTCCATAATATTTGTTAAAATGAGATTTTTATGCTGTTTCTTATAGAAAGTGTAAATCTAAGAGCTGTTGCTGTAATACTTCACCAAAAAAAACCTAGAAAAGTAATCAAATGAACATAGTTGAAGACAGACTCTATGCACAAGTTCAGGCAAAGAAACTCATTATAAGACTTTTTTAAACCTGAGGCAGAGAGAGATTTTGAAATCCAGGAAACTAGTGATTTTGCATCTAGTCAGACCTCTTATCATCTGGAGATTTTGAGATTAAAATCAACATGATCAAATATAAGTAGTCATAGTAGGCCACTGTGCAGTGTAATAATTGATTTTCAAGAATTTCACAGGCTTAAATTGTATGGTTTGTATATGCTTTCCTTATTACTTGAGTCTCCTATTACAATGTAAAAAATGTTGTCTTAAGAAATTTAACCTTGGAGTTCCAAAATACAGTGTTCTTAATCTCTAACATGGATCACAACAAAAGAAAAGGAAGGATGAGCTATCAAGAAAAATGTTCTGGCCTGTAATCCCAGCACTTTGGGAGGCCGAGGCGGGCGGATCACGAGGTCAGGAGATCGAGACCATCCCGGCTAAAATGGTGAAACTCCGTCTCTACTAAAAATACAAAAAATTAGCCGGGCGTAGTGGCGGGCGCCTGTAGTCCCAGCTACTTGGGAGGCTGAGGCAGGAGAATGGCGTGAACCCGGGAGGCGGAGCTTGCAGTGAGCCGAGATCCCGCCACTGCACTCCAGCCTGGGCGACAGAGCGAGACTCTGTCTCAAAAAAAAAAAAAAAAAAAAAAAGAAAAATGTTCTGGACACTGAAGCTGTACACTACAGCATATTGCTAAGAAAGCTGTATGGTTGTTTCTCATGGAGACGTTAAGGGTGAGATACCACAGTTCTCCTACTAGTGGTTTAGGTGTCACCTAACGCTAGATAAAGCCTCACACAGATTATGATTCTAGTAAACTACAGTTGTTGAAAACCTAATGCAATGAATCTGTAAGGAACCACTGGGCTCAAAATTGGTCATCAAAGCTACAATTTAAATGCCATTTTACCATGCAAGATTTAGGGATCTGAAGAGGAGAACCTAAGTTAAACTTGCAAAGGACAGCTCCTAGTTATCCTGATGTGTTCTATTTCACATTTATCCCAAGGTTGATTATTTCTCCCCTTACTGGTATTTTGCCAATGTCTACATCTGGGAAACTTTATTTTTGCTTTTTTATTACTTGACATAAGAAAGTAAAAAAGAATAACAGACCAGCCATGTTTATCTTCACCTTCATTTTCTGTGAGTTAATGAAACAGTCTCTCCAGATCAAGAACACATCTGGTATCCATCTGTTAAAAAGCAAGAATTATAATTTTAGCTGTTCTCACTGCTGTCGCTTTATTATCCCCCAGCATTTTTAGGTAATATGCATCCTAATGACTAAGAGAACCACATTTCAGTGACAAAAAGTGGTAAATAGTGCAAAGTATGAAACTTATAGCATTCAGAATTTCCTAGTTTTTCATACAAGAACTAGATCGGATAGCTAAGTAATCACAACAGCAAACGCTACAGCTGATCTAAGTCTCTGGCCTATGTATTCTAATCAGTCAGCAATATTCAACCATAAAACATTTGAATTGGAAAATATATGACAGGTTTTTTATAAATTTTATATATTACTAAGCAGATTTATCAATTTTGTGAGTACCTTAACACTATCTAAGATTATATTGCATGCTAACTCTTTTTTTCCTTTTTTTTTCACTTTGCGAAACTATCAGAAGAGAATACAGTCATTTTTTAGTTATAAATCCACAGAAAGGGAAGGAAACCTTCATGCAGGTATAATGGGAATCAGTGAATTGCCTTCCAGCTACAGTAGAAGCATGGTTCCCACATCATAAAGTGACTGCTTTAACCTACAAAAAGTATTTTCAGGGGCATAAAAAATTGCTTCCTGATGAGCAACTGTGAGCTTTCTTCTCACTATAAACCACAAAGTATTTAAGAATAAGGCAAATCTAAAGGCACAAGCTTCTCATGTGGCTTTCAGGACAAAGATTCCAGTTGCACTTTATGCTCTTATTGTTTCTCCTAAAAGATATCATCCAAATGATATATTCTAAGAAACTTTAAGCTTTGAGAGGCCAAAAAAACAAATCTGTCAAATTCTGTGGATTCCTGACCTGGAGGAATCCATGTTTATATCTGTATAACATTGAAGAGGATATAGGCAGAGTATAAAACAATGATAAACTCAGTACTTCATAGAATTGGATCAATTAAATCTAATTTCTATTCAAAAGAAGTGCTTCTGTTTTACATCAGGTAAGAAAGAAGGTCATAGAATAATACCTTGAGACATTCCACAAAATGTTTCCATCTTTTATTTTCAGGTTCTCTCTTTATCTCCCAACCCAGTACCATTCAACACTTTATTTATATTATTTACAATTACTTGGTGAGCACCAACTACATTAAACTACATTCCAGGAACTACGTAAGCCTTGGGGATATAGTATACACAGACAACACCCTGCTCTTATAGGATTTATATTTAAGATGAAGGAGAAAGACCATACAAGTAAGTAAAGAGACTAGATAAGTGCTATAAGTACATAAATCAGGACAAAATACTGTGATGAAATAATCTGGTTGGGCACAGTGGCTCACACCTGTAATCCTAGCATTTTGGGAAGCCAAAGTGGATAGATAACTTGAGCCCAGTAGTTTGAGTCCAGCCTGGGCAATATGGCAAAACCCTGTCTCCACAAAAATCACAAAAATTAGCCAAGAGTGATGGCATGCACCTGTAGTCCCAGGTACTCAGGAAGCTGAGGTGCGAGGATCACCTGAGACTGGGGTGGTCAAGGCTGCACTGAGTCAAGATCATGCCACTGCACTCCAGCCTGGGTAACAGAATTAGACCTTGTCTCAATAAAATACACGTATATATTTTACAACTGATCTGAGAGTGCTACTATAAATTGATCATGGATAGCCTTTTCCGCAAAAGTTAGCCATGTGAATATCTGAGAAAACAGAGCTACAGGCACAAGACACAAGTGTAAAGGCATTGAAGTGGGAACCTTTTTATGTGCTTAAGGAATATAAAAGAGTGCTGGTGAGACTGCAGTCCAGTGAGCTAAGTAGGAAATGAATTTGAAAAGAGAGTCAGGGATCAAAATGTGTAGACTAAGCAAACAGTTTTCACTTTATTCTAAGTGTATTGAGAAGCAAAGATGTGACATGCTCTAATTTAGGCTTATCATGATTTCTGTTTGCAGTGTGGAATGTGGATTTAATTTGGGACTGGGTGAAAGCAGGGAGATTAGTTAAAATGTTGTTGCATTGATCTAGGCCAAAAAAAAAAAAATGGTCACTTGTGTGTGACAACCATGGCAATGAGGAGATAGTGAAAATCTCAGGATATGCATACTTTGGAAGTAGAGTCAATCAACAGGACTTGCTGATAAATTAGATGTGGAGAGGCAGAAAATGAGGAACTAAAAATGACACTTTTGAACTGAGTTTGTGTTCCTTCAGTAAAGGGTAGAAGTCATGACATTTACTAAAATACAGAAGAAAGGATCAAGTTTGAGAACAATGAGTTAGCTGCAGACACATTAACTTTGAGATGACTGAAATATTCAGAGCAGATGTCCCAGTAGACAGAGGAATTTGCGGGTCTAAACCATAGCTGTGCCCTCTTCAAGCCTCCAGCCAACACCCTTGCCCATTGCCTCTTGGGCAAATCAGACTCTGAGCTATAATTTGAAAATGAGTGTTACAATAACTCAACAACTGCAACCCTTTTTTCTCTTCTATTTTCTTACCCTTTAGTGGAAATCCTCCTTTCCTTACTCCAAAAGAGTTGGACTGTTCAGCTCAGGACACTAGAACGTATTTCAGCATAGCTTTGAGACTTCAAATGATTCATTAGTTGATCCTAAACATACCAACACTATGAAAAAGAGTTCACTCCTATCTCTGTTGTCTTGATAATGACTGATGGTGAGTGCACTTCCATTGGACTCCCTTAGTTTATACACTGATTTTGAGAGACCCAAACACAACTCATCTCTAGTTGGTTAATTCTACTTAAGTCTTACGTTCCTCTTCAAAGTCTTCACTACAAATAAAAACAGTAAACAATGTCACGTTTATTTGTTTCATAAGTTTTGAGCCATTTTATGAAACAACTTATTGACTGCAATGATAAAGAACGGTTTCTAGAGTTCTCTACAACCTTCATAAAAGAATGCATCAAACACAGCTAACAGTCTATATTAAAAAAAGAGAATGCTCTTTGAAATATGTAAAAGCTATCATATATAACATTTTGCATATACTTCCCTGATAAAGAAAAACACCCAATAAAATAAGCTCTCATTAGTTACATTTCTGATTTTTTACTCTATGATTTTTTTTTGCTTAAAAAAGCCAATTTCTGCCTTTTCACAAGGAATTGTATATATAGAGGCAATTCCTTTGCTATACCTGTTCTTGTTTTTGTCTCTTACCTTCTATATCTAATTAGCAGATCTACAAAAGCTTCACTGATTATTATTTGCAGTGGTTATTATTATTCCTAGGAGCTCAGTGCAGAAATCTTAATTATTTATATTTTTAAAAATATATTCTTTATTTTTCTTTAATGATTATTAGCAAGTGACAGAGACACTAAGAAAAATATTGATTTCATATACTTTCAGGTAACTGACTCAATTAAGAAAAGAATATAAAACCTGTACTAATAAAATAATTTATTTGTATTTAACCTAGCCACTAGGATCTAATAGGAGATTTTAACCTGTATCAACAAGAAAATATTCAGATAAGATGAAAGTTTCAACTAACCATATAGTGGTTTCATATGAACACCAAATATTAAGAAACAGATGATACGTGAATATTTTGTTTTCTATGCAAGTGTTTTGACACTCCGTCAAAATACTATTGTTTTTAAGTCTCTAGAGAACAAGAATGCTATCCTACCATAAAGTATGTTTGCAAAAAGGAATGAAATATTGTCTTTAAAGATCAATCAAGTGCAGCAATTTTTGCTTCAAGATTCCAGACCCATCTTTTACTTTGCCAAGCAATAATTACATCATGAAACTTGAGTTAAGACACATTTGTCACCACTTTTGCAGCCTTTCTATTAGAATAGCTTGAGAGTGATTATACTAATATATATTAAATCCTATAATACAGTTTTTAAAAATTACGCTCCAAGAAACACCTTATCTAACAATAGTTTAATCATTTCAGAAGACAGTTACATCAACATAAAATCATGCAAGTAATTCCTATAATCGACAAAACATGATACATCAATTAAACTGTTAAAGCAGAGTAGACTTCACACATTGAATTAAAACTCTCTCAAAAAAGTAGGCTGAAAGGACAAGATTTTCTGTTTTCATAAAATAAGCAGTTGAAATCAAACCGAGGATTTTTTCAGTCAAAACATTTGTGTCTGAAAAGAGCATCTTCAATTTATTTCATTTCTCTCTAATCTTTACAGATTTCAAGTTTCCTAAATGTGACTTTTCTCCCGTTTGTAAACAAATAAAAATTTACATTCAAATACAATTATCAACATCCTTCATAGTGAAGACCTAGGAAAGGATGTTGAATTTGAAGTTGTTGGTGATGCCCCAGAAAAAGTGGGGCCCAAACAAGCTGAAGATGCTGCCAAAAGCATAACCAAAGGCAGTGATGATGGAGCTCAGCCCTCCACCTCCACAGCTCAAGAGCAAGATGATGTTCTCATAGTTGATTAGGATGAAGAAGATTCTTCAAATAATGCCGACGTCAGTGAGGAAGAGAGAAGCCGCAAGAAGAAATTAGATGAGAAAGAGAATCTCAGTGCAAAGAGGTCACGTATAGAACAGAAGGAAGAGCTTGATGATGTCATAGCATTAGATTGAACAGAAATGCCTCTAAACAGAACCCTCTTCCTATTTAGGTTATCTGGGCAGAACCAGATTGTTAGGTCCTTTGTTGCAAAGAGAAAAAATTGACACCAGTGACTTGAAAATGATTCTGCTCCCTTTCAAAGCATTCATTTTGCTAGAACTGTTAGACACATTGCAGTATGCTGTATTGAAAGTGGGAATATAGTTTTAAAAACCCTTTGAACAAAGTGTGTGCATAACCAGTCATGAGATAAAACAACACAATGCATGTTGCCTTTTTAATGTAAATACCCTTAGGTATCATTAATAGTTTCAAAATATTGTGGTTTAGTAAAGTTGATACCTGGTTATAAATATTATGCCTTTATTTTTGGCTAGAAGAATAATTATTTTTAGCCTAGATTTAACCATTTTCATACTCTTAGATGATTGAAACAGATTCAAAGAAGTATCGAGTGCTATGCATTAAAACTTGTTTTTAAATGTTAAATGGCACTATGTATATTAATGTAAAACAATGTTAATTTACTCAAGTTTTCAGTTTGTACTGCCTGGTATGTCTGTGTAATAAGCCAATTTTTGTGTATTGTTACAGTTTCAGGTTATTTATATTCGATGTTTTGTAAAACTCAAATAACGACTATACTTACGGACCAAATAAATGGCACCTGCATTCTTGTTTTAAAAAAATACAATTTTTTGTAGGTGCTTCTCAGATTTTACGCCTGTAATGCAGTTTTATAAACTAATACTTATAAACTAATGTTTATTACAAGAAAAAAATTATTCATGCTGCACTGATTTTTTATTTATTAAATTAAGAAGTACAAAATACATGTGATTTAAATAAATAGAATAAGTGCAATCAATAACTTCTATTTTATCAGTGAGGATTCACTCATTAAAAGGCACAACGCCAAAATAAATTCAAGAATATTCATTTTATAAATTTTGGGATGGAAAGGAAAACGTGATTCCGAGATAGAAAGGGGGAAAAAATCCTGTTGGAATTGCTTCTAATTTTATTTGAATTAAACATATTATTTCTTTAAAATAAGAGGAGACAGCAATGCCAATACATCAAGTACAATTATTAATTCCACAGTTTCACACAATCCTACAATCCATGTGTTGCCAAATATTGTCAAAGATTTAAAGAAATTTATCATCAAGTCCCATACTTATAAAATCTAATTATTTAAGGTTTAAAATAATGGAATGAATATTAATTAAAAACAGAAAAAATTAAAATCATGTTAGTTTTAAAAATTGTAACAATCACAACATGGGTTTGGTTATTATTTATGGTATTGTTTTCCCTCATACATACTTCAGTTGGCATTCATCTACCACTATCAACTTGAAAAACATACAATAAAGGAAGAGCTACCATTTTAGAACCAAAGGCTCAAGTCTGGCAAACTGTTCTCATGCGTACTTTAGAAATCTAATTGGCAGAATATAGTTGAGACGATAATATTAATGCTCTAAATAATTCTACGATAGGATGGTATGTCACTGAATCGAAATACACCTGACTTTGTAAATTTGAAAACTTGTTTTCTAATAAAAGAAAATTATTCTATTTTTATTTTTAGTTTTTGTGGGTACATATTAGGAGTATACATTTATGGGATACATGAGATAGTATGATATAATCATACAATGTTTAATAATCACATCAGGTTATATGGGGTGTCTATCACCTCAAGCATTTATCCTTTCTTTGTTTTGCAAACAATCCGATTATACTCTTTTAGCCATTTTTAAATGTACAACAAGTTATCATTTACTGTAGTCACCCTGTAATGCTATCAAATAACAGATCCCTTTCATTCTAATTTTATTTTGTACCTATTAATCATCCTCACTTCCCCCTCCCCTTCTGCTACCCTTCCCAGTCTCTGGTAACCAACATTCTACTCTCTAACTCCATGAGTTCAAATATTTTAACTTTTAGCTCCCACAGATAATTAAGAACATGTGAAGTTTGTCTTTCTGTGCCTGGCTTATTTCATGTAACATAATGACCTCCAGTTCCACCCATGTTGTTAGAAATGACAGAATCTCATTCTTTTGTAAGGCTGAATAGTACTCCATTGTGTACATGTACCACATTTTGTTTATCCATTTCATCTGTCGATGGACACTTAGGTTGCTTCCAAATCTTAGCTATTGTGAACAGTGCTGCAATAAACATGACAGAGCAGGTATCTCTTCAACACACTGATTGCCTTTCTTTAGGGTATATACCAAGAAGTGGGATTGCTGGATCATATAGTAGCTCCAGTTTTAGTTTTTTGAGGACCCTCCAAACTGTTTTCCATACTAGTTGTGCTAATTTACATTCCCACCAATAGTGTACCAGGGTTCCCTTTCTCCACATTCTTGCCGGCATTTGCCTGTCTTTTGGATATAAGCCATTTTAACTGGAGTGAGATGATACCTTGTTACAGTTTTGATTTACATTTCTCTGATGATCATTGATGTTGAGCACCTTTTCATATGCCTGTTTGCCATTTGTATGTCTTCATTTGAGAAATGTGTATTCATATATTTTGCTCATTTTTAATCAGATTTCTAATTTTTTTTCCTCTGGAGTTGTTTGAACTCCTTATATATATTCTGCTTATTAATACCTTGTCAGATGAGTAGTTTGCAAATATTTTCTCCCATTCTGTGGGTTGCCTCTTCACTTTGTGCATTGTATCCTTTGCTGTGCAGAAGCTTTTTAACTTGATGTGATACTTTTTCCATTTTTGCTTTGGTTGCTTGTGCTTGTGGGGTATTACTCAAGAAATCTTTGCCCACTCCAATGTCCTAGAGTTTCCCCAATGTTTTCTTATAGTAGTTCCATAGTTTGAGGTCTTACATTTAAGTCTGTAATCCATTTTTATTTGATTTTTATATATAGTAAGAGATATTTGATTTTTATATGTGGTGAGAGTCTAGTTTCATTCTTCTGCATATGGATATTCAGTTTTCCCATCACCATTTATTGAAGAGACTATCTTTTCCCCAATGTATGTTCTTGGCACCTTTGTCAAAAATGAACTCACTATAGATGTATGAATTCTGGGTTCTGTATTCTGTTCCATTAGGCTAAGTGTCTGTTTTTATGGAAGTACCATGCTGTTTCGGTTTCTATAGCTCTGTAGTACAATTTGAAGCCAGGTGATGTGATTCTTCCAGTTTTGTTTTTTCTACACAGGACAGCTTTGGCTATTGTGGTTCCATATAAATTTTAGGATTTTTTTCTGTTTCTGTGAATAATGTCATTGGTATTTTGATAGGGATTGCATTGAATGTATAGATTGCTTTGGTTAAGTTGAACATTTTGATAATATTGATTCTTTCAATCTATGAATGTGGAATATCTTTCCATTTTGTGTGTGTGTTCTCTTCAATTTCATCAATGTTTTATAGTTTTCATTGTAGAGGTCATTTATTTTGTTAATTTCTAGGTATTCTATTATAACTGTAGCTATTGTAAATGGAATTACTTTCCTGATTTCTTTCTCTGCTAGTTCATTACTGGTATACAGAAATGCTACTGATTTTTGTATGTTGATTTTGTATCCTGCAAATTAACTGAATTTGTTCATCAGTTCTCATAGTTTTTTGGTGGTGTCTTTAGGTTTATCCAAATATAAGATCATCATCTGTAAACAAGGATAATTCGACTTCTTCCCTTCCAATTTGGGGATTTCTTTCTTTCTTTCTTTCTTTCTTTTTTTCTTTCTTTCTTTCTTTCTTTCTTTCTTTCTTTCTTTCTTTCTTTCTTTCTTTCTTTCTTCCTTCCTTCCTTCCTTCCTTCCTTCCTTCCTTCCTTTCTTTCTTTCTTTCTTTCTTTCTCTCTTTCTTTCTCTTTTCTGATTTCTCTAGCTAGGGCTTACAGTACTATACTGAATAACAGTGGTGAAAATGGGCATCCTTGTAGTGTTCCAAATCTAAGAGAAGGGTTTTCATTTTTCTTCATTCAGTATAATACTAGCTGTGAGTCTGTCATATATGGCGAAAATTGTTCTTTATTTGAAGCTAAAAAAGAAAAAGGTGGGCTTGAGGGTAGTAAAATTGGGTCATCTGTGACTTTATTGCTGATTTGGTATTTTGAATCATTGCACAGGTGAAATAAAATATTCCTCACAAATATTTAGTGGGATTCTAGCTTAGACTAAAAAAAATTATATAATTACTTTGTGTTAGTAAATGGAAAGGATGTAATTATGAGATAATTTAAATAGAAGCTTTTCTACTTGACACCAAAATGGTGCTCTAAGAGTACTGTAGAACTTGCCTCCAGAATTTTGTGATTTTTGGCCTCTAGTGTGTTGCTTTCCACGCTGATTTTATTAAGTAATATTTTATTAATTAAAAAGAAGCCAATGTAGTATACTAAAACTGAGTTCAATGTAAAGTGAATAAAAATCATTTAAAGTGTTCAAACATTTATCTCTGTTTTCTATTTCTTGAATTCATTCTCTAATAATAAATTCTCTTGGGATAAAATGTATTCTCTTGTCCTGTGCAATGAGTTATGTCAAACCATTCTATTCAAACAGTACTACATTTTATTAATATGCTTCTAGGCAAACTGCCAAAGAAGAAAAACAAGTTCTAATTTTTAAATACTCTAGACAGCTTATTATAGCTTAGGCTGAAATACAAAACTAAGGCAGGCAGATCAAGCACACCTACATTCCAGTGTGCACTTTTATATGGCCTTTCTTAATTCCAAGAGATGTATTTGATTAAACACATTAGCAGAAATAATAACACTGCTATTAGTAATTTGCTATTTGGATAAATCTGCCTTTAAAATAAGTTAGACATGCACACTAAATTCAATTTGTCATTGCATTTGGTTATTTATATACCTAATGCCATATGGCTGTTTGACCAGGCTCTTTCTGCTTTGCAAAGGAGAATCTTTACCCGTCGAAAAACATGAACTTACGAGGATAAGAAAGTCTAACGGAGGCAACAAGGTCATATTAAAATGACTTGTGGGTTTTTTTCTCCTGCTTCTTTACTCTCATAGGACCATGATTATATAGTCTTCCTTTTAATTCATGCACATAAATAAACATATTCCAAATGGTATAAGATGGATTATACTGCTGAGAACTTTCTTACACTTTTTAGCTTGAAGAATCCAGGAGAATACCACACACGAGATGCAAATAGATAGATTTCTAACACCCAGCAGAAAACTAAAAGTTTTAAGATACCCATGTTTCTCAATTAAATTTTATCAGCATATGAAAAAAAACAATTTGAAGATTCTCATACTTGTTTTTTCAGATTTGATTATCTACAACACCAAGATACCTCAAATGGTTATGAATTTCCCCTTTCAAATAGTTCTGTTAAGTATCATTAAATATTTTGTAAAATATGTTTTAGGTTCCTAAGTGGGTTAAATTTACATTATTCATCCACCATGAAGAATAATGAGTAATTATAATCTCTTTCTTGCCCAAAAGGAGAGTTAGTTCCCAGAAATGAAATCCTGGTTAAGTTTTGCTGTATACCACTTCCAACACAAATTGCCCACCACAGATTAAAACTTGGCTCTGTATGTAAGAATATGTCCTGTTTGAAATTGCAGTAAGATACAACATATGGGAAAAAATGGAGCACTTGGAATAACTTGGCAAAATAATTTAGAAAATGAAATGTTATAAAATGCAATGTATAAGTAATGTTTTCTCTAATGATCATTTAAAGATGCAGTTATAACAAGACAATCTTTTGCTCTCTTCTTTTTATTCTGTTATAGCTTTACAAAAATGACTTTCTGCACGGAAGCTGATCTATTTGCTCACGCCTTTCCCACTTGTTTTGAAAAAGTCTAAGAAAAACGTACTTATATATATATTATTTTACTCAAAGTTGAAATACACATGCTTACTCTTTCTTAAGAGAGGCCTAATTGTTGAAATATTTCATTTCTCAGAAACTTAGTGTAAATATTTTCTGAGTGAGCAATGAAGCCAGTAAAAAATATTCATAAATGGAAATATTATACTTATTTAAAACTCATTAATGATTTTAAAGCTGTATAGGATGATATAAACATTTAAAACTTGTTCTAACAAGCAAATAGTCAAATGAAATATGTTTCAATATCTAAAAAGTTCCATTAATTTTTATTATCTTCCTCCTTTTTTAATATAGCATGCACAAAAGGGAGAAAGAAATTTAGGAGCAAAAATTATGCTCCCACCTTTTATATATGAAATTTATTTTTATACAGGTATTCACATGACCTAGAATTTAAGCTGCTATCTTTCCCTAGGAAAGACAAAGGCAAACTGAGAGAACCATTCCTTTTTGTCCTCCACTGTCAGGTAACCTGTGCATTTCAGTGAGGAAAATGTTGACATGCATACTCCTGTCTTTTAATGAATTACTTGAATTCCAGACTCCTGGGAGTATTGACTGTAGATAAAATATATGAATTTAAAGTCAAACAGATAAAAGTTCAATAGCAAGTTCTTCCATCCTTATCTGCCTCAAATATAGGATGGGAACCAGAATAGCTTCTGCCTTATAAGCTATTATGATGCATCCCTATAAAATAATATGGCACAGGTCTGCCACATAGGACATGTTTAATCAATGTTTATTATTACTTTGTTACATGAGAACAATAACTTTAAAATATAATGATAAATGCTATCTTCACTGAACACTTACTTCAGGCTTTGGGTAAGTACCTTACATGTGTTGCATAATTTAATTCTACAATGTTATTAATCCATTTTACAAATGCCATGATTGACAGGTATCGGTTCCTGATTCAAAGTATTCCAAGGTTACTTTTTTTTGTATTTTTTTAACAACTCCTGGTTTAAAGAGGAGATTCACATAAAAGGGCATATATATCTTGCATATACATTAAAAATAATATTTTGTGGATATTTCTCTGTTATGGCAGATATTACCACGTTAGACATTTTTTCTGAAATATTTTCTTGGATTAAGATATTACTAGATTGAGTTACAAAAATCAATAAATTAATTACATTTTTCAAAAGGCTATTTCAATTTATGTATGTTTATTTTAACAGATCTGATATTTGGCATTTTTGTTCTACTTCTGACTAATAGGCATCATCAGTTTGATTCATTTCTGTAGTGTGATTTCATAAATAAATGTTGAGATTTATTTCTTTTAATAATAATATTATTATTATTAGTTTTGAGACAGAGTCTCGCTCTGTCGCCAGGCTGGAGTGCAGTGGTGCGATCTCGGCTCACTGCAACCTCCACCTCCCAGGTTCAAGCGATTCCCCTACATCAGCCTCCTAAGTAGCTGGGACTATAGGTGTGCACCACCATGCTGGGCTAATTTTTTTTTTTTGTAAATTTGTAGAGACCAGGTTTCACCATGTTGGCCAGGATGGTCTCAATCTCCTGACCTCGCGATCTGCCTGCCTCAGCCTCCCAAAGTGCTGGGATTACAGGCATGAGCCACCATGTCCAGCCTTAATATTATCATTTGATAATAAGAACAATGAAATCTTCAAATACCCAGAAACAAATATAAATATTTATAAATATAAAAGTGTAAAACAAGTGTATACAAATTAAATATATGAAAAATTCAACAAATGCAGAAGTTTAAAATCTAATTTTAATATGAACCAAATATCATACTGTGTGTGTGTGGGTATGTGATAATTTGCACACAAAATGACTAATGATATGGTTTGGCTGTGCCCCACCCAAATCTCATCTAGAAGTCCCATGTATTGTGGGAGGTACCAGGTGAGAGGAAATTGAATCATGGGGGCAGGTCTTTCCCATACTGTTCACATGGTAGTGAATAAGTCTCATAACATCTGATGGTTTCATAAGGGGGAGTTTCCCTGCACATGCTCTCTTCTCTTGTCTGCCACCATTTGAGACATGCCTTTCACCTTCCACATGATTGTGAGGGCTCACCAGCCAGGTAGAATTATAAGTCCATTAAACCTCTTTCTTTTGTAAATTGCCCAGTCTTGAGTATGTCTTTATCAGCATTGTAAAAATGGATTAATACAGTAAATTGGTACCAGTAGAGTGGGGTAGTGCTGAAAAGATACCTGAAAATGTGGAAGCAACTTTGGAACTGGGTAATAGGCAGAGGTTGGAACAATTTGGAGGGCTCAGAAGAAAACAGGAAAATGTGGGAAAGTTTGGAACTCCCTAGAGACTTGTTGAATGGCTTTGACAAAAATGCTGATAATGATATATATGGACAATGAAATCCAGGCTGAGGTGGTCTCAGATGGAGATGAGGAACTAGTTGGGAACTGGAGCAAAGATGACTTTTGTTATGTTTTAGCAAAGAGACTGGTGGCATTTTGCCCCTGCCCTAGAGATTTGTGGAACTTTGAACTTGAGAGAGATGATTTAGGGTGTCTAGTGGAAGAAATTTCTAAGCAGCAAAGCATTCAAGAGGTGACTTGGGTGCTGTTAAAGGCACTCAGTTTTAAAAAGGTAACAGAGCATAAAAGTTGGGAAAATTTGCAGCCTGACAATGTGATAGAACAGATAATCCCATTTTCTGAGGAGAAATTCAATTTGGCAGCAGAAATTTGCATAGGTAACAAGGTGCCGAATGTTAGTCACTAAGACAGTGGGCAAAATGTCCCCAGGGCATGTCAGAGACTTCTGAGGCAGCCCTTCCCACGACAGACCAGAGGCTTAGGTGGAAAAAATGGTTTTGTGGGCCAGGCCCAGGGTCCCTCTGCTGTGTACAGTCTAGGGACTTGGTGCCCTGCATCCTAGATGCTCCAGCCATGACTAAAAGGGGCCAAGGTACAGCTCAGGCTGTTGCTTCAGAGGGTGGGAGCCTAAAGCCTTGGCTTTGGTGTTGAGCCTGTGGGTGCACAGAAGTCAAGAATTGAGGTTTGGGAACCTCCACCTAGACTTCAGATGATGTATGGATATGCCTGGATGCTCAGGCAAAAGTTTGCTGGAGGGGTGAGACCCTCATGGAGTACTTCTGCTAGGGCAGTGCAGAAAGGAAATGTGGGGTCAGAGCCCCACACAGAATCCCTACTGGAGCACCACCTAGTGGAGCTGTGAGAAGAGGGCCACCATCCTCCAGACTCCAGAATGGTAGATCTACAAATAGCTTGCAACATGCACCTGGAAAAGCCACAGATACTTAACACCAGCCCATGAAAGCAGCCAGTAGAGGGCTATACTCGCAAAGCCACAGACGCAGAGCTGCCCAAGGCTGTGTAAGCACACCTCTGGTATCGGCATGACCTGGATGGGAGACATGGAGTCAAAAGAGATCATTTTGGAGCTTTAAGTTTTGACTGCTCTGCTGGATTTTGGACTTGCATGGGGCCTGTAGCCCACCACTTTGTTTTGGTCAATTTCTCCCATCTGGAATAGCTATATTTACCCAATGCCTGATCCCCATTGTATCTAGGAAGTAACTAACTTACTTTTAATTTTACAGGCTCATAAGCAGAAGGCACTCGCCTTGTCTCAGATGAGACTTTGGACTGTGGACTTTTGAGTTAATGCTGAAATGAGTTAAGACTTTGGGGGACTGTTGGGAAGGCATGATTGGTTTTGAAATGTGAGGACATGAGATTTGGGAGGGGCTGGGGCAGAATGATATGGTTTGGCTGTGTCCCCACTGAAATCTCATCTTGAATTCCCACGTGCTGTGGGAGGGACCTGGTGGGAAGTAATTGAATCGTGAGGGCAGGTCTTTCCCATGCTATTCTCATGATAGTGAATAAGTCTCATGAGATCTGTTGGTTTTATAAGGGGGAATTTCCCTGCACAAGTTCTCTTCTTGTCTGCCACCATGTGAGATGTGTCTTTCACTTTACATGTGATTGTGAGGCCTCCCCAGCTACCTGGAATTGTAAGTCCATTAAACCTCTTTCTTTTGTAAATCGTCCAGTCTCAGATATATCTTTATCAACAGTGTGAAAACAGACTAATACAACTAATATGCAGAATCTATAAGGAACTTAAACAAATCAATAAGAAGAAAACAACCCCATTAAAAAAGTGGGCAAAGACATGAACAGACATTTCTCAAAAAAAGACATACAGGTAACCAACAAACACGAGCAAATGTTCAACATCACTAATCATCAGAGAGAGGCAAATCAAAACCGTAATGAGATACCATCTCACACCAGTCAGAACGGCTATTATTTAAAAAGTCAGAACACAACATGTCAGAGAGGTTGCAGAGAAAGGGAACGCTTATAGACTATTGTTGGGAATGCAAATTAGTTCAGCCACTATGGAAAGCAGTTTACAGATTTCCCAAAGAACTGAAAATAAAATTGCCACTTGACACTGCAATCTCATTACTAGGGATATAGCTAAAGGAAACTAAATTGTTCTAACAAAAAGATACCTGCAATCATATGTTTATCACAACAATGTTCACAATAACAAAGACATAGAATCAACCCAGGTACCCATCTATGGTGGACTAATGACATTGTGGTACATATACACCATGGAATACTACACAGCCATGAAGAAAGAATGAAATAACATCCTTTTGTAGCAACATGGATGCAGCTGGGGCCATTATCTTAAGCAAATTAATGTAGAAACAGAAAAATAATTCATGTTCTCACTTACAAGTGGGAACTCAACATTGGGTCCACATGAACACAACCATGGGAAAAACAGACACTGGGGACTCCAACAGTGGGGAAGGGGGTGGACAAGAGTTGAAAAACTACCTGTTGGGTACTATGTTCACTACTTGGGTGATGAGATCATTATGAGCCCAAACCCAGCATTATGCAGTATACTGATGTAACAAGCCTACACATGTACCCTCTGAATCTAAAATTTAAAAAAATAATAATAATTTTCACAGATAATCCTCTACCTGCTTAGTTTGTTAACAGAGCTATTAAGTGTTGACTGGATCTCCAAAAAGAAAAGCTCGATATTTTTAAGTTAGTTAATATCTCTGAGCCTCAATTTCCTAATCTATAGAGATAATAACAGACCTTCTTCAGAGGTAAATTTACAATGAAATTAATAAAGCCTAAGTTCAGGGTTCTAACAATGTGTTCACATGATCTGTTGTTTCTGCAAAGTTTTCAAAATCGTGTACTCTTTCAAATAAAGATGCCTTACCCACAATCGCATAACTTCATACCTTGCCAAATTAGATCCTTCTCTTGTTCACCTCAGTGATTATATTGATGATTAAATTAGATAGTAAATGTAAAGCTTTAGGACTATGCCTATAACATAGAAAATACATGATTAGTGTTCACTATTATTATTATTATCAAATATTTTAGTTTGTATTTATTCTTCTAATTGTTATATACAATTGAATATGTTACATCTTAAATAGCATGAGTTATGGGTGTTTAAGGAAAAGCTTAGTATACTAATAGAGTCTTCTCAAATCTGGAGAAAGAAATAGTATGAAATATATTGATTTAAATGTTAGATTTATTGATACATGCTTTTAAAAATGGTAGCTTTTAAACTGTAATCAATACATTTGCATTTTCCTAAAAAAAGAAGACATTTGTTCAGAGAAAACTGTGGTATCATGCAGGAAAAGCAGAAAAAAATTGCCTAAGTGTGATCCCACATACTTGTCAGTTGGGTATTGCAAGAGAGGATGAGTAAATGGTTGAACTCACTGGAATTACACAAATCTTATCACATCTATACACAATCATCCAAATATTCGAGGATTTAGCAATGTATACTAAGATGGCCATGCAAACTTGTGAGTTGTAGCTTTGCAATTTGGGACATATGATACCTATTTTACATTCATAATGTAAATCATATTCATATGATACCTATTTTACATTCATAATATAAATTATATTCATATCATATCTATTTTATAATTCATAATATTAATTTCATTATATCTGTTAATCACATACTTAGAATTACAGATATGAATTATTTCTATAAATTATGATTAATCACAGAATCACAATAAATACCAATTTGATTAAGCTCCACCTTTGAATTTTTTCTTATTTTCTTAAAATGAAGGACGTGTGTGTGTGTACATATATACATATACATATATATATACACACACACACACACTCATGCAATAGTTGTGAATTGAATGAAATTCACCAGGACAATCTGACTTGTATTTCAAATAATAGGAGTTTGAATATTACCCTCACTGAATCATTGAGTCAATATAGAAATTTATTTCATGCTTCAAGATAAAACAAAACCTAAGACAAATATGCTAGAACTGGCTTTAGCAACAGCCTAAATACTAAAGCAATGTTAAATTATACATATTGCATTGGTTTGGGGATCATCTTAAATGTGAAATATATATAATGTACATGTGTGTACATGTGTGTGTGCAAATACATATATATACATATATGTATTATATGTAGTGATTTAAAGTCTTTTCTCATATTCTAATTATTAGGAAATGAAAAGAGAAAAAATAAAGTCTAGTGTAGAGAAAAAATGTCTTGCATTTTCTGAGTCAATCATGCAATTGCCTAATAAATTAGCTAAGCAACAGCAAGTTCTGATCTGCCGAATAGGAATTTTAACAGTTACTAAGTTCTCTCCAGGTAGTGAGTTGAATGGCCAAAATCACAGTGCCATTTCCTGCTTCATGCTGTGCCCATTTAGTAAAACAGAATTGGTCACCATGTTCTTAGCATTGCTTTTCAGAGATGTCATACGCACCGCTGAAGAGCTGAGTAGGTAGCTGGTTCCTCTCTCTTGATAGGACTTCCTCCCACAGCAGAGTTGGCTGTTGAAATGCCTCCTGAAGCTTTCACTGAGTAGGTAAAGAGCAAATGGGTTGACACAAGAATTGCCAAAACTGAGAACCCGGGCAACTAAGGTGACAATCATGTGGCCTAGAGATGGATCAATCTCATTATAGTTGAAAGACCGATACATGTAAAGGATGTGGTTTGGAAACCAACAGAAGATGAAACAGCCCACAAAGACAAGCACAATTTTAGCCAGGCGTTTCCGTGTTTCCATCTGCAAATATAAGAAATTGATCCCATTGGTTAAAGTGAAAATGGAACCAGCCACATACCAACTTTATCAAGTCAGGAAAGAGCAAAATTTACAGCATGATAATACATCCAAAATACATAAATTATTTATTTTCCTCACCAAAGTGATGATGGATTTTAACAGTTTGATAAGCTTATTTTGGTCTCTACATTATTTGCATTAATAAATATTTGACAGCTTATACAAAACTAAGTGGTAAATTACTAAATGCTGTCTTCATATTATTTATTTATTTTCTTTTTGCTTAATGTCTCATTGTGTGTAACATAAATATAAGTCATTTCTGTTTGTATTAAATCCACTAAATTAATAAACCATAGAATATATTCAAGCTTAGGTGTTTTAAAAAAATCAGGGTGTTTTAAATAGGAAAAACTGATCTGATGAAGCAGGGCTTGCTGTTTAAAACTACCACTCCACAGGAAAACAAAATAGCAACTTGAAATTTAAACTCCTGACTTACACAAATCAAAAGCATCTGATATAACCGTGAATCCTGTAAACATTATTATATTGTCACATTCACAAATAAAAATAAATTTTCCTTCTCCATAAAATTTACATATTATGTTTACTGTTTCTAAGAGGGTATTCAAGAGTGTAATAAATAGGCAAAATTCAAATATTGGACATCAATACTTTTTAATCTAAAAACAATTTCCTAACATCAGTAGTTCAAGGGGTACCTTACATTTGTCTAATTTGTTTAAATACTTAATTAAACCAACATGGACATGGAATACCAATTTATTGAAAGACATTGGTAGTAGGTATCATAATATTTTCTGAGTGAATACTACTGGTCGTCAACTAGAATATTCCAAAGAAGACTGGAAAGGTTTGGGATTGGAACATATCTGATGGTAGGTAGCAATAGAGTGGTAATGGAGGAAGCGAAGAAAGGTAAAACTGAAGAGGAACCCAGGCCAGGAAGCAGAATGTGATGTTCCACATGGATCCCAGTGGCATAAGTTAGGCAACCCAACAATCAATCCTAAGAAAGTCAAATGTGAAATTTATCTTTCTAAGCAGTGTCATGCCTTCCAGGTGGACCATGAGTGCAAGAATGTCACAGCAGTCTATACTTGGAGATTCAAGTGCACAGGCAGGCTGTTGGCATTGAGATTATTTCTCAGCAGATGTCAAGACCCAGTTGCCCTGCCAGAGTCTATAGGTCCCAATAGGGAAATTCACAAAAACAAGGCAGGCAGACCAAGGCCAATAAAAATTTAAAAAGTGAAGCAAGGGCTCTGTATATGAGAAAAACTCAACTTTAGAAACCAAAAGCAAATACTCAAATACCTAATTGAGATACACAGGGCTCAAATTGGGTCACAGGGCTCAAGTAAAAGAACTAATTATATAAAATAGAAAGCACAGTGAGCCAATGATCTGAACACATTGCCTCACTGATGCCAAATATTTAGAGAAAGTCTATGAATTAATCTAACAATGCCTTCAATAATTGGGTGATTTTTTAAGTCTTTAAAGCCGATGTGGATCTTTGATGTTGATGGCCACCAATTCATAAAGGTTACCTTCCATGCAAGAAAACTTTACTAGTTTCTGCTGTTGCTAACATGCCCAAGGCCCCAGCCTAATGCTCCATCTATGTTCTAGTAAATTTTAAATGATCTGCGATTCAATTTCTTTGCCTTTAATTTGGAAACAAGCATCGGTAACTACTCTGTACCTGCAAAACCCGTTAGAAGTTCTTTTCTAGCTGTACACAAATGTACAACCAGAAACTCTTTGTCACAAGAACACTATTTCTCTTTGTGTATTAACACAGTAGATTTTTACCTTAAATTAGTACTGCATATTCTTGAAGGAAGAAAAAGTACATAAGGTGCATGATGTAATTTTTAAATGAGCGTATTATCTTTGTAGGGAAAGTTACAAATTTGAGTTGGGTCACGTACTGCTTCAGCACCAGCCCACCTTTGGATTGCACCTTTGGGTTCCTTTTCTGCTGCTCTTGCTATTCCCCTCATCTCTCATTCTGACTTCCACCCAAATCCCATCCCAAGATCCCAGGCAGTGTCCTATAGTCCTTTCCTGATGCATCCTTCTTCTAGACTCCCTGCCATCCTTAGTGGGTTAATGGGAGAAGAGACAATAATCAAATTAATGTATGCTCATATGTGAAATTTTTCTGGTTTATTATGTTGTTTGTTAAATAAAAATCTGCATGTAAAACAGGCCTTTCAATACATTAATTTCTAATGGTGGAATGTCAGGCCTTATCACAGATCCAGATAAATGATAAACTGAACCTAAGCAGGCCTTTGCAGGGCTCTGATATGACCATATATTAGAGATCCCCACATATCCCTTCTAGTTAAGGCCTGTGAAGGCCCAACTCTGTTCTCCTCAGTCATAGGATTAAAAGCCCACAAAATAAAACAATAAATAGCAGTTACTTGTTCTGACCACACACCACCAACCCACGCCTACTAAGCTTACCTGTTTTTTGGTATGTTCATTGTATTCTCCAGGAAGATTGTGTGCGCTTTTAATTAAGGTCTTTGCAATATGATAATAATAAATGCTAATAATAGCAAGTGGTATGAGGAAATAGACCAAGAAAATGAGCACTGAATGAATCTTTGGATGTAATTCATCTGTTTGAGGGTATGGGATACATGCTGTGAAGCTGCTATTATCCAAGCTACTGATGCGAGCCACTTCTGAAAACACCGCTTCGGGAACTGCCAGCAACACGGAGACCACCCAGATACCCATGGCCTTCACACAGGTCCGCAGCAATGCCCCTGACGTCTGCATGTCCATGGGGTTAACGATGGCTCTGTACCTGGGAAAATGATACATCTCAAGTTATTCCAGAAAGAAAGGAAAGAAAAAAGAGAAAGAAAAGAAAGAAAGAAAAAGAAAGGAAGAAAGGGAGAGAGAGAGAAAGGAAGAAAGGGAGAGAGAGAGAAAGAAAGAAAGAGAGAAAGAAAGAGAGAAAGAGAGAGAGAAAGAGAGAAAGAAAGAAAGAGAGAAAGAGAGAGAGAGAAAGAAAGAAAGAAAGAAAGAAGAAAGAAAGAAAGAAAAAGAAGAGAGGAGAGGAGAGGAAAGGAAAGGAAAGGGAAGGAGAAAAGAAAAGGGAAGGAAGGAAGGAAGGAAAGAAGGGAGAAGAGAAAAACATTCTGCTTAGTAAGAGAGATGCCAACAATATTCTGTCTTTATAGCTCAAATTTATTTATTCCCTGGCTGCTTAAAAGTGTATGGAAGACCTAAGGTTCCTGGTGTCTCTCAGTCTACAAGTCATTCCACTACTTATTAGCACAGAAAACAAAAAGAGAGAGAAAAATATTTTAAATTTGCATTTCCTAAATCCTAGTCATTTCATTTCCAAAATCCTGGACATTAGTTTACCTCTTAAATTCTTCTAAATCTATATATGTTACATCTATCATAATGTATTGAATACCAAATATAAGATATTCACAAAATAATATTATTCAATTCTTCCTTGATACTTTTCCATAGCTTCTGAGCATGAGCCCCTTCACTCTTTTTCTAAGGACATTAATGAATTTTAGAAACTAATCTAGATTGGTCATACTACATTTTGACAAAATAAAATAAATAAAAGACTCATCTAGATTGGGATTTTCTCCATAATCCAATAATAAGGACTGAAAAACTTGAAAGCAGAACAATATTCTGTCTTTATAGCTCAAATTTATTTCATGTCAAGATCCCATAAAATTCTTTTCTCCTCCAACCTAAAATATTAATGGCAATATACTAGCAGTGTACTAGTGATAAAGGAATCACACTCCAGGACACAGTAAACAATCCAAAACTTTCTACAGCTAACTCAAACACACATATTAAGTAAGGCAATGATGATGCAAACAATTCAAAATGGTATGTAAACCTCAAATTTTTTATATTTCTCTTTAAAGTATTTCAGGTGACAATATACCTAGCAAATAAGATGCAGTATCACAGGATTTTAGTTAGACAAATCTGAATTATTACCCCATCTCTGATATATTTTGGAAAATCACATTTATCAAGCACATCTCCACCTTCTTCTTGATTTTAATTTCTAAGATATTCTGTTAGCTTTACTTTCCATCATTTTTTTTCTGAATTTTAAAATTTCTGCTATCATCTTTTGTTTCCTATAAGTTTTTTATGTTTTCAAATTATTTCTTTTTTATAGTGTCCTATTCCTATGTTATATGTGCACATTCTTGCCCTATATCTTTTTTTTTTTTTTTTTTTGACAGGGTCTCACTCTGTCACCCAGGCTGGAGTACAGTTGCCTGATCACAGCTCACTGCAATCTCCACCTCCCAGGTTCAAGCAATCCTCCCACCTTAGCCTCCCAAGTAGCTAGGACTACAGGTGTATGCCACCAAGCCTAGCTAATTTTTGTATTTTTGTAGACAGGAGGTTTTGCCATGCTGCTCAGGCTGGTCTCATACTCCTCCTGGGCTCAAGTGATCTGCCGACCTCAGCCTCCCAAAGTGCTGGGGTTATAGGTATGAGCTACTGCAGCCAGCTCTTGCTATGTACCTATAAAACTAATACAAAAATAAAAATTTAATCTCTTTCCAGGTTGTTTGGTCTCTTTGTGCTGTAATCTCTCCCAATAAATTTGCATAATTATTGACTGACAATTCATATTTAAGAGCAAAGTACCAAAAAGTTGACTGTAATTTTTTTTCTGTGGAAGAAGACAAGGAAAGGGCAGAGAGGTTATCACTACAAAAAGATCAAGCCTTCTTTTTAGATTATCAAAAACCACAAAGGGTATTCTGAACTTTCCTCCACGTATTTAAAAAGGAGAAGAAAATGTCACTTCTCTACCTCATATCTAAGCACATATACTATTGTAGAAGTACTGTTGTAGTTTACTTGAGCTGCTATAATAAAGTACCATATACTGGGCAGCTTATAAACAACATAAATTTGTCACAATTCTGAAGACTAGGAAATCTAAGATAAAGACATTGAGAGATTCAGTGTCTGGTGAGAGTCCCCCTTTTTTACATAGATAGATCTTCTTGCTGTTTATTCAAATGGTGGAAGGGTCAAGGGTCTCTTTGGAGTCTTTTATAAGGGTATGAATCCCATTCATGTGGGCCCCACTCTCATGACCTAATCACCTCCCAAAGGCCCACCTCTTAATGCCATCATCTTGGGGAGTAGGATTTCAACATATGAATTTTGGCCAACATAAACATTATATCATAGCATGCATTATAACTATAAAAGATATAGAGAAACTTTAAATAGAAATTAAAACAAAAAGTCTCTCATTTTGATAAGATTGCTAGAAACAGATACAGAAATCTCGGTTTAGAGAAAGCAAGAAACCTAGCAGAAATGTTGGCCTTTCCAGCAAGGAGGATTATGAGCCACCTCCTGCAAGAAAAGATAGACCCCAATGATATTCTCTGAATGATACACATTTGAATAAAAGGGGAGAATTGAAAATCCTACAAAAACAGAATTAGAGTTGAAAATACAGATTACTGAAGTGTTATTAGTGCTGAGACATAGCTTACAATTGTCGAAGAAAAATGTTGTATACCAACTGTGTGTATCTTTGAAAGGATAAAAAGCAAAAAATAAAATGAGATAGTGCAAATTAATGTGGACATGTTTTATTATGCTTCCTTCAAATATTTATAGACATGTGGGGAAAAGTATCTCTTAGTATAAAAAGTGTTTCACTGTGTATATTAGCATAGCAGGTATGTGTAAAAAGGTATATTTTCCCTTATAAATGGTCTCAGGAGGATATCCCTAACTGAAAACTAAATACTAGAGAATGTTGATCAAAAGGCATATAAAGAGAAAAATAATCACTATTCATGTATTAAACCTCAATAAATAAATAGATTTCTTCATCAATTCTTATTTTGGATCTCGCTTGTAACATCTGTGTAGTTTAAATTTTAATGTAAAGAGATAATTAAGTTTAATCATAAAACAAAATACATAATAAAAATGGGATATTTTTTACCTCTTACAGAGTCATCATAGCATCTCAAAAATCTCCATCTACACTAATCTTTCTAATGACACTACCCAAAATTTCTTTCTTTCTTTTTTTCTTATTAAACTTTCATTTTTCAGGCAAAGAATAGGTCCACAAAAAGTCTGAGTGTGAACCGCATGATAAGAGAAAGGTCTTGCTCACTGTTATATCTCTAATACACAACACAATGCCTGGCCTGGCCAGTAGAGTCTATAGGGTCTCAATAAATGGTTGAAACTATAGCCTGAGCAACAAGGAGATCCTTATTAGGAGCAATTGTGGTAAAGTGGGTGGGAGTTGTTGGGTATTATGTTGAAGTGGGAATGGTGATGACAAACGGAGACTGAGTCTAATCTAATGATGCCTAAGACGCATCAATATTCAGAAACACATAGAGAAGTAAAAAAAAGAGAGAATATGATTAGGCTTCTCTGTAGAGTTACTAATGCAGAATCCCTAGAATGTGAAATGTGGGATTCTGCATATTACTAACATTTCCAGGTGATTCTGATGATAAGCCGGGTTTAGAAACCATGTTTTAAGAGAGTTGTGTGCAGCAGTGAGCATCTTTGCCACAGGCTTCCTGCAAGGTGCAGTGCAATGGGTGCACATTCAGCAACAGAATGGATAGTATCCAGAATCCAGCAGAAATTCAGCATTTGAAGAATCAGATGCCTGCTCTTTAATTATGATATGTCACATCATGAGGAAGACATCATTCTTCTTTTGCAAATAAGGAAAGCACCACCTTATGGCCATGAGTTTTGTGCTGTTTTATCCTTTTTCTCCAAGAAAAACATTTGGATGTAATGGATACATGGTTAGCAGCACCCAGAAACCATAAACCCAAGCCTGATGCAATCCCTCCTTATTTATAGTGTGTCCCAAAAGTTTCAGATCAAGGTAGATGAATAATCTTCAAAAGCTATAAGCAACATATAAATTATGGCAATATTATGAATCTTGTGAGAATTATACAGTGCCTTTCTAATTCAATGTGTGAAATTACTTCTAAGTATAAAAGAAAGAGATAAACTAGAAGTGTTCAAGATCAGTGAATAAAAGATATCTAATTTATTGGAGTCAAATAACATTTATTTAACAATAAGCCCCATAAATTCAAATTAAAAACTAATAAATTATGTGCAGAAACTACAATTGATTCTGTTTCTATGGTTATATAAAAATAACAGAGAATTGGTTATGGAAAGCAAATTTTTCTTTTTGAAAAGGCTACGAGAAAGCTCTCAGAAAAACCTATGACTCACATTTTGTGAAAGTATGGGTCATTTTATATTTTCCAACTTTTCTTTTCCCTGCCCTTGGTTTCCTCCCTTTTTAGTCCTGTGGTGTGTTGTTTGTATCCTTATTTTTAAGCTGCCTTACATTCTCCTGTCGCAGGTCTGATATGGTTTGGCTCTGCATCCCCAACAAAATCTCATGTAGAATTGTAATCCCCAGTGGTTGAGAGAGGGACCTGATGGGAGGTGACTGGATCATGAGGGCAAATTTCCCCTTCCTGTTCTCATGGTAGTGAGTGAGTTCTCATGAGATCTGGTTGTTTGAAAGCGTGTAGCACTTCCCCCTTAGCTCTCTCTCTCCTGCCACCATGTGAAGACATGCTTGCTTCCCCTTCACCCTTCTGCCATGTTTCTAAGTCTCCTGAGGCCTCCCCAGCCATGCCTCCTGTACAGCCTGTGGAACTGTGAGTCAATTAAACCTCTTTTCTTTATAAGTTACCAAATTTCAGGTAGTTCTTTATAGCAGCGTGAGTAATACAAAGCTGAACAAAAATAAGTTGAACATAAATAAGTCATCACTCTAGCATTATAGGGTAAGTGTGGACTATTGTTCTAAAGAGAAGCACACTCTTGGTGCCAATCTCACTACCAATTAACAGACTGAGAGGCAAGGGCTATGGAGCAAAAAAGAAAGCATCATCTCCAGTCAGGGGCAGCTGGCTAACATGAACCTGAGCTTCAGTCAGGAGTTTTGATGAGAAAACAGCAAACAGTTAACAGCACTCCCTCCCACCACTGAACAAAGACTGATGGAAAAGTCCTATGAAGCCTAGTGAGTGTTAGACCCAGGGCCTGTATCCAATCTATTTCAGTATCTTAACAAATAATTACACTCAATAAAATATCTGTTTGCATTGATGTAATATACAAATAATATTAATGATTCAAGACTTTGTCTACTGACCTAGTTATGGAATGAAATCTGATTATCCTAACCAGCACTCAAAAACTTGGATTTTGTATTAATAACTATTAATGCATTAGAAACTTAATCAGATTTGGTACAACATTATTTTTGCATTTAATCCAACATTGGCTATTTGGTATCAGAAGAAAGTATCACCCAATACATTAAACTAATATTAGTTTATTTTTATGGTTTTTATAGTTTTATTTTTTAAATTTAATTTATAAATGCGTTTTGGTTAACAGTTATATAAGAAGCCACAATAAAGAATTGATATCTAGTTTTATATTTGTTAATACATGAAATTATGAAGTTTACAGTTTAGCACTAGGAATCTGTGAGAATTTTTCCTATGAAGGAAAAAGGAAAACTCCATTCCTAAGAGTTATTTGCATTTTAATAATGTGCCATCAGAGGCCAAAAGATCTTCAAGAATCAAAGAAATAACATTCCAAATTTGGAAACGCAGCTACTCATATACAGAGAAAGAGATAACTATAACGCCAACCAGGAGCAAAATATGGCTTATGGGGCGCCACCAACCTGATGTCACAGCACACACGTCCCAATACTCCACGGGGGGAGGTGAGAATATGTGTGTGTTTGTGTGTATGTGTGTATGTATAAAAGTGTTAGAAACATGACAGAATATAGAAATACTTTTAATCAACTACTTTATGTAAGCAAGCAAGCAATATACATTTTCAAAATTGTAACAAAACTGTCTATCAAGATAACAGTTTAAAAAATAATAAAAAATTGAGACTACCACTATCACCACTTCATACCATGCACTGTCTCTCCTCCAGCCATACTGGTTATGATGATGTGCCTCTGAGGCATGACTGCAGTGGGCACAAAAGCTGTTGCCTAGGGATGTGTCTGCTGAAACTCCTCGGAAGAGTTTGGAAAGTTGAGGATTAATAATCACAGACACCAGCTAGGAGCAGTGGCTCACACTTGTAATCCCAACACTTTGAGAAGCCGAGGTGGGCAGATCGCTTGAGGTCAGCAGTTCGAGACCAGCCTGGCCAACATGGTGAAACCCTGTCTCTACTAAAAATACAAAAATTAGCCAGGCATAGTGGCGTGTGCCTGTAATCTCAGCTACTCAGGAGGTTGAGGCAGGAGATTTGCTTGAACCTGGGAGGCAGAGGTTGCAGTGAGCCGAGATCGCACCCCTACACTCCAGCCTGAGTGACAGAGCAAGATTCTGTCTCAAAAAAATAAAATATAATAATAATCACAGATACCAGTGTCATCTGACCACCCTTTGGCCATATCAGACAAGGTGTTTTAGGCCTCAAGGTGGATTCAAAATATTTGTGTTTTTCATTTTAGTCTCTGCAATCTAATGATGCTGACATCAATGAAGTGTAGAATATGAGTCTCCACTTCACATTGGAATATGCTTTCTGAAATCTAATTATCTTCCTGGGTTTTTTTCTATGTACTGTGATCTCTATAGGCAAAGAGATCTTAGGCAAAGATCTTGTTAGGCAAAGACACTTAGGCCATCTGTGAAGACAGGATATATGATACAAATAATTGAATTTGTTGTTTAAAGACTCTAATAACATAATTTTTATTTGTTTATTATAGTTTTTATTGCTGCAACTACTACTTAAAATTGAATTCAAGGTGCTTCTTTTATTTTGCAGTTACATTTTATGATGTTTTTTCACTGTAATAAATCTAATGAATCAGCTCCTGTACTCTTTTTTTTTTTTTTTAATGCTTGGGTGTTTTGTTTTAAACTCAGCTTTTAAGTCTGCTGGTAAATAAAAAATACTATTAGTAATTTCTTATACCAAGAATTGTAATAATGTGGATTAATGGTGAAGAGTTCAGACTTTAAATGGCGTTCAAACATGTTGGCACCATCAGTGGCTAGCTGTGAGATCATAAAAATGTTGCTGAATTTCTAATCTGTTTTCTTAGCTTTAAAGTTTTTAATTTAAATAAAATAATGCCTATCTAACAGCATTGTGAGGGTTGAAAAATTACACAAAAAAAGTTAGCACTGTGCTAAGCACAATTAATCCTACAATTGATTCCACATCCACAAGAAATCATAGCTTTTGGTGAGATATAGTAAGAAGTCATCAAGTACTAGTCAACTATTGATTGCTATGCTCTAGAAGAAAAATAGAAGTGTAGACAATATATAACAAACCATTTCCAACCCATTTTAAGTGAATCATGGAATATATTGCATAACTTCATCAACAGTTACTCAGGTTTCCTAGTTTATATTTCCTAAACACACACTGGTAGACAAGGGTAGCCTACGGACCAAGTAGAAGAGGCATCTCACCTTTCCTTATTGTTATTACTAAAGTATTCATCCTGTATTCACAGAATATATGATGCACAAATGAAACAAAGAAAGTCAGTAAATATATAAGGATTATTATTTTCTCTGATCTAGGCCAGGGCAAATTTACCTGTGTAAATGGTCATGTGTCGCCATGACAATAGATTGTAAAAACTGGTGTGAAATAAACTCCAACCCTGGGTCTTGCTACCAATGCCATGTCTTTAGAATAAAAGCACAATGATAGTAATTTAAACTACTGTGGTTGCTAATCATTAAGTTTTATTCTAATCACTAAGTAGGTTTTTTAAACTTTCTAGGTAAAATAAGATTGCATAAAGAGGGGCAGCTAAACTAGTCATATTTTTGCTTTGGAATTCAGAGAAAGTATTTTAAAAGATAATAGAAATGCTGCCACATAAACAAAATTAGGTACATAATTTATACAAAAGGCACCTAAGTTTCCAGGAGTGTGGTTTTTAAGAAAGTGAATCATTTTCAGTTTCTCAAGTCTCTGTTGAATGCTGTGTTTCCCTCAGTCAGGATTAACTCTTCAATGCCAAAGTAGTATTCCAGTATTCTTGCAAATACCAGGAAATTCAGATACAGACTTATTTTTCATTAGCAATTGAATATGTAAATTAAAGAGGAGAGGGCATACCACCTTAATTATCCAAGTTAATTGTTTATCTAAATAGCTTAAGTCAGTCCTCCATTCCCACCAAGGGAATTAAACCACAGCTCCATGAAAAGGTACCTAATTTTGCATTTTTCCCCACCCCTATCCAAACATTCCCTTCTGCTTAAATGGACCCTGAGTCAGGAGACTTGGATTTTCCTCCCTGGTCTTCCATTAGAAATTACATTCCCTGGGCCTCAATATGCACATCTGAAAAATGACAGAGTTGAACTAGTTGATGTGCAAAATAGAATAATGGACACTTCACACCCTTAACATATGTCAAAAGCAGATTTAATATCAAAGATGTATTTTGGGTACCTATCTGTGGAAAAAAAAAGTCTCTTAGCTTCAGGTATTAAACAAGAAGAATGTGAAAAGTCATCTGCCCAAAGAACATTTATTAATCTAATTGGTTTTACTTCTAAGAAATAGTAAAATTCAGTTAATAAATTTAAGTAAGTTCTCCTCTTACTTGAAAGAAATAAAAATTAAATATTTGCCTAATATTAAGCAGACATTCTTACCTATTAGATTCTTACTCTACTGCATAAAGGAAAGAACACTAATAAGATTTTAAGCACACACAGAAAGCTTCAACAAGATACTCGCTCTTTTGCATGTTTATTCTATAGCTTTTCTATGAAATAATATTCCCTAAGTGTCGGAGGTGGGACTAGGAGATGCAATTTTAAATGCAATTTTAATTGTTTTTTTTAAAACATAGTAATTTTCTTATATTTTTCCAAGCCTCACATGTCAGTCCGTTTTAACTCTGTTTACTCTACTTCCCAGGTACACACTCTCTCCCTCTCTTCCTCTCCACACCCAACCTTTCCTTGCGTCCTTCTGCCAGTAGGTGCACTCCGGGTGAGTCTTCTCTACTCGCCCCTCTCCACGACTTTTCCAAGCCACTCACAGCTACCTGTGCTCTTACCTGTCGGCGCTGAGGGCAGTGAGAGTGAACACGGAAACCCCCACGGAAGTGAGCTGGATGACAGGGATCAGTTTGCAGCCCACCTTGCCAAACATCCACTCGTCGAAGAAGTAGCGCGAGGCGTCCACCGGGACGCAGGTGAGCAGCAGCAGCAAGTCCCCGGCCGCCAGGTTAGAGATGAAGATGTTGGGGACGCTCCTCATGGCGCTGTTGGTGATGAAGATCTTCACCAGCATGATGTTGCCCAGCAAGCCCACGGTGATGATGAGCAGGTAGAGGGACGGGATCACACAGCGGATCACCAACTCCGTGGTGGTCCCGTCCGAGGCCGGCAGGAAATCCCTTTCCCACCCCTCGGGAACGGAACCGCTCTCATTCGCGCCGGTGGTCACCGAGAGGTTGGAAAGAGACTTAGAGGGCATGATCTCCTTTCCAGCAGAGTCCGCTGGAGTTTTCACGCGCTCCGGTGCCCTGAGGACTGAACGCCCACGATTTAGGTTTAATCGATGTCCCTCCCTCTCGCCCCTGCAAGTTTACTGTCCGCGGGGCAAGCCTCACAGCACCACGTCCCTAAGAGTTCAGGACCTGGGGAGGGGTCTGTCCACACACTCGGGCGCTCCGCTTCTAGAGGGGGGAAATGGCTCCGGCTAACTCTGAATTTAAATTAAAAAAAAAAAAAAAGCAAAGCGGTTGCGTCTTTGTTCCGTATTCAGTGGTTTGTTCTCGCGGTTATCTAGCGGAAAACAGCCTTTCAGGAACAAGGAGCTGTCCCTTGGGGATCAGTAGAAGCACCTGCCGGACTCTTCGCCCAGAGAAGCAGAAGTCATCCTGGCGCTGTCCAGCGGGCCGCAGCTGAAATCCCGGGAACTAGGCGGGGCCACCTGCAACCTGCTTTTCCCACAGCTTTGCTCTTGTTTGTGAAGTTCCTGTTGTATTGTGTGGAACTGGAGGGGAGGTCAGTCCTCCATGCATGTGTGTGTGCCCCTATATACATCCATCCTTACCCGCCTCCAAGCAGGAGGAGCTCCAGGCAAGAACTTTGGAATCTCTGAGGATTAAAGGGCTGAGTTGGCAAGTCCCTAATGCTGAAACACAGAATTTAGGGGAAAAAAATGAGTGCCAAAGAATGAAGCTCATAAATGAAATCCTCTCGCTACTCTTCTTCTGATCATCTACTGTTCTTACCTTAAATGTGAAAATTATTTCCTATTGTTGGCATATTATTTTTAAATTTATATTTTATTGAATTATAACGTGTATAACGTACACATTTCTTAATCGTTCTGCTTAATCTAACCATCATTCAGAGCCCACAATCTAGCCACCATCTCCCAAAATAACCACCATTTGGCTTGTTATTGAATAAGTGTGCCTCCTATTGAGCATCGTATAAATGGAATCATTCAGCATACACTCTTGTGTCTAGGTTCTTTCACTCGACACCATATCTGTGAGATCCACTCATGTTTTTTCTCAGGTGGCATTTTTCATTACTGTATACTACATCATTTTATAAATATACCACAGTTTGTTTATCCATTCTATATTGATTAACATTTGGGTTCCTTACAATTTTAGTCAACCTGAGTAACGTTTCTATGAACATTCTTTTACATGTGTTCAGGTGCACATTTGAATAAATCCCAGGTGTGGATTTGCCAGGTCATAGTACTTGAGTATGTTCAGCTTTACTGGAAACTGACAATTTTTTAAAATAAATTACTAACTTATTTTTTCTTTTGGAACCTGGCTCGACAATTTTATTTGTTAATTCTATCTATTAAGGCAGAGTATATGTATGCTTATGATTGAGTAATGCCACTCGTAGATATATATTCAATAAACATCTGATATGCTGTTTTAAATAGGTTGTCCCTAAGCACAAAACAGTTTCCCAAATCACCACCATCTGAGTCTAATGTAAACTGATCAGAAATGGTGGCTCAGTTCTGGAGTTAGCTAAATAACACTCTTCATTAGGGAAAACATTTGACTAGTTCTTTGTTATTAAAGGATAAAATTGAACAATTGAATAATAACAATGTAACTAGCCAAGGACTACCTATGATGATCTAGCCATAAACTGATAAGATGTGTATATATGCAATGTCACTTATAAATTAAGCAACTTTTCCAGATATTGCCCACCAAGAGCACTGTCACATCATAATTGAATTAGACAAGGTAAACATTTGCATTGTAATCAATTTTAAGTTTTATGTTTTCTAACTCAAAAGTCCTTATTGTACTCTTCTGGAATTTCACTACTTAAAATAATTCATTATAAAATTAAGATTAGTTAAATAGAATATTTATGTATAAATATATTTGAATATATAAATATTCTATTTATATTTATAAAAATTATACACATATATAGAGGGAGAGGGAGCAAGAGAAAGAGGAAAAGAGAGCAAGGAAATTAATATTACATGTAAGTTGAGAAATGTCTCTAGGAATTTTATCTCCAAAGTTATTTGTTTTCTTTTTAACATCCAATATTACTATACAGAATAAATTACTAAAGCAATCTTCTAATTATGAAGTGTCTAAAATTCAAACTGCAACTATGCCATTTTAACATATTTTATATAAAAATATATTGAAATCGAAATTACTGTATGAATTTTTATATTCTCCTCCTTGTGTCTGTGTGTTCCTAATCATTTAGAAGAGAAAAAAATGTTTAGTCTAAAAGCTGGATTAATAAATATCCAATTGACAGGCATTGTAGAAACAAGCCATCTGGATTGAATTTTCTTCATTTTAAGTAAATTTATATGTATTTACTTAAAGATTTGTGTTCATTGTAGTGAAGAATATAATGAATATTTTAATAATTTTTTTGGTATTTTATTAAAATGTTATAAAGTTATAATAATGTGTTATTTAGATTCATCACAAAATTACATATAAGAACACAGTATTGTCTCATATTAATAGAATGCACACACATCAAAGGTAAACATCTACTGGAATGAAACACTATTTGTTTATTTATGTTTTGAGACAGGGTCTTGCTCTGTCACTCAGGCATATGCAGTGGCATGAAGATGGCTCACTATAGCCTCAACCTCCTTCATTCAAACAATTCTCCTGCCTCACCTTCCCCATGTAGCTGGGACCGCAAGTGTGCCCCACCATGCCTGGCTAACTTTTTTAATTTTTTGTAGACATGGGGTCTCACTTTGTTGCCCCAGCTGGTCTCAAATTCTTGGGCTCAAGCAATCCTCTTGCCTCAGCCTCCCAAATGTCTATAATTATAGGCATGAGCCATAGCACCCAGCCATACAAACTTTATTATTGTATTCAATATGTCATATACCATATTAGGTTTCTTAGACTCATATACTTAATGTTTATCAATATTCCTGGATAAAAATACTTGAGTCTTAACATGATTCACAGAGACAAGATAAATTGTCTAATTTGAAAGAGACCTCATGAAACTGCATTTTGAAATTTATTGTATTTGAAATCAGTGTCTGTTATGTCTCTTTGTTTCTGGAGAAAGCAATTATGTCAAAAAAATGTGATTTCTATATAAATGAAGTATACATTTTTAATCCTGAGTATTTGATGTTTATAAATACACATTGTATATTTTATTGCCCTAGTACAGAACTGTTCAGAACCATATTGATGCTGTTTCAAATTCGTTGACATGAGTATTATTGTTGTAAGTGAATATGAAGAATTTGAAATTTAAACCAATTTTGTAATCCTCATCTGCTTCAATGTATCTATCCTTCAGTGTATTATGAAAAAATATAAAATACTATACTTATGGAGACATTTTATAGGTTTTTCTTAAGATCATGACAAAGGCAAGTATACTCGCTATTATCATTGTTATTTAACACACTGGAGGAGATTCCAAGCAATGCTATTGCAACAGAAATGGAAATGAAAAGCATAGAATTTGAGAGAAAGGAGATACTAATACAAATATATAATATTAAAATTAAAATGGAACTGGCGAAAGAACAGAAAAAAACATTAATGGAAGAGAATACAAAGTTCAAAGTCAGCTGCATGTAGATAAGGAAACAACACTCAAATGTGTATTGCAACAAATAAAAACTTAGTAGATAATACTGGGAAAACTGTTGCACAGGCAAGAAGAATAAAACAGAGTCTCTATGTAATACTATATGTAGTATTATAATTCTAGTGCATTAAAGGTCACAGTATGAAAAAGTAATTTGGGGAAGATAATAGAAGAAAATATTAAAGAATATATATGAGACCACGGGGGTGGGAAGTGATTCCTACTTCAAGTCAAGATGGAGTAACAGAGAATACACTGAAAACATAAAAACCAGACAAAACATATTAAACAGTAGTTTTTAGACACTGGCAGCACAAAAGAGGCAGCACAAAACAGTGATCCCTAAGACAGGTTTAACAGATGAGATGAGCTCTACCATCGCTCTATCTTACTGCCTAGAGAAAGAGTTTTCAGCCCATGCACAAGGATAAGGAATCCACAGTGAGCCTGGAAGTCTCTCTTACTTGAGAAGATGGAATTGGAATCAGCAGAACAGAGAAAAGTGAGTCATACAGAGAAAGAACTCTGGAGATTCACAGAATTTCCCCTTGGGTTTTCAGCTAAATACGTGTTTCTATCTGCATGTGGGAAAATTAACCAATTCTCAGGAAAACACTTACCCAAAAAGGGTAAATTAGTGATTTAAAGAAGCTAAGTTCCTACCAGCCACAGTATAACAACCTTGTAAACACATAGTTTTAGGTACATTACTTAGAAGTGTATTGTGTTTGTAGTTAGGAAAAATTAACCATAGACCAAAGGCTTCTCTGGTCTTGCCCTCAAAGCTTAAAAGCAAGGATTAAAATGGTAAAACTAGTTCTAAGAAACCTGATGGTATCTTAGAACAAAACTTAAGAATTTTTTTTCTTTTTTTTTAATTATTCTTTAAGTTTTAGGGTACATGTGCACAACATGCAGGTTTGTTACAAATGTATACATGTGCCATGTTGGTGTGCTGCACACATTAACTCATCATTTAGCATTAGGTATATCTCCTAATGCTATCCCTCCCCCCTCCCCCCACCCCACAACAGTCCCTGGTGTGTGATGTTCCCCTTCCTGTGTCCATGTGTTCTCATTGTTCAATTCCCACCTATGAGTGAGAACATGCAGTGTTTGGTTTTTTGTCCTTGCGATAGTTTGCTGAGAATGATGGTTTCCAGCTTCATCCATGTCCCTACAAAGGACAGGAACTCATCATTTTTTATGGCTGCATAGTATTCCATGGTGTATATGTGCCACATTTTCTTAATCCAGTCTATCATTGTTGGACATTTGGGTTGGTTCCAAGTCTTTGCCATTGTGAATAGTGCCACAATAAACATATGTGTGCATGTGTTTTTATAGCAGCATGATTTATAATCCTTTGGGTATATACCCAGTAATGGGATTGCTGGGTCAAATGGTAATTCTAGTTCTAGATCCCTGAGGAATTGCCACACTGACTTCCATAATGGTTGAACTAGTTTACAGTCCCACCAACAGTGTAAAAGCATTCCTATTTTTCCACATCCTCTCCGACACCTGTTGTTTCCTGACTTTTTAATGACTGCCATTCTAACTGGTGTGAGATGGTATCTCCTTGTGGTTTTGATTTGCATTTCTCTGATGGCCAGTGATGGTGAGCATTTTTTCATGTGTTTTTTGGCTGCATAAATGTGTTCTTTTGAGAAGTGTCTGTTCATATCCTTCGCCCACTCTTTGATGGGGTTGTTTTTTTTCTTGTAAATTTGTTTGAGTTCATTGTAGATTCTGGATATTAGCCCTTTGTCAGGTGAGTAGATTGCAAAAATTTTATCCCATTCTGTAGGTTGCCTGTTCACTCTGATGGTAGTTTCTTTTGCTGTGCCGAAGCTCTTTAGTTTAATTAGATCCCATTTGTCAATTTTGGCTTTTGTTGCCATTGCTTTTGGTGTTTTAGACATGAAGTCCTTGCCCATGCCTATGTCCTGAATGGTATTGCCTAGGTTTTCTTCTAGGGTTTTTATTGTTTTAGGTCTAACATTTAAGTCTTTAATCCATCTTGAATTAATTTTTGTATAAGTTGTAAGGAAGGGATCCAGTTTCAGCTTTCTACATATGGCTGACCAGTTTTCCCAGCACCATTTATTAAATAGGGAATCCTTTCCCCATTTCTTGTTTTTGTCAGGTTTGTCAAAGATCAGATAGTTATAGACATGTGGCATTATTTCTGAAGGCTCTGTACTGTTCCATTGGTCTAGATCTCTGTTTTGGTACCAGTACCATGCTGTTTTGGCTACTGTAGCCTTGCAGTACAGTTTGAAGTCAGGTAAGGTGATGCCTGCAGCTTTGTTCTTTTGGCTTAGGATTGACTTGGCTATGCGGGCTCTTTTTTGGTTCCATATGAACTTTAAAGGAGTTTTTTTCCAATTCTTTGAAGAAAGTCATTGGTAGCTTGATGGGGATGGCATTGAATCTATAAATTACCTTGGGCAGTATGTCCATTTCCACGATATTGATTCTTCCTACCCATGAGCATGGAATGTTCTTCCATTTCTTTGTATCCTCTTTTATTTCATTGAGCAGTGGTTTGTAGTTCTCCTTGAAGAGGTCCTTCACGTCCCTTGTAAGCTGGATTCCTAGGTATTTTATTCTCTTTGAAGCAATTGTGAATGGGAATTCACTCATGATTTGGTTCTCTGTTTGTCTGTTATTGGTGTATAAGAATGCTTGTGATTTTTGCACATTGATTTTGTATCCTGAGAATTTGCTGGAGTTGCCTATCCGCTTAAGGAGATTTTGGGCTGAGACAATGGGGTTTTCTAGATATACAATCATGTCATCTGCAAACAGGGACAATTTGACTTCCTCTTTTCCTAATTGAATACCCTTTATTTCCTTCTCCTGCCTAATTGCCCTGGCCAGAACTTCCAACACTATGTTGAATAGGAGTGGTGAGAGAGGGCATCCCTGTCTTGTGCCAGTTTTTAAAGGGAATGCTTCCGGTTTTTGCCCATTCAGTATGATATTGGCTGTGGGTTTGTCATAGATAGCTCTGATTATTTGGAGATACGTCCCATCAATACCTAATTTATTGAGAGATTTTAGCATGAAGTGTTGTTGAATTTTGTCCAAGGCCTTTTCTGCATCTATTGAGATAATCATGTGGTTTTTGTCATTGGTTCTGTTTATATACTGGATTATGTTTATTGATTTGCATATGTTGAACCAGCCTTGCATCCCAGGGATGAAGCCCACTTGATCATGGTGGATAAGCTTTTTGATGTGCTGCTGGATTCGGTTTGCTAGTATTTCATTGAGGATTTTTGCATTGATGTTCCTCAGGGATATTGGTCTAAAATTCTCTTTTTTCTTGTGTCTCTGCCAGGCTTTGGTATCAGGATGATGCTGGCCTCATAAAATGAGTTAGGGAGGATTCCCTCTTTTTCTATTGATTGGAATAGTTTCAGAAGGGATGGTATCAGTTCCTCCTTGTACCTCTGGTAGAATTCGGCTGTGAATCCATCTGGTCCTGGACTTTTTTTGGTTGGTAAGCTATTAATTATTGCCTCAATTTCAGAGCCTGTTATTGGTCTATTCAGAGATCCAACTTCTTCCTGGTTTAGTCTTGGGAGGGTGTATGTGTCAAGGAATTTATCCATTTCTTCTAGATTTTCTAGTTTATTTGCATAGAGGTGTTTACAGTATTCTCTGATGGTAGTTTGTATTTCTGTGGGGTTGGTGGTGATATCCCCTTTATCATTTTTTATTGCATCTATTTGATTCTTCTCTCTTTTCTTCTTTATTAGTCTTGCTAGCAGTCTATCAATTTTGTTGATCTTTTCAAAAAACCAGCTCCTGGATTCATTGATTTTTTGAAGGGTTTTTTGTGTCTTTATTTCCTTCAGTTCTGCTCTGATTTTAGTTATTTCTTGCCTTCTGCTAGCTTTTAAATGTGTTTGCTCTTGTTTCTCTAGTTCTTTTAATTGTGATGTTAGGGTGTCAATTTTAGATCTTTCCTGCTTTCTCTAGTGGGCATTTACTGCTATAAATTTCCCTCTACACACTGCTTTAAATGTGTCCCAGAGATTCTGGTATGCTGTGTCTTTGTTCTCATTGGTTTCAAAGAACATCTTTATTTCTGCCTTCATTTCGTTATGTACCCAGTAGTCATTCAGGAGTAGGTTGTTCAGTTTCCATGTAGTTGTTCAGTTTCCATGTAGTTGAGTGGTTTTGAGTGAGTTTCTTAATCCTGAGTTCTAGTTTGATTGCACTGTGGTCTGAGAGACAGTTTGTTATAATTTCTGTTCTTTTACATTTGCTGAGGAGGGCTTTACTTCCAACTATGTGGTCAATTTTGGAATAGGTGTGGTGTGGTGCTGAAAAGAATGTATATTCTGTTGATTTGGGGTGGAGAGTTCTGTATATGTCTATTAGGTCTGCTTGGTGCAGAGCCGAGTTCAATTCCTGGATATCCTTGTTGACTTTCTGTCTCGTTGATCTGTCTAATGTTGACAGTGGGGTGTTAAAGTCTCCCATTATTATTGTGTGGGAGTCTAAGTCTCTTTGTAGGTCTCTAAGGACTTGCTTTATGAATCTGGGTGCTCCTGTATTGGGTGCATATATATTTAGGATAGTTAGCTCTTGTTGTTGAATTGATCCCTTTACCATTATGTAATGGCCTTCTTTGTCTCTATTGATCTTTGTTGGTTTAAAGTCTGTTTTATCAGAGACTAGGATTGCAACCCCTGCCTTTTTTTGTTTTCCATTTGCTTGGTAGATCTTCCACCATCCCTTTATTTTGAGCGTATGTGTGTCTTTGCACGTGAGATGGGTTTCCTGAATACAGCACACTGATGGGTCTTGACTCTTTATCCAATTTGCCAGTCTGTGTCTTTTAATTGGAGCATTTAGCCCATTTACATTTAAAGTTAATATTGTTATGTGTGAATTTGATCCTGTCATTATGATGTTAGCTGGTGATTTTGCTCGTTAGTTGATGCAGTTTCTTCCTAGCCTCGATGGTCTTTACAATTTTGCATGTTTTTGCAGTGGCTGGTACCAGTTGTTCCTTTCCATGTTTAGTGCTTCCTTCAGGAGATCTTTTAGGGTAGGCCTGGTGGTGCTTCTCTATTTATATCTGGTCTACATCTCAGTAAACGCATCATAAGTTGAAAATATCATAAGTGGAAAATGCATTTAATACTCTAACAAATCCATCATAAATAAAGTCAAAAAATCATAAGTCAAATCATTGTAAGTGAAAATGCTCCTCGACTTAGGATGGGGCTACGTCCTGATAAACCCATTGTTAAAGTCAAAATATTGTAAGTTGCACTATTGTAAACTGGGGGCTGTCTGTGATGTTTAAACTATGTAGAACGCAACAAGGTAAAATTAAAATATCTGGCTGACATGCACTTGGAAATTACCAACCATGAAAATCAGCAAGTAATTATATCTAAAAATAAGGACAAAAATCAGTTAATTGAAACTAAACCAATAATGGCACAGATGATAGATGTATAAAAGAACATGAAAAATGTTAACAAGGCTCTATTCCATGTGTTGAAGAAGGAAGTTGCATATTAAGGAGAGACATGAAAAACATAAAAAGACATACATTAAATTTTACAGAAGAAAAAAGTCATAAAAATAAACTTCATAAAATTAGCAGCAGAAAAAAACACTGCAGGAGAAAAGGTAAGGTAATTTCTCAATGTAGTAGTAGAAAGTATCCAAAACAAAATATACAGAGAAAATGACTGGGGAAAAAAATGAATAAAGTGTGCACTCTGGAAAACTTTAAGTGGCCCAATGTGACTACAGTTGGATCTCCAAAGGACAGAAGAAAAAAAGAACAGAAGAAAAAATACTTGAAGAAAAAACAGCCCCAATTTTTTCATAGTTAATGAAAGCTAAACCCTTCACATCCAAGAGGCTCAGCAAACCCCAGGCAGAAGAAACACAAAGAAAAATTTGCCAAGATGAGAAACTCGAAACTATCTTGCTAACATCGGGGATGAAGAAAAATGTGTACTCTCACCATTCCTTTTCAATTTTGTACTGGAAGTTCTCATCAATGCAATAAGACAAGAAAAAGACATAGGGTGATATTGATTGTGAAGGAAGAAATAAAACTGTCTTTGTTAACAAATAACATGATTATCTATTAGAAAATCTGAAAGAATCAACAAAAGACTCTTGCAACTAATAAGTAACCATGGAGAGGTTGCCAAATAAAAATTAATATACAAAAGTAAATCACTTTCCTATATACCGTCAATTACTAAGTGGAATTTGACACTGAAAACATTAAAAAATTTACAGTCACCCTGAAATATGAAGTACTTAGACTAAATCTAACAAAATTTGCATGATCCATAAAAGGAAAATTACAAAACTGAAGAAAATTGGAGAACTAAATAAATAAAAAGATATTCCATATTCATGGATTGGAAAACTCAAGTTTTCCTTGTCAAGTTGTAAGTTCTTTTCACCTTCATCTATAAATTCAATGCTATCTTAATCATAATCCCAGAAAGGTAATCTGTGGATATCAGCAAAGCGATGATAACAGGCACAAGATTCAGAATAGTCAACACAATTTTGAAGGAGAACAAAGTTGGAAGACTGACACTACCTTATTTCAAGACTTATTATAAAGCTACAGTAATCAAAACAGTATGGATATTAATGAAAGAATAGACAAATAGATCAATGGAAGAGACCAGAGAGCCCAGAAATGGACCCACATAAATACAGCCAACTGCTCTTTGACAAGGAACCAAAGGGTAAACATTGGAACCAAGATTAGTCCTTTCAACACATGGTGCTGGAACAACAGGATGTTCTCATGCGAAAGAAATGAACCTAGACATAGAGTTTACACCCTCCACAAAAATTCACGAAAAGTAGATCACAGACCTATATGTAAACCACAAAAATTATAAAATTCCTGGAAGATCACATAGAAGAAAATCTAGATGAACTTGTGTATTCGTTCGTTTTCACACTGCTATAAAGAACTAACTGAGACTGGGTAATTTATAAAGAAAAGATGTTTAATTGACTCATAGTTCCACAGGCTTAACAGGAAGCATGACTGGGAGGCCTCAGGAAACTTACAATCATGTCATAAGGAGAAGGCAAGGCAAAGACCTTCTTCACATGGTGGCCGAAAAGAGACAGAGTGTGAAGGGGAAGTGCCACACACTTTCAAACGAGCAGATCTTTTGAGAGCTCACTCACTATCATGAAAACAACAAGGGGGAAGTATCCCCCTTGATTCAATCATCTCCCACCAGGCCCCTCCCCCGACATGTGCAGATTGCAATTGGAGATGGGATTTTGCTGGGGACACAGAGACAAACCATATCAACTTGGGTATATCGATGACTCTTAAGATACAAAACTGAAGAGATAATCCAAGAAAAAAATAATTGATCAGCTATACTTAATAACTTATTCAAAACTAAAAATTCTGCTTTGCAAATGACACTGTCAAGACAATAAGCAGGCTAAAGACTAGGATTTATGATCCAACACATACAAGTATCACGTAGAACTCTTACAGCTCAAGATATCAAAAATACACAAATAATTTTTAAAATTCATCAGTAAAAAAATAAAAAATCCAATGAAAAAGAGGACAAAACACCTTAATAGACATCTCACCAAAGAAGATACACAAGTGTAAATAAGCATATAAAAAGTTGCTTACATCATGCCATTAAGCAATTGCAAATTAAGACAACAAGATACCCCTATACATTTATTAAAATGGCACAACATTACAACTTTATTCAAAACACTGCCAACTTTAAATGCTGAGCAGGATGTGGAACAATAGGAATTCTCATTCACTAATGGTGAAAACGCAAAATTTGGAAGACAGTTTGGCAGTTTCATACAAAATTAAACATACTCTTACTATGTTATTCATCCATCACACTCCTTCCTGTTTACCCAAAATATTTGAAAACATATGTCCACACAAAAACCAACACATGGATGTTTATAACAGCTTTATTCATAATTGCTAAAAGTTGGAAGAAAGATGTCCTTTAGTAGGTGAATGAATAAATAAACGGTGGTACAACCAGATGATTGGATGTTATTCAGCCCTAAGAAAAATGAGATATCCAGCCATAAAAAGACATTGAAGAAACTTAAATATATTTTGCTGATTGAACTAAGTCAATCTGAAAAGGCTGTGTACTGTATGATTTCAACTATATGACATCCTGGGAAATGTCAAACTACAGAGACAGTAAAATGTGCTTCCCAGGGGACTGGAGGAGGAAAGGACAAATGTGTGGATCGCAGAGGATTTTGCAGTAGTAAAACTACTCTGTATGATAATGTAATTGTAGAAATGTGTAATTATAGGTGGGTTCACACCCAGAGAATGTACAACAGGAAAATTGAACTCTAATGTAATCTATGACTGAGTAATCATGATGTCTCAATATAGGTTCAAATAATTGTAACAAATGTGCCACTTTGATGAGGAAAATTGATAATGGGAGACTATGTACGTGTGTTGGTAGAGGGTATAGGAGACATAACTATACTTTCTTCTTAATTTTGCCATTTCAAAGCAGATTTTACTGTCTTAGTCTGTTCAGACTGCTATAATAAAATACTATAAATTGGGTAGCTTATAAAAAGAGAATTGTATTTTCCACATGTCTGTTAAAAGAGAATTATTAGCCAAATTAAATTTTACAAAGTTTAAATGAGCAGAGAACAATTCACAAATCAGGTAGCCTCCTGAGCCAGAGTAGGCTCAAAGAGACTCCAGTGCAGCCATGTGGTAGAAGGAGATTTACGGACAGAAAAAGAAAAGTGATATACAGAAAACAGAAGTGAAGGAAAGAAACAACCAGATTGGTTATAGATCAGCATTTGCCTTATTTGAACATGGTTTGAATAATTGGGCCTCTTTGATTGGACCAGTCTCAATGATTAGCACAAGAGCAGGTTCCAGTCTGTTTACACTTCTATTCAGGTGATAGTTCACTAGGTACAGAGAAACCTTTATGTCAACCTTAAAATATATAAGGAAACAGCTTTTGGCTAAACTTGATTTCACAATTCCCTGTTTTGGGTCATCCTCTGAAAATTGATCATTGATCAAAATTTTATCATTGATGTCACTAGCACCATGATAAATGTACTTATTTGGTCTCAAAACCCATTGGGAAATAGCAGAACAGTGGGTTTTTTAAGGTTAGAACAAGGACTTCAGATTATTTTCTTTGTAGGGGTTAGGTTACAGGGTAGCTCTTTATGGTGGAATCTCCTGTTTACAGGAGAAAAACAAAACTTGGTTTGTTCTAGGATCGATCTTTTTCTTTAAGGTCTTAGTTTGATTATGTCAGATTTAGCATAAGTGACTCTAATTTGGTTTAAAATGGTCTGTTGGGGCCTAGGGCATGAGCTCAATCCAAAACAATGGCATCTCATAATTTTGCTTAAAAATAACCCTATTTGGTCACGTTCTCACTTAGATGAGAGAATGACCAAAACTTCAGGCCTTAGCACCACTCTCAGTTACCATCACTTTGGGTTTCTGGTCTCAGCACGTCATTTATAGGCTACAGTGCCCTCATGGTCACAGATTTTTTTCAGCTCTTGTCAATCCAGTTGAAGACAGACCATTCGACACTCTAAAGATGGCTGCATGCAAACATTTAAAACTTTTAAGAGAATATAGCACACCAGGGAGACTACTATTAAGACTATCAGGAGGATAATACCAAGAGCTTGGAGTGTGCTCCTTAGCCAGGGTTGTCATGAACCAAACCAACTACAATCAAACAGATCACAGAATGAGCTAAAGAGTCTACTTGCAGCTGGGCGCGGTGGCTCACGCCTGTAATCCCAGTACTTTGGGAGGCTGAGGCAGGCGGATCACGAGGTCAGAAGATCAAGACCATCCTGGCTAACACGGTGAATCCCCGTCTCTACTAAAAAAATACAAAAAATTAGCCAGGCATGGTGGCGGGCACCTGTAGTCCCAGCTACTCAGGAGACTGAGGCAGGAGAATGGCATGAACCCGGAAGGTGGAGCTTGCAAGGAGCCAAGATTGGGCCACTGCACTCCAGCCTGGGTGACAGAGCAACACTCTGTCTCAAAAAAAAAAAAAAAAAAAGTCTACTTGCTTTAACAAAGCAGCCTGTTCATTGATCCCCTACAACTGAATATCTATAATACCCAATGTATTTCTCCATGGGAAACAAGAAGTACAAGCAACTGCACAGATACTTCTGTTTAGCCAGTAAGTAATTTAGAGCAATTCTATTATGTAGTATAACTTTCACAAGAGAATTTAAAGTCTGTTGTGCAACCATTAAAGCCTCCTAACAATGTTCTCTTTAACCTGTGATGTAGGTTAAGAGGAGTGGAACCTATAATGTAGGTTAAGAGGAGTGAATCAGTGTTTGCTTCTCACTAATTATGAGGCAACAAATGTACCATTAAAATTTCTCACCTGCACTGGCCCTTCATCTTCCATTTATCAAGGCATAAAGTTGTCCGTGTATAAGGCTGGCTGCAAAATTCTTCACAAATAAAAATAGACCCCATGAGTGTACACAACAGATGCCCTTTTCAATTCTATTGTTCAAAGAGACATAAGCAAGGGGAAAATGGAAAGATAAGAGTCTCATGATAGCAGAGAAATCTTGATCCATGATCTTGGGGAAGAGCTGTCCATATCAAAGATGCCATCTGCTTCTGGGGAGGAACTTCCTTGGTTAGCTTTACCTTAAGGTTGTAAATGGGTGTACAGTTCCAAGAGTGCAGGGGGCCTATGTGAGTTGTGAGATAATGAACCCAAGGTTCAAGGTGCCAAAGTTTTGCTGCAATGTGGATGGCACAATGGCAGCCTTTCTCTGATACTCTGAGAAGACCATGGAGTCTAATCCTTGGGTTCTAGATTATGAAAGGGTTGATTGTCCCCAGTCAGTAGACCATGAAATGCATTCATTACCTGGTGAAAATATACTTTGGTAAAATGAGCTACTATTATAACAACAGCCCTTTTGTATGTTAAAGCTTTTATACAACCAGAAAGCATGCATTAAAAATTACAATTGAATGAAATCCTTTTATAAATGTTTAAATGGCCCATCAGGTAGCAGAAATGTACATAAAGTTTTAAAACCCAGGAATGAGTTTGATAACCAAACATTGGTCAAAAACTATTTGAGCAATTTAGAACAGCCACCAAAATAATATATTTTTTAATTTGGATAATTTTATTTATTCCATGATGGGTCATGGAATGCAGAGCTTCTAGTAACAAACACTTTAAGGACTCAGGATGAGGTGGCTGTCCAGAATCTCCATGAGTCCATTCTTAACACTAGATTTACATTTTTTAAAATACCAGTTGTTTCTCCAATTTATATGCATAGCACTGATACTGATGGGTTATAAGCAATTTGACTTGCACCATGGAGTTTATTCAAATTGTATATCTAAATATTTCAGTACTGCCTGATTTATCATGAAAATCTCACAAAGTATTTTCTTGGTATTCAGTTAATTTTTTGCCCTGCTTGGGTTAGCAGTTTTATAAACCAATTAATCAATCTTTTCATTAAAGTGTTGAAAATTCTTACCCAGTCCAAATCATATAAGCCTAAAGTTATCAGAAACTTGTATTCAAGAGTGCTTGTCAGGGTTCTTTCTATACTTTCACAAACCTCCTTAAAGATACCATACTCTAGGATTTTGTATGCTTGTAAAGCTTTCAGAAACTGCATTAGAATTAGGCAATTAACTGTGGAAATAACTGACATGTGGAAATAACTGACTATGTCGGCCATACTGGTTTGAACTACTGGCCTTAAGGTATTCTCCTGTCCTTGCCTCCCAAAATGCTGGGTTTAGAGGCATGAGCCACCACACCCAGCATAAATGGTCATAGTTAAAGACACAACTGACAAGGAAATGTGGTCATTTCTGTGGCCTACAATAACTAAATGATAATTATGGTTGATAGCACATAGCTAAACATATTAGAATTTTAGAAATTTTATACCATTTTGGAACATCTATTAATAATATATGCATTAAGATATAACTTGAAGAAGGTTGAAAATCATTTTTTATTTGGCAGTGGTTTCCACGTAATTTAACATGTCAAAACATCGGCTTCTCTCGCCTTTGGATGCTTTAGGGGCTTTCTGCAGAATCCCAAAGTTAGAGATCAAAAAAGACTTAACTTTGAAGCTGAAATTTGATTTTGGAAAGCTTGTCAAATATTTCAAAGTATTAAAACACTTGACCAAAATAGGATCACAGGTCACCATAAAATAATAGTCATTCATTTAGCCAAAGTGATAATTAAAAGATTTTTAAAAATAAAAAACCTGTACTCTTTAATGGAGAAGGCTGTTTTCCAAATAAGGAAAAGACTTAAGACAGTATGAGACAGAATCTATCTCTTCTTCTCTCCTCTCTCCCTCTCTTTTTTTGTTACAGTTTACTCAGAAAGTGAGGAAAAATGTTTGAATGTGTCTGATTAATGTCACATGCATGGATGTGAAGAGACCACCAAACAGGCTTTGTGTGAGTAATAAAGCTTTTTAATCACCTGGGTGAAGGCGGGCTGAGTCCAAAAAGAGAGTCAGCAAAGGGTGGTGGGATTATCATTAGTTCTTATAGGTTTGGGATAGGCAGTGGAGTTAGGAGCAATTTTTGTGGCAGGGGGTGGATCTTACAAAGTACATTCTCAAGGGCGGGAAGAATATTACAAAGCACCTTCTTAAGGGTGGGGGAGGATATTACAAAGTACCTTCTCAAGGGTGGAGGGTGTACTGTACAAAGTACATTAACAAGGGCGGGGGAATATCACAAAGTACATTATCGAAAGGGCGGGGAGGGGGTATTTTCACAAAGTCAGTTGGTCAGTTAGGGTGGGGCAGGAACAGATCACAATGGTGGAATGTCATCAGTTAAGGCAGGAACTGGCTATTTTCACTTCTTTTGTGGATCTTCAGTTGCTTCCGGCCATCTGGATGTATACGTGCAGGTCACAGGCGATATGATGGCTTAGCTTGGGCTCAGAGGCCTGACAATTAATACTATGTAAAATTTTTGTTCAAAAGAGAAAACCAAATTCTAGTTTTATGTTGTGTATTATCAATGTTAAAGCTTATTTTAATAAAACCTGTAAATAAATTTATAAAATCTGTCATCTTTAACCACACAAGATTTCCATAAACCTTTTGTTTTACATTTTCTCCAACTTTATATATTCATCTAGATTTATCTATTTTTTACTCCTTCAATTTGAAACCTGTAACTTCAAACTAGACAAAATTTTTAAACATGCACACATTTTTATGCCTTTATATATTTTCTCATTAAAAGCACATTTTTGTTTATACTTTTGTTTATATGTTCTGTATACAGAATTGTTTCTCTCATATTTAGTAGTTTTAGTTACATACATTAACTACAATTTTAACTTTTAGTAATCCCAATTTGTAGTGAAAACTCTAGAAAGCAATTTTGAACTGTTTGTTTTATATCACCATTTGTAGATAAAAAACATTTTATAATTTTTTTAGAAGGATGGTTCTTCAAATTAGTGCTTATTAACACCTTTTCTATAGCATTTAAAAGTAGCATGTCATTATATAGACTTAAGTTCATGTTTAATAATTTATATTTCAGTATTTTAACTTACAAATGATGTAGACATTTTATGATTATCTATTACTTAATCTAACATAATATGACTTTAAGATTTTAAATTACTGAAAATAATTTGGAACTAAACACAAGAACCCTCCCTAATGTCTTCCCCAGTCATCCTGGGTCCCAAGTAGCCATGTGGCACCCAGGAAGGTCAGGACTATGAAGGTTATGACCTGTCTGAGTCCTGAATTTACATGCTAGGTCTAAAGGGGTCAGAACAGAAGACAGAGCTGTGAAGACTGCAACTGGACAATCTAACTCTTCCCAAAATAGCAAGGAGGCAAAACAGGGAGAGCAGGGAAGAAGGGGCTCTATTGGGCTTGATTCTGGCTTGCAGTTGCTAGTCTGGGTACTGAGAACTTGTCTTGTCTCTAGACCTCATCATGTCCACCTATCCAGACCCCCAAATCCCGAGGCTCTAATCTAAAAACATAAACTCACAGTTAAATCAAGCAAGTTTCTAATTATATTTAACTGATAATTTTGAAACCATTCCTGTTTTACCAAAAACTTTTTAAGCAGCTTTATTTACTAAATAATATCACATACACATAACACATACAGACATACAAACACAGAGAAGCAATTCTTACAGCTTTTATAAAGGATTGTCATTTGCTGGCTTTTAAATAGCTTTTCTTTTCCCCATTCAGACTATCAATCTTCCAATTACTTGTTTCATTGCCCTAAGCAATTGTTAACTAGACAACAAATTTGCATTTCTAAAAAGACAACTCTTAGGTGAAACAAAAAGAATTGTATTTTGTAAGCACAGAGCTAAAATTTTAGGCCTAAATATTGTATTGCCATTTGCTCAAACTAAGGGAAAAATACAGTGCCCAAGTAAAAGTTAAGTCAAGACAAGATGGCCAGAAAAGCACCTTAAACAAAGGTATGGCTTGTGATGTAAATTTAAAACAATGGTAAGAGTTTCTAAAGTATACCAACACACATCCTTAAAAATGGAGACTTCCTTTATAGAAGTAAATTTCTTTTACAAAAGTGTTTCAAGATTGCCAGTTAAATTCCAGAAAGGTGCATTTTAGGTTCATAAGTGTTCTTGTTAACTTAGCTACTGTTTCTTAGCTAGAATTACGAGTTCAGGGCAGAGCTCATCATGAATAGGGCAAAGTATTCTCTGCCTGAACTCAGCATGGATAGATCTGAAAAAGAAGAAAGCCTAGTTTACCTGAGGGCCTATATTTTATAAACACTATCTAGGAGACCAGCCAAAGTCTATGGCATTTGAGACTTGACCCACTCTCTTTATTCCACAATAAAAAAACAAATGTCAAAGAAAGGCCTCAAAAACCAGTCTTGCAAAGGGGGCTGAATTTAATTGGATTACACTGTGGAACAATTAATGCCCCCAAGGCACTACTAAAAACTATAAAGCAATCAGCCAGCAATTCAAGGAGGCTAACAACTGGATGTAATACTTACAGTGGCAGACAAATTAATAATTAAATCAGAGAAAGAAAGAATCAAAGAGAATATTGCTAAAACCACTTCATCCCAGGGTGATGATGCACATACTCAAGGCTTCACCCTCTGAGTAGTGACATCAGAGGTTGAACATTGTGGGAAAAAATAGACATTATTGAAATGGTACACCTTGTTACTAAAAAATCCAACAAGTTCCATATACAGATTTACTACAGTATATTTTCTAAAATGTCTAGTTTTCAACAAAAAATTATGAAACATACAATGAAACTGAGTGTGACCCTTATACCGGAAAAATGTAGGCAACAAAAACTGCCTTTCAGAGAATCCAAATGTCAAACTTAGCAGAAAAAGACCTCAAAGCATCTAATATAAATATATTTAAAAAACTAAAGAACACCATAAAGAAGGGAAGAAAGGTATGAGGACAATGTCTCAACAAATAGAGACTATCAAAAAAAAAGTAAAAGTTATTTTAAAAAACAAATGGAAATTCTGCAGTTTAAAAGTACAGTACTTGGAATGAAACATTTACTAGAGTGCTCAGCAGTAGATTTGAACTGGCAGAAGAATCAGTGAAATTAAAGATAGATTGACAGAGATTATATAATCTGAAAAACAGAGAAGGAAAAAGAAAAGAAAGAAAAATAAACAGAGCCTCATAGACATGTAGAACATAATTAAGCAAACCAAAATATGCATAATGAAAGTAACAGAAGTAGAGGACAAAAAGGAATGAGCACAAAAGTTATTCAAAAAAGTAATGACTGAAAACCTTCCAAATTTGACTTAAAACCATCTATACATCAAAGAAACTCAATAAATTCCAAATAGGACAAACACAAAGAAACCTACACTTAGACATATCAAAGTAAAAATATTCACAGGCAATGATAAAATAATAAAAGCAGCATGATAAAAATGACATTTACATAAAAGGAAACACCAGTAAGGTTATGTACTAGTCTGTTCTCACACTGCTATAAAGAAATACCTGAGATTAGGTAATTTATAAAGGAAAGAAGTTTAATTGACTCACAGTTGTGCATGGCTAGGGAGGCCTCAGGAAACTTACAATCATGAGAGAAAAGGAAGCAAACACATCCTTCTTCACCTAACTGCAGAAGAGAGAAGTGCCGAGCAAAGGAGGAAAAGCCCCTTATAAAACCATCAGATCTCGTGAGAACAATTACAAGAACAGCATGGAGGTAACCGCTCCATGATTCAATTACCTCCCACCTGGTCCCTCCCACAACATGTGGAAATTATGGGAACTACAATTCAAGATGAGATCTGGATGGGGACAGAGCCACACCATATCATTCTGCCCCTGGCCCCTTCCAAATATCATGTCCGCACATTTCAAAACCAATCACGCCTTTCCAATAGTCCCCCAAATTCTTAGCTCATTCTAGCATTAACCAAAAAGTCTACATCCAAAGTCTCATCTGAGACAAGGCAAGTTCCTTTCTCCTATGAACCTGTAAAATCAAAAGCAAGTTACTTACTTCCTAGATACAATGAGAGTACCGGCATTGGATAAACACACTCACTGCAAATGGGAGAAATTGACCAAAACAAAGGGGCTACAGGCCCCATGCAAGTCTGAAATCTAATCATGCCCACCTCAGCTGATGCATGAGGTGGGCTTCCACAGCCTTGGGCAGCTCCAACCCTGTGGCTTTGCAGGGTACAGCTCCCTGCTTCAGCTGTTTTCATAGCTTGCATTGCGAGTCTGAGGCTTTTCAGGCACATGGTGCAAGCCATTGGTGGATCTACCATTCCGGGCTCTGGAGGAGAGTGGCCCCCTTCTCATAGTTCCATTAAGCAATACCCCACCGGGGACTCTGTGTGGGGGCTCTGACCCCACATTTCCCTTCCACACTTGCACCCATGGTGAGCACCTGCAAAAGTCACTGGGACTCGAGGATATAAGGTCAGAAGTAAGAAAAAGATGCTTTTTAAAATCTCCTTCATGTACCCCAGGTATTCATTGGAAAGAGAAAGAAATACATTTCTCCAAAAAATATATATAATCAGTGTGTAAGACATTGGGTATGTCTTTTTTTTTTTTTTTTTTTTTGAGTTGGAGTCTCACTCTGTTGGCCAGGCAGGAGTGCAGTGGCACGATCTCTGCTCACTGCAACCTCTGCCTCCCAGGCCAATCAGCACATGAAAAGATGCTCAATATTATTACCCATCATGGAAATGCAAATCAAACTCACAGTGAGTTACCACATCACACTCATTAGGATGATTACAGGGATGAAATGCTACGATCTGAATGTTTGTTACTCTTTTAAAATTCATACATTGAAAACTAATTCCTAGGGGTATTGTATTAAGAGGTGGGGCCTTTGAGAAGTGATTAGGTCATAAGGGTAGAAACCTTATGAATGGGATTGATGCCCTCATAAAAGAGGCCCAAGGGAGTTTATTTGCCCCTTCCCACATGTAAGGATGCCGCAAAATGGCACCATATATAGATATGAGCCTTCACCAGACACCACGAGTCTCCTTGATCTTGGACTTCCCAGACTTCAGAACTGCGAAAAATAAATTGCTCTTGTTTATAAGTTACTCAGTCTAAGGTATTTTGTTATAGCAGTTTGAATGAACTAAGACAGATGGCTACGACCAAATAGATGGACACAAAAAAAAGTGTTGGCAAGCATATGAAGAAATTCAATCCCTTATACATTGCTAGTGGAAATTTAAAGTGGTGTAGCCGCTTTGAAAAACAGTCTGGCCATTCCTCATAAGGCTAAACATAAAATTACTACATTATCCAGCAATTTCAATCCTAGGTATATACTCAACACAATTAAAAATATATGTCTACACAAAACCTATATACACATCATCACAGAATTGTTCATAATAGCCAAAAAGTAGAAACAACCCAAAAGTCCAATCAACTAATGAATGGATTAAATAAAACATGTTAAATTCATACAATGGAATATTGGATGGCATTAAAAAAGAATCAATAAGCAATAATATGGATGTATCTTGAGAGTATTATGCTAAGTAAAAGAAGCTAATTTTGAAAGATCACTATTGTATGATTACATTTATATGAAATGGAGTGCATGAAATTTATGTGAAATGCTAGAAGAGGCAAATCTAGAGAGATAGAAAGATTAGTGGTTGCCTAGGACTAGGGGAGTTGGGGGGAAATGCTTACAGATGTGGATTTTCTTTTGAGGGTGATAATATTTTTAAACTTACCGTGGTGACAGTTGTACACTCTGTGAACATACCAAAAACTATTTAATTGTACACTTTAAATGGGTAAATGGCATGTGATATGAATTATATATCAACAAAGGTGTTAACTAAAGGAAGAAAGAGAAGGAAGTGGAGGAGGACCTGCCCAGATCATCAGCTTTTCATCTTAACTGCCAAATTCGTTTATAGAAAATCTATGAGAACCCCCCTAACTATGGAGGTTTCTAAATGGGTAATATAGTTTACATCAGTGTCTTTAATAGCTTTGATCAAAATAAAATCGAATTAGACATAGATCAAATAAGACATACTGGCTGCGTGCGGTGGCTCACACCTGTAATGCCAGCACTTTAGGAGGCCAAGGCGCATGGATCACTTGAGGCCAGGAGCTTGAGACGAGCCTGGCCAACATGGTGAAATCCTGTCTCTACTGAAAATACAAAAATTAGCCAGGAGTGGTGGCATGCGCGTGTATTCCCAACTACTCAGGAGTCTGAGGCAGGAGAATTGCTTGAACCTGGGAGGCAGAGGTTGCAGTGAGCAGAGATCGTGCCACTGCACTCCTGCCTGGCCAACAGAGTGAGACTCCAACTCAAAAAAAAAAAAAGACATACCCAATGTCTTACACACTGAAATCACTGAGACACAGGCTTAGCCTTTATACCACCCTACACAACAAAACCTGTTACCTAAGAAGAGGTCATTTATATTAGCAAGGGGCAATGAGTACAACAATCATAATTTCTGATTTGTTGGAACCCAAACAAAATTAAATGATTTTCTTAGTGAGAAAAGTTGCTTTGGTTACATAATAATATGATTTCTCGGAATTTTCCAATTATTAATATTACTTGTAAAAAACCACTAGCTTGTCACTTATGTATTTGTCTCTTAACCTTAGTCGTATTTGAGGGAACTTCTTTAAAATAGTTTTATCCACCCACCGGTTTCAAATAGGATTATAAAAAAGTGAATAAATCATTTTATGCAAATTGAAACATAGAACTGAGATGAGATTGGTTTTTACTGGATGAAAATTGAATAGTGAAAAACTTAGGCTACGAGAAATGTCAATGCTGATTTAATCTGTATAGAAAGGTGACCAGAGAACGTGCATCAGTACGCTCTAAGTAAACGCCTCTGAATTCCCATTTAAAATGTAGCTGTTTCTTTCTTGGTAAGATGGCTCCCAAATAACTTGTTCAGGAACCATCAGGGCACTCCCCAACCCAAAAGTGAATGTCATGTTTGTAGCTTAATTCTTAAACTGAAAAGGTAAGCAAATACTTCAACCCTTTCTAATTAAGTAGCATTTGCTTATTCAAAATATCTATTTAATTGCCACAATACATCTGATTTTCATTCCAAATGTTTAACAGAGTAAAAAAATAGTAATTTTCTGGCTGGGTGCAGTGGGTCACGCCTGTAATCCCAACATTTTGGGAGGCTGTCGGGAGAATCGCTTGAGGCTGGGAGTTCGAGACCAGCATGGGCAAAATGAAAAAGAAAATAGTAATTTTTAAAGTTGGAACACTTGGCCTGAATGGGAAACTGGTAAATAACCTGCTAGGTATTTTTCAAAGATAAGCAGGATTCTAATTTCTAAGCAATTAGTAGCTCCCAAGAATCTCATTTGCATTCGATATTTCATGTTTAACAGAATCACCACAATGTAATCTAGTTTTTCTCCTATTGCAGCATATGTCAGGAAAGCACTTCATATAGGTGAACAACTAGGCTTAGTTTTCAGTGGAAAAAGATGCTTTATTTTTTTCAAATATTATGAAGTAGACAAGAAACAATAAACATTATGCTCAAATTAATATAAAGCATGGATTGGATAAATCTCTCAAATAATTTGATGTGGCATCTGCACTCCTCAAATGAGAGACAGTACAATCAGCCTGCCTTTACTCCCAACATCCTTATTTCTAAACTCAGTAATAAATCCTCTGTGGCAATAGGATTTGACAATTCGATATTGTACGTCTCGTTAGCGCCACCTACTGAGTGCTGGTCACATTTTGTAAATCTCAGTTAAAAATCACTGGCTGAAAATGCAGAAGGAACCAAATCAAAGTAACAAAAGGATGACAATAGAATGATTACATCTCCAGCTTTTTATTTTCATCAATGCTATTTAAGTATAGGTACAGTTACCAGAGCAGTGAATGTCATGTCAGAAAAAGAATTAATTATAAATTACATTTATATAAATATGATAATTAATTTGATTAAAAGAGGATTTACATTGACAAAAGCAAATATTATTAAGCCATACCTGCCTTACCCATCTCACAAAGTTATAACAAAAATTATACAAAATAATTTATGTGAAAAATCCTTGGGAACCACAAAACATTAAAAAATGTAAAAGCATTATTCCATAATGCAATAGCATTTTCATTTTATAATTTTTTTCAAAAATTTTTTAAATGCTACAACTAAATTTATGATACATGCTAGATGCTACTTTTAGGCTCAATTAAGCTTAGCATTTGGAAAAGCTGAAATATATACTTTCAAAGGATGGAAATTTTCTACACTATATGATTTAGAATCTCTTTTATATTGTTTTCTCATTCCTATAAAATAGACAAGCTATTTTATAGCCTAAAGTCATATTTATTTTTCAGTTCTGAAAATAGATTGAATCATACACACTGAGAGTGGCATATGAAGACTTCATTAATAAAAATAAAGTTGGTGATTCAAACTTCTGGTTTTGCTGAAACTGCTAAAGGATTCATGAATCGCATGAGGAACTTAATGTGGTTAAGTATCAAGTTTATTGACATTCAACTGTTGGTGAGGTTTATAAAATAGATTTATTCTATATAAGAGATGTTCCTCTCACAAGCTTTGACTCTTTCATCACCTTTCTGTAGGTCTTGACTGAAATAATAAAACAATATAAAATAATTAAAAATAAAAATGAAGTGATTCCATGTATCTGAATAAATATATTCACTACATTTAGTCTTTCTATCATATACATAGTGCAGGTGGAACACAAGCTTTCAAGAATCAAATGATGCTCACTTTGAATGTTTTCTTATCCACAATAGACAAGAATATCAAGCAGCCTTACCAAATTTGGAAGCAACTATTTAGTTGCTTTACAGATATTTATTTACAGATATTTATTTACAGATATTTATCTGTAAACCTCTAAATGATTGTCATAAACATAAAAGATAACTGCCTGAAATGTTACCTTTTCATAGACTAGGCTTTGACATTTTGTAAATATAAATGTAGCCAAAATATTGAAGTCAATCCAACTTCCCACATGCAAATATATTAATGTGTAACAGAAATCATCCTTTTGCCCAATTCCCCCTACGTGGCATCTTTATGTCCATCCCCCAATCCCCCAGGGGTTTCTCAGCATGAAGAGCCCAATTACAAAATAGGAAAAGCGCCACTCAAAGCCTATATATACATGCAGCTGCAAAGTGTTCTGGAGAGGTTAAAAGACTGATATGAATTTGGCCCACTGCATATAACCTGGAGCAATATTGCCAGAAAAGAGGATTTGAATGAGCCCAGGTTGGAAAAATAAATTACCTTTATGCCTTGAAGGCAATCTCCATGGGTCAAGGCTAATGCCTTTTTCTTTGCTATTGTGTGAGATAATCATCTCTATCACCTTTTTTTCTTTTCATTTTTTTTAAATAACTAGGTGGTTTTGACATTTTTGTGGTTGGTAATCTAATACTTTTTCACAAATTTTCTTTCAGGAAATAGAAAATTTTTTCAGTAATTGAATGAGAATGATGGATCATGCTAATAAATGTCTTTCTCAAAACCTGTCATAACTTTAAATCAAAGTCAGGGTATTAATATGAGACTCCTATATTCCTCATATTTATTTCATGTCAGCATGTGCCTAGCTGATGTCAACAGCAGAGGAAAATAACATCAGGGTTCAAGAAATGTGGTACCATTAACATTTACATGACGTATTGACTTGATAATGAACATCAGTAAACATTTCAGCCAAATATAAATAAAAATGTATTTGTGTCTATAACTATATTTAATATACAGAAACTTTAAGGAGAAAAACAAGTGAGCCTTGAGAGTAAAGGTGGTAACATAACACATAATTGTGGTAATGGTCAATGCAATTTAATGATTAGAGTTTATGAGCCAGATATCAAGCTGCTAATTTACTTTCATTATCTCTTATCATATTCATAGCAACACTATGAACTCCATATTATTATTCCCATTTTACAGATGACAAAACTAAATCTAGAGCAGTAAAATAATATTTTCAAGCCCACTCAGCTAGATAGTGACAGTAAAGAGAACTGAAACTTAGCAGATCTCTAATCAATAAGTCATACATATTGGCAAGAAGCTAAATCTGCAAAGATTGAGAGAGACTTTTTTCTAATTCACTCAGAGTGATTGTTTGCTCACGAAGCTGTGTGCCTTCAGGACTTTCTGCTCAAATCGACTGGTTTTTCTAATTTATGCAAATACGTCAAGTGACCTCATATTAGCCTGTGTGTTGCCAAATGTTCTAAAATTTCAAAAAGTTTGCTTTTACTCAGTTGATCAGGAATGAGATCATAGAGAAAAGAAATTTAAATTTAACCTAAAAAATAAATAGGATTTTAATGGGGAAGATGGAGAGTATAGTGGGAGGGTAAAAGAGGATCTTTTTAGAACATGCAAAGGATCCACATGCAGAAAAAAATAAGGCCTATTTGAGGTATAGGAGTTAGGATTGGCTGAAGCATAGATTTTCTAGCAAGATGGGAGATCGGACTAGAAAGGCCAACGTGTGGAACACTCAGAATGCTAAGTTAAGGTGTGTAGTCAATGGTCATGAAGCTGTGGAGAATTAGGAAGGAAACAACAGAGTCAAAAATAGGATTATTACTCTGGTGCTGGGTGTAGATATTTTTGAGCAGGTAATATGACAATAAGAAGACAATGGAGAAACTTTTAAGGCTAGACCTGAACTACACTAGTGTAGAAGTGGTGGAAATGGAGAAGAGAGGTAATCTATCACTAGACATGCAAGTATTATTCTTTCTTCCCGTGAACAATAGTTGTTTTTCGGTTCCTAGATTTAATGTTTGCTCCTGTGGTCATCAAATTTAAACACTAAAATGTTTTGGAATTTGATATAGTTGTGAAAATTATCTAATGACTTTGAATTATGATTTTAAGAGTTCAATCAAAGAATGAACTTTAATACCTGATATGCTTTGGCTGTGTCCCCATCCAAATCTCATCTTGAATTGTAATTCCCACAATTTCCACGTGTTGTGGGAGGAACCCGGTGGGAGGTCATTAAATTATGAGGGTGGGTCTTTCCTGCACTGTTCTCTGATAGTGAATTAGTCTCATGAGAACTGATGGTTTTAAAAATGGGAGTTTCCCTGCACAAGCTCTCTTTTTTTACCTGCCGCCATCCCCATAAGATGTGACTTACTCCTGCTTGTCTTCCACCATGATTGTGAGGCTTCCCCAGCCATTTGGTACTGTAAGTCCAATTAAACCTCTTTCTTTTGTAAATTGCCCAGTCTTGGGTATGTCTTTATCAGCAGCATGACAATGGACTAAAACAATACCCCTTCTTCTCTTCACCCTCTTAGTCTCCCAAAAAGATACCCAAACACATATACCCACATCGACACAAAAATACCTCTTCAGCCTACAGTTACTGTAGGATGCAGTATATAGAATGTTTGGCTCTAAGAGGGTATGTAGAGTTATTAACATCTTGTTTGGACACAAATAGAGGCCCTCAAGGAGCTCTATTTTCAGAGACTTTTAGGAAGAACTCAAGGATAAATTACTAGGACCATACATCCACTAATAGCAGTATTGAAACCCTACAAGGGTATTGATGCTTTTGAGTACTGACATCTTGACAATCAAGAGAAATCCCTTATATCATATCTGTGATATCATTTGATTCCCAACTGTTCTGTCTACCAAATTCAGGGAATTCTTCCCAGCAGAGTCTTCCTTTTTGTAAAGATCTTTTTGTATCATTTGACAACTGATAAGCAATTTTTAGCCAGGTATTATTTAGGCACATTCTTTTTATTTCTTACCTATTCATGTTTCCGTTAAAATTTGTTATAAATTTTTGCCAACTGATTTATTGGTATAAATCATCTTTCAGCTTATTATTACTGTAAATGTTATTCACTGTTAAACAAATAAGCCATAATTATTATCATTGTCATTAGCATAATTGCTTTTTACCAATTATTAACTCCTGCTAGTATGATCATGATTAATATTATTAGAAATCTGCCACCTCACTGAAAATGTTAAGAAATCCTATGTTTATTTTATAGATAAAAACTATTATTAAAAACTTGTAGCACCTTAAACTCATGTCTTAAATTGTTTCCATTCCAATCCCAATAACATAAATAATAGGACTGGCTTCCATTTATTTGTGTGTACAATAATGCTTGCGATGATAAGGTCACTGAAGGTCACCAAGACATTTACAGGAGCTTTCACTACACCTTGAAAAGTATATAGCCCAAACATATAGAGCTAGAGAAATCACTTCTTTTGGAACTACCAGAAAATATGTGATGGATTTAATAGTTTTAGTTCATATGACTCCAAAAAGTCAAATAATTGTAGTTAGCAGCATATTAACATAATCACCTCACATATAGTTTTATATTTTACCAGCTCCAATAAATCTACACCCCTAGATCTATATTAATATTTTAAATATAAATTAGCACATCTCAATACTTAATAAGTAGAAATTCAAGGAATAATGGACATTAAATTTTCTTATAAAAGGGAGCAAAGGTGTCTTATAAATTAGGTGTTCACTACAGGGAAAGGCATTAATCAGCTTTCAAAAGCTAAATTTGTCTCAAGCTCATTATTATTCAAAGCAGTGAATTTTCTCTGGTAACATGTCACAGAGGGAATAAGGAACGGAAATTCTAATGATAGCCCAGCAATTTACCATGAGGTTTTAATTAATTAATCTGGAGTTTATGCACATAAGACTGATTATATGAACCAAAGTTCAGTTCTACAAGTATTTCCCAAATTAAAGGAATGCTACATATTTCAATAATGTCAAATATGAAAAAATCGTACAAAATATGATTCAGTATATACCAAAATTAAGAAGCAGTTATAGTATACTTCTTTGCCAAACAAGGCAATCATTAATTTTTCTCACACTAAAGTACACAACAAAAGTATTTACAATTTATCATTACATCCAACATTGAAAAATGATAACAAAGTGATGACTTATATAATTTATATTGATGAAAATTGGGATGACATGAGGAATAAGCACTGACAAAGGTGTAGTATTAAACCTGGGCTTTCTGAGTTTGACTCTTGTTACAAATAATTTCACAAAAACCATTGATTATTAGATGTATATGTCCCTACACAGAAAAAAAGAAAAGAAAACTGGGCATGCACAAATTTTAAAATCAGTATTTTCCAGAAAGATGAGTATAATTTTCCTACCAATAAATCTAATTGATCCAGTTCTGGTGCCATAATGTTCATTAACTCCTTTGGTATTAAAGTGATTGGAAATAACATAAAAACCTGAGCATGTTGAATGGTATATGCTAACAGTCCAGTTCTAATACACTTATATTTGTGGTCATTACTAACAACATTATTCACATACACATAGCCAACCTTAATGCAAACGTTTCACATTTGCTAATGACAGTTTTTGATTACTTCAGAAGAGAGGTCCCCAAGTTAGGTTTATATGATGCAGATTGTCTCATAATCGAAGAACCTGTTAATTGAAGAATCACACTTATATCCCTTCAGTTTTAGCTAGGAACATCTGAAGGACTGATGACTAAGTTGCCTAGAGCTATCATTTTTTGAATTTCAGAAGGCACTGTGCTAGTTGCCTCTGCTTCTACACTTTCTCTATAACCTTTCTTTCTCTTTAAGCTCTTACTCAGCAGGCATGAAATGTATTTAGGAACACATGTATTATAAAAGTCTTTCAGATTAAAAATAGAAAACATTTACAGACTTGTTAAGACGATAGAAGGTTGTGGTTAAGAAACCCATGGAAGGAAGGACATAGAAATCATCTTAGCAGTTGTACAACTTTTTATCTCAGTACTTCTAATTGGCCTATGTCAAGTCTCACAAAGGGTGAGAGTAGCAGATTGTCAGCATTCAGAATACAGCATTCTCTTATTTGTGTGTGTCTTACATTCATGCTCCCCAAGTGTATTAGATTGGGTCCATAGGAAAAGATTCTGAGATAATAAGCTCTCTGCAGAAAGTTTATTGAAAAGTATTCTCAGGAGTTGCCTGCGTAAAGAAATGTGGAAGGCAGGACTGAACAGAAACACCTGCAATGTCATTGCAACTGAAGTCTTAGGCAATGCCAAGGGCAGCCCTGCAAATGGAATGGACTCTGAGTATTGTTCTGAATTGAGATGGGAGTAGGCTCTATAGCACCACATCAGCCAGTTACTGGTTATGCGTCAGCCTCTAGGAAATGACATAAGCTGGCTGAAACATTTCCCTGCAATGGAGGGCTATGCTCAGTGAGTGAAATAGTTGTACACTGTCAGCAGCCAATATTCCCAGCAGCAGAGAAATGGCACTTAGGTGAAGGATCAGAGCATTCACCACACCAGGATGGGACATATGACTGGGTCAGGATACCCCCATCTAAATAGGACCATATCATTAGGCTTGGCTTATTATACCAAGCCTATTCATGGTTGCCATTGGCTGGTGCCCCAGGAGCTGGTCCAACCAGTTAATGCCAAGTAAATTGGTCTGTTCTCACCCAAAACATAAAGTGTGAAGGATTGCCAAGGACTCTAGGTGTGGCAGGGATGTAAAGGTTTACAAACTCATCTTCAACATAACAAATTACCAACTTCTCAATAACAACACAGAAACAGCAACAATATAATAATATTTTATGTTAATTTGGTATTTACAGTCTAGATACTATGCTAAATACTTTACACAATTTATCTCATTTAATCTTAACGGGAACCCTATGAGGTGTTATTATTTTACTGTTACAGACGGAAAATTGAAACCCAGAAAAATGCAGAAAATGTATCCAATACAATAAAAATAATAAGTCATAGACCTTGAAACAAAGAGTTTCAGAGTCTTTCGTTTTAAGAATTTTACTAAACAACCCACAGAGTCTGGCTTATTAATGACCGTATACTACTTGTCACTTGCATGGAAATCTGTTGGCTTCATTTTAAGTATAAATCATTTTAAGTATAAAGTCATATGTACTATATTACAAATATTGCAAAAATTGACATTGTACTTGTTGGATTTGAAATCTGTTGGCTTAATTTTAAGTAAAGTATAAAGCCATATGTACTATATTACAAATATTGCAAAATTGACATTGTATTTATTCAGAGGTCCTATATCCAATGATCTTAACTCTTAAGAACATTATTGAGAACCACAAGACCAGTTTAAGAGACTTTTGTGTTCTGGTAGAAATGGAATAATGGGGATTGAATAATCTCTCCTGCCCTAAACAACTAGATGATTGGACAAAACCTATAACAATCATTATAAAAGATGAGACTGCTGTTGGAAAGCAAGTATCATGGGACTGTAATCTCTGAGAAAAAGGAAACAAATTGAGTGAGCCCTGAATGCATCAGCTCACTCCAGAGGCAGTTTCACACCACCTTTTAGGAAGATGGGACCCTAACAGAGCCCAGTGGTCTCACTGAATTGAAGAACCAGAGATCAATGTTGGAGGAATAAAGATGGTTAGAATTTGCTAAGAGGAATATGGTACTATAGAGGTAGAAGCTAAACAGGGAGAACTTCAGAGATCTGCAGAGGGGTCTACTTGAGGCTCTGAGTATTGACCTGTTCATGTGTGACAAGAAAACACCCAAGGCCAGAGAAACACTTAAAAACATTTGAAATACAAACAGGGCTGAAAGTAATTTGTGTCTCCAGAGCAGAGTGGAAAGACCTTGTAATGCAAGATCTATCCTGTAGAGTACTCACAAGTATGTTACCTTGGTTGTCAGCCTAAATTTGCCCTATGCGACAAGCTAATCTAAACCTACCTTACAAATACTTAAATAAAGCTTCAAAGATATCTACCTGATTCCTGCAGAATAAGTGCATGCCAGAACAAATTCTAACATTATTTAAAATTCAGCAAACAACAAAATAAAATTTACAACATCAGACATCCAGTCAAAAATTACCAGTTACAGAGTTACCTCATTTTATCGTGTTTCATTTTATTGTCCTTTGCAGATACTGCATTTTTTACAAATTGAAGGTTGGTGTCAACCCTGCATCCAGCAAGTCCATCAGCACCATTTTCCCAATGGCATGTGCTCATTTTGTGTCTCTGTATCACATTTTGGGAATTCTCACAAAATTTCAAAAGTTTTCATGATTATTACATCTTTTATGATGATCTGTGATGAGTGACTTTTGATGATACTACTGTAATTTTTTCAGGACACCTCGAAAACTGCCTATACAAAATGGTGACTTTCATTGACAAATGTTGTGTGTGTTCTTACTGCTCTACCAATTGGCTGTTTCCCCACGTCTCTACATATCCTAGGGCTCCCTATTCCCTAAGACTGAACAATATTGAAATTAGGCCAAATAATAACCCAACAAAGGCCTCTAAGTGTTCAAGCAAAAGAGTCACAGGTCTCTCACTTGAAATCAAAAGCTAGAAATGATTAAGCTTAGTGAAGAAAGCATGACCAAAGCCAAGACAGACTGAAAGCTCGACCTCTTGCTCTAGTTAGCCAAGCTGTGAATGTAAAGGAAAAATTCTTGAAGGAAATTAAAAGTGCTACTCCGATTAATACAAGAATGATAAGAAAGAAACAATGCCTTATTGCTGACATGGGGAAAATTATAGTGGTCTGGATAGAAGATCAAACTGTAACTCAGTAGCTTAGCTTCAAAACACATTTTAAAACCTTTTTTTTTCATTTTCTGTTTTCTCCCTAGTCTCAAGATGTAACCTTGAAGCAAACAACAGAAACCTTTTATTCCCTCCTTAGCCTTAAAAAAATACGCTAAAACATACTTTAAAACTCTGTTTCCCTCCCTTTCCCACTCTACACTATGTTACACCATGCACATTTACCTAACTATATACTTGTATTTAATTACGTGCTTACTTAGAAGTTCCAGTGGCTAATCTTGAGACAGACCAGGAATGGAGCCCAAGCTGCAAAATTCTAGAGATTACCTCAAGGTGGTAGTCAATATGCAGCCATTGTTGATATGATCCCAGACCACACTCCAGGTGGACCATGACTCAAGATAGCTACCAGAACAAGACACACAGACATTGTACCCAGCACTACTCCCCACATGCCTCTCATTCCCAGTTCCCTTTTTAAGCCCCTCTCCTCAGCATAAAGTTTGAAATGGTTCCTTTAAGGTATGAGCCTTGGCCATTTCTCCCACTGCTAGCTCTGGAATAAAGTCACTTTCCTTTCACCGCATTTTGTCCATGTTACTGACTTTGCAAGAAGTGAGCAGCTGAGTTTGTATTCGGTTACAAAACCAGCCACAACATTCCCTTAAGCCAAAACCTAATCCAGAAAAATACCGTCTCTTCAGTCCTATGAAGGCTAAGAGAGCTAAAGAAGCTGCAAAAGAAAAGTTTGAGGCTAGCAGAGATTGGTTTATGAGGTTGGAGGAAAGAAGCCATAAAAATATACCTTGTAATGCAAGATGGTATATCACCATACCATATCATCATACCATAAAAATGCAAGATGAAGTAGCAAGTGCTAATGTAGAAGCTATAGCAAGTTATGCAGAAGATCTAAAATAATTGATGAAGGTGGCAACACAAAACAACAGATTTTCTATGTATATCAAACAGCTTTATACTGGGAAAAGATGCCATCTAAAACTTTCATAGCTAGAAAGAAGTCAATGCCTGGGTTCAATGCTTCAGCAGACAGGCCTGACTCTTGTTAGGAGCTAATACAGTTGGTAACTTAAAGTTGGAGCTAATATTCATTTGGAATTCAAAAAATCCTGTAGCCCTTAAGAATTATGCTAAATCTACTCTGCCTGCATTCTATAAATAGAATCACAAAGCCTAGATGAGAGAATATCTGTTTACAGTATAGTTTACTGAATATTTTAAATGCACTATTGAGACTTACTGCTCAAAAAAAAAGGATTCCTTTCAAAATATTATTGCTCATTGACAGTGCACCTAGTCACTCAACAGCTCTGGTATAGAGGTACAAAGAGATTCATGTTGTTTCTATGCCTGCTAACACAATATCTGTTCTGCAGCCAATGGGAAAAGGAGTAATTTCAACTTTTAAGTCTTATTATATAAGGAATACATTTCATAAAGCTACAGATAGTGATTCTTCTGATAGATCTGGTCAAAGTAAATTGAAAATATTTTGGAAAGAATTCATCATTCTAGATGCCATTAAGAATATTTGTGATTCATAGAAGGAGGTCAAAATATCAACAGGAATTTCAAAAGAAGTTGATTCCAAACCTCATGGAAAACTATGAAAGTTTCAAGACTGCAGTAGAGGAAGTAACTGCAGATGGGATGGAAAGAGCAAGAGGATTAGAATTAGAAGTGGGGGGCCTGAAGATGTGACTGAATTGCTGTGATCTCATGATAAAACCAGGAGTTGCTTCTTATGGATGAGGAAAGAGAGTATTTCTTCAGATGCAATCTACTCCTGGTGAAAATGCTGTGAATATTGTTGAAATAACAACAAAGGATCTAGAATATCTCATTAACTTAGTACATAAAGCAGCAGCAGGGCTTGAGAAGATTGGCTCCAATTTTGAAAGAAGTTCTATTGTGGGTAAAATACTGTCAAAAAGCATTGCATGCTACAGAGAGATCTTTTATGAAAGGAAGTCAGTTGATGTGGCTGACTTCATTGTCTTATACTAAGAAATTGCCACAGTCACCCCAACCTTCAGCAGCCAACATCCCAATCAGTCAGCAGCCATCTACATCAAGGCGAGACCCTCCACGGTGAAAATATTACAACTCCCTAAAGGCTGGGGTGATCATTAGCATTTTTAAACAATAAACCATTCAACTCTGACCCTGTAGCAAAAAGCAATCATAGACAATATGTAAATGAAAGGATATGGCGAGGCTGCAATAAAACCTTATTTCACAAAAGAGGTGGCACACCCATAAGCCGTAGTTTGCCGAACCCCTTCCTAGAGCTAAAAATACCACATCGGATATTTTTTTAAAAGCCATAAATAGGATTAACTTCAGATGAGATTCTGTAGCAGAAGAGATTAGTGAAATTAACACGGTAACTATTCACAATGAAATATAATGAGAACGAAGATGGAAAAGGAGGAATATAGAGAGGATCAGTTACCTTCGAAACCATATCAAGCAGTCTAGCCGAAAAATTGGAGTCCCTGAAGACAGAAAGGGGACAGAAAAAATATTTGAAAAAATAATGGCTGATTATTTTTCCCAAAATTTATTGAAAACAAACCCACAGATCAAGACAGCTCCAGAAACCCCAAGAAGATGAGGAAAGTAGGCTTAGACTTGTTAGGTAATTTTTCCAAGACTTTTTTATTACAAGGTATGTACCAATTCATGTTTGTTGATTCAAGAACCCAAGTTTATACCTATTTGGTACACTTTCTCCCAAGCTTGCCAGAATGAGTCTAGTCTCCATAATAAGAGTGAAAATATTGTTTTTAGAGAAACCCATGTGTATCAGGCACTGTACAAGATATTATCTCATGTACTATCTCATTTGGTCACAACTTATCTAGTAGATAAGAATCATTTTCTCCATTTTACAGATGGAAGAACTGAAACTAGCAGAATTAACATTGTGTGTTTAAATAATTGCCAGTAAAGTAGGGGAAAAAATGCACTCTCAAGTCTTCTGTATTTCCAGGCAGGGCTTTCCTATAGAGATATGTGGATGGCATATCCCCCGCCAAAAATAATAGCTGTAGATATGCGAACTATTCAAAAAAGAAATTGTTATATGTGTTATACAACTAGAAATCATGCAGTTTAGGAATATTTGAAATATGAACTCATTGAAAAGAAGGAAAATAAGACCTTCAATTTAACCATTAGGTCAGGCAATTGCTGGCACATCTAAATTACTGACAATAAATCTCAGAGCAAGTACAATACTTCTAAGTATGGTTATAAGAATTAGAATCATAAAACCATAGAATTGTGAAATTACTTACACATCATAGAATCCAATCCCTTCTTTTTGGAGAAATGGAAACATACCCCAGAAGGTTAAATCATTTGCCCAAAATAACATGATTGGTTGTTGACCCTTTCTACTAAGCCATCCCCAGTTCCACTCCAGAAAATATAAATTATTCATGCAGAAAGACAAACTTAATTTTGGCAGGTCAGAGATTTCAGAAAGATGTGAATTGGCTAAGGGTTGTGATTTATGAATCTAGGCAGCTATTCAGATTGCCTTATCTCAGCTGTCCCTCTGTGAAACATACCATTCTGAGTACCTAAATTGACCTCTATTCAACCCCACTTTACCATCATTGGGTATGTCATGAGAAGAAGGGTAAATTACTCTGACCCAATGCAAAATACTGAGAATCAAAAAATGGTAGAGAGGAAACATATATAGAGATTACTTCCCCTTGTTTTCCAGATGTAAAATAAGCCAAGACAGTTTGTGACCATACTCTGAAGGATTAAATATAAATCATCCTTTATTTTAAGCAAATTATCAGCAGCATACATTTCAACCATATACACATATACATGTGCATGCATATACACATATACATGTGCATGCATATACACATATACATGTGCATGCATATACACATATACATACATACACAATTACTCATGCTTTTATGTAAGCCCCATGGAGGCAAGGGCTACACTGTTCTCACAAATTTCTAACACCTTGCACAGTAGCTGGTATTATATATAGATGCTCAACATTTATTCAAAAGAAAAAAGGGGTGAATAAGGACAAACACATAGAACAGCACAGCTCTAAAGCAATGAATGTAACTTGCTTTTTTATTTTCAGATTTATCATGGTATACCTAACAAATAATTATAGGTATTTAAGGTGTACAACTTCATGTTTTGATATTCATATACATTGTGAAATAATGACCACAGTAAAGCTAATTGACATATCCATCGCCTCCCATAATTATCTTTGTGTGTGTGATAATTACCTGTGTGTGTGTGTGTGAACATATTCACAGTGAGAATATGTAAGAGTTACCTCTTACCAAATTTCAAGTATACAATACGGTATTGTTAAACTATAGTCACATTGCTGTACATTAGATTTCCAGAAGTTATTCATCTTGCATAACTGAAACTTTCTAGTCTTTGACCATCTTCCCATTTCCCACTCCCCACTAGCTTCTGGCAATCACCATTCTACTCTCTGCTTCTATGAATTTGACTATTTTAGAGATTCCATATACAGTGAAATCATATAGTATTTGTCTTTCTGTTTCTGGCTTATTTCCCGTCAACATAATGTCCTTCATTTTCATTCATGTTGCAAATGGCAGGATTTTCCTCCTTTAAGGGCTTAACAATATTCCTCTCTCTCTCTGTGTGTGTGTGTGTGTGTGTGTGAGATTTCTTTATACATTAATCTGTGGATGGACATTTAGGTTGTTTCCATACCTTGGCTATTGTTGAATCAGGCTGTAGTGAACACTGGGGTGCAGATAGCTCTATGAGATAATGATTTCATTCCCTTCAGGTTTATACCTAGAAGTAAGATTGCTGAATTATTAAGGTAGCTCTATTTTTAATTTTTTGAGGAATCTCCCTACTGTTTTCCTTAATGACTATTTCAATTTACACTCCCACCAACAGTGTGTACAAGTGCTCCCTTTTCTCTACATCTTACCAACACATCTTTTATTTTATAATAGCCATTCTAACAGGTGTGAAGTGATATCTTATTGTGATTTTGATTTGTATTTCCCTGATAATAAGCGATGTTGAGCACTTTTTAAGACTTATTGGCCATCTGTGGTTCTTCTTTTGAGAAATGTCTATTTATTTTTCTGCCCATTTTTGAGTCAGGTTATTTGAGGGATTTTTTTTTTTTTTTTTTTTTTTTGCTGTTGAGTTGTATGAGTTCTTCATATATTTTGGATATTAACCCTTATCAGATATACAGTTTGCAAATAATGTTCTCCCAATCTGTAGGTTGCTCATTCAATGTTGGGTTTTGGGGGGGTTTATTTAGTTTTGGTTTTGAAGGCCTTTTACTTTTGTGTGTGTGTGGTTTTTGTTTTGTTTTATTTTGTTTTTGCTGTGCAGAAGCTTTTTAATTCAAATAACTTATCTGTATTTTTGTTTTTGTTGTCTGGCTTTTAGTGTCCTATCCAAAAATTCATGCTCAGACCCATGCGAAGAAGCTTTTGTTTTATGTTTCCTTCCAGTAATTTTATGTTCTCAGGTCTTACACTTAAAACTTTAATTGATTTGGAGTTGATTTTTTTATAGGGGGTGAAATAAAGGTCCAATTTCATTTTTCTGCATGTGGATATCCAGTTTTCCCAGCATGATTTGTTGTAGAAACTATCACTTCCCCACTGGATTTTCTTTACATTCTTGTTGAAGATAAGTTGACCTTCTGGTGGACTTATTTTGGGGATCCCTTAATTTCCGTTTGTCTGTGTGTCTGTTTTTATGCCAATACTATACTATTTTGATTACTGTAGTCTTTATAGTATATTTTTAAATCAGGAAGTATGATGCCTCCAGCTTTGTTTTTCTTGATCAAGATTGCTTTGGTTATTTGGGATCTTTTGTAGTTTCATATAAATTTTAGGATTGTTTTTTCTATTTCTGTATAGAATGCAGAATTGAGGTTTCAGTAGGGATTGCATTGAATCTGTAGATCACTTTGGATAGTGTGGACACTTTAATAATATTAATTTTTCCAATACATGCATATGAATGTCTTTCCATTTATCTGTCTTTTTTTTTCTTCATCAGTGTTTTATAATTTTCATTGTACAAGTCTTTCGCCTCTTTGGTTCAGTTAATTCCTGAGTATTTTTTTCTTTTTATTGCTATTGTAAATGAGATTATTTTATTAATTTCTTTTTCAGGTAGCTCATTTTTTGTTTGTGTACAGATATGTCACTGATTTTTGTGTGTTGATTTTGTGTCCTGCAACTTTACTGAATTCATTTGTTAGTTCTAACAGGATTTTTTGGTTGAGTCTTTAGTGTCTCCTACTTGTATAATTATGTTATCTGCAAACAGAGATAATTTTACTTCTTTTTTTCTGATTTAAATGTTGATATGGTTTGAATTTGTGTTCTTGTCCAAATCTCGTTGAATTGTAATCCTCAATGTTGGAGGTGGGACCTGTGGGAGATGTTTGGCTCATGGGGGCAGATTTCCACCTCAGTGTTGCTCTTGTGACAGTGAGTGAGTGCTCGTGAGATCTGGTTGTTTAAAAGTGTGTAGCAGCTCCCCACGCTTTCTCTCTCTCTTCCTCCTACTCTGGCTGTACAAATAAATGCCTGCATCCCCTTCGCCTTCTGCCATGATTTTAAGTTTTCCCCAGCCATGCTTCCTGTACAGCCTGTGGAATCATAAGCCAATTAAACCTCTTTTCTTTATAAATTACCCAGTCTCCATTATTTATTTATAGCAATGCATGAACAGGCTAGTACAGATATCTTTTTGGGTCCAATTGCTCTGGTTATGACTTCTAGTACTATGTTGAATATAAGTGGCAAATGTGGGCATCCTTACTTTGTACTGGATCTTAGAGGAAAAGCTTGCAGTTTTTTTTCCATTGATTATGATGTTAGCAGTGGGCTTTTCATATATGGCCTTTATTATGTTGAGGTAAGTTCCTTTTATGCCTAATTAGTTGAAAGGTTTTATGAGGAATTGATTTTGAATTTTGTCAAATGATCTTTCTGCATCTATTGAAATGATCATGTGGTTTTTGTCTTTCATTTTGTTAAGTTGGTATATCACATTTACTGATTTGCAATGTATTAAGCAATCCTTGCATCTCAGAGATAAATCCCACTGGTGTATTATTCTTCTATCTATGTTGCTGAATTTGGTTTGCTAGTATTTTATGGAGGGTTTTTGCATCTGTACTCTTCTGGGATGTTGCCCTGTAGTTTTCTTGTGGTGTTTTTGTCTGACTCTGGCAACAGGGTGAAAATGGCTTCATAAATTGAGTTTGGCAGTGTTCCTCTTCAATTTTTCAGAAGAGCTTAAGAGGAATCAGTATTCATTCTTCTTTGAATGTTTGGTAACTTGTTGCAAACTATTAAATTAGACCAGATGTCAATGTAATAATATATAACATTTATGCATTAATTTGCATGTGTTAATCATCATGCATAATGCTTTAACTCATTTTTATTTATTTTGATCCTATTTTGGGTTCTGAACAAAATTTACCCTGTTTCTTGTTTACACCACAAGGTCTTAAATGCTTTTAATCTCAGAAAGAAGTTTTAGGACACCAAGAATGTCTACCAAAAGATTATACATTACTCCCAGGGTTTAGAATAGTACTGGCATATAGTAGTGATTAATAAATGTCAGCAACTTTTTGTACTAATAGTAGTAGTAGTAAATCTGAGCTCGCCTTCCCTCCTTTATCTGAAACTAAAAACTTCAAGCAAATTTGAGCAAACACCCTTGTATTGGTGCCTCAAATTTTGCCCACTTACTCAGAAAATTTATAAATGTATCCTGGTCATTTTAAAAATTTTAGGGCTAAAAGAACAAAGGTATATTTTAATGATTAAATTAACTAACAGCCTTAAGTCTTTCTGGGGTTCACTCCCACTAGTCCTTGCTTACAAGTAGATGTCTTGGTATCTTGATAGACTCAAAAGGAAAATGCACTTATTTTCCAAGTAGAGACAGAGAGAGAGAGAGAGAAAAGACATTGAAAACAGACATGGAATTTGCGTCTGTTATTTATTCTTCCCTGAAACACTCTTACTCTGGCCAACACAAAGGTTCTTTACCCTCAAGGAAGTAGTGACTCTTCTTTGCTTAAGGAGTATTAATTTGTTAATATATAGTAGTCTGTATAACAAGGAGACCATAGTTGGTCCACGGTCTCATTAAGGACAGGATAAATGTTCTCCGAATCCTTTCATAATCCACATACAACAATCACTTGAGGTAAATACGATTTTCATTGCCAGTTTGAGAAACTGGGATTCAAGGACGTGAAATAATCTGCTTGAGACCTCAAATCTCTGATTCCAGAGCCCGTGATCTTAGGTACTGTGTGCTCCCTCCTACTCACATTAATGCCATTCATTTATATGGGGTTCTTTGTATTTCTCAACTACACCCCTGGTATGAATTGTACTTGGTTAGTTCTCTGCTTGGCCTTTGCTCTTCGCACTGAGATCTGCTGAGGAGTGTAAATAAGGGCCAGGCTCTGCAGCACCATCCAGGTGCTATGTACCCCAATAATTTTCTGAGCTCTTCAGAGGAGAAAATAAGGTCAAAGTTTATTTCCCCCTCACTTACCCATGTTTCAGCAATCAATCTACATTACCTTGCAAAGAGACCTAGAGATGAGTTTGCAGGAAAAACTTGGAGAAAATATAGAGAGGTCAGGACTGGCTACATGTGATTTTTTTTTTTCTAATTTCTAGTCTCCCTAGCCATAAAACTTTCTAATGTAAGAAATGGTCTTAGGGTAAAAGTCAAATTAATGGTGTGGCTATAATGTCCTTTGATTAGACTTTTTAAATATTTAAGGCATGACTAATGACTATCTCAATTAGACAAAAGATTTCTAGATATCTTAAGAGCACTTCAGAAAAGCCTAATCCAAAAATAGCTGTAAATGTATGTGTAGAGAGAGATATTTCTTTAATTATATGACTCTTACTAAAACTAAGTATATTAAATCTATTACACAGAAAGCCAAAGAGTGATTAAGAGGGTTGTACCAGCAAAACAACTATTACTTTGGCTTAAAAGGCCAGATATTGGTCAAATTATAAAGAAGATTTCTGGCCCCCCAGCTTTTTTCTAGCAAGAAGCAGTCTGAGCAAGTTATTTACTCAAGCATAGTCATTTCTTTTTTTAATGAAAAAGGGAAGACACTTTCGGCCAAGAACACAGAGAATGGAGCTACAGGCCACTGACAACAATGGACCAGGGAACCACTTCCATTAAGCAGAAGAGTATAGTATACTGCAGAACAGCTTTCAGGGTAATACTACTGTGCCTTAATCATGGAATGTTCCCTGCCTCCAGAGTAGGGACAACAGGCAATATTTTTCCTAGCAAGATTTCAGAATTGTTATGGACCAGTGACCGTTACATATCTCCTGTTTTTCCACTTTTGGAGTGTAAGTGTCTACTGTAGTCATCCTATTCCTGTATCACCATTGTATATTGATGTCATGTAGAACATAACTTTTCCCTTTGTTTCTCCAGATTCTAGATCAAGAGTAGCCACATCCAGATATAATGCAAATCACAAAATCCTGGACTTCAATCTTAATTCTATAATTAGATGACAGTTTTGGCATCCTGTAATGAAAGTGAAGACATGCGGGAGGCATGTTAACATTTGTAATCAGCAGGCACATTGCAATAGAATATACAGTTGTCAACAAATATTTTCTTTTCATACACCCACACCTCTGCAATGTGACTTCACAGATCCATCAAGAGGTAGAAGATGTTTCTCAAATCTAGGTTCATTTTGAAACTTTCTTTGCCTAATGTAACATTAGCAAACGTAAAGCAAGCAGAGTCCTAAACAATGCTTATGCATTGAGAATCGCCCTTTTTCTGCTTTTGGAACCTGCAGCTGTTAGCATGCAAGAAACACAGGTTGTCACTCCAATATACACCCTTACCAATTGCCATACATTTGAGATCAGTCTCACTAAGGATCATATTTTCCTAAAGAAATAAGCAACATCCCTCCTCAGCCTAATCTTTATGTGTGATATTTTGGCCCACGTATGGTTTATTCCTTTGTTTTATTACCCAATTGGATCAGAACATGTAAGAGAAAGATTGGCATTATTTGGCCCTCATAGATCTCAGCAATGACAATGATGCTGCACTCCCTTCTTCTACACATGCAATTAAGGTTCAAGACAATTCTATACACCCCTGAAAGGAGACACTGATGATTTCTACATGTCTGACAATTGTATACAGTTGACTAAACAATAGCATTCACTACTGTACAATGGTAAAAGCCAAAGCACTATTCCTTCTTATGCAAATGGTTGTTAGGGCTTTTAGATGTCACTTCTTGGGAATCAACACAAAGCAAACCTGAAATTCTGATTCTGAGAAGATGGGAATATACACAAATATCTCTTATCTAACCATTCTGAGGGATCATTAAGTTGTCCATGTTTATTTGTTCCTATCCAGCACAGTACTCCTATTCAATGAGAACACTGTCCCCTGTTTATTGGTTACAAATACATGTATCATGCAGTCACTTCTCCACTTGCTGGAAGAAAGCAATGACATTGTCTGGAGTTACAATCTTTGGCAGATCACAAGAAAATGAGAAAGGCAAGTGAAGAAAGCAAATATAATCAATGATTAGCTGTATGACATTATAGGTGGATGGAAGATAGTAAGCAGATATGTAAGTCAGAAGGTAGTTACTGGTCTGTCTTGGTGCCTGCTGGTCCTCAACACCCATAACAATGTCTTACAGATGATGTATCTGCTGAAGGACAAAAGAAAGGATGGGAAGGATTGTTCTCATGATATGTGCTAGCTCCTGGCCTTGCCTTAATTAGTAGTTCGCTATCTTTTTCCTTAGCCCAGAGATCTAATTACAGATTTTTCCATGTCTGTGGCAAGCATTCAACAACTAGACAAATATAGCAATACATCAATAATATTCAATAATGCAATAACTATTATATCCTGTGTTAACAATTTCTTAGGATTTCCCAGAAATTAATTATACTCTATGGAAGTAAACAATAAAGAATCAGGAATATTTCCCATGTACTTTTCCTTTAGGACACACCTAAATAAAATAAAAAGGAAAAGAAAAAGATTACTTCAACATTATCAGAGAAAACTCCAAGCTAAAGAGCCCACTAATTTAGATACAGTCCATTTTTAGGTAATTGCAGAAGCGTTGAGTGCTCAGAACCTTTGTGGGGGTGGCCTCTTGCTTTGCTGGCACTCCTGGCTGGCTGGCTGGCTGGCTATGCTGACAGTGTAAGTCAAGGGATTATTAGATTGGCCACATGCTCTCTGCTTTTGTTTCTTTGTTTTTGTTTTGTTTTGGGACAGAGATAGGAAGGTTGAATGGGGCCCCAGAGATCTAAGAGTAAAGGAGGAGGGGAGAGAAATTTGTAGTGATGAGTGTTTTCTGCTGTAAGAGTCCTGAGAGAATGTAAGAGTTTGATTCTGGCAGAAGCAAACTGGCAATGTGGGTCAAGAATTAACCAACAGGAATGCCAGGATAACATCTCCTGAGACATGTCTCTAAATTACATCAAAAACTTCTATGAAGGATGTGTAAGTATTATACAAACAAAAAATCAATTGTATGAGTCTTTTCTGAGTATTTTACCCTGAATTGCATAAGTCTTGGTGAATAAATTCTCTACATCTATGGAGAATACTGTTAAGTGTCAACCATATACTTCAAAATATTCTGAATTTAAAACTATAAAGAGAAAAATTCAGGAAGTGTCTTTAGATGTTGGTGTTTTAGTGTGGCTCACTCTCTCAATTCCCTAATTAAGAAGCAGAGGAAAAAAGCTTTAACTACAATTAATAAACATTATTTGGTTGTTAAGATAGTGTACGGACTGAGCTTACTACTGGATTTTTTATCTAATTTTCAAAAAGAAGTATTAGATATTCTGATTTTATTTCAAAGGGATTATAATGGTGGGGATATTAATTGAATTCAAAGCTGTATAAATATTTCCAAAATTACACATTTGATTAGCCACATGTCCCTATCAACTATTGCTTTTCATATTTTAAGAGTGAGAAATCTCATAATGCAGGAATTATATTTGATTTGATGATCTCTAAGGGTCTATTTGGCTTCAAAACTTCTTGACTCTTACATTTTTTAAATGTGATATAAGGATTTTTTTAAATGTCCTCCTTTAATGTTTGTGTTTAAAAGATTTTTTTTCTCCTAAAACCATAACAGGTTAAACCTCCAACTGTGATTGGTCAATTCCACACCCTTTTCTTTGGATCGATCCGAATATTCTTCCTCGGGGTGCTAGGCTTTGCAGTTTATGGGAATGAGGCCTTGCACTTCATTTGCGATCCAGACAAAAGAGAAGTAAACCTCTTCTGTTACAATCAGTTCAGGCCAATCACTCCACAAGTAAGTTTTTCTGTGTGCACATAAACATTAACTCTACAACAAACTCATTTTCTCTTTAAATGTAAAATAATGTCATAATATGAGAAATACCCTAACAGGTTTTTTGTTCCTAAGGATTATGTTACTTTTTCTTTAATTAGCTGTATATTTCAGATAAATTGAGTTTTGGGGAGTTTCTTCCAATTCTGGCATTTTATTATCTACTAATGTTATCATTATTCTCCAGATCTATATTTGGGATATAGACTAGCTGTCTAATAAAATAAACTACTTCATCATTATCAGTCATTGAGAGGCAATTACAGTAATATATGACTATGTTTTCACAATAAATATGTTCAACATTACTACCTTCATTATATTAAGACACATATAAGATTTTTATGAAACTTGGAATTTTTAAATTAGACTCTGTTGAGAGTTAGTGGGGTTTTTTTAGTGTATTTTAGTTACATATTGATTAATTGATTTACTAAGATATTTCTGACATACTTTAGGTGTTCTAGGCATTACAACTAGTTATTGTCCTGGTTCCTGGAGCTCTTTTCCACCTTTATGCTGCATGTAAAAGCATCAATCAAGAATGCATTCTTCAAAAGCCTATCTACACTATAATTTATATACTCTCTGTTTTATTAAGAATTAGTCTAGCGGCAATAGCATTCTGGCTTCAGATTTACCTCTTTGGTTTCCAAGTAAAATCTCTTTACCTGTGTGATGCTAGATCTCTTGGGGAAAACATGATTATAAGATGCATGGTTCCAGAACACTTTGAAAAAACCATTTTTCTCATTGCAATAAATACATTTACAACAATTACAATTTTATTATTTGTTGCTGAGATTTTTGAGATCATATTTAGAAGATTATACTTTCCATTCAGACAATGACCAAATAATTACCTATTGTCATGCTGCAGTTATTTATCATTTTTATTTAGTTTTATCTTACTCAGTGAGTACAATTTCAAAACAAACTTACTTCAATGTGTCTGAAATTTTTGTCTACTATAAAATATAGTGCCTGGTTGTAAGGTAAGGATTCTTGAAGAAATATTTCATTTTAATTTTGATCACTTTTATTAGAAAATATACACAGAACTACTGTTAATTTATTTTTAAACAGTGCTTTTACAGAGTTCTCTCACATACATGTTAATTGATCAGTTTTTCTGTGGCCAGAGAAACTTTTATTGTCTTTTTTTACGAAGTGGAAAATTGATGCTCATGAGGGTTAATTTAGGTGGTCAAAGTCATAATCCAGATATTTATATTTCCCTTTCTGTGGAACTATACAGTTTTAAATTTGAGGGTGTAATTATTTTGCATTCATGTAAAATATAACTTATTAAGCACAAAAGTTGGAAATTAATTATTAAAGAGTAATTACATAGTTTGACCATTAACTTGAAGAAATTGAACAATTACATTTTTAAAATTTTATTCAATCGGTTTTCTTTTCTTTTATTTATTATTATTATACTTTAAGTTTTAGGGTACATGTGCACAATGTGCAGGTTAGTTACATATGTATACATGTGCCATGCTGGTGTGCTGCACCCATTAACTCGTCATTTAGCATTAGGTATATCTCCTAATGCTATCCCTCCCCCCTCGCCCCACCCCACAACAGTCCCCAGAGTGTGATGTTCCACTTCTTGTGTCCATGTGTTCTCATTGTTCAATTCCCATCTATGAGTGAGAACATGCGGTGTTTGGTTTTTTGTCCTTGCGATAGTTTACTGAGAATGATGATTTCCAATTTCATCCATGTCCCTACAAAGGACATGAACTCACCATTTTTTATGGCTGCATAGTATTCCATGGTGTATATGTGCCACATTTTCTTAATCCAGTCTATCATTGTTGGACATTTGGGTTGGTTCCAAGTCTTTGCTATTGTGAATAGTGCCACAATAAACATACGTGTGCATGTGTCTTTATAGCAGCATGATTTATAGTCCTTTGGGTATATACCCAGTAATGGGATGGCTAGGTCAAATGGTATTTCTAGTTCTAGGTCCCTGAGGAATCGCCACACTGACTTCCACAAGGGTTGAACTAGTTTACAGTCCCACCAACAGTGTAAAAGTGTTCCTATTTCTCCACATCCTCTCCAGCATCTGTTGTTTCCTGACTTTTTAATGATTGCCATTCTAACTGGTGTGAGATGGTATCTCCTTGTGCTTTTGATTTGCATTTCTCTGATGGCCAGTGATGATGAGCATTTTTTCAAGTGTCTTTTGGCTGCATAAATGTCTTCTTTTGAGAAGTGTTTGTTCATATCCTTTGCCCACTTTTTGATGGGGTTGTTTGTTTTTTTCTTGTAAATTTGTTTGAGTCATTGTAGATTCTGGATATTAGCCCTTTGTCAGATGAGTAGGTTGTGAAAATTTTCTCCCGTTTTGTAGGTTGCCTGTTCACGCTGATGGTAGTTTCTTTTGCTGTGCAGAAGCTCTTTAGTTTAATTAGATCCCATTTGTCAATTTTGGCTTTTGTTGCCATTGCTTTTGGTGTTTTAGACATGAAGTCCTTGCCCATGCCTATGTCCTGAATGGTAATGCCTAGGTTTTCTTCTAGGGTTTTTATGGTTTTAGGTCTAACATTTAAGTCTTTAAACCATCTTGAATTAATTTTTGTATAAGGTGTAAGGAAGGGATCCAGTTTCAGCTTCCTACATATGGCTAGCCAGTTTTCCCAGCACCATTTATTAAATAGGGAATCCTTTCCCCATTGTTTGTTTTTCTCAGGTTTGTCAAAGATCAGATAGTTGTAGATATGCGGCAGTATTTCTGAGGGCTCTGTTCTGTTCCATTGATCTAGATCTCTGTTTTGGTACCAGTACCATGCTGTTTTGGTTACTGTAGCCTTGTAGTATAGTTTGAAGTCAGGTAGGGTGATGCCTGCAGCTTTGTTCTTTTGGCTTAGGATTGACTTGGTGATGTGGGCTCTTTTTTGGTTCCATATGAATTTTAAAGTCGTTTTTTCCAATTCTGTGAAGAAAGTCATTGGTAGCTTAATGGGGATGGTATTGAATCTATAAATTACCTTGGGCAGTATGGCCATTTTCACGATATTGATTCTTCCTACCCATGAGCATGGAATGTTCTTCCATTTCTTGTATCCTCTTTTATTTCATTGAGCAGTGGTTTGCAGTTCTCCTTGAAGAGGTCCTTCACGTCCCTTGTAAGTTGGATTCCTAGGTATTTTATTCTCTTTGAAGCAATTGTGAATGGGAGTTCACTCATGATTTGGTTCTCTGTTTGTCTGTTATTGGTGTCTACGAATGCTTGTGATTTTTGTACATTGATTTTGTATCCTGAGACTTTGCTGAAGTTGCTTATCAGCTTAAGGAGATTTTGGGCTGAGACAATGGGGTTTTCTAGATATACAGTCATGTAATCTGCAAAAAGGGACAATTTGACTTCCTCTTTTCCTAATTGAATACCCTTTATTTCCTTCTCCTGCCTAATTGCCCTGGCCGGAACTTCCAACACTATGTTGAATAGGAGTGGTGAGAGAGGGCATCCCTGTCTTGTGCCAGTTTTCAAAGGGAATGCTTCCAGTTTTTGCCCATTCAGTATGATATTGGCTGTGGTTTGTCACAGATAGCTCTTATTATTTTGAGATAAGTCCCATCAATACCTAATTTCTTGAGAGTTTTTAGCATGAAGCGTTGTTGAATTTTGTCAAAGGCCTTTTCTGCATCTATTGAGATAATCATGTGGTTTTTGTCTTTGGTTCTGTTTATATGCTGGATTACATTTATTGATTTGCGCATATTGAACCAGCCTTGCATCCCAGGGATGAAGCCCACTTGATCATGGTGGATATTCAATCAGTTTTCTTGAAAGTTTCAATATTAAAATGATATAGAAATATAGTTACCAAATAAATAAAAAATGCTATGGATTATATTGCGCATGGGATCCTTGTTTCTTCTTGGGGAAAAAAAAAACCTTTCTGTGCCCACAGATGTCCTGCAACTATAACTTCTATATTTATCAAAAGGGAACACTGTGTTTATATTAAGTTAGACTTCCTCAATAGCTATGAAATTATTTCAGAGACAATTTTATATTGATTTAGTGTATTTCTTTTTATCTGCCTGCCTTACCAACAATCATTTGATTCATTTGATATTATTTAAAATCCTTATGTATTACTGCCTTATACTGGTAACTTAGTAGGGAAATCAGTATAGTCAAATACTAAGGTTTTCCATTTTTCCTCAAGCTTTATGCAGCCTGTGTTTGATATCATGAATTTCTGGATCTAAGGTTTTCATCATTGAGGTTTTCTCTACATGAAAGCACAGGAGAAAATCCAACTTATCTTCATTTCACAAATAGCTACTGATGTCTGCTATTTAACAAGTACTGCATTAAAAAATTCGTATAAAAAGATCATCAAGATTTAATACCTTTATAAAATCATACTCTAGCACGTGAGCTATAAAATCATACTATAGCAGTGGCATGCCAACAGGGTGGGGACTGGTAAAAATTGTCCACTCTACAAATAAAGGATATTTATTGACTTTCTTTATTTAGAATAACTAACAATTGGTGTTAATAAACAGCAACCTTGTTTAATATTTTATCCTTATTTTTAAATTCTCTATAGATAACATACCCCTTGATTGCCTGCATTCAAGGTGGAATGCTCCCGCCAATCTGCTGACAAACATACACATTTTCATTATGGGTCCTATTTTTCCTGCAACTTTGCAAGGCTGGTACTTTTTTATTGAATGTCAGGCATTGTGTGTTTTATCCTGTTGGATGCCAATTATTTTTCTTCTCATAAATATTCTTCAACTTAGTTCTGGAGCACAGTTAAGTTACTTGGAAACAGATGATCCTTTCTGCTTCCTTTTAAGCTTTGTTATATATGACCAGTGTAGTACTTACTGAAAGGCCAGTTTTGCCCCAATACTAAGGAAGAACTTTTCTGTGTGCTCTATCAGATGTCTATTTGGTGGTTTGGAAATACTATCCTTTCACTAGTCTCAAAAATCTTGAATTCTACCCTCCTGCTGGTTGACTGTGGTGGTGACACAAATTGCCACTGCCATATGAAACAGGTTCTCTCCGTGTCCAAGGAAAGAAAGGAGATGGGGCAAAAGGACCTTCTTCTGGTTTGCCTCTCAGGATTCTTCCCCAGGGAAGATCACTTTTCCAAAAAATCCCACAGAAGACTTCCCCTTAACATTATTGCCCAATCATAGATAAACGCTTGGATTTATTCTTACTCTGATTCATCCTTTAGGGTAGGGCATTGTCAACGTATATCCCTTTATTAAGGGATTTTTCCACTCTGACTTTGGGAACAGCAACTATTCTCAGTCTTGTGTGAATCTTGAGTATTGTTCCTTTTGATCCTTTCAATTAGTTCTTTTCCTGTAAAGATATTTAAAGATGTTGCACTGCCATCAGGACTCACTTAAATGCCCTTTGCAGATCTCTGGAGCTCTCTCGCTTTTCCAGCTACCTTACTGTAGCATCCATTAAAGCCAACTTCCTCGGCCTCCCTGAGCTCTTGATCTCTTCAACTGACAAGGTGGAAGGATGGCATCTCTAAGCCACCAAAGAAACTTTGCTTCCCTCTACTTCTTTGAACTAAACACTACATATTGTTATGTTTAAAGATAGAGATAAGACGAGACAGGTGGTTTAGACAATCTTGTAAATTCACTACCGACCTACTATGATTTCATTTTATTAGTAACTATATCAGAATTGTTAGCACACAGCTATATAGTCCTGAATAATAAATGCTATATATCAAAATTCATATTCCAATATAAAAACTAATTTTTCTGACTAAAATGCAAATATAGTAAAAATTAATAAGAGCATCAAAACTAAACAATATCTAACCATTTGAAATGATATTTAAAAGCATTTCATAAAAAGCTCTTTGGTGAAATAAGGTAATTTAAACTGAAGCTTTTCCGACTATTTATGTGAACAAGAAGTGGGATGCTACATATTAAAACCTATGAGATATGAGCAAATTCGTAGTGCACTGAAAATTGACAGCTGAAAATACATCTATTATGAAAAAGGAAACATAAATGTAATTCAAAAAGCAAACATAAGAACTTATTAAACAAAGATAAACAAAAATAATTTAATAAGGATATAGGTAAAAAGTAACATTTTAGAAAACAAACAAAATAAAATAAATAAATCCCAGATCACTCTTGAAAATTACAATAAAATTGATAAACCTCGGCAAATCAAATCAAGTGTAGAAGTATACTATTATAAGATTCTTGTAATATATGTAAAGTATATTATCAGTTGAAGTATGCTGTGATAACTTTAAGTTGTATATTATAAAATATAAAACAACCAGTTTAAAAAGCCAACACAATTTTGGCTTAACAAGCAAACAAACAAAATTAACTGGAATCATAAAACATTCAATTAATATAAAAGGTGGCAGGAAAGGAAAAAAGAGAACAAAAGCAGGTGAAACAAATAGAAACAATAACAAGGTAGTGGAACCAAACCCAAACATATCAATGGTTAACAATAAATACAAAAGATCCTGGCACTCCAAAAACATAGAGATTGTCTAAATGTATCTTTTAAAAGCCAGACCAAATTATTAACAAGAACCCCACTTTAAACATTTTTAAATATTTAAAGGTTTAATATTTTAAAATCTTGAATATTTTATAGAAAATAAATGGGAAAAGATGTATCATGCAAATCCTAAGCATCAGAGAGCTCAATTGGCTATATTAATATGAGAAAACTCAAGTCAATTTTACAGCAAGGAATGATGACAGAGATTAAAGAGACATTTCATAATGATGAAAGTATAATTTCATCAGGAAGCATAATAGTTGTAATATGTATGCCACCAGTTAATAGAGATTCAGAATGCATGAAGCAAAACCTGATAGATTGAAAAAAGAAATATATCCTATTATAGCTAAAGATTTCAACACTTCTCTCTCAGTAATAAACTGACAAAGTAAATAGAATATCAAAAAGGATATAGAGGATTATAAATTATTAATAAGCAACTTGAACTAATTGATATTTATAGAATACTCCACCCAGCAACAACAGAACAGATGTTCTTTTCAAGTGTGTGTGTAACATTCACCAAAAGAGATCATTTGCTGGCCCATAAGAAAGTCTCAAGGATAGAAATCATACAGACTATAGTCTCTGGTCACAATGGAATTAAACTAGAAATTAATAAAATTAAGATATCAGGGATGCATCTAAATGTTTGAAAAATTAACAACATACCTTTATTAACCCATGGATCAAAGAAAAAATTACCTGGGAAATTAAAAACTACTTTAAACAAAAATGCAAATACAACTTATCAAAGTAAGTGGAAAGCAGTTAAAACAGTGTTTGGTGGAATATTAGAAGTTCTAAATATTATGTTAGAAAAGAAGTTATATTGTGATTTTAACTGCTCACTTTCTGAAGTTGTGTTGCTTTGTTTTTTTTTTTTTTTAAGATGGAGTCTCACTCTGTCTCCAGGGCTGGAGTGCAGTGTTGCGATCACGACTCACTGCAACCTCTGCATCCTGGGTTCAAGCGATTCTCCTGCCTCAGCCTCCCGAATAGCTGGGATTACAGGCACCCGCCACTACACCCAGCTAATTTTTTGTATTTTTAGTAGAGATGGGGTTTCACCATGTTGGCCAGGCTGTCTCGAACTCCTGACCCCGCGATTCACCGGCCTCGGCCTCCCAAAGTGCTGAGATTACAGGCATGAGCCACCACGCCCGGCCTGAAGTTTTTAAAAGATAATTTAAATACAAATTAAATAGAAGGATGCAAATAAAAATACGAGTACAAAACACAGTGATATAAAACCCAAAGACAATAGAGAAAATCAATTAAACCAAAATCTGGTTCTTTGAAAAGATTAATAAAACTTATAAATTTCTGGTTTGATAATATGAGATAATAAGGGAGAAAATGAAAATCATCCATAAGATAAATCAGAAAAGGGACATTGTAGTAAAACCTTGAAGCGATTGTAAGGAAACATCCTGAACAATGTTAGGTCAATAAGTTTTTGATACTTAGATGAAAAAATTTCTAAATTCCAAACTACTAAAAATTGAAAGACATAAACAAAAAATATGACTTATCCATATATCGATTTTTAAAATTTTAAATCCAAAGCTTTCCCATAAAGAAATGCCAGGCCCTGATGAATTCAGTGGTGAATTCCACTAAATGTTTAAGGAAGAAATAATACTCCAAAATCTTTTTTAGGAATTAGAAGAGAATATTTGCCATTTCATGTAAGGAGGCTAGCATAATGTTGATATTAAAAATTCTTAGCAAAAATATATTTACAAATAGGATCCAGCAATATATATAAAAATAATACATCACATTAGGCGGGGTTTACCCCGGGAATGAAAAGTTATATTATAAACACCCATTTATAATGAAACAAACCAAAAACCCTAAACCTCTCACTTTAAATGAGATCTACCTAAGCTTGATAAATAGCATCTAAGGAAACTTACAGAAATTAACAATTTCCCCTGTAGTCTCAAAACAGGCAAGGCTTTCTACTTTTTCCATTTGTGTTTAACGTTGAACTGGAATTCAATAAGACAAAAACAAAATAAACATATATATATAAATATATATTTATGCAATAAGTACAATAACACAAACAATATATGAATTGCAAAATAATAAATCTTTATTCACAGACATGGTCATGTACATAGAAAATTCTAAAGAACGTTCCAAAAAATTAAATTTATAGGCCAAGCACTGTGGTTCATGCCTGTAATCCCAGCACTTTTAGAGGTGAAGCCAGTAGGATCGCTTGAGTCTAGGAGTTTGAGATTAGCCTAGGCAATATAGCAAGACTCCACCTCTACAAAAAATAAGAAAATTAGCCAGGCATGGTGGTGCCTGCCTGCAGTCCCAGCTACTCCAGAGGCTGAGGTAAGAGGATGACTTGAGCCCAGGAGTTTGAGGCTGCAGTGAGCTATGATTGCACCACTGCCCTCTAGCCTGGGGGACGGAACAAGACTCTAACTTTAAAAATATATATAAATAAACTTATGAGGAATAATTTTTCTATAGAGTAATAAAAAATAAAATTTAAATGTAAAAAATCATTTACAATGCAATAAAAAATATGAAATGCATAGTGATAAATTTTTCAAAATATGTGCTAGACCTGTACAATGAAAACTACGAAACAGTGATGAAAATAATTAAAGACTTTTTAATTTTAATTTTATTTTTTATTTTTTGAGACGGAGTCTCGCTCTGTCGCCCAGGCTGGAGTGCAGTGGCACAATCTTGGCTCACTGCCACCTCTGCCTCCCGGGTTCAAGCGATTCTCTTGCCTCAGTATCCCAAGTAGCTGGGATTACAGGCATGTGCCACCACACCCTGCTAATTTTGTACTTTTAGTAGAGCCGGGGTTTCTCCATGTTGGCCAGGCTGATCACAAACTCCTGACCTCAGGTGATCCACTCTCCTCGGCTTCCCAAAGTGCTGGAATTACAGGCGTGAGCCACTGCACCATTTTAAGTGGAAAAATAAACCATGTCGAGTAAGGCTTGGCAGTCTTACTCATTTGTAACTTTAGTCATTATAAACTGATCTGTAAATTCAATATAATTCCAGTCAAAATCCTAGGAAACTTATATAGAAATTGACAAGCTGTTTCTAAAATTTATATGGAAATACAGGAGATGTAGAATAGCCAACACAATTTTGCAAAAGCAAAGGAAAAAAAAAAAACAGACAGAGGACTTACACTACATACTCTGAAGACTTCTTTAAAGGTACAATAATCAAAATCATGTGGACCGGGCATGAAGATAGGCATATGGAATGGGAACAATCAAGAGACTGGAAATATGTTTGCTCGTATATAGTTAGCTTATTGTTTTAAATGTGCTAATGCAATTCACATTTGTGAATACATTATATTCGTATATAGTTAGCTTATTGTTTTAAATGTGCCGGAACAATTAAATATCCGTGTTTAAAACATAAAATGCAATGTTTATAGTGTCTACATGTCCCAGCCATGGGCGGATGGGGTGGCAAATGGTCCTGGCCAAGTTTTCAGGGTCTTCCCTATCATTCTTCTGCGGAAAATTTAAGGAAAAATTATTTCTACTTGGGGGGGATGCTAAAATAATAGGATGTTAGTCTCATGATACTGGAAGCCAAATTTCTACCACATACAGTATCTTAAAAAGATACAGCTATAGATATATATATTATCCTGATTACATTGACTGATGCCCTGTCATTTGCCAACAAGATGGTTCTGACCAAACGGACACAGAATATTTTTATTGTCAGATGATCACACATACATGTGTGTATGTAGGGTATGGTGTAAAACATTTTTTCCCATCAAAACACCTGTCAGCTCTAGTTTCTCTCCATTTTCTTCTTCCTATGGTTGCCCTCACCCCCTATTTTGTTCTACAGCTCTGCCCTCCCCTTACTTGCCAAGGTTCTAGCCCAGTCCTAGAGGGTGATGTCAGATCCTTCAGAAACTGGTCTGAGATGAATGGAGAAGAAGAATGTAGGTCTTTCTAGTAAAATATCATAGTAAAACAAGAAAAAGCAACCTCACAGTCATTAATATTTGTTTTATAGCATAATTTCAATGTGTGTTACACTAACACTGTCTCTGTACTGTTCTCCATCAAATCAATTATCATCTCATGAAAGGGTTAGCATATTTAGAAAGAAGAGAGCATGAGGCTCTTGTCTGTAATCTCAGCACTTTGGGAGGCCGAGGCAGGAGTATCACTTGAGACTAAGAGTTCAAGACCTGCCTAGGCAACAAAATAATAATAATTAGCCATAGTGTTATGTGCCTGTGGTCCCAGTTACTCAGGAGGCTGAGGCAAGAAGATCCTTGAGCCCAGGAGTCCAAGACTGCAGCGAGCTCTGATAGTGTGCTGCACTCCAGCTTAGGTGACAGAGTGAGAACCTGTCTAAAAAAAAAAAAAAAAAAAGAAAGAAAAAAAGAAGGAAGGAAGGAGAAAAGAAAGAAAAGAAAAGAGCATGTGTTGGCAGATCAGAGAGTAAAATCCAACTCCAACCATTTCACTTTCTTATTTTTCCCTCAGTCCTGCTCATGAGGGTATGCAAATAAGAGTACACATGAATGTATGCAAATGAGAAAGAGTGGCAAAATTCACTTCTGAAGGGGGAGATCAGGAGAGTAACAGGAGGGTGCAGCCTTCTACCAGGAAGAGGAACATTTGTTTCTCAGACATAAGATGATGGAATAGAGAAAAGATAAAACATAAGATCTAGAAAGACATCATAGTCAAGTAGTAATGGCTAGGTGCACAGGCTCTGAAACCAAAATACCTAGATTTTAATGTGGAATACTCATCCTTCCTGGCTGTGACCTAGTGCAAGTTATCTAGATTCTATGTGTCTTATTTTTCTCATCTGTAAAATAATAATGATATGTTCCTCATAGGGTTGTGGTGCAAATTAAATAAATTAATATAAAGACCCTAGAAACATGCATGATACATAGTTGATGCTCAGCAAATGCTGCTAGCTAGTTATTATTACTTTAAGTTGTGGTAGAGGCAAGGCAAAATAATTCATATCTGGTGGTGGCCTTAATCTCAATAGCAGGAAATGCTGTTGTAGACCAAGGAAATTGGGGCTGAGTGCCTAGCTTGAATAGAGCGAGAGAAGTTTGAAACACCATCTGTGGACTACAGCACTGGTCCTTAACCCTAGACGTAACATTAAAATTACATGAGGACCTTTTAAAGATACTGACATTTAGGATCCCACCTAGAACAATTAAGTGAGAATGCCTGGAGTGGGCTTTAAAGTTGATCTTTAAGGGCAGCTGCGGTTGAGAATCAAGAAGTAATAGGAAACAAATAAATGAAAAGTTGTGAGTATAGAAAGAAAACAGTTATGGTTATCCAACTCTGCTTTTCTTCATTGATTTCTCTACCAATCTAGCAACTTTTGACTGGAAAGTCCAAATAGTGGGAGTAAGAGAAAGAGAAAGAAACCATACATTCTCCAGTGGTAGGAAATATGCCGCTGAGATTGGGGAAGAAGACAGAACTGAGTTTCAGGCTGAGTAAAAAAGCCCGACCCAGAATAAGATGATGGACTTTGCAAATAGGTCTAGGCAACGTATGTGGAGTGGGATAATATGAGGACATGGAGCGGTTTCTTCTGGGGGTGAGAGAGTGATCAGAAAATAGTAGGCAGAGGGGAATTTCCGAGCTGGAGATTTTGGCTCTTGGGGATAGTGTGATTTCAGTGAAAACTAGTTTTAAGATGAATTGTCAAAACTGAGGACTGAGATAAAATAAAGAAGGTTATTGGAGGAAGTAAATAAAGTGTACAGTCCTGAAAGATATAAGTAAGGGATGGAGAGGAGAGGAAGAGAATTGAAGTCATTGAGGGTAGAAGGAAAAGTGATGCCTACTGTACAATGGTTAAGAGTTACCAGCGTTGAAAACGTCCCAAACACCCTATCTTACATTAAGACAAGATAATAAATATGAAAATACTTTACAAATTGTTAATCACTCTCCAGAAAAAAAAAAGGTGATCTACAGATTATTCATTCACTAAAATACGTACTAGCCAGCTGAGAACAAAAGTTCAATCTTCTTTAAGCTTCATATGTTTAGCTTAATTTGGCGCGAAATCTGATTATTTTATCCAGTATGTCAACATAGAAAAATTTAATTTACAATTTAAACACATTATTTCTCTCTCATGCAAGTATTGAAATTAAAGTTTCTAAAATCAAAAAGGCTTCTAAAGGACACTGCTATATGGAATATTAATGTGGCATATTAACTGGAAGTGGTAATTCCTGAATGACGCCAAAGGCAATTCTCGCCTTTATACTTTCTCCCAGTCAACATACATTATTTTCTTGTTTTTCCTTTTCTATCCTTCCTTTTGCCACAAACAACAAACCAAACAAAAAAGCAAAACAAAACAAAAACCCTTCCTCCTACCAGCAGAGAGCGCTAGCGCCATGCGCGGCATAAGCGCCAAAATGCTCGGGTCTTCTGTGGGTTCTAACCGCCGAGAGCCAAGCACCCTGAGGTTGTCCCAGCTGGGGATCCGTAGTTGACTTGACGTCGCTGAGCAACGGAAGAGTGGGCAGCATTTGCTCTGAACGCTCGTGCGCGCTACCGCCCAGACGGAAGCGGAAGTGCCGGTGGAGCGCGAGTAGGAAGTGGTGAGTTCGGAGTAGAGATGGCCGCGCTTGCACCGCTGCCCCCGCTCCCCGCACAGTTCAAGAGCATACAGCATCATCTGAGGACGGCTCAGGAGCATGACAAGCGAGACCCTGTGGTGGCTTATTACTGTGAGTCTTTCCGAGTGGCCGCGCCCTTTCTTTCCCAGTTGCATTTTAGGGCCCACACACCTCCCTGAGGTTCTTGGGGCATGCCCCGCCCCCCTCGCTTTAAACCTGAGCTTTGACCTCGAGCCTACCCAGGGAACTCCCTGGGTTCCCACCCCCTGGCAGTAGGAATCCCAAAACACCATGGTGTCCACTGCTTCTCCTATCTTGTGCTTAAATGCTCCAGTACTGACTACACAGGCTCTTGAACTGTGGAATATAATCTTCCAAGGTTTTCTCTGTGTGTGTACACACAAGAGCTTCTTGTCTCAAATAGGAATCCTGAAAATAAATTGAGTTAGGTTTAAAACGAAGGTGAGTGTCCGAAAGAAGGAGTGATGTGGATAAAAGGACGATAGACTAGTTGAAAACATAGTAATAAGTGAATATTATTTATGACAGCATGCAAGCCCAATCAGAAACTCATTTGGTTAAATGGGGAGTATCTGCTACTAAATAAGCAGTTGAATTTGACCTTTCCCCACCCAGCTGCTCTCTCCTACCATGCAGAATTTTTAGTTTTGACTTCTTTGAATAATACCCGCTGTTGAGACCTTTGAAAGCAGTATTTTCACTTTGAGTGTTATACGTTGAATTTACAGTTTGATTAAAAAAAATATAGGTTAACTCTGCTCAAACTTGTAGTGAGTAAAGGGAGTGCCAGTAATTCTGTGTTAACTTTATTTTGTATTCTGTACTCTTAACTTTACTGCAAATAAAACAAGTAACTGGACAATTATAATTCTGAAAAGGATATTTAGAGTTGAGAAGTTGGATATAATGCGTCCATTGTTGTGTATATTGTAAGGTTAGCTAAAATCTGGTCACTGTTATCTCTGCCATACTCCAAATGTACCCTGTTTCTCAAATGTGCAAGGCCTTTTCAGACCTACCATCTTCCACTCTCTTGGAATGTGCACCTTTTTCTTGCACTTGGCAAACTCATGATTCAAGATCTAACCCAAATGTCACCACTTCTGTGGGCAGCAAATTGATTATTCTCTGTGCATTACTTCATTTTGTTCAAATTTTACAGCATCATTTTTATTATACTTGTTCTTCAGTTTCCTCAAGCAGGGTCCATATTCATTCAGTATGTGTTCATTGAGCTACCTTTGTATCAAGCATTAGTAGGCGCTGTGACTACATTTGCTGCATTTTTGGAGCTTACATACAATGGAGGTAGAGAGTTTCAACAATATAGAGTCTATCATACATAGAGTATTAAAAGCTTATGAAGACAAATAGAGCAAGGAAAAGGAATAAGAGTATCAGGAGTAGTGGTGGCAGGGAGTGCAGATGGGATTTCAGTTTCATAGTGGTCAGGAACACTTCACTGAATTGACATTTGGGGAAATAAAAGAGTGAAAGGCATACCTTGCACCATCTGGGAAAGAGTATTCTCCATAGAGGTTATAAAAGTCCCGAAGTAGAGGCTTGCTGGAAGGAGGAGTAAGTAGACTATTGTGACTGGAGTGGATGGGGCTTGGGAGTGATGGGATAAGGTCAAAGAATCTCTCATCCCTAAAGGAAATTCCTGTTCCCGATCCCTGTATCATGTATCTTTGTGACAAACCAGGGACACCTTACTCACTGTCGTCCTTTCCCTCTAGATTTTTCTAAACCTAATCCAGTTTCCTTTATTTAAAAATATAACATAAACTCTCACCATATCATTCCCTAAAGTTGCAGCTCTGCTTTTCCAGCCTTATAGGTAAGTTTGAAATAGTTGTCCATAAGTTAGCTTTACGCCTTTATCTTGTAGAGCCTTTCAGCCCATGCAGTCTGGTTTTCATGCCCAGTATTTCACTGAAACTGCTCTCATCAGGCTTATGAAGAAATATTTTTATTGCTCAGGTGACACTTAACAATTTTAGTTATGAAACATGTACATATAAAAGCATATGTAATGTGCAGACAGTTTAAGGAATAATAAAATGAACACTAATATGCCTATCACATTTGATGTTATTAAACTTTTTAATTTTTGACAATCTGGTGGGTGTGAAATGGTGGTGTCTCATTGGAGCGAAATCTGCAATTCTCTGAGTCTTAATGAGGTTTAGCATCTTTTCATATGTTAATTAACCATTTGTGATTCGGTTTTGAAATACTTGTTTATTGCTTTTGCCCATTTATCTGTCACAGTCTTGTCTTAATAATGTTAGATGTTAATCCTTTGTTATATGTGTTGTAAATATCTTCTCCCATTTCAGTTTGATTTTTCACTCTGAAGACCTTTGATGTTCAGAAGTTCTTAATTTAAAAATGTTATCAATCATTGTATGAATCTCTTAGGACTTAACCTTCTGATTTTATAGGCTTTCATTTCTTTTCGTGTATTTGTTTGGGACTTTGGCTTTCTACATCTGTAGATGGGTGTTTTTAATCAATTTTGGAAAATTTTCTCTACTATTATTTGTTCAAATATTGCTTATATTTCTATTCTCTCATAAAAGTTTGATTAGACATGTTTTGCACTTCTCCCATTTAACTTCCTTGTCTCTTGATTCTGTCATTTTTTTTTATCTCTTTGTCTTTCTGTGCTGCATTCTGTGTAATTTCTTGAGGTTTATCTTCACCTCCCTATATTTTATTGTTTAACCCTTTTATTGAATTTCTACTTTAATTTTTTATTTTAGTGTTCTCTTTTGGTTTTCATATTGGCCTGGCCATTTCTGATAGTTTCTTGTTACTGATATTTTTAACCACTCTATTTCTGTGAACACTTTAAATATATGGATTTATGTTTGCTGTTTGATAACATTGTAGCTGCTATATTTGTGGGCCTGATTCTGCTTTTCAACAGAACACTGCTCTTGGTGACTTCTTTCCTTACAATTGTGGGCTAGTCATGCTAGACCAGCGCTCTCCAAACTGGAGTAGGCAAATAATTCCAAAGGAATCAATTTTCCAATTCTTGACTTCCATGTTTTCCTTCCAAAAACTGTTCTTAACAAAGCTCCTGTGGTCAGGGTAGCAAAGTAGTATATAATATGCTGCTTATCTTTTCCTACATCCTGTTCACAATTGTCCTTCTCCCACTTTAATGAAGAACGGCATACTCTCACGCATCCTGAGTGCTTTTATGTTGTATTGCCTTGAAAGAGAAGGTGGAAAATCCTCCAGGGTGTCCAGACAAAAGAGACAATTCAAATTACCCATGTTAGTGAAGCCTCCATTAATTAAGGCATTGGATAGACCTTCCTATCTTTCCTGGTCTTACATTGAAGAAAACCAGCCAGAGCAAAAAATAAACCTTCATTCGGGAGTTCAAGACCAGCCTGACCAACATGAAGAAACCCTGTCTGTACTAAAAATACAAAATTAGCTGGGTGTGGTGGCGCATGCCTGTAATCCTAGCTACTTGGGAGGCTGAGGCAGGAGAATCACTTGAACCTGGGAGGCAGAAGTCGCAGTAAGCTGAGATCGTGCCATTGCACTCCAGCCTGGGCAGCAAGAGCGAAACTCCATCTCCAAAAAAAAAAAAAAAGCTAAGCATGAAAGGTTCCAAAAGAGCATTCTAATTTGAGGGGAAGGAGGTAGAACTTTGTATAAGGGGGATGCAGGGAGTCACCTGGAATTGTATATGGGGGATGCAGGGAGTCACCTGGAGTTTGTCTCTTTTCAGGAACAGTTGGTCAGTGGATCTCCGAAGAGGGAGGAGTTATTCTGCGATATTAGCAGCCATTGTTAGGTCATCTTGGATTTTATCAAGAGGTTGAGGAGGAACAGTTTGGGGCCAAGGTCATGAGCAAGATGATGTGAGGAAGATTAGCTGTAGGGACAGGGATGTGGAGGGACCACAGTGGGAAATCTCAGTCTTTCAGAGTCTCTTACATTTATACATGTATCTGTTAAGGGTAATGCCTTATGTTAAAACCGGTCCTGTGTTGCAGTATTCTGAATTCTCAAAATGATAAAAATTTTCATGAGATGACCTTACTGCCTCATTCTGTATTCATTATTAAAGAATACCAATCTTGGGTTGAGAGCAAAACCAAGAACAAAGGAGAAATACTGAAGATGAGAGTACCTTGTTTCATCCAAACAAGCTCCTGCAAGGCTCTGCAGCTTATTGCTATTTTATAATTAGAATTTAGAAATAAAATGGGGACATGAGTTGACATTCCAACTGGAATATTGTATTTCTCTGAAAAAGTAACTCTTACTTGGCTGATTAGTTTGGTGTTAGCAACTGGCATTGCCATTAAACAGTGTGGTAGACATTCTCTTTAAACTAAATGAGCTAAAATCTTCGGCTCTGAGGTTTTTTGTTTTGTTTTGTTCTTCTGGAAGTACATTTAAAACAGCTTGGCCGAGCACGGTGGCTCATGCCTGTAATCCCAGCACTTTGGGAGGCTGAGGCAGGCAGATCACCCGAGGTCAGGAGTTCAAGATCAGCCTGGCCAATATGGTGAAACCCCATCTCTACTAAAAATACAGAAATTAGCTGGATGTGGTGGCAGGTGCCTGTAATCCCAGCTACTGGGGAGGCTGAGGCAGGAGAATTGCTTGAACCTGGAGGTGGAGGTTGCAGTGAGCTGAGATCGTGCAATTGCACTCCAACCTGGGGAACAGGAGCAAGACTTCGTCTCAAAAAAATAATAAGAAAAAGAAGAAGAAGAAGAAAATAAAACAGCTGATGAGATTGAACCTTATTTGTTATTACTATTTTTTTTTTTTCACTGAGGGATGTTGGAACAAGTATTTCAAGTTTTCCCAATCCTTTCTGCATCCTACAATAAATAAGAAGGCTCTGATTGAAAGAAGATGATGAATCTTTATAATATCTTTTTGCATACATCACAGGAATTGAGAAAATGAGTAATGATGGGGTAACAAATCCTTTTTAATTTTTAAACAAATTTTAAAGTGGGCCTAATTTAATTGTCAGCTTAGAATTTATTTAAAATATTTGATGATAGGTGGTTATATGGTTTTTAGCCTGTAACTCAGAAATAATTTAAAGAATTTGGTGATTTTGCTGTGTAACATGGGAAAAACTGGGATTTGGGGGGATTGTTTTTTGTGAATTTAATTTATAAAAATAAAAAATAACAACAGAACCCCAATAGTCTACTCTTCCTCATTATGGCAATAAATAATATTAATACATAAATATTTGATTTAATTCATAACAATGTAAAATTTCTGTTAAAAAAGTACTTTTTGTATTTTAAAATGTGATAAATATCAAGTTGCTATGATAGTTTAGTTTCAAAGATACAACTTTTAGATGTCAATATTTGATGTAGTATAGAAATCACATTTTTTATACCTGTTTAACCTTCTCATGAAAAGGTGTAGACATCAACATAAAAACATGTTAAGGGATACATTTCTATAATCTTAGAGCATATAATAATTTTATAAATTCCTAGAGCAGGGAAACTTTTTTTTGTGAGAAAAAAATTCAAGAGTATTTTGCTAAACTACTTGCTGATTCATAAAAGCTCCATGGGCTATGTGCTACCCTCTGCCAGGAATCCTTCTGCATTCCTATTAATTTGACTAACTTACTGACTCAGTGCAGATTTTACTTCTTACAGATTATTTTTCATGACCTCTTAAAGATGATCTAGAAATTGTTCTTGTGTGCCCCTCATCACATGTGTTATAATATAAACATCTGTTTATCTTTCAATCTTGATTCTCCTGGAGGACAGGGATTATCTTTTTCTTTTTTTACCACCTGACACATAAATGGAATTTACAAATTCTTAATGAATGCCTCCTCTCTAAATATTACTAATAGTCCACTAAAATGTAAACTCTATGAGAACAAGAAGTATGTCGTGTGATGATCATTGAATGTCCACCTCCTAATATAGTATCTAAGACATGTTAGATAACCTGTAAAACTTATCTGTCGATTGAGTAAACAAACTATACAGTAATTCATAGCTTTTTTTTTTAATGTTCTACCACAAATCAATGACAAAATAGAATGGAAACAATCCTAGTACTCTAACTCATTACCTTACTATGTTTATAATGAATTTTAGATTGAGTCATAGGTCATATTATCATATGATTTACACCTTGTGCCCTATCCTTTCTAGTATTTATATCATTTCCAAAAATGATTCACTTCTGGCCTTAATGGGAATTTTCTAGTGTTTTATCACTTTTTAAAATTACCTTAATATTCCTACATTTCGAAGTTGGTTGGTCTTTTGTTTTCTTTTTAAATCAGGAATGAATGTTGAAATAATGTATATCAAATTACTTTTGGCCGTCTATGGAAATGCTAATAGGCTTATTGTTTATGTGTTTGAACTTTTTAATGTAAGTAGCAGCAAAATAGTAAATTCTCTCATATTTGAAACATCCCTCCATTTCTGGAAAGAATCCCATTAGTTTTTGCATTTTCTTTTAATTAAACTTTTTCTTTTGAAATAGTTGTAGGTCCATGTGCAGCACATGTAGTTGTAAGAAATATTACAGAGAGATTCTGTGTACCCTTTACCCAATGTCCCCCAATGATAATATCTTGCAAAACTATAATAATGTACCATAACCAGAATATTGGCATTGGTACAATTCACTGGTTTATTCAGGCTTTGTCAGTTTTACATGTATTTGTGTGTGTGTGTGTATATTTAGTTCTAAACAGCTTTGTCAGGTGTACATTCCTGTACCCATTACCATAGTCAAGATAGAGAATAATTAAGAATTCCCCTTGTTGCCCTTTTATTAATATAACCTGCCTTCTCCTTTTCGCTACCTCACCCCCATCCCCTGGTAGCCAGTAACTTGTTGTCCATTTCTAAAGTTTTATCATTTAAAATGTTCTATTAAATGAAATCATATATAAGCTTTTGGGATTGGCTTTTTTCATTTGGCATAATCTCTGGAGATTTATCCAAGTTTATTCCTTTTTTAATGCTCAGTAGAATTTCACCCTATGTGTATACTACAGTGTAACAGTTTAATCATTGAAGACATTTAAGTGTTTTAAATTTGTGACAATTATGAATAAAGTGAATATAATCACGTATAGTTTTTGTGTGACCCTAGTTTCCATTTCCCTGGGATAAATGCCCACAAATTCAGTTGCTAGATCATATGGTAATTGCATGTTTAGTTTTATAAGAAGCTGTCAAACTGTTTTGCAGAGCATCTGTACCATTTTACACTCTTATTGGCAACACATGAATAAGTGATAGAGTTTCTCTTCATTCTCACCAGCATTTTGTGTCACTATTTTTAATTAGTCATTCTTAATAGGTACAGTGATATCTCATTGTGGTTTTAGTTTTTATTTCCCTGATAGCTAATACAGTTGAAAACCTTTTCATGTGCTTATTTACCATATGGGTATCATCTTCAGTAAAATGTCTTCATGTTTTTGCTCATTATTTTTGAGTTTGAGAGTTCTTAATATATTATAGTTACGTTATCATTTTGAGATTTTTAGTAACAGCGTTACTCTGGTTTCTTAGATATTGTTGAGAAAATTACTCCTTTTCCTCAAATGTGAGTTGGATTAAAAACGCAAGCAGATTTACCGCTTTCTTTAGATTTAAAAAAATCATTGATACAGCAGAACTTTGTGCTTTTTTATATTTCTCAATTTCTTCCATTAGAAAAATATTTTCCTCTTGAGCCATTCTTGATATAGTAGTTTTCTAGAATATCTTTCATTTCTACTGTATTTTGAAATTTATTAGCTAGAGTTAAGCATTCATCCTAGTTAGTAATAAATGTAAATTAAAGTGGAATAACAATTTTTGACTGTAAAAATATGACTCAGTACAAATGAGTACGCGTTCAGATCCTTGCTGACATGGCTGTGTGATTGGTACAAAGTTTGGAAAGCATTTTGGCAAAATGTAGAGTATCTAATTCAGTAATTCCAGTTTGGGGAAACGTGTTCAGGAAATAACTATACATTTAGTAAGACCTTTATGCAGAATTTCCTGAATGATTATTTATACATTTATGATAAGCTCAAAATAACCTAAAATATATATCATTATGGAAATGGTTAAGTAAATTATGTTATATCCACTGCATAGAAAGTAATGTAATTGTTTAAACATTACAAAGCATCTTTTATAACGTGAGGGAAGGTTTATATGAAAGTGTGGAATACGGAATTATTATACATGCAGTTCCATATGTCTATCTGAAGAAATCTTTGTCTTCAGTGACCCCTCATGATTTGAGTTCTGAATCACCTTTTGTAGTTTTAATCAAATTAATTTCATTTTGTTACTAGAACATTAGGCACTTGGTTGTCTCCAAGCCTTTTAACATTCTACTTTATCTGCCTTGACACCTCTTCTCTTCCCCACCACACTCACTAGATTTTTATCCTTTGGGTACTAGCTTGAAAGTCACTTTCTCTGGGAGGCCTTTTCTTAAGTCTCCTAGTTTTAAGGTGTTTCTTTTTGTTCTTTATGCCTTGGTGTAGCTTTACCGTAATTGCTTTTTCATTTGCTTGTCTTTCTTCTAGACTGTAAACTGAGGAAGGCTTACACTGTGCTACCAGTTTTTATTCATTTACTCTGCCTGGTAGTGCTAGGCCACTAGAGATATTTACATAATAAAGAACAGGTGCTCAAAAAGTGTTAGCCAAATTGACCTGAATTTTAAGGCAGTTGTGGTCCCTAGAGGGAAGTATGGCCATACAGTTGTCACCTAATAAGGCAGACAACTAGCATTCCTGTAGCTGATTGGCATTTTAACAGTGCTTTCTTTCAGGATGTCTGCCTCACAGTCTTTCTGGTCCTTCTGTTACTAAGTGATAGAACCAAGACTCGAATAAACAAAGTCAGATTAAAAAAAACGGTTGAATGAAAAATTGTTGGTAGTAGCTAGTAATTAGAGAACCAGTTATTGAGTGAGCCACAGAGTAACTGAGGGGAAAGGGACTAGTACAATCCATGGCAAAAGAAAAAGGCAAAAAAGCCAGTGAAAAAATCTCGGAGATTCCCCTAAGTGGAGAGTGGAAAATGAAGGAGATGCTTTCTGTTAATAGTATGTCTCTGAGCTCCATCTCTTTATTTTTCTTTAATGAAGCCGGAAAATATTTGAATCTTTACTAAAAGTGGGCACTGTTAGATAAATATTTTGATTCTGCCAGGTTTGGTGCTGTAGATAAAGCTAAACTCAGAACTTTCCCCTTCCTTTTTCAGTTTGCCGTGAGTAAATGTATAAAATTTCAAGTTTCAATTTTTAAAGCTTCCTCTAGGGGGTGACATTGTAAAGTTAATAAACTTCCAGTTAAAGTATACACACAGTCTCAAGAGTCTTCATTTGTTGATATCATCATCAGAAAATTAAATACAGTATAGTTGTTCAGGAAGCTGTAAGTATATATAAAGTTATTTCAGTTCTGAGATGTTACAGGACATACCAGTAGAAAATGTTAATTTAGTGTAAATGCTAAATAACAATGGATTTCTTTATTGATAGATGGTAAACTACATGGATATTAGCATTAACAATCACTTGCTTATGCCTGTACTCCTAGCACTTTGGGAGGCCCAGGTGGGCAGATCACGAGGTCAGAAGTTCAAGACCAGCCTGGCCAATATGGTGAAACCCTGTCTACTAAAAATACAAAAATTAGCCGGGCGTGGTAGCGTTTACCTGTAGTCCCAGCTACTCAGGAGGCTGAGGCAGAAGAATCGCTTGAACCCAGGAGGCAGAGGTGGCAGTGAGCCGAGATTGCGCCACTGCACTCCAGCCTGGTGACAGAGCGAGACTCCGTCTCAAAAAAATGATAATAATAATAACTTGCCTCTTACTATTTTTTGTTGGGTTAATCACATAGAAATTGGATTTTAAATTCATTCAGACAAGTTTAACTAAACCAATAAAGAGAAGCAGTTCCTTTCAGTCTTTGCTGGTTCCTGAATGATAGACTAGAGTCTATAGTCTTATTGCTTGATTACTTACTTTTTTTTATTAATAAGCTTTCTCAGGGTACTTTACTGTAGCATTGACAATAAACACACAGAATGTTGGACTACTGATTTATCCATTAGCCTTCCATTCCTCTTAAGTTTGTTTTTGTGAACATATATGCAAACATGAGTTTTATTTTGTAAAAATTATTTCTTTCCTTTTTGAGTAATGTCAACTCATTTTACATCTCTTTAGAAAAAACCGTAAAGTTGAAGGGGCTGTGGAGTCAGATAACAGATTCTTAACTTTCATTTCTTTTTTGGCATTCATACAGGTTTAAGCATCTTTGATAAGGTTTGTCTTCTATGACAATTATATTTGGTTGTTCAAAGTGGAAGCTTATATACTCTTGAACAGTCAAGGTATATATATAGTAGATTTCAATAACTATGCTTGATATAAGTTCCTACTTTCACTGAAATTCTTCATTGGGCTGTTACATTTACATTTTTTATGTTTTTTTATATTTATTTTTCTGTGGCTTGTCAGATTTTTATGTTTTTACTATTTTGGGTTTTTTTTTTTTAACCTCAATTTATTATTGTTTCTACTTGGTGACCCTTAACAAGTCTTGGAGGAGCAATTCTTTGTTGTCAGGGCTGCCCAGTACCTTTCAGGATATTGCTGTTTTAAATGGTAATAGTACCCCCAGACATTGCATTTTAAAATAGAAGTTAAAAAAAAAAAAGCCTCCACACTTTTGTAGCTCCCCCGAGAGGCAGTATAATTGAAAATCTAAATACCTATCAGTATGGAAAGTTTATATTATGTAACTGTTAAAGATATATGGAGTTACATTTATTACAAAAGCTGCCATAGCCCACAGCATAATGTAAAAATGAAGGGTGCAAACAAATTACATGTTGCAATGTATATAACATTTGTGGTTATATATAATTTTATATGTGTATATGAAGAGAGACATCTTGCTGGATGCAGGGTAAGACTCTGGAGCCACACTGCCTGAGTCAAATCCTAACCTATCGTTTATGGCCTGCATGACCTTATGAGTTTCAGGTTTTTTATTAACATACTCAGGATAATAATAAGATCAACTTCACAAAATTTTTTGGTGGATTAATCAATTTTTCTATTTTTATGTGACTAAATGAATACATGATCCATGGCGATTACTCGTTTGATATTAGTTATTATCAAGTTATTATTATTCCAGTTCAGTGGGATCTTATCAATAGTATATTGCTGGATCTTATGTTTTTATCCATTATAACAACCTCTACCTTTTAATTGCAATGTTTAAAACATTTATAATTAATGTAATGAGTATGTTTGGGTTTAAGTCTTGCTATTGGTTTTCTATGTCTCATTTGTTGTTTGTTTCTTCTTTCTCCTTTTTCTGCCTTTTTGATAATCGAAGTTCTTTTAGAATTCTGTCATACCTCCACTGTGAAGTTACTAGATATTCCTCTTTTATTTTTTTAGTGGTTGCTCTAGAATGCTTACCATAGCTTATCATAGTCTACTGTCTCATAATATACCACCTAATATTTAAGGAAAGATCTTTACTGTCTTTTCCCCTCTCATATCCTTTGCCTATAGTTGTCATACGTTGTACTTATACGTATACCATAAACCTTATATATTTTTTAACTATTCTCTTTTAAAGAAATTTATAAAATGTAAAAATAAAAATTTTTATATTTTGCGACATAAATATCATTTTCAGTACTCATCAAGATCCAAGTTTTAAATCTGGTATTGGTTGGGCATGGTGGCTCATGCCTGTAATCTCAGCACTTTGGGAGGCCGAGGTGGGTAGATCACATGAGCTCAGGAGTTGGAGACCAGCCTAGGCAACATGGTGAAACCCTGTCTCTACCAAAAATACAATAAGAAATTACCCAGACATGGTGTCCCGCACCTGTAGTCTCAGCTACTTGGGAGGCTGAGGTGGAAGAACCATCTGCGCCCAGGAAGTGGAGGTTGCAGTGAGCTGAGATTGTGCCACTGCACTCCAACCTGGGCAACAGAACGAGACCCCATCTCAAAAATTATATAAACTACTTTGGGTAGTTTATATTGCAATGTTCCAGAGTTTACTAATCTTTTCTTTTTTGGTGTCTATACTATTAATCCTGTCCACTGAATTTTTCATTTCAGGTATTATTATTATTATTATTATTATTATTATTATTATTATTATTATTATTATTTTGAGACAAAGTCTTGCTCTGTTGCCAGGCTGGAATGCAGTGATGCAATCTCAGCTCACTGCAACTTCTGCCTCCTGGGTTCAAGCAATTTTCCTGCCGCAGCCTCCCTAGTAGCTGGGACTACAGGTGCCTGCCACCACACCCAGCTAATTTTTTGTATTTTTAGTAGAGACAGGGTTTCACCGTGTTGGCCAGGATGGTCTCGATCTCCTGATCTCATGATCCACCCACCTCGGCCTCCCAAAGTGCTGGGATTACAGGCATGAGCCACCGTGCCCGGCCGATATATATTTTACCTCTAGAAGTTTCATTTGGATTCGTTTGTGTATATTCCATTTCTCCTTTCTATTCATGGTTTTCTTTAAATGCTTTCTATAGTTCTCTAGTATGTTAATGTCACTATCTTCTGTTTTTATTATTTTGTCATTGTTTGATCTCATACTGTTGGCTTATATTTTTTCTTCTTATGGATCACATTTTCCTATCTGTTGGCCTCTTTAGTAATTTTTGACTGGCAGTAGGGCATTGTGAATTTTACATTCTTGAATGTCTGGAGTTTGTCATCTTTCTTTGAAGGGATTCAATCTGGCCAACAAGTAATTTGGAGTTCAGTTTGATTCTTTTGTGTATTGTTTTTTTGTTTATTTTTAGCTTTTCAGGGTAGGTCTAAAGTAGCCTTTGCTCTAGGGAGAGTTTAACACCGCTACAAAAGTATGCCCATCTTGGATTCTCTACTGAATACCCAGGGTAACATATAGAACTCTTCACTCTCTCTGGTTGGAGCTTGAATGCGTTCTAACCCTGTGTGTGCATTGGGAACATTCAACTTATTGAACAGGTTTTGTTCATTCTTTGGCCTTGAGGAGCTTCCCCCTGCACACCATATGTTAGTATTCAGCTGAGTCTCCAGGTTACCCTTCTTCAGATTTCTGGGTTTTTTCCTGCATAGCTCCCTTTTCTTTAGACCTCTGCCCCTTAATGTACAACTGCCTCAGTCTCCCTGAATTCACTCCAGTGTGTTTTTTCAACTCAAGAGGACTGTTTTCTGCTTGGGACTCCTCTTCCTGGGCCTTAGTTTGGCGTGTGCCTCCGGGCAGAATGCTGGGCTGATCATTGGTGCCACCTCATTTGTTTCCTTTCTCCAGGTATCATGGTCTTCCTCTATCTCTGTTGTCTGAAAACTTGTTACATATATTTTGTTCAGATTTTTTCTGTTTACAGTGGGATGATAACCATAGTTACTTCATCAAGGCCAGAAGTAGAATCTGTGTTCTCATTTTAATAATCAAATCATCACTTAGTGTTCGCCATGTGTCAGCACAATAATATCAGAATCCCAGTGATTATCTTTTTATTCTTTGGACAATGAAAAAGCCAGATATTCTTACCCTATACTTTGATTTTCATTACATCATTTAATAGGAAGTCAGGAGTGGCTTTTTCTTAAAATTGTTGTTACGACAGGAGTTCCAAAAGTATTTATTTAACGAAGGGATGAGTGAAGTAAGTATTCTTTATTAGCAGGCATTCATTCATGCTTCCTTCCTTCCCCCCCCCCCCTTTTTTTGGGTCAAATAGTGTGCCTAAATTATTTAATTTGGAAAGTAGTTAGATATGTTTTGTACAAAAACTGTATAATAATCTTTGACACAGAAATCCCTTCACAAAGGATAATACTAACCATATAGAAAAGATCTGCAATATATTTAGGAATAGAATAACATTCAGTTCTATTTTTTGGAATAAAATTTGCTTTTGTGTATCAATATGTATTCTATTGAGTGCCACATTTTTTAACCTATCAAAGCCTCACTCCTCACAGTTGCTTTTATATCTTTTTGCGTGTGTTTTTATCATGCGTATTTCATAGTTTTATGTTCTTATGGATAAGCAAGGATGTGTTAGAATGTTAATGTTCAAATTCTAAGGAACTTTGGATTACATATACCTTCAGAATTAGTAAATGTTTGTTTTCTAAATGTCTCACATTAAATTAAATTCAAGTTGGAAAGTATTTAATCCTTTTGCAAATATGCCTCATTACTCATCATCAAATAATATTTATTCATAAAGATAAACACATTTCCTTGATGAAATAAATCAAATATATTTTCTTATAGATGATTTTAGCTAAATGTTTATTTGTTCTGTTTTTGTAGGTATTTTCCATGTTAGACATTAATTTTTCATCGTATTGCTGCTGCTAGAATGAATTGCTTGTCTCAGAGTTCTTTATGAAAGAGATCCTTTTTTCATCCCTGTGGCAAAAAGATGTTTTAGTGTACTTAAACTGAGTTTTCTTAAGTGAATTCAAGGAATTTTCCTTTTTATTAATAGTAGAAAATGTATCTTATGGTAAATTTTTTGTACTTAAGAATTCTTTGCAATGTAAGATATTTAGAAATATAAAAGCCAGGCCAATTTTTGTCCTAAATCTTTTAATGCTGAGAGGATCCAATTCTTCAATTAAAGATATTACCATATAATAATGTCCTTGTAATTGCAAAGACTACATATGCACACAAACTAAGAAAAAAATGAATGTAGGCCAGGCTAATTAAACTATATTATAATTACACTGTGTTTAACTATTAGTTATCTGGATTAGGTTAACTTCTAAAGGACAAGAAGTGAATATTTTGTTTATATTTGTATGTGCTGCGTTAATTATCTGCATGTTTGCTTAATGGTTACATCCTGAGATGGCTGTCACTAAAGCCAAGGGCAGTCTTAGGAATCAACCTTATTTCTCTACTGTCTAGGTTGTTCCCTATATTTCTTCCCAAAATTGATCTATCAAGTAGCTAACTCTGCTCCATGAATGGTAGGCCTCACATAGTGTTCACTACTATGGTTAAAAAGAGAGAAAGACCTGTGGGGAGATGACACTGTCGGTACCATCCTTCAAATTATTATTTTATCATATTGGCCAGTGTACATTTAGATCATGAATAATTACCTGATGTGTATGTATGATTGGGTAAGTTGGTTGTCTTCGAGATTAAAGTGTGTTTGAAATAGTCATTTGGGATGTTGGGAAAGCAAGTATCAAGCCCATTTGAGACTGATAATTACGATATTTGTAATGATGACAATCTGTCGTCAGTTTCTGCTGCTTGGATGCAGATATAGAGAAAGAAGATAGTTGGGTTTATGTATGAGTATGCTTTTGCCAGAGGGATGTAATAAAAAATTTAGAGGTAGAAGGAGATAGTAAAATAAAGTTCTTAAAATGTAACATCAAAGCTAGTTGCAGAGGGAAGTTAAAGGGGAGAAGACTGATCATAATGAAGAAGTAGTAAGAAGCCAGGGAACTGGAAACCTGTAGTAATGTGCATAGTTGAATGTTGGAAGAAGAGGAGATTATGTTTAGAGAGTGGGCGCTTGATGTATTGATTTTGGCAGTAGTTTGAGGTGGCAGTTTAATTATAGAATGGCCACTGAGTGAAAGAGAGCACATAAAATTGTTGGAGGTCAGGGGTCAATAAGAATTGAGAACATGGGCTGTGTTTACATTTGAATTCAATTTACTTGCTTATTGCAGAAAATCCAAAATAACAATGGCTAAGTAAAGTAAGGATTTACTCTTTCATGTAAAGAAAGTCTGATGTTGGCAGTACCCTATGTTAGTACACCAATTCCATTAAGTCATCAGGGACCCCAGCTGATTGCAGTTCAAATTTACCAGCCAGCACACTTCCAAGGTTGCTTTGTAGCCCAAGATAGGTACTAGGGCTTCAGTCATCTAGTATTTATATTCTAGGTAGTAGGGAGGAAAAAAGGGAGAGGGTCTGCAAGATCTTTCCCTGCTGTCATTCCCCCTTTTATGGAGACATTGCAACAGTCTTTCCTAACTATTTCTGGGAATATAATATTAGTCTTGGTTACATGGCCATATTTTGCTTTGGAGAATACTGGGAAATGTACTCTTTTGGCTAGGTATGTTACAACTCCTTAGTAATAATATAGCAGCTTGCCAGTCCTAAAGAGGTATGTGAGAAATTTTTTTTTTTAAGTTACTAAAGAAGACTGCAAATACAATGATTTCTTCAAGTGACAACTGCTTTTAGTTAAGACAGAGAAGGAGAAGGAATCAGAAAATGTAGAGGAGTATGCTGATGAAAAGCAGTGGTTCCACGAGATTTTGGTAGAAGGCATGGGGGTGTGGGGAAGAGGCATGGGCTAGGTTGGGGCAAGAAAACATAGTTCATAATTGAGAGGAGTGAGGATGCCATAAAGCAGCAAGTCTCAACCTTTTGATCACCTATCCATATGAGTTAGAAAAAACATTGAATACAAATCTGCAATATGTTATGTAAATTATTTATGAATTACATTTACATATTGATGTACTAATACTGTATTATAAGAGATATATAAAATAGAAATTTTTAAAGAATTAGATAAAATATCAATATAAATGCTAATATTTTATTTTCCATACTCTAGCCAATTGTTTTGCCAATCCCTGGGATCATATGGGACTCAAAGGCCTAGCTAGCTTCAGTATAGCATAGGGTGTTGGCTCTCTTAGGGGAATATGAGCCACCTGGCATGGAGCTGATCCTACTTTCTGCTAGAAGCATCCTCTTAAAAATAAGAGAAAAGATACCTAATATTCTTTGGGAAATTTTGGCAATACAGTAAGATACAGTAAGCTTAAATTTGAGGAGGAAAGAGCATATTAAGATTTATAGATATTACCTTGTAAGGAGATAACATTTGATCTGAGATCAAATTAGCATCCCTTTGTATGTCAAAGTGATCTTCAGTGCTAGTTAGTGTGCAGTGAAAGCAAAGTGCACTACGCTGGTAGTGCAGTATATCTCGGTTACACTTTTGGAACTCTTTTTTTTTTCTCCTTAATACCTAGATGGATCGAATTCTTAAAATTGATATGTGGTTATGAATACATTATTAAATTAAACTTCAAGCTCTGTAATATGAGATAGCCCTCAAAGCCTAAGCACTAAAAAGCAGTTCCTCTGGACAAAACCATTAAAATTAAAAACACACAGATATGATAAATAGGTAACTGTTTCGTGTGTATATTAATTTTTAAAGAGAATTTTTGACATGTGACCATAATTGAATTGGTAATTCTGAGAGTAACAGATATTCAACTTTGTTATAAAGCTCTAGTAAATTAAACAACGGTAGACCCATAGAATAACACAGCAGGGTAGGCAGTATACAGAGTTGGGCCCTATTATCCCATGGAAACTTAATATATTATAATGAATGATAAAAATGACATTTAAATCAGTAGGACAGAATGAGCTATTCTTTCATTCATGTGTTTGTCTATTCAGAAAATGTTTATCAAGGGCCAACCACTGTCCTAGATGCCAGGGATACATCAGCAAACCAAATAGACTAATATCCCTGTCATCATGGAGTGTAAATTCTAGTTAGGGTACAGACAGGTTAAATACATAGAAGATTCCCTTTGGTGGGGGAACGTTATATCTCTACTTCATACAGTATAAAGAATTGTTACAAGTCAATTTGTTTAAAAGCAAACCAATTTGACAGAAGATTATTTTATTTTGATAGCTATCCTTAATTCATAAAGGAGAATATGGAGCTATTCAGTAAATATCTAACAGTTTTTTAGTGGTTAGGAAAATATAAAATCAAACAGAGTGTTTTTAGTCTTCAGATTGATAGGAATGTAAGTTTAATAAGTTTTTTGTGAGTTTAGGCAAAATGAGTGCTTGTATATGTTGCGGATACAATGGTGTATTGATACTTTTGTTTTGGGGGGCAGCGTAACCGTAGGTCTCAAAATGAAACAGGCACAGAGACTATGACCCAAGAATCTCACCTCTTGGTTCCCCTGGGAACTCTCTTGCATTATGCCTAAGGAGGTATTTTGCAATTCAGGAGTTTTACTATCAATCTTCATTCAAAAACTTCGTTGCATTTTGTTGTTGCATTTGTGCACAACAGTTGTAATGAAAATTTGAGAGCTACCTAAATGTGCTTTTGTTAGCATGATGCATTCATGCTGTAGAACATTAGCACTGACACAGATCTCTAGGACATATTGTTGAATGTAAGGGGTAAATTACAGACATTGTATGTAAACATCAGTGGTAACAGCAGTTACCACTAGAACTGTTCACAGTTCTTATCACTGGGAAAGCTACTGAAATTGTGGTGACAGCTATTTAGGTTTAGCCTTATCTCAGTTGTTTTTATTAACTTTTTAAAGAGAAGGTATATTTATTCAAAGAGAGAGTATATGTAAAATTACTATAGCAATTCTTTCTATAAACCTCAGTTCAAGTCTCATTTCCCACTATCCCAGCCCATTTTGAATATTTTGTCAGTATCACTTATTTGGCACTTGGCAGGTGCTCTTGTACATATGGTTGTTTGCTGTGTGCTCTGTCTTACCAATTAAATTATAGGTGCCTTTGACAGCTTAGGACATACCTAGTCCTCTTTTTTTTTTTTTTTAACATAATACCAAAAGAGAAGGCCTTATTTGATAAAAAAATTTATCATGAATGTCTTGCATTCTTTGGATAATATTTTTGTGCTTTTTAGGTTTATAACTTCCATAGTAAATCAGTTTTATTTCTAAATTTACTTGAATTTTTAATTATTTATTAGCAATTATATTTTAAACACTCATAAACATGGATGTTTAAAAATGAAATTGTTCAAATTATCTTACTTTTCTTTCTAGGTCGTTTATACGCAATGCAGACTGGAATGAAGATCGATAGTAAAACTCCTGAATGTCGCAAATTTTTATCAAAGTTAATGGATCAGTTAGAAGCTGTAAGTTAACCACTGATCATTTATTTTCTGGTTATGGTTAAAATACCATTTTATTCATTTGCGTGTCTGTGTTGTCATTTTAGTTCTTTCCCTTGGCAACAATCAAACAAAGCCATTATACCTGAGGAAAAACTAGTAATAATTTATTTTCATTTATTTGCTGTATACTTCCAGAGAGGTTATGAGTGTTAATTAAAGTATGTTCAAGTATCTTTGCATATGCCATCATATCTTGTTCCACATTATTATAGATGGCCTTTGGCTCCTCCTTTTATAGGTGAAAAACCCCTCCTTTTTTTTTTTTTAAGTTGAGACAGGGTCTCACTCTGTCACCCAGGCTGGAGTGCATTGCAGTGGCGTGATCTCTCGGCTTGCTGCAACCCCCACCTCCCAGGTTCAAGCAATTCTCTTACATCAGCCTCCCACGTAGCTAGGACTACAGGCACACGCTAAACGCGCCCGGCTAGTTTTTTTGTATATTTTGGTAGAGATGGAGTTTGACCATGTTGGCCAGGCCTGTCTGAAACTCCTGACCTCAAGTTATACACTCACCTCAGCCTCCCAAAGTGCTGGGATTACAGGCATGAGCCACCATGCCCAGCCGTGAAAAACCCTTTCTAACCTTCCCTTGCAGTCACGTGGATGATTAATTTGGGAATCTTAATATTTCTTATAATAATGAAATAATGGGCTGTGTATTTAGTGAAAGGAACAATGAAGGAAATGATGCCAATTACTTATCCTTTCTTCCTCCCTCTCTGGGGTCCCAGGGCAAGATATTCTTATGGTTTAGGCATCCTTCCCTCCTAGCAGGAATGTCGTAGGTGACTAATTAGTCACCTTCTTGAACCTAATATAACGTCACAGATCACTGTAGAGGTACTTTTGGAGAAGTGCCTATTGGATTGGATGTCAGTGCATAAAGAAGGCAGTGCCAACCTTAGTAGTCACACTTAGTAATGAGGACTCTGTCCTGTAACTCCTGGACCCAGCCATACCTGGTTTCTCTTTTAACAAAGTCAGGGTACACTCATTAATTCATCTCCTCCAAGACTGTTACATTAATAGTCGTGACTTACTTTTTATTTGCTTATTTAGATATCCAACCTCAGGAGAATTAGAAACCTATTCTATCAGTTGTATTATTTTGCTTAGAGAAAATTTAGACAAATAAAAACCAAAATGAAAACACACTAGTCAGCCCAGAGCTTTTTATTGTTTTCATTGTTTTTATGTATTGTTAGGAGGTTATGATTCAAACAAGACTTATGCGAAGACAGAACTTCCTACCTAGTTGTATAAAGCAGCCATGGGCAGTAGTGTTCTCTCTCACTTGGTGTGGCTGTCTGGCTTACTGACTCCTGTCGTCTGCTACTGTTAACTACCCAAAATCAGCCTCATGGCAGCACTGAGGAAATTCAGCTGTTCTGGAGCCTATCTGGCCTTGCATTTCTACAGCTGCTTCTATGGATACAAGATAAATTTGAGTACTCTCTTTCTAGGGAATGGGTTGGGGTAGAAGGGAGAATGTTTCTCACACATAGCAGTATATTTGTAAAATCCAACTCTAGCATTTTGTATAGTATAATGTCTCTTTATTAACTTCACTGTATAGCAGTAGTAGCTCAGATAATAGTTCTTGGGTAAGACAAAATTCAAACGTTTTCTGAAGTGTAAAATCACATTTATAAAGGGACTCATCAGGAATTTATCACTATCTGCATTAAATGACAGGTAAGATAAATGTATTCCATGGTAAGGGCACACTGTGGTGTTTGTATTACAGTTTTAAAACTTCAAGTATATTATGTTTTTGCTGTCAGGTATTTTCTGATGAAGATGAGATGAAGTGGCCTACTCTCACTAAAATTGTTCTACAATGAAATCTGCCTTTACAAATGATTTTGCAGTTTGGATACACAAATTACTGTTATCTGTGGGGATTTTTTTTTTCTTTTTTCTGTTCTTGTTCAGGATAAACATAGATAAAATTTCCTTAAATTTCAGCATTAAATCTTTTCTGGACCATAAGTTATTCTGTTTAATTATGAAAGTATTTACTTTGCTGATTTTATGAAAAATCCTGGGGCTTCTTTTAATTTAATTTTTTACTTTATAACATCTTTGAAAAAAGCAGTTTTTAATTAACTAGTTTGATGCTCAGATCTGATACTCCAGAGAGTTATTTTATTCCTGTATTGTAGTCTGAGTAAAAATTAGGAACTTTTTTTAAATGCTTTAAATTATTGTGTCTATAGAAAAGGGCTAAAAATTTACAGATAGAAGTTGCATTGATTGCAGGTATATATTTGTCTAATTTTTAAAAGCTTCCATAATTTGATTCTGAGTTTGTCATCTTATACCTTACTTTGAATTAGATCTTTTTTGTTTTTCACACTATGTGCTCTGAGAGATATCATTATTATTATTATTATTATTATTATTATTATTATTATTATTTTGAGACAGAGTCTCGCTCATTCGCCCAGGCTGGAGTGCAGTGGCGCGATCTCAGCCCACTGCAAGCTCCTCCTCCCAGGTTCATGCCATTCTCCTGCCTCAGCCTCCCGAGTAGCTGGGACTACAGCTGCCCGCCACCATGCCCAGCTAATTTCTTTTTGTATTTTTAGTAGAGACGGGGTTTCACTGTGTTAGCCAGAATGGTCTCGATCTCCTGACCTCGTGATCCACCCGCCTCAGCCTCTCAAAGTACTGGGATTACGAGTGTGAACCACTGTGCCCGGCCGAGAGATATTATTTTACGACATGATGAACCTTCTAGTCTTATTTTTTTTAGATTTGACAGAAATTGAAATGGGAATAAATTAAAATTTTAAGTTATATATGCCTAGAAATTATTTTCTAATTCTATTTTTAGGGTAACTTATAGTTTGGGTAATAAAACATGATTTTGAAATATTTGATGCTTCCTTCACATGGATAATTGGATATATTATCCTTTTATGCTTGGTTATTTTGATTGTTAGAGCTAAATTATATTTTCAGTTTATCATAAGTGTGTTTCTTCAAAGTTGTAAGCATTGGATTTTGTTTTAAATGCATTGGGCTGAGGCATAGCAGCTCTTTTTGCAAGATTTCATTGATGACATCTTTTATTGAAATGAATGTAAAATAATTTACTTAAAATGATTATTAGAATTGTTTGTAATTAAGTCAACACTTCTGAGAGTCCAAAATCATAAGCTATGTATCTGATTTTATTTTAGCTAAAGAAGCAGTTGGGTGATAATGAAGCTATTACTCAAGAAATAGTGGGCTGTGCCCATTTGGAGAATTATGCTTTGAAAATGTTTTTGTATGCAGACAATGAAGATCGTGCTGGACGATTTCACAAGTAAGTAAAGAGAAAAATAAAAATTATTTTATTAATTTTGTAACTGTATAACCAAAATTAACTAGTTTTCTCTGGAACACTTTCTAACCTGCTGATTGATTTAGGTTTTTTTAGAAAAAAATTATCAAACCTCACGGTGATTTTAGATTACAAATTCGGGCCTTTCTCTTATAAGAAAATGGCTGAAAGAAGAAATACCCAGGGCAGATTTATTTACTTAGTAAATATGCTCTACTTAGCTATTTTTTAACATTTAGTAAAATCTGAGTTGATTTTAGCCAAAATCACAGCCCCGCCTGATGATTTTGATTTTGAAGGTACCCACCCCAATCAATTCAAATGATTTATCAGTATAATATTTACATTTAAAGAAATACATTATGGTTTGATATGGAGTCAGATAATACTATAATTACATTTTTCTAAAGTCAAAAACATACAAAAAATCTTGACGTAGCGCATTTACTTGTAATGTGAGTCTTGTTACTTTCTCATAGTAACAGATTAGAAAACCATTTTTGTTATTTTCTTGAAATCTAATTTTATTTAAAACATGAATTTCAGAGTGCTTTTATAAAGATAGGAATTTTTTTTCTTATAGCTAAATGACAAAACTACATTTTAATGTGTTTCATATTTAAACTAGACCGCTCTCTTTTCTCTTCCAGAAACATGATCAAGTCCTTCTATACTGCAAGTCTTTTGATAGATGTCATAACAGTATTTGGAGAACTCACTGATGAAGTGAGTGTACATTCTTTATTGTCTTATTAGCTGAAGATCAGTAATGTTTCTGTTTATCAATATTGTTATTGCATTGTTTATTTACAGCAGAATGTCTGTCAGAAATTAATGCAAGCAAAAAATGTAATTTTGCATTTTTTATTAGCCATTTTTAAAAAGTAAATTATTTCCAATAATATATTTTAATTTTGTACTAAGTTCTTTATTTTTATTTTTGTATTTGTTTTTTGAGACAGGATATTGCTCTGTTGCCCAGGCTGGAGTGCAGTGGTGTGATCTCAGCTCACTGCAGCCTCAGCCTGCCCGGGCTCAAGCAATTCTCCTGCCTCAGCCTCCTGAGTATCTGGGACTACAGGCACAAGGCACCATAGCTGGCTAATTTTGTATTTTTTTGTAGAGACATGGTTTTACCAAGCTGGTGTCGAACTCTTGAGCTCAAGCAATCTTGCCTGCCTCAGCCTCCCAAAGTGCTGGAATTACAGGTGTGAACCCCATTGCACCTGGCCTGTAATAAGTTCTTTAAATCCAGCATGTATTTTACACTTCAGCATATGTGTGACTACTGTATTGGACAGCACAGGTTTAGAGTTTGATCTTACTAAGTATTAACATATTACTAATCCTGTATGTTGTTAAGTTTTTACACTGTAATTTGTTGAACATACTTGAGGTAGAATCATTTTTTTTTTTGAGATGGAATTTTGCTCTTGTTGCCCAGGCTGGAGTGCAATGGCACAGTCTTGGTTCACTGCAACCTCCGCCTCCCAGGTTCAAGCGATTCTCCTGCCTCAGTCTCCCTAGTAGCTGGGATTACAGGCGGATGCCACGACACCCAGCTAATTTTTGTATTTTTACTAGAGACAGGGTTTCACCATGTTGGTCAGGCTGGTTTTGAACTCCTGACCTCAGGTAATCCGCCCACCTTGGCCTCCCAAAGTGCTGGGATTACAGGCATGAGCCAACACACTGGGACTGGAGGTAGAATCTTTTTATGACTTTTTTTCTGTTTAATTTCTAGTCAGCATTATTGTTAATGGTTTGTTTCCCTTGTAAAATGCATATAAGACTTAATATTTTATAACATACTTCCTGTTCATTCTATCTATTTGATTCCCATAATGATTTACCATAAGGTAAGCAAAGCACATAACCTTTGTATACATGGGCAAATGGGGCTAAATGACAAATTTACTACTTTAAGTTCAGTATCATTTTCACCATAACAGGCTTTACCATTCATGTGGAGAATTTATTTTCTGAGAGGGAATATATTAATCTAGAAAAAGGAAGAGTTATAAATGAGATTGATACATATGTGTTATATGAGTGATTTGAACACTATGGGCAATGTTTTTTTTGTGATTAAACTTTTTTTTCAAAATGATGAGTAGCTCTTAGTAAAGTCCCAAACAAAACAGAGTACAATCACTGTATAAGGCATTTTTGTAAAAGATTGTATAGCAAAACTGCAAAAAGTTATTTTTTGTTTATATTCAAAATGAAGTTACTCTCTAAGCTTGATGAGTATAAGCAGGGGTTTTGCCAGCATGAAAGTTGTACAGGACATTTCAAAGTTGTGACAAATGAAGGACTTTTCTTTTTTTGTGAGACTGAGTCTCTCGCTCTGTCACCAGGCTGGAGTGCAGTGGCACAATCTTGGCTCACTGCAACCTCTACCTCCTGGGTTCAAGTGATTCCCCTGCCTCAGCCTCCCAAGTAGCTGGGCCTACAGGTGTGCACCACCACACCTGGCTAATTTTTTGTATTTTAGCAGAGATGGGGTTTCACTGTGTTGGCCAGGATGATCTCAATCTCCTGACCTCGTGATCCACCTGCCTCGGCCTCCCAAAGTGCTGGGATTACAGGCATGAGCTACCAAGTCCAGCCAGGACATTTTTTTTGTAATGTGACTGTCCCTTTAATTTCAAAACATGGAGCAATTTTGGCCCTTGCCTGCACACTGCCAGTAGCATTTCCCAGTAATTGAGCTAACTAGAAGCCACCTGAGATATTTCAAAACAGCCCTACCCTAGGGTATGGGGCAATGCCCATTTAGAGCCACTGCTCTCAGATATTTTATACTCTTATACAGAGTCATATAAAGGAGAACTGATACCCGGAGTGTGAAAACCTGAACTATTACTCAATGGGTATTACCTTTTTATATTCTGATGGCCTTATGGATCCACCTTTTTAACTCCCTTTTACCTCATCTCCTGTTATTAATGATCCAAATTTTCTTTTCTTCTCTGTTTTACTAGTGTGAGGCACTATGCTAAATACTTGGGGATACAGAGGTAATATAAACATGACATGATGGAAAGCTTTGAGTGGTTCAGTAGAACTTTGGAGAGTACCAGGTAGGTGAAGAAGAATAGTGAGAATTCAGATTAGAAGAGTAAGTCATAAGCCAGGTCAGACAGATGATGGAAGACCTACAATCTTCAGTTTGTATTTTTGAGTAAAGAACTATGCCTTGGGGTGCTTTGTATAATAGGAGCCTGTACAATGAACTGAAGTGAGGGAGAACTACAAAACCATTTGACAAAAAAAAAAAAGAAAAAAAAACTGGTTGATGATTAACTATGGGCCTTAGTTGAGAGGTGGAAAACTGTACATGATGAGTTGTTTTTGGTTTGAGAAACAATAATATATTGAAACTTAGACTTTAAAATTTGAGGTGCAAGTATGACAGCCAAAAAGGAATTACCAGAAGCCTCTTGGAAATAAATAAGCAAAAGACAGCAAAGTAGAGGGGACAATTCAAGTTATAAGATTAGACAAACCCTTCAGGTAAGTGGATTGTTTTGAATGAGAGAGATGACTAAATAAATACCCTTGGTAAACACTTATTTTTGCAGTGTAAGAGGAAGAAGTTAATAAACACATTCGTAGATGTGAATGGAAATTCAAGATACCAGAAGAGAGGATCATGATAAGGCAAAGTAACAGATCAGAATGCCACATGGTTTATTGTGCTCTGGGCCTACAGGCGTGCGCCACCATGCCTGGCTAATTTTTTGTATTTTAGTAGAGACGGGGTTTCACTGTGTTGGCCAGGATGGTCTTGATCTCCTGATCTCGTGATCTGCCCTCTCCTAGTTCTTATTTGGGGAAGCTACCTTCCCCTATGTATTTTAGAAGCAAGCACATAATCCTTTAAAGTTATAACTGCTAACAATGGTGAATCCAGCCAACAGGTAAAGTAATAGTCATAGGAAAAAGAACAAAATTTCCAGAACTCTTAAGTGAGTAATAGGTTCTCTTCACTTAAGGAATATGTAACACTTCCACATACATAAGCTACATTAATTTATCTGTATTTCAGGAGAATAATCTAGGTTTACTTTTAGCTACCATTAATGAAGAACCATCTTCCTTAATTTTTTGAACATAGTAACTAGGGCAAAACTGTAAATGAGGCCAGTGAGAAGGCTTCATGTGAGATTGGGGTGATGGGATGGGATTTGTTTAGATATTAGGGTTACTAAAGAGTAAGGGTAAAGGGATTTTTTTACCCCCTATCTCACTACCCAACCTGCTCCCTAAGCCCCTTTGCCTTGCACTGGTGCTAGAATAAAGTAGCGTCTTTGTTGGTGGATAAAGGATTCCAGATAGTTGGAGGGGTCTGGAATGGGATCCCACACACAGTCCCACCTGGATCACTGCTTAGTGGAGCTGTAGGAGCGGGACTGCCACCACCCAGACCTACCTGAATGGTAGAGCCACTGGCAGCTTGCACCCTGAGCCTGGAAAAGGTGCAGCTTTCAACTCCAACCTGTGGGAGCAGCCACAGGGGCTGTACCCTGCAAAGCCATAGGGGCAGAGCTGCCCAAGGCCACCACTTGTACCAGTGTTCCCTGGATGCTGGTCATGGAGTCAAGGATTATTTTGAAACTCTGAAGTTTAATGTCTACTATGTTGGTTTTTGGACTTGTGTGGGGCCTATCGTGCCTTTTTTTGGGCAGTTTCTCCCTTTTAGAATGGGGATGCTTACCCAATGCCTGTACCACCATTCTTTCTTAGAAATAAATAACTTGCTTTTAATCTTACAGGCTCACAGGTGGAAGGAATGTGCCTTGATTCTTAGATGAGATTTTGGACTTTTGAGTTGATGCTGCAATGAGTTAAATCTTTAGGAGACTATTGGGAAGGGATAATTATATTTTGCAATGTGAAAAGGACATGAGATTTGAGGGGGCGGGAGCAGAGGTGGAATTGTATAGTTTGGATGTTTGTCCCTGCCAAAACTCATGTTAAAATGTGATCCTCAGTGTTGGAGGTGAGGCCTGGTGGGAGGAGTGGTCATGGGGATGGATCTTTTATGAATGGCTTGGTGCCCTCCCCATGGTAATAAGTGAGTTTTTGCCCTGTTATTTCACGTGAGAAGTGGTGGTTTAAAAGAGCCTGGCGTCTCTCTTGCTGCCTCTCCTGCCTTGCGACACGCTGGCTTCCTTTTGCCTTCCATCATGAGTAAGAGCATCCTGGGCCTCACCAGAAGCCAAGCAGATGCTGGGCCCAGGCTTATGCAGCCTGCGGAATGTGAAGGCTCTTTTCTGTATAAATTAGCCAACATCAGGTATTCCTTTATAGCAGTGAAAACAGACTAATACAAGATGTAAACAACCTGAATAACCGAAGCCTTCTGTGTGATATCTGTACATGATGATTTGGGATATTCTAATTAAGTTATTTTTACTTAAAATTCCATCCCTTTTCAAAAAGGCCACTGGTTCACAAGATGAATTATGCAATTTACATAACTAATTCATCTTATTTTGAGCTTTTTTTCCCTGCAGTTCGTTCTTCTGTCATTGAAGAACCTACAGGAACTTCTTATTTCCTAACACTGCAAGTCCAAGCTCCTCTGTCAGATTTTCAGGTTTTCTGTCATGCTCCGTACTCTGCTTGCTGCCCTATTTGCCAGTCCTACTTTGTAGACCAGGCTGCTCACTGTCTTCTCATTTTTCACCTTTGGAAATGTGTTTTTAGCCGGCTTTGCCTAAGTTTTATCTTCTCTTCAGGTCTCACCTATATTATTCTAGTCCTTACATGAATTTCTCCATTCTCTCAGCTCTCCCCCACCTGTATTTAGAGTTCTAACTTTATAAATGTATTGACTTCATTTTTGTGTATTGTATTTTTGAATAAATTATATTGCAAGTACTTGAAGAGGGGGCTTTGTCTTCTTGATTAGTTTCTGCTTGAAAAGTTGCTATAGTGTTTCATTTTTTAACCTGTAGATGGAAAAATGCCTTACACTTGTTTATATATAACTTATTTTATTTCATAACTTTTCTAAAATGTAATAGATCTCATTTACTCAATGATAATTTTCTTGGTCATTTCTTGATTTTTTTTTCCTTTTAATTTCATGTCATTACTCACTTGTATAAAACTAAAGTCTATTTTCTTTAGTCCTTCAACATTTTTGTTTTTTTATTTTTTAATATTTTGTCTGCCACTATTCTATTTCTCAGTTATCTTATCTCTATTTTAGGTATATGTATTTAGCTCTTTTAACTGTGCCTTATTATCATTCCATCACAACATTTTAATTAAATTTGCTGTTATGTAAGCTTCTAGCTCTGTTGTTACATAAACTGTAGTTCTCTTGGAATCAGTGCCCAGTTTTAGTTATAGAGTCAACATAAATATTTTCTTTTTCTGCTATAGCATCTTGTATAATCTGTTTGTGGCCAATATTATTGATAGGCTTCCTTTCATTGTATTTTAGATTCATTTCACTACTAGCAGTGTTTGAGGAACAGATAACATTTTACTATTTTTCATTCATAATCTTTGGTTAAGATTAATACTGCCAAGTTAGGTAGAACATGAAAATTACAGGTGAAAGATAATGCTATTCTTATATATGGAGTTTTTGCTATTTGAGGGAATGAGATGAATATGTTTTCTGCCCTCGTTGAGCTTATGTTCTAACCTGGAAAGAGAAACAGAATAACTCTAATGATACATGATGTATTAATGAAATGTAGGGAAGGTATGCATTGGCAGTACCTAACATTAGCCTGGCACTATGCTTAGACACCTTGTTTCATCTTTCACAACTCTGAATTATAGTGAGAAAACTGAGGGTCAGAAAAATATAAAGTGCTTGGCCCCAGATACATAGCCCAGGACAATATTTCTCAAACTCTCTGTGATAAAGGTTCAGCCTTTTTTTTTTTTTTTAAATTTTCAATTCTTTGCAGATGATTTTGTAAAATACAAATGCAAGTAATAAATGAATTACAAAAGAGAAAATTTAAAAAGGCATACAGATAGATATACAGCATAATTTGCTATGTGTGTTTCAAATATTTCTAAATCCAGTTTCAGTATTATGTTGTCACAAACTCGTAAGCAGTTTTGCAGACCAGCAGTGTTTCTGGGACCACATTTTGATTGGCACAGATCTAGATCTTTTTTGGATCCTGTTATGGTCCTCCTGGCTTGAAAAACAGGGCTGCACATTTACTGAGGCAATAAGGCACATGAATAGCTGGCTGTGAGAAGGTGGTCTGTTTAAGGGTATCCGTGTGTACTGGAACGTTTCAAAGTGAGCAACATCTTATTATTAGCCTAGAAAACCATGGTAAAGCAGAGATATTTTCCAACTACAAAAGCATTTATTCCTTACATACACCATACTTTAGGTTTTCATGTTCTTACTGTATCCTGAAAGTCTCATTCTTAGCAATTATCATAGTAGATAAATATGAGAGTAGAGTTATGTCTAATTACAGTAGAAATTCCATGTGTCTTGTACTCACTTGTATGATAATTGCCAAGAACAATGTCTTACACCTAATTGATGAGTTGTAAATGAATGAAATATTTTTTCATACAGTATTAGTATAAAGTAATTAAGAGTGCAGGCATTGGGCCTCCAAATTCTGTCACTCCATAACTGCATGACTTTGGGTAAGTTAACTTATGTAAGCCTGTTTCAACATACGTAAGATGATGAAAATTGTAATACCTGTTTTGTCAAGTTGTCATGGAGATCAAGTGAGGAAATATATGTAAAGCCTTTAGCAAAGTGCCTAGCATGTAAGTGCTTTAAAAAAATTGGCTCTTGCAGATTCTAGCAGTAGTAAGGAGTATAGCTTGAGAAGGCCGATTAGGAAGCCTTTATGAACTAGGGTAAAAGATTAAAAACTTGAGTTTTCAGAAAGGAGATCAGAGAGTAGGGTTACGTTAAAAAAAAATATGCTAAATGTGCTTTTTCTGTTGGAAGGTAATTTTTTTACACACAAAAAAATCAGTTCGTGTAGTCCATTCTAAGTACTAAATGTGTATTCATTGCTAGTTTTAGCCTGTAACCTGAGTCTGAAGCATATAGCTCTATCATATAATAATGTTTAAACCATGTTTTAATAATATTTTACTGGGCTGTATTTAGAGAGGTTGTCAGCAAATACATAAAATTTTTCATGGAAACTATCCTAAACTGATGTGGCTTATATATTTACTTTGTATTTAGATGAGCTTATTCACGGGCATTAATGTATTATTGCTACTGTATTTGGGAGTCTAACATGTACATTTGGAGTTCCAAAAGGAGTACAAAGAAAACGAGTACAAAAAGATATCTGAAGAAATAATGACCACAGATTTTCCAAATTGAGTAAAAAAGCAGCTACAGATTCAAGAAGCACAGTGGACAATTAGGTTAATATAAAGGAAATCACACCTAGAAACATTGTAGTCAAACCACTGAAGTCTAGTGATGGAAGAGAAAATCTTGAAAAAGCAGCCTTGAGAAAATGTGTTACACACAGGGTAACAGTGTTGTGAGGGATAGCTGACTTCTCATTTTTTAAAAAATTGGAGGCTGGAGGATAATAAAATGACATATTTAAAGGGCTGAAAGAAAAAAAATAAAACAAATGAACAAAAACCCTGTCAACTCAGAATTCTATATACAGCAAAGCTGTGCTTCAAAAAATGAAGGTTTTAAAAAAACATTTTTAGGCAAGTTAATTCATTGCTAGCAGGTCTGCACTAAAGATCCAAAGAACTAAAGAACAGCTAAAATGAAGGAAGTTTTTCAGGCAGAAGGAAAAGGATACCAAGTAGGAATTTGATTTACAGGAAGGAATGAACAACACTGGACACAGTAATGTAGGTAAATGTAAAAGACTATATATTTTTAATTTCTTTAAAAGATACATGACTATATTTGTAAAAATTATTTTAACTGTACATATATATATTTGGCAAACTCTAAAGAAGGCAGAGAAGGGGAAGAGAAGGAAACATAAACAGGTGGGACCAATGCAAAACACATAGCAAATTTTAGACCTAAATACAGCTATGTTGTTACATACCATAATTGTAAATGGACTAACACCCAAATTTTATAGTAGAGGTTTTCAGACTAGATTTTTTTTTAAAAGCAAGCCTTAACTGTATACTGTTTCTAAGAGATACTGTTCAAATACAAATATAAATATTTTGAAAATGAAAATATGGAAAAAGATGCTTAATGCAGATACTAAGTAAATAGAATCTCAAGTGGCCATAGATAAAATAGGCTTTGAGTAGATGTGTTACTAGAAATAAAAGGGGCCATTTTATAATAATGGGTCAGTTCATCAAGAAGACAATACAGTTACAAATGTCTGTGCACCTAATAATAAAACTTTCAAACTATATGAAACAAAAATCAACAAAAAAAGAAAAATAAGGAAAAACTCATAATCATAATTGGAAATTTTAACACCCCCATTAGTCATCGATAGAATAATTTTTTTAAATCAATAAAATAACACGAATAACGAGTGGCCACATAAATTGTTGTCTAGAATGTGAAAAACCAAGCGCTTTCATACATTGCTTGATGGAGATGTTAGATGTTATATCCACTTTAGGAAAAGAGTTGGTCATTTTTTTTTTAATGCTAAACATACTCCCTTTTACCCAGCAATTCCTATTCTGGTTTTTATCCAAGAAAAATAAAAACATATGTCCTGAAAAAGACTTGTTGAGGAGTGCTTATGGGAAGTTTATTCATAATAGCCCAAAGCTAGAAACAACCCTGATGTCCACCAACAGGGGCACTGGTAAACACATTGGGGTATTAGATACAAAAAGGAACTGACTGCTGATATAACCTACAACATGGATGAATCTAGTAGACATTATGCTGAGCAAAAAAAGAGCCGGAAGTATACAAACTATATGATTCCCTTCATATACATATGTGTGTACATGCGCGCACACCAAAGGAAGTTGATCTGGGAAGGGATATAAATAGAAGTATGGTTTACCCAGGTATATTAATCTGTTTGTCACAATATTAAATTGTGCACTGAAGATGTATGCATCTCAAAGTATGTTCGTTTTACTGCAGAAGTTGAATGTTGAACTATTTTATTGATAGGTTTGGTTTATCTTAGTATGGGTTGACAGTTCTAAACCTGCTTATTCTATATTCTAAGAGTGACCAAATGATTAAATATATTGAGGGAGACAGTTTTCTCACTTTTGGGGAATTTAGTTACAATGTGGAATGAGAGAAGACTAGATTGTGTTGTGCTGTTAGGTTGGAATTGTTGTAATCTTAATTCATGCTTTTAAATATATTACACTAGATGAATAGATCTATTTATATAGGTATAATATGTATACTATAGTTTGTGTATCTGTATACTCTGCTAGGAGCAATGATGCAGCAGTAGCAGTGAGCACACAGTGAGCATCCCTAGTGCCTGATTTTCTGTTCTAATTTTATTCTGCATAAGGAACCAGGACTTTCGTAAAAAGTGCTTAATCTAGGGCTAAGTCCAGGAAGGCTACAGATAAGGCCAGACCTTCTTGTGACAGAAAGGAGGAAAGTGTTATCATAATCATAGGACCCAGAAGCCGACTTGAAAGGGTTCCCATTGTCCAAGCCAGGGACAGTTTGAGCATAAAAATAAGAATGATAGTAATGGATGATAACTCATTGAATAAATTAAGAATCTGTATAGGTCCAGACTGATACATATGAAGAAATAAATAAATGAATAAATAATAGAAGAGCAGAGAAGGCTCTTTGTCATAGTATTCTAACTATAAATATACAAATAGTGATAAAATTAAATTATTAGTGGGCTTTAAAAGTAGTAGGTGGAAAGTTTGATAAAAAGAAGTATATTTACATGTCTCTGAATATCTTACCAAATTGCTTATTGATATCAGAGGAAAATAGTAATTCAATAATGAGAAAACTTGTAACACACCTCTTTAGGCCAAGTCATTAAACCTAACACCACTAATATTGGGACAGCTCACGTCATGTGCATCCTAATAAGATGATCTGAAAAAGACAAACATCGCTTCAGTGATAATGCTTCCAAAAACGTATAACCCGAACGTAATCATGAGGAGACATCAGACAAATCAATAGACATTTTACAGCTTGGTTGGTATTTTTTAAAAAGTCAAGGTCAAGAAACACTAATCATGCTCCTTAGATTAGATCTGGGCCTGGGGGGAAAATAACTACAAAGGACGTGATTGGGACAATTGACAAAATTTATTGGGACTGTGGATCAGACTGTGTAACTATTAAATTTTCCGATTTTTGAGATTGTCCTAGATTTTGGAAAGTGCAATGAAAGGGTAAGGGGACACCGTGTCTTCAATTTACTCTTAAATGGTACAGAAAAAAAAAAAAAAAAATATATATATATATATATATATACACACACACACACAGACACACTTTTTTTTTTTTTGATACGGAGTCTCGCTCTGTTGCCCAGGGTGGAGTGCAGTGGCGCGATCTCACCTCTCTGCAAGCTCCGCTTCCCGGGTTCATGCCATTCTCCTGCCTCAGCCTCCTGAGTAGCTGGGACTACAGGTGGCTGCTACCATGCCCAGCTAATTTTTTGTATTTTTAGTAGAGATGGGGTTTCACTGTGTTAGCCAGGATGGTCTCAATCTCCTGACCTCGTGATCCGCCTTCCTCGGCCTCCTGAAGTGCTGGGATTACAGGCATAAGCCACCGTGCCAGGCCTGACACACACACTTTTTATATTTTATATATATATATATATATGTATATGTACTTTTTATACATTTATATGTAGAAATAAATTGATAAAAATTAAATAGTTGGAGAATCTGAGTAGAAGATATGTGAGAGTATGTTGTGCTATTTTTAAAACTTTCTGTAAATTTGATGAAAACTATATTTTTTTTTCAAAAAATAATTAACATTGGTTTCTTTTCTTACCCCAGTAGATTAAGTATTAAACAGTTACCGACCTTACCTTGTTTGGAAATCTTTTGTTTACTTGGAACATATATTCCAATGTTATGATATTTTAAAAATAGAGGAGTTATATTTAAGTCTTTGTGTATTAAGTTATAGTTATGATTTGGGGGGTATAGTTTTACTCTCCCTTTTAAAAACTTGTTTGCTGAAATTATAGTTGCTTTGAAAAATATAAAAGGATTAAAATGTTGAATGAATATCAGGAAATACATGTAATCTGTGACTATAAATATTTCAGTGTCTGAGTAATTTTGATAATAAATTTGTTTAATATGTTTTTCAAGCATTTCTCATTATACCACATCTCAGTGTTCTGGGAGTTATGTGGAAGTCTTGTTTATATAATAACTTGGGAGGTTGAGGGACTAAGAGTATAAATGTATTTGTGATGTTGCCACAAAGTTAGAGATTATTAATCCCATTTTTATCACTGTCTACTTTGAAAATCTTATGAAAGCTGTGGATTCTCATGCTAATGTGTATTGCATTTTTGCATGTAATTTGGAGGGTGTTCCAGGAAGAGGCAAGAGAGAGTGCTACATTTTTGAGACTACAGTACAAGCTACCTATTCTTGTTCAAGAAATAACAAGGAGAACAATGTGGCAGAATCCAGAATGAGAAGGAGTGATAGGATAGGAGATGAGAATGAGGGTGGTGGGGGGAGGATTCAAACAGAGAATTTATAAAATTTGACTTGTATTTTTAAAGTATTGTTCCCTTCTGTAATGGACAAGAGTGGAAAAGGCAAACTCATTAGTATGTTATTAAATAATCAAGGTAAAAGATAATGCTTGCTAGGACCAGAGTTTGCCAAAGAGGACATGTTGAGTAGTGGTTGGATTCTGGATATATTTTGAATGTAGAGCTGACAAAATTTTAACAGTTTCATTGGCAGAGTGTAAAAGATACAGAGAACTCAAAAATGACTCCAAGGGTTGGACCTGACAACTATAAGATTTTTAACCATTGTGGCCATTTATAGAGTTGGTGGGGGAAAATCAGGAGTTGGTTTTGAACTTGGAGGAGCTTATCAAACATACAGGACAAATATGGAATTGGATGTATACTTATACAAGATCCTAAGGTTCAGAGAAGTCTGAACAGAAGATATAAATTTGGAAGTTGGCAGCAAATACACCTCATGGTATTTAAGGGTGGTACATTTAAAGCCATTAGACTGCGTGAGATCATCAAGTGTAGAAAGAAGAGACAAGGAATCCAAGAGCTGAAGCCTGAGGTACTCCTGACACTGGGACATGAAAAAGGACAAGTATAAAAGGACTGAAGGAGCGCGCAGCAAGGGAGAAGGAAAACCCGGAGGTCTTGATAACCAGGAAAGCAAGTGTAAGGGGGGGCATCAAGGAATGGGGTGGGAAATAATCACCTGTTCATGCTGATAGGCGTCAAGGAAGATGGCATGTAAGCCTTGAATTTAGGTGGCAAAAATCACAATTACTTTCACACCAACCTAATAGCAATATAGAAGTAATCTGTAACCTTGACAAAAGCTGTTGCAGTGACTGGTGGAGATTAAAAACTTGCCTAGGATGGGTTCAATATAAAATCAAAGAGGAAGAATTAGAGACAGCTGGTGTAAAACTTTGTCTTTCAAGGTGACTTTTTGGTATGCTAATGGAGAATAATTTATATCAAATTTTTCATAGCTCTAGCCAGGAATTTATTATTACACTCTTGTGAGTCTTACAGGTCCTAAGTTTGAAAATCCCTCCTCCCGCCTATGGTTGCTGTTGTCTAACCAGTCATGCTTCAGTGTAGCAAGTGATTTAAAAATTAAATGAAAATTCATGCTAATTCTTAAGTGGCCAAAATTTGCAGTTGTCAGTGATTCTCATCAATCTAATAACAAAACAGGAACTTAGAGGCCAAGGACAAAAGTAAAAGTTCTTTTTGCAGTTCCTGTCTCTTAGAAAGGATGTTTAATCAGCCAAAAGGAGTTAATGAATTTCAAAAATACATCTTGAAAATTTCCTTTTAAAATATTGTTTAGTATCCAGCATCCTTTACATCCTTTATTTTAAAGAAAACAACATTGAAAAGTGAATTAGTGGAATTACAACTGCCGGAAATTTCTGCTAAATAGTATATGCAGCAGTTTGTAGGAATAGGGATGTTTTGGAAACAGGATGAAATAAAAATTAAATACGTTGCTTTACTAAACTGAGCCCTTTTCAACTTAGTTTCTTAAATTTCACATACTAATGCAGAAACTCAAATTGGTTTAAACTTCTCTACACTGCTCATGCTTAGATATTAGGACTGAAAGAACCTTCTAAAGTCATTACAACTTTTCTACTAAGTCTTTAGACAGGATTAAATTATTTCAGATAGAAGAAAATTTAGCCTAATTTTAAAGACCCTCAAAGAAGGCAGTTTAAACTTTCCTTAGCAATTTCTTCATTTACTTGTAAAATAGTTTTCTTCGTAACTACCAAAAGGTACATTCTGCATTGATAAACATTAAGTAGCTGATCTTTAAGGCTTATTTTCTGTTATTTCATCTATTTTAATCTGAGTTGCAAATTGCAGCGTGGTAATTGTAGTTTACCAAGATAGACCTGAATGAGTGGCTAACTTTACTACTAAAACAGTATGACCTTCAGTAAATTACTTTACTTTTGTAATGACATTTCTTCATCTCTAAAATGATAAGATTATAGAATCCCAAGAAAGAAGGATGAAGAAATAGGGACTTCAGATAAGACACGTGTCACATTTAGGGATGTCAGTTATTGCGTGGTTTCACATTAGACTCTAAAACTCATGCTTGACTCATTCATCTCATGTATCCCCAGCACTTAGCATAGTACCTGACTTGAGTAAATAATAAATAACTTGACTTACTGGAAATGAGGGTGCTTCATAGGGAGTAAACATTTGCACTTAGCCTTGGAGGAAAAGAGACTGGGCAGAAAGGAAACCATGTTAGATAAGAGAGAATAGCATAAGAAGAGAATGCAGGTAAGACAGGAATCCAATCTTGATTGAGGGAAATGGAAATAAGACTGAGTGTCCACAATGTAGAGGGCCTTGAATGCCAGATTAAACTGTATTTACATTGAGCCAGTCTTATAATGTCTCAAAGCCTTAGTGTGAGTAAAATGTGACCTGCCTAAATTTCGAGGTTTTGATGAAGACCAAGTAGAGGAAAATGTGTGGAAATGCTTTATAACCTGTAGAATGCTATAAAGATGTCAGTCCAAGACTTTAATCTTGTCTTGGATTTATCTTACGTATCCAACTAGCATTTAATATGTATCTTCTATCCATGGCATATTGGTTTATTTATCTTTATTCTCCAAGTATTTCCTTATTTCTATCTTTGCTTGTACTTTTCCTTCTCTCCAGAATCTTGTTATTGCTTCCATTTTTTCACATCTTACCCATCTTGCATGGCCAAACTAAAGTATCATTTCCTTTACCTTATTCTGTTTTTTCTTTATTCTCTGAACTGTTCCATGTACTTACTATAGGAAACAGGTTTAATACTTCCTACTAAGTGTTTTTATAGTAACAGTTCTTTGTATTTTAATTTCATATCGATAGCCAGATGAGTAGCTCCCTAAGGGTGGAAATAATGTATTGACTTATTTTATATATCCCATATTGCTAATTAAAGGTCTTAATTAACAGCAAACTTTTACAGAGCCTAAAAGTATGTTGAGGTTAACTATACATACCTTATGTTTTTCCCCAAAGAGGGAAAGTTTAAAAATTTAGGGTAATTAATTACCTTCATTAGTTTTCATTGCTGGAGCATAGGTTAATAATAAACATTTTAAAAGAATGTCATTTTGCAGATACTGAATTCAAGTGAACATAGAGACTCAAATCTGATACTAATCCAGCATTTGTAGCCCTTCAATTCTAATTGCTCAGGATTTTGAAAAATTAAAAATAATCTGGAAAAGTCAGTGCTTTAGCACATATTCTTTGCTCTGAAAAAATGAAAAAGGAAGAAAAAGGTGAACCACAGGATATTGCTGTTTCTGTAGGCCTAAAACACTGGAAATTTCAAGTCATTCTATCTAACTGTATCATAAACGTAACAGAACTTCCTAAATCCAATAGCCACTTACATACCACAGAAATAATGATCTCTTGTACTACCACAGAAATTTCAGTTAGAATCAGTTAAGCTTTCATACATTGGAGATATGTATACTTCCTGAGCAACTACTGCATACTGGTCACAAAGCCAAGTGCTTGGTATAAACAACAGATAGACTCTGCTTTTAATGAGCTTATATTGTAAGGTATGTGGGTGTTTTGAGGGTCTGGGAGGACACTTTGTCAGCATCCTTATATAATTATAAACTATGATAAATGTTGTTTTAAAAAAAGATGTAAGATTACCGGAGAGTCTGACCTTTGATTGGGAACATCAGGAAAACCTTTCTGAGGAAGTGGCATTTGATCTGGCATATGAGGAATGAGCTGAGTAGGGGTGGGTTAGCTGGGTGAGGAAGAAAAAAGACAATAGGCAAACAGGTTGTATGGGCCATGGCATGTGTAGTAACAGAAAAAAATGCATAGCTGGGTAGTAGTCAGTGAATGGGATAGGGACATTGAGAAGAGGTTGGACAATCAAGAACCAGGTAGAGTAGACCCTTGTATCCAAAGTTAGAGTTTATTTTGCATTTTAAATGAAAAGATTGACACGAATGGATTTATATTTTAGAAAGATCACTGTACTCAGAGCACTAGATGAGGAAGGTGTGGTAGGGGCTAGGGCAAGAATAGAAGTTGGGACAAATTAGGGGGCTATTTCAGTGAAAATGGGGAGATGAAGACCAATCAAGGTATGTTTCAAAAGGAAAATCAACTGGATTCTTGGTGAATTAGGTAAGGGAGTGGGGGGAGAGGCAAAGTATAGAGAGAGCTGTTAAAAATGACTCCTCCCATTTACTTGAGAGTGAAGTTCCCAGAGGAAAGGAGAGGTGGTAGGGGGATCAAAAGAACAGTTTTAATTTTAATTGTATGTGAGACATCCAAGTGGTGATGTCACATAGTCGGGTATTTGTCAAAGCAGATTCTGGCTAGATTCATAAATTTAAGAATAATAAATTTATCAATAGTATTTAAAGCTATGGGAAGGCATATGAAGAGGTTAAAAAAAAAAGCTAGATGGCAGGATCATGATGTTTGTATGAATCTGGTAGGTGGTGTAATGGCTTAAGACAGCCCCACTGTGAGATAATAAATGGCAACTGATATGATGTATGAACTTGAGATGGAGGAGAGGGAGAATGAATGAACATACATTATCTGAAGGGAACTGCCTCTATTCATTCAGCTCAGATAATTATTACTAAATAAATCTGGGCCCAGATATTTCATTTTTAAAAGAGAAGTTAGAAATTTGGCTTTTATGTAACTTTTCCCATATTTGGATATATAAAACATAATTCATATTTAAAATTCTATATGAGTTATTATTGATTGCGCCCACTATTTTGCACTCTGTCCTAGGACAGAGTATTTAAAATTACTTGAAGGTCAGCTAGAGGATTAGGAGCCAAAGGAGGTTAGAGAGAAACCAAGAGAATAGAGTGTCACAAAAACTAGAGATAGAGAAGGTTTCACAAAGATTGGCATAGTCCAGGGCTTTTAATATATTTACAGAGTGTAGCAGTTTGGTAAGATGATACCTAAAAAGTGTCCCTTGGATTTTCTAGTGTAGACTAGGCAGTTGATATTAGCAAGAGCAATTCCTCAAATGAACTGACAACTTAAGTGAGGAACAGGCTGACGCATGTGGGCTCCCTGCCAGTAAAAGACACAGGCATATTCAAATTCCCTGACCTTTTGTGTTACTGGAGAATATGAACTATACAGAAAAGAAATATACCCTCCCCACCCCACAGAGTGAACTGAGTGGTGAAGTAGTGAAGACTAAATGTGGATACTTCTGTTGGAAAGCTCATTTGTGAAGTGGAGCAAAATGTCATACCTGGAAGAAAATCAGAATCAATGTATAGATTTTTAAATTGAATATGTAAGAGGAGTGTTTGATAAGGAAATGTGATACAAATTTAGTAATTTAGGGGTTAATTTTTTTTTAGTTTTCTGTACAGAAGCTGCCTGTAGTAGTATCTAGAGACTCACATTATAGAATACTCAACTAAGTATCTGGACCACCTGCTGCATTTGTACTTATCAGTGACTTCGTGGATCTTTGCAAAAGGATACTTTCTTTCTTTTTTTTTTTTTTTTTTGGCCGGGAGGAGGTCCGGAGCTGGGCTGGTGCAGTGGCGCAGTCTTGGCTCACTGCAACCTCTGCCTCCTGGGTTCACGTGATTCTCATGCCTCAGCCTTTTGAGTAGCTGGGATTACAGGTGTGTGCCACCATGCCCGGCTAATTTTTTGTGTTTTTCATAGAGACGGGGTTTCACCATATTGGCCAGGCTGGTCTCCAACTCCTGAGCTCTGGCAATCCACCCTCCTTGGCCTCCCAAAGTGCTAGGATTACAGGCATGAGCCACTGTGCCTAGCCCTCTATTTCTTTATTTCTTTTTTTTTTTTTTTTTTTTTTTTTTTTGAGACAGAGTCTCTCTCTGCTGCTCAGGCTGGAGTGCAGTGGCGTCTGCCTCCTGGCTTCAAGTGATTCTCCTGCCTCAGCCTCCCGAGTAGCTGCAACTACAGGCACGTGCCACCACGCCCAGCTAATTTTTGTATTTTCAATAGAAACAGGGTTTCACTGTGTTGGCCAGGCTGGTCTTGAACTTCTGACCTCATGATCTGCCTGCCTCAGCCTCCCAAAGTGGTGGGATTACAGGCATGAGCCACCGTGCCTGTTTTCAAATAGTAAAACCACGTTCGCTCTGGAACGCTAATGTGCGTATAAATCACCTGGTGGTCTTGTAGTGCAGGTGCAGGCTGGCACTTGTAGATCAGGTTCAGTAGATCTGGGGTGGGCTTGAAGATTCTGCATTTCTAACAAGTTCCCAAGTGATAACGATGCCACTATAAAGGTCAGTGGAAAATATAAACTAAAAATCACTAGCACATCCAAAATTCTAAGAGATTTTTATATTTTTAATGCAAATTTTTATCTTACATCCTGTAACATTAGCATATCATGTTACATTAGTTTTAAGACATAGAAGAAGAGGCAGCTAACAGGTTCTTCATGATCTTTTCAGTTAACCCAATGAGGTATTATTTTTCCCTTTTTAGAATCAGGGTAACTGAGGTTCAGAGCTGTTAACTAGCATGTGACTAGTTAAAAAGTCAGGTTTACCTGCCTATCAGTCTAGCATTTGCTTTAACCACCACATCTTAATTTTCTTTTTATTTTTTTCTTGATTTGTACAGTTCTGTTTTTTTGTCTTTAGTGAAAATAATTCAATCTATTGTTATTTTTATATTTAGTCTTAGATTTCTACTTTAGCCTATTTCTCCCCTGTGCAGAAGAGTTGCAAATTTTGCTGGAAGGACACTCCTGTTTTTCCGTTGCATATCCTTTCTGAAATGTTATATGATAAAAGAGAACTGGGCGTATGTTTTGAGGACAATAGCTTTTCATGAATTCTGTCAAGCCTTAAATACTTGGTGGATTCCAGCAATAGGGTGGGGTATTGCCAGTTTCTTTTAGAGCTGTAATCTGCAAAAATAGGTTTTATCTCAGAAATATGATATAGGTCATCATAAATGTTTACTTTTTACTTCTTTACCATAGTCCAATGTTGATATAAAAATGCTCTCTTTTAGAATGTGAAACACAGGAAGTATGCCAGATGGAAGGCAACATACATCCATAATTGTTTAAAGAATGGGGAGACTCCTCAAGCAGGCCCTGTTGGAATTGAAGAAGATAATGGTATGTATTTATTTATTCTGAGTAAAAGGACTTAGTAGAATCATAATTATTCAGTAGATTACTCAAAGTTTTTGGAGGGAACAATACAGTTTTGTTTTCATCAGGCCCAGAATCAATGAAAGTTAAGTATAAAATCATAAACTTAGGGACAGTGAGAAATAGAAATAAAGGTCAAACTGCTGTAATACCTGTCCATGTCAACAAAGTGACTTATCTGTCTCCTGCTTTTTTTTTTTTAATGAGACATAGTCTCGCTCTGTCGCCCAGGCTGGAGTGCAGTGGCGCAGTCTCTGCTCACTGGGAGCTCCGCCTCGCAGGTTCATGCCATTCTCCTGCCTCAGCCTCCCGAGTAGCTGGGACTACAGGCGCCTGCCACCACGCCTGGCTAATTTTTTTGTACTTTTAGTAGAGACGGGGTTTCACTGTGTTAGACAGGATGGTCTCGATCTCCTGACCTTGTGATCCGCCCACCTTGGCCTCCCAAAGTGCTGGGATTACAGGCGTGAGCCACCGTACCTGGCCTCCTACTTTTAATCAGATTTCATTCCTGTTACATAGGAAAGGCAATCCATTTATAATTTATAAAATGTTTTCAAACCACGAAGAATACCGTATCATTTTTTGTAAATCTATTTGAGTTATGTAGGTTATTTGCGGAGTTAGTAATACATTCACATGGTTCAAAAAAATTGTAGAGTATATAAAAAATATGAAGTGAATTTCTCCTGTCTACCACATCCCCCGTCTTCCCAGATCCTACCAAAACTCAAGTAAGCATTTTTAGTTTTTTTTGTGTATCTTTACAGAGATCATTTTTTATGAATTTACTACCAAGTAGAAACATATATGCTCCATTTTTTCATACAACTGGTAATATACATACTGTTCTGTACCTGGCTATGTTTTTTTTTAACTTAATATGTACAGGAAAATTTTACCATCACACAGTGCGTTTTACAAATTTTAATCATGAAAAAATAAAGGTCTCATTATTTTACTTGGCCTTTCAGTTAATGTGTAATAGAAAAGGGAAACCTTTTTTCACTTACTTGTTTTTTATGTATTAGACGTAGTAAATAGATGGTTATAAAGAGAACGACCACTGTTCTTGGAACTGAGAAAATTCCAAACGATCCTTGCATTTTGTTACACACTTTTATGCATTTGTGAAGATAATTATCCAATGCAGGCATCAGTAAACTTTCTTAAAGGATCAGATAATAAATATTTTCAGTTTATGAATGATACTGTCTTTGTTGCAGCTGTTTAGCTCTGCTGTTGTAGTACAGAAGTAGCCATAGATAATATGTAAAAAAATGAGTGTGGTTGTGTTCCAGTAAAGCTTTATTTACAGTTAACAGCCTGCCAGCCCACTGGCCATAGTTGGCCAACCCCAATCTAATTAATCTCTTTAGATCTATTATTATAATGAATTATATTGAAAGATTGCCTATTATTGAACCAATTTTACATTGTGTGATAAACCCCACTTGGTCATGATATATTATTTTTTTATTATACTGATAGGTTCAGTTCACTACTATATCATTTAGGATTTTTATGTTGACATTTATAACTAAAGATGGTCTACAGTTTTCCTTTTTGGTATCAATGTTATGATGTTATGCTTACTTCATAAATATACTCAGAATATTTCTAGTCTTTTTCTGTGCTTTGGAACAGTGGAATTATCTGGTCTTTAAATGCACCCTGGAAATTTTTTGTGAAACCAACTAGCTGTTTTACTTTTCGGGACTATTTTAGATGTTGCATTTTAGGTATATTGAAATACCTAATAAATTGTCAATTTGGGGTTTTCGGCATTCTTTCCATATCAGTAACTTCTCTAATCTTAAAACTCTTTAACATTTTGCCTTTGAAAGTAGGAAGTGTGCATTTTGATTATCACGTTGATCTGTTTTGTTCTGAAATGGTTATTGTAGGCCCTTACGATTAATAATGCTAACTAAATAGATTATTAAATGTAGACAGTTTTTGTTTTCCAAAAGTCAGCTTAAATGGAAGTTGTCATTTCTGTTATTTATTTTCATACATATTTGCTGGAGTTTCTGGATAGTGGAAAATTGTAAGCTACAGAATACTAATAATAAATCCTCTACAATATAAAGGAGAATATTTTCACTGCATACTTTTTCAACTCATTAACTTAAAACATAACCTGTTGTCATAATCAGGGCTTAATGTCATAACCTCTAATAATGTCTTCTCAAAGATAGCCTATATATCTACAAGATATAATGTCATTAAATCTGATTTTGTGTGAGAAAAATCTTCTTTAAGACTTTGATTTGTTTTCTTTTTTTGAGTGTAGAATTATATTCTGTTGTGTTTTAGGATTAACTCTTGGAACATAGTCTAAGTGTAAAAGGTAGTATATTTCACAAAAACCTAATTGTCTATTGTTCTGGCATTGAATTTCTAGTAAAACCGTAGAAAATAATAGATATTGTACTTAGTTAACTTAGATAAAGAACAAAAGAGTATACACTTTTGAAAACAATACTATGTATTAAGTTCTAGCTGAATACCACATCACTGTGACATTTGAATAGATATTACAAACAGGCTTCCACTTATGATTTAACGTATACTTTTTCACCTTTAAGAAGATAGCAAAGCAATATGCATTCAATAGAAACTGTACTTCGAGAACCCTTACAGTCATTGTTTTTCACCTTCAGTACAGTATTTATTAAATTATATAAAGGCTTTGTGTTAGATGATTTTGCACTAATGTAAGTGCTCTGAGCATGTTTCATGTAGGCTAGGCTAAGCAATGATGTTCGGTAGCTTAGGTATTTTAAATGCATTTTTTACTTAGATTTTTGACTTACAGTGGGTTTTTTGGGATGTAACACCATCGTATGTTGATGAGCATCTGTATGTAGAATTAATGATATAAAAAAAGAACAGTAGATCATTGAAACCATTCATTTTATATGGTAAATTTGTTTTGATACAATGTTAAATTTACTGGCAAGTTGCCAGAATGATATAAAGAATTCCAGTATGCCTTTGATCCAGAATTAAACATTCTCTCATTGATTCATAGTCTGTCCCTCTTTCTCACCCCTTGTCCCCTTTTCTCTCTCCCCACTCCCCCTACCACACATAAAAAACAAAGGACATGAGGTTATTTTATATATTTGTGTGTGTGTGTGTGTGTGTGTGTGTAAAATTTCAAAATACAACCTGGTGTCATAATCTGGTGTTAATGTCATGATTTTTAGCAGTATCTCCTTAGAAATGGCTTATGGCTTCACAAGAGGATATCATTATATATATATTTTGAAGTATTTATTAGTAAATTAGAGATATGCTCTTTTACTGCTGAGTACTTCTGTATTTCCTCAGAAGAGTGGCATTCTTTTTACTACAGTGTACTTATCAAAATCGAGAAGTATAGTATTTATTTAGTGTATCATCTGATTTCCATCTGTATTCAGATTTTAGCAGTTGACTCAGTAATACCCTTTGTAGTTTTCCTTCTCATGCACATAGATCACACGTTGCATCTGGGTGCCATATCTCTTCAGTCTCCTTAATCTGGAGTAGCTCCCCAGGATTTCTAGTGTTTCTTTGCCTTGATGCTTTTGAAAAGTACAGTTACTTTTTAACTGTTCCTCAATTTGTTTGTCTGATATTGCCTCATAATTAGTTTAACCCTATGCATTTTTTGCAGAATAGCCCAAAATAAAGTTGTGTCCTCCCTGCCTTACATTAGAAGTATATGATTTTGGTGAAATATTGGTGATGTTAACTGATCACTTGGGTAATGTGGTGTCTTCTGGGTTATTCCCCATTAAAATTATTTTTCCCTTTGCTATTAATAAGTAATTTGTGGAAGATACTTTGATATTATGTAAATATCCTATATTTTTTATGCAACTTCACCCCCTGGGTTTAGCATTCATTGATGATTTATCATTCTTTTTATTTTAATTAGTTGGCACTCTATCATAAGGATGGACTTTCCAGTCTATACATAAATAAATGTATTTATTCATTTAATTATTTACATCAGTATGGGCTCATGAATTTATATTCAGTGATTATAATTCATTACTCATTATTCTTTATTATGATCCTTTATGTGACTCCTGTTGCAGCTTCTGCACCAGTTGTGGCTTCATTACTTGAGCAAATTAACATTCTTTGGTATCTAGTATACAGCTATTGATCTGGCCAGTGCCTTTTTCTTCATACCTGTCCATAAGGTTCACTAGAAGCAGTTTGCTTTCATCTGGCATGGCCAGCAGTACACTTCACTGTCCTACCTCAGGGGTATATCAACTCTCCAGCTCTATGTCACAATTTAGTTTGCAGGGATCTTAATACCTTCTTACCCTTCCACAAGATATTACACTGGTCCATTATATTGATGACATTATGCTGATTGGACCTAGTGAGCAACTACTCTGGACTTAGTGGTGAGACATTTGCTTCTCAGAGAATGGGAAATCAAACTGACTAAAGTTCAGGGATGTCAGTGAAATTTCTAAAGGTCCAGTGATATGGGGCATGTCAAGATATTCATAGTAAGGTGATATTGTTGCATCTAGCCACTCCTACGACCAAAAGAGAGGTACTGTGCCTAGTGGACCTGTTTGGATTTTGGAGTCAACACGTTCCTCATTTGGGTGTATTACTCTGACCCATCTGCTGAGTAACTCAATCTTCTTTTCTTTTTCCTTTATCTTAACTATTCTGTCCTTTGAGTTTCCACATAAATTTTAGAATTAGATTTTCAGTTTCTCTTTTTTAGAAAAAATGCCTACTGGCATTATGATTAGTATTAAACTTAGGGAGAATTAATTGTCTTTCAGTACATGAACATAATGTATCTTTCCATTTATTTAAGTTTTCTGTAATTTCTTTCAGCGGTATTTTAGATTTTTTGAAGTAGAGGTTTTTACCTCTTTTGTTAAATTTACTTCAAGTATTTTGTGTCCTTTCATTCTCTTGTAAATGAAATTAATTTTTTAATTTGGTTTTCCAGTCGTTAGCTTCTAATAGGAATTACAATTGATTTTTGTATAATTTTTTATCTTGCAACCTTGCTAAATTTACCTATTGATTCTGATAATTACTTTGTAAATTCCTTGAGAGTTTGTATGTAGATAATTATGTCATTTGCAAGGAGAGACAGTTTTGCTTCTTCCTTTCCAATCCTCATTTCTTTCTTTTCTTGACTATTGTGCCAGTGGCAATAAATATGTCCATTGTTTTGTTTTGTTTTTTGCCCTATGTGATACTGAGAAATCTTCTTTATTTCTAGGGTGCTGAGAAGTTTTGTCATAAATGGATGTTGAATTTTGTCAAGTGCTTTTTATGCACTTATTAAAATTATCATAGGACTTTTTTTCTTCTGTTAATATGAGTTACATTGATTGATTTTCAAATGTTGAACCAACCCTGCACTCATTGGTAAACTTAGTCATGATGAGGCCTTGTATTATATGGCTGATTTGATTCTGATACTAAGAATTTGTGTGTCTACATTTCAGTATTGGTGAGGTTTGGTATCAGGGTTACACTGGCCTCATAAAACAAGGTGAAAGTAATCCCTTCTCTGTTTTCTGAAATTGTTTGCATAAGATTGGTATTTTTTCTTACTTGAATGTTTGATATAATTCACTGCTTATTCCATCTAGGCTCTGCATTTTCTTTGTAGGAGGGTTTTTAACCATGAATTCAATTTCCCCAATAGATTTAGGACTGTTCAGATCATCTCTTTTTGGGTGAGTTATGGTATTTTGTATCTTCAAGTGATTTGTTCATTTCCCTGAGGTAGTGCCATTTATTGGCGTAATATTTTCTTATTGTCTTCACTGTCCTTTTAATGTCTGTAGGATGTATTTGATATCACCTCCTTCATTTCTCATATTCATAATAGCTGTTTCCTCTTTTTCCTCCCAGTCTCTTGACAGAGATGTTTTAATTTTTTTTATTATCTCAACAAGTACTTAGTACAGTTTTTTTCTTCTTTATTTTCTATTCCTTTTATTTTTTGCTGCACCACACTTGGAGTTTAATTTGCTTTTTTTTTTTTTTTTTTTTAGCTTCTTAGGGAGGAAATGTAGATCTTTGATCTTTAAATTTTTCTTTTCTGATAGAATAATTTAAATCTATCTTTCAGTTTCCCTCTAAGCATTGGTTTAGTGACATCCTGCAAATTTTGGTATCACTCAGTTCACCATAATTATAGTTTTCTTTGTGATTTCTTCTTTGAGTAATGGATTATTTATAAATATATTCTTTAATTTCAGAATGTTTGAGGTGTTTGTAGATATCTTACTGATTTCTAATTCAATTCCATTTTAGTCAGAGAACATACTATAAAAGATTTCGGTATTTTGTAGTTTATCAAGATTTCTTTCATGGCCCAGCATATGATCTGTCTTGGTGAATGTCCCATGTGCAGTTGAAAAGAATGTATTCTGCAGTTATTGCTTATGATGTTCTCTGTTAAATCTCCAAGTACAGTGGTTTTACTAGTTCTGCCAGTTTGTTTCATTTTGAGACTCTGTTATTATATTAGGCACATGTACCTTTATAGTTATTTTTTATGAACTAACCTTTTTATTATTATGGAACATCCCACTATATCTTGCTGATGTTCCTGGTTACGAATTCTATTTGGCCGGATTTTAAAGTTAGCCACCCCAGCTTTTGTCAGCTTGGTATTTGTGTTAACGTTTTAATCCTTATGAAATGGTCCTTTTTATCTCAGCTAATATTCCTTGTCATTGATTCTATTTGTCTGTTATTAAAATTAGTCACCAGCTTTTGTCTGCTGGATATTTACATGGTTTGTCATCCTTTTAGTTTAAACAAATCTAGATCTTTGTGTTTTAAAGTACATTTCCTGCAAAAAGCATATAGGCACTTTTTTATTCTGTCTCTCAACCCCTGTGTGAGAAATAGTGTTTAGTTCATTTACATTTAATGTAATTGCTATAGCTAGATTTAAACCTATTTTGCCATTTCCTTTCTGTTAATACCATCTGTTTTTTTTCTCTTACAGTTTTTCCCCCCTCTGGTTAGTTTTGTCTCTTTCATTTGTTATGTCCATGTTTTACTTTGTGGCCTTGAACAAATTTATTGTAGCTGCTTTAAAGTGCTTTTTTGCTGATTTTCAATATCAGGGTCATTTTGAGGTCTTTTTTGTAGACTCTTTTTTTCACATTTTCCTTTTCTCCCCTAATTTTTAATAATTTCTATTTGTTGATAACATGTTGAAGCTCCTCTGCATCCTGTTATCTTTCTCTGCAAAGTCTTGATTCTTATTCCAGCAGACCATTGACTTGCCAGAACTCAAACTTTGTCCCCCTGTTTCAGCTTTAAGTTGCTTTTCTCCAGGGCCCCCTAGAGTCTTACCTGAGTGTGCATAATTCAGGGGCTTGTAGGTATTTAGTTGGGGTTCATACAAACATTTCATGGCTCACTTCTTGGCAACTTTCTTTTATGTAGACTATTGACTGCCCTCAGATGAACAGCCACATAAAATCAAATGTTACCTGGTAAGATTTCCTCTTACCCTTACTCTCATTTCTACCAGCTTTTGGTCATGCTCTAGTGCCTTTATGTTGTGGAGCTTTTTTCTTTCCCAGAATGTATAAATGTTAGAGTTCTCCAGTATTGGGGAAAGTCATGTTAATGTATGTAAAGTATAAATACATCCACAAGGTTGCTTGATAAAATGCTTATCTCAGATTAGGTAAATTTAACTTTTTTTCTTGTTTGAAATTAGCTACATTGAATAACCTGTTTATAATCAGACAAAAAAGTTATTTAAAAATGTGGTAGGAAGCAGTAAGATCTATTCTCTTTGATGAGTCTGTAGCTCTAGCTTGCTTTTATTTTAAGTTACTATGACTCCCAGTAGCGGCTGATGGTCATTTTATACTCAAAATTCAGTTTTTCAAAGTAGTTTTCAAATTCGGCTCACGATACAGTATATTTTAAAAGTTTGCATTTCAGAACTTTTCAAAATGAAATATCTCATTTCTTTCTGCATAGCTAAATGCAAAATTTCATTCCTCTGTTTTTATTAGCTAAATGCATTGAACAACTCACAGATAATCATTTAGTAGCTAGTACGCGGTAAATCTTAAGTAAAAGTCCGCTGTCAGAAAATGGAGTTCTTATTGGATAGCATAAATGTGGCATGTTTTGCCAGAAATGTCCTTGAGTCTTCATAAGTTTAAAGAAAGTTTATTTTAAAGAAAAACATATTCTGGGTGTGGTGGCTCACGCCTGTAATTCCAGCACTTTGGGAGGCCGAGGCAGGCAGATCACGAGGTCCGGAGATTGAGACCATCCTGGCTAACACGGTGAAACCCCGTCTCTACTAAAAATACAAAAAAAAAAAAACCAAAAAAAAAACAAACTAGCCGGGAGTGGTGGCAGGCGCCTGTAGTCCCAGCTACTCGGGAGGCTGAGGCAGGAGAATGGCGTGAACCTGGGAGGTAGAGCTTGCCGTGAGCTGAGATCACGCCACTGCACTCCAGCCTGGGCAGCAGAGTGAGACTCCGTCTCAAAAAAAAATATATATATATATATGTGTGTGTGTGTGTGTGTGTGTGTGTGTGTGTGTGTGTGTGTGTATATGTGTGTACATATACACTATATGCAAAGATTTTATAGAATTAAAAAATATTAACCTGAAAGAAGTGATAATCATATTGTCAGGTACAATTACATTTTTTAAGAAAATAAAAAAATTAAAAATATTGTTTTAAGAATAGAGCTTGCTTCTCCACTGCATTAAATAGAATTGCATTTAAAGATTCCATTTGTCATGTGTATAATGAAATAAGAATACCTAGCACTTGTATTTCAAAATACCTACTGTAACATTGTGTATATGTGATCTGATAGATATTGAAGAAAATGAAGATGCTGGAGCAGCCTCTCTGCCCACTCAGCCAACTCAGCCATCATCATCTTCAACTTATGACCCAAGCAACATGCCATCAGGCAACTATACTGGAATACAGATTCCTCCGGGTGCACACGCTCCAGCTAATACACCAGCAGAAGTGCCTCACAGCACAGGTGGGAAACTGTAACTGAATGATTTATTTAATTCCCCTTTTATAAAGAAGAACTGCATTTCTTATCACATATGTGCCTCATAATGATGGTCATGAAAACATGACAAGTTCCTTGAATTCCATTTGAACCCACAAGAAACATTAAATTATTTTCATTAAAATTTTAATATTAGTTGTATTCTAATTATTTGAGAAATGACAAGTATTATGTGCATTGATTACTCTTAACCTTATATTTTATTAATAAGATTGGTTTCCATGCTTTTCATATATATTGCTGTTTTTCTTTTTCTTCTCTTCCCTTTCTTTTCCCCTCACTGTTGTTTTAGAATAGCTCGGAGGTGAGTGGAGTTGATATTAGGATGTGTCAGTCAGGGTCTCACTGTGATATCTAGGTTTGTTTCATTCCCTTGGGACTATGCCTCTGCCCTGAAGATGGGTATTATTGATGATGGGGAATGGGCTTTGAGGCATGAAATCTCAGTAACAATGAAATCATAGACAGGTGAAAGCAGGGATTCGGATTTTTTTTTTTTAACCTTACACTTTAAAAAACTAACAGGAAAGAGAGACCTATCTGTGAATAAATCAGTACTGTATGTTTATGTTTTTATTTTTAAAAATCTGACAAAGTTAGTCCTTAGTAGTTAAGTCAGGGTCAGTAAAGACACTTTGACAAAATTTCAGTTACTCTTCCCTTTAATTGCATTGTTGACAAAATGTCACCTTTATCTCCAAGTAGGACACTTGCAGCTATAATTTAAATTTTACATTTAATTTTTTCAAAAACTTTTCTTAAAAATTTACTTTTATCCCAGGTGACTTATGGTACTAAACTATACAAACACTTTAAAATAATTAATGGAATGATAGTCATCCTTCATGCCCTGATTTCTACTGTTCCTATTATGTAACACACTACTACTTTACTTTTATTTGTCAGCCTTATTTTACCCAAATTTTTTTTATTTTACCCAAATTTTGCATGAATTACATTATATGCAAGTTTTCTATTTTGACCATTGTAACATCAAGTATGATTAGTGTCTTTCCTCCTATTTTAAAACTTACAAGTTTATATTATCTGCAAAAATATTGCTAACGTTTTCTTTAAGATTATTGATGAAATGATAATTTTAGCACTGATCTTTTTTTGTGTCTTCAGTCAGCATATTTGACCTTGACTTTTCAATATTTTATGGCCTATGTGATGATATTAATAGACAAACCTATTTGCATTTGTTTTGGAAGTAAAATTTCTTGGAACACTTTTAAGTATTTTATTATGTTTAGAAATATTCATTATTTCCAGTGTGGAATAATGTAAGTGAAACCAGCTACTTAGATCTGTTTGCCTTAGATGAATACTGTTCAGATTATACTTGAAGGTTGAAATCCTGATCAAGAGTCCCAGACACAAGCATTCTCATAGAGGAGCCAAGGGGAAATAAAATGCATTTAGGAGGCAAATCATATTGGTTATTTGTTTCTACCCCATGCTAAAGCATAAACTCAGCTGATATTTAACTTCTCGTGACCTTAATTTTTCCTCTTTCTAATATGAAATTAATCATACTTACTTCTCATGGTTATTTTAATTATTAAAAGGGAAAAACTGTAAAAATGGACTAGTAGTAGGCCTATCACAAAATCAGTGTTCAGCAGATTAGCCTCCTTTCCCTCTTTTTTTCCTCTTCCTTCCTATTTCTGTGCCAAGGAAAGTCAAGGTATTTAATGGCAAGTTAATGAACACTTAAAATTATTATGCGAATCAAGAGAAGTATCACAACTGGGGGTAGGATATTAACCTTATAGAAAGACTGTCCAAGGAGTTTTGTTTTAGACAGTATATCTCAAGGCAGAGTTGTGGTATAGGCACATCAGTATATATTTTATATATAGGTACACTCTATGAGTATACAAAAGAGAACACTTTTAACAGGAGGGCTATAGTAGATCGATCCATATGAAATTGCTAGTTTTGTGTAACAAAAATGATAAAGTATTGATAGTCTTATATGTTCAAACTAATACACAGTGTATCCTGGCTAGAATATTCATGACATAAAGATAAATATTAGGTGGTTTTCCATTAGAAAGTTTTTTGTCATAAACAGTTCAATTTGATCTAGTTAACTCTAGCATGAGCCTCTTGTTTTCTCTGTCTTTTGTTCCTTAGAGGGAAGAATAAAACTAAAAAACTTAGAACTTTTATAGAATGAGATCCTATCATATTTTATACACTCTTGTAGCCTTACCAGTCAAATGATTATCATGGCTAATTTCCACACTTATTCTTGCAGCAACTATATTATGTATTACTGTCTTTAACTTACAAACTCTCAAGAGACTAAGCAATTATTCTAAGAAAACAAACATACCCAGTAATGACAGAACCAGGATTTGAATCCACGTTTTTTTGACTTCATGTTTTAGCCATGTGCCTTCTATGTTCCTTCCTCTAAGGAACTAAAATCCTCTCAAATTAAAACCTACTTTTCTGATAGTATATTTCCCTTTAAGATTGGTTTGAGATGTTGAAATCTCCTCCTTTTAGCCCCAGATTTTTTTCTATTATATTTGAAACAGTAAAAAAAGTTCATAGTTGCCTAATAAAAAACAAAATAACATTTTTAATAATATAAATAATAGCAAATGTTTCCCCTCTTACTCACGTTAAGAATGATTTATTTTCTCTCATATAAAGGTCCAGGATGCACTTTTATCAAAGGGAAATCCTTAAGATAACTGAAAAGAATAGTATGTACTAATTTGCAGTTTTTAGTTCTTCCACAAAAAAGCAAAGGAGGTGCAATGAGGACAGGGATAGTGATTGTTTAAACAGGCGAAGTGTTTGCTTCTTGTGCTTTCAACACTGCACAGATATCACATGTAGTTGATACAGTGTGTTTTTTTCTTTCTCAAGAAACATAAGCTTTTTATAGTTCATATTACAGGAGAAGATTTTAGTAATAAAGCTAGATTAAATAATATAATTATTTTATGATTAAAGCTAGCCTTTCATTGTAAAATGCAGCTCACTTCATAGATCAAAATGTAGGCTGTGTACTTGTGTCAGAAGTACCATGTTTGCATTCTTCTGTAAGCTTTGATAACCTGTTGTTGATACTCTGGCCTACGCATTTCTCTCAACCCTGTTTCTCATGATTACACTAAGGTTTCACTCATTCTTTCCTTATACTGTTACTCATAGACAATATAGGTAACATTCCTTTCTTCCTTTTTCTGTGTCTCTCCAAATGCTGTGTTCTTTCAGGAGTCTGTTTAATCACACTTTCTGGATAGTCTTCTCTATAAATAGAGATTTGTTTGGAGGATTTTAATTTAGGCAGAAATGCAAATTACTTAGCAATGAATGACATTGATCTATAGATTGGACCATTAGAGTATAGTAGATTTACCTTGTTTTTTAAGATGTATATGAATGATATATGTAATCTACATAAGCCTAGGTACACCTGTTTCAAAGCACTAGACATGACTAGTGTGAAGATCCATCTCAGATTTTACATTCTAGCATTTTTAAAATAATATATATTTATGTGCCTTTCAGTGTTTGGCAAGTTTTGTGGAGAAAATTGTCAGATGTTTATAATTTAAATATATTTGGTGAGTACTTATCAAAATCAAGCAAAAAATAGTCATTGAATAGGTCAGCCTAAGATTTGGCTGTCTCCTCACTTTGCATTTATACTTTTATACAGTTTTCTATAAATATATTCATATACACAGTATATGAGAATATTTACTGTAGCATTATTTGTAATAGCAAAAGATTGGAAATTAAAACTTAAATGTCCATCAGTAATGGATTGCTTTATAAGCTATGCATGCAGAGAATGGGACACTATGGAACCATTAAAAACAGCAAGACAGATTTATACGTATTAATCTGGAATTATTGCTAGGACACATTAAGTGAAAAATGCATAAAACTAAAGTATAGTATGCAGAACTTACTACCATTTGCAAAACACACACGCAAGTATGCCTTCTAGAAGATTTTGGTTTAGATAAGTACACAAATTTCTTAGCAGAGAACAGCATTGACATATATATAGATTGGATTGGACACACAGTTATTTGTAGGTGGGTGGAAAGGTGTCATAGAAACTGGTACTAGCCCTAAACTTTGGGGTAGGAGAGGCAGGCTTTCTCCTTTATATTTTTTTGTACTATATAAAATTTGTACTTCACCTTTCATCTGTATCCCTGTGTACTTTAAAATTTTTCAATTTTTAGTTAAAAAGCAATATTTATATGGCTTTTAATAGTTCCAAAGGGTATAAATACAGAGCGAGTTTGTCCTGGAAAACAATTAAGTGAGGTAAATAATGTATATTTAAACCATTTTTTCTCTTAGGTTGGGGTTGAGAAAAATCTTAAAAGTCAAAACTTCTTACCAGAAGAACTTTAGAACTTCATACCAGAAAAACTTTAGACCTTTAGAAAATTTTAGAACTTCAGCCATCTTTTGTGAAACCGTTATTCTAGAACTCTCAGTGGATATATATCCATCCCCCTAGAAACTTCCTATTTATTTTAACCTTTTTCTCTGTTTCCTTTTTCTTATTCCAGTATTTTTCCCACTTTACCCTTTCTACAAATTGCCTATTCGAATTCAGTGTATTAGTTTGGCAAACAGTCCATCTTGAGAGACTGTTTAACTCCATTGATTTGGAGTAATCAACTTTTCCTCATTTTATTTTCCTGCTGATTGAATCATTTCAGTCCTTTTTTGGGGGAACTTTTAACACTTTTTGTTAGTTTTTTAGATGATTAATAAATAATCTTCAACTTCAGTATATTCCTTACCATTAATCAAGAATGCTAAGTTATTCATTGATATGACAGTTTTGAAATGTTCTAACAAAGTCAAAACAGTTGTTTATTGGATAATTGTTTATTGGATATGTAAAAATATCTTAAAATGTGTAAACTAGAAAATTACAAATGTTAATTTGTAATTTCATGCACAGTGATGAAATTGGATTCATCCTCTAAGTTAAACTAAATTAGAATTATGTTCTACTTTATCACCAAATTATTTAATTGGCTGAGAAATTGAAAGGTAGGGAGTTTGCTACTTCTACAGATATTTGGTAAGCTTTAATGGAGAAGTAATGCGAAGCATTAGACAAAATACATGTTAGGAAATGCATAGCCCATACACATATGTAAACACTTGATATCCTCCAACATCAACTAAGTATGTCAAGTTAGAATCCATTGATGTTTCTAGAAAATAAGCAAAGTAATGAAATTGCCTCATGATTTTTAAGTGCTGCCCTGCTGTATAATTAAAAGGTGTAATACTTCTATGCCCATTTTTGCTTTTCTGATTTGCAGGTGTAGCAAGTAATACTATCCAACCTACTCCACAGACTATACCTGCCATTGATCCCGCACTTTTCAATACAATTTCCCAGGGTAAGTCAGCTGACTATTTTGTGAGATACATTTATCTCCTGTTTTGGGTTGCTGTTTTGTAATTTTACCTTGACAGTACCATATATTTAAATGTTGTTACTGAAATTTGAATTTCTAGGTAATTTGAAATAAATTTCCTTGAATGCTTATGTTCACTAGATTCTCAAATGAGCCAGGATTGTTTGACTTTAAAAATACCAACATCCAAAGCTGTCCCCTTTTGTTACAGTTCTTTTTTTCATGCACTACCGGATATTGAAGAACAAACATGGAGCCAAGGCTACCATGGAAGCCTATGCTAGATTATATTAATTTAGTTCGAGATTACCATGAGTTCTGATTGTGACTTTTCTTATCTACACTGTTATTAAATTATCTAAAAAGAAAGGAACTGACCATTATTAAAAATAAAAATCTCTGAGGTTACTTTGGTTGGTTGGTTTATAGGCTAAGTGATTGGTTTAAGTATAATCTTTACTACTTTTCTGATTTCTCTGTTTTTTTAGCCCAAATCAGGCATTGTGTTTATTTTGGTCTTTCTCATTCAGACTTTTGTTTTCTTCATATGTCAGATGATATTTAATCCTTTTATATTTAAAAGGATTTAAATTTTAATCCTTTTATATTTAAAAGGATTTAAATTTAAATCCTTTTAATTTAAAGGAAGTGAAGACCTTTTTTGTTTTGTTTTGTTTTTGAGACAGTGTGGAGTGCAGTGGCGCAATCTCAGCTCACTGCAACCTCTGCCTCCCGGGTTCAAGCTATTCTCCTACCTCAACCTCCCCAGTAGCTGGGACTACAGGTGTGCGCCACCACACCCAGCAAATTTTTATATTTTTAGTAGAGATGGGATTTCACCATGTTGGCCAGGGATGGTCTCGATCTCTTGACCTCATAATCCGCCTGCCTCAGCCTCCCATACTGCTGGGATTACAGGCATGAGCCACCGTGCCCAGCCATTTATTTTTAATAGCTGTTATTTAGTTTCCTCTGTTAATGTCTGCCAGTGTGTTTTTCAGCTTGAATTTTCTGTTCTCCCTGTATGAGTGGGAACTGGCCAATAAGCCTTCCTGCCTCTCAACCATGGAATGAGGAGAGCCTTTTAGGGGTGAGCTGGATATCATACCTACCTTAAGAGTTCTAGCACTGCCTGGGCAGTTTGTTACACAGTTTTAGGGAGATGCTCTTTAAATCTCTTGTCAATTTTCTCTTTTCACTTTTTTCATTCTTTCTCTTCTCCTTTTTAATTTTGTGGATTTATTTCCTTCTGTGTTACTTTATCATTTCATTATGGTTTCAGAAGGAAGAATAGTTAATTATATATGCTTAGTCTACCATCTAGAACCAGAACCCTAGAATTCTTTATCTAAACTGTCAGGCAGGTGTTAGGGCAAAATAATTTTTAAATATGTAAGAACTCTCACATTTTGCCTAGCACATACCTTTTTTAAGGAACTTAACTCAGGATGTACTCCATCAAGATAAGGGTGGTAATCAAGCAAAATAGAAATATGAAATATAAGAAAGGGTGAAATATACTTCTTTAGATACTCCAAAGAAGAAAGATTCTATGATAGCTTTCCCACCTGCTTGGAAAGCAATTGCTCCAAAATTAGAATAGGAAATTGGAGAACTCCCCTCCTTTAAGAAAAATAACATGGATTTCATTTAATATATAGAATAGGAGCTTCAGAATATGAAAGACATAGATAAGATGCCCTAGAATCCTGCCAGTAAGAAAAAAAAGTGAACTAAAACATCTAATTTTGATATTATACAAGAAATCTCAGTTTGGAAGCAAACAAAAATATGCCATGATTTTGAACAGTAATAGAATTATGGAATATAAAAGAAAAGGATTTCATTTGACTTAGACACAAAGAACATTCTCCTTCAAAAGGTAAAAGGCTTATGACAAAACATAGAGTACTTCACTCAGAATGAAATATAAATATCAACACTGACATTTTAACATCATACTGAAAATCCTAGCTAGTGCAGTAAGAAAGGAAAAAGAAATAAAAGCTATAAAGATAGGAAAAGAAAAAATAACACTGTCTTTGTTCATAGATGACATGATGGTCTGTAGAAAATCTGGAAGAATCAATCAAAAAATACACTTAGAACTGATAAGCAATTGTAACTGGATTGCAGTATACATGATTAATATGCAAAAATTAATTGCTTTCCACATAGCAGCACAAAACAAGTGGGATTTGAAATTTAAATACACTTGCCATTGTGTTTGTATTTACATAAATACAATAATCAAAAACAAAATACCATTTACATTAGCATTCCACCAAAAATATTCAGGTATAAATGTAACAAAATACATTACAAGATCTATATGAGGAGAACTACAGAATGCTCATGAAAGAGTCAAAGAATTACATAAATGGAGATTTCGTGATCATGCATAAGAAGACTGTATTCTCAAGATGTTAGTTCTTCCCAGCTTGGTCTATAGATTATGGACAGTTCCCATCAAAATCCCAGCAAGTTATTTGGTGCATATGAACTCCAACTATCTAAAGTTTATATGGAGTGGCAGAAGACCCAGAATAATCAACGTAGTACTGAAGGAGAAGAACAAAGTTGGAGGACTGGCACCACCTGACTTAAAAACATAATACAAATCTGCAGTAATCTAGATAGTATGGTACTGGCAGAAGAACAGACAAATAGATCAGTGAGACAGAGTCCAAAAATAGACCCATACAGAAAAAGTCATATGATCTTTGACAAAAGGAGCAAAGGGAACACCATTGAAAAAAGATACTCGTTTCAATAAATGGTGCTGGCGTAACAGGACAGCCACATACAGCAAAAAAAGTGAATCTAGACACAGACCTTCCACTCATCTCAAAATTTAACTCAAAATGGTTCTGATGCCTAAATTTGAACTCCAAAACTAGGGACTTCCAGTTCCAAAATGGCAGTGTAGAAGCATACTGGCTTCATTCCCCACCAACAGAAAACGAAAAACAAATATACAGCACTGAGATTGACACCAGCAACAACCCAGAGCCCAAGTATGAGGATGAAATAGTTCCTGGGGCCACAGAGAAGTGGAAAAACTCCAGTAGGAGAATCAGACTTCCACTTTCATGATGCTTCTGCCCTACCCTTATGCCCACACAGAAAATCTCCCCCACCTCATAATTTCTACACTGAAAGAAGTAAAATTGAAGTGGTCAACCATCTTCCCCACCTCCTTGGGTTCCCTGGCAGGAGATCTGTCCTTGCCTTAACCCACAGGTAGCATCATGACTGCCTGCAGGGAAAATATCACTGAAGACCAGCAGAGACTATTATTCCCAGCCCCAGAAACTTCACTGTGCAACTTGGCCAAAGGAGACACCAAATCAGAATGGCTGTTCAGCAGTACCATGCTGTAGGAGGTACATTTCCCAGGTCCTGTAGGCACAAACCCCTACCTAGCCTGCCTTCCCACACTGCCAGTGTAATCCATTTGGGACATTCAGCGCTCCAAACATTTACTAGAGCTGAGGCAAACCTGGGCTTATGGCGCCACCTAGAGCTGAAAAGGAGGTAGCGACCTAGCAGTGAAGATTTGTTGAGCAAATATATGCAATAAAAACCAAAACAAGCTGGACAGAGAAAACTGGAATAAATAACTAATTCTTCCAGTGCAAAGACATAGGAAAGACCCACAAGAAACAACAGCAAACAGGGAATCATGACCTTCTCAAAAGGACAAAGCAAAAATCCTGGCCGGGCACTGTGGCTCAAGCCTGTAATCCCAGCACTTTAGGAGGCTGAGGTGGGCAGATTACCTGAGGTCAGGAGTTCAAGAGCAGCCTGGCCAGCCTGGCGAAACCCTGTCTCTACTGAAAATACAAAAAAAATTAGCCAGGCATGGTGGTGCATGCCTATAATCCCAGCTACTTGGGAGGCTGAGGCAGGAGAATCGCTTGAACCTGGGAGGCGGAGAGTGCAGTGAGCCGAGATCTCCCCACTGCACTCTCCAGCCTGGGTGACAGTGAGACTTCCATCAAAAAAAAAAAAAAAAAAAAAAATCCCAAAACTGACCCTAACAAGACAGCAGTTTGTGAGCTCTCTGACCAAGACTTCAGAATAACAATTTTAAGAAAACTCATTGACCTCTAAGATAATACAGAAAAGCAATAAAGACATTTGACAGATATTGGAATAATTTTTCAAAAAAAATCAAATCTTGGAACTGAGAAATACATTTGCTGAACTGGAGAACTCTTTTGAGGCTCTCAACAACAGAATGAAGTAAGCAGAAGAAAAAAATCAGTGAGCTCAAAGACCAGCTATTTGAAAATACACAGTCAGAAGAAGGAAAAAAAGAGAATGAAAAGGACTGGCTACAAGATATAGAAATCTACCTCAGAAGACCAAATCTAAGAGCCATTGATGTTCAAGAGGGAGCTGAGCGAGAGGTAGAAAGCTTATTCAAAGAAATAATAACAGAAAACTTCCCAAAACTTGAGAAAGATATAAATATCCAGGTACAGGAAGGTCTTTTAACACCGAACAGATTCAACCCCCAAATAAGACTACCTGAAGGCATGTAGTAATCAGATGCTAAAGGCCAAGGACAAAGAGAAAGTCCTTAAAACACCAAGAGATAAGAAGCAAATAGCATATAACAGAGCTCCAAATCGTCTGGCAACAGCCTTCTCAACAGGCCAGTAGGTATTGGAACATTTTAAAAAAAAACTGTCATCTAGGAATATTGTGTCCAGCAAAATTGTCATTCAAATATGAAGGAAAGATATAGTCTTTCCCAGACACAAAAGCTGACCCATCCTGCAAGAAAAGCTAAGGGGAGTTCTTCAGTCTGAAAGAAAACACTAATGTGCAGAAGAAAACATTTCAAGGTGTAAAATCCACTGGTAGAATTAATACTATGTATATAATTTTTTAGTATAGAGCAATTTTATAGTATAGAGAATAGAGCAATTAGGCAAAAGAAAGAAATAAAGTTCATCCAAATTGAAAAGGAAGAAGTCAAATTAGCCTTGCTCACAGATGACATGATCTTATGCCTATAAAAACCTAAAGACATCTTATGCCTATAAAAACCTAAAGACTCCACCAAAAAACCGTTAGAACTGATAAATTTAGTGAAGTTACAGGATACAGAATCAACATACAAAAATCAGTAGCATTTATATACACCAACAGCAAATAATCTGAAAATCAAATTAAGAAAGCAATCCCATTTACCATAGCTACAAAAAAATATAAAATACCTGGGAACCGATCTAACTAAAGAAGTTAGTTATTAATAACTAACTATAATATTCCGTTGTGTATATACACTATGTGTATATATTAATAACTAAGAAAAACTATATAAAATTCTGATGAACATAATACAAAAAATGTAATACAAAAAAATATAAAATACCTGGGAATCGATCTAACTAAAGCAGTTAGTTATTAATAACTAACTATAATATTCCATTGTATATATACACTATGTGTATATATTAATAACTAAGAAAAACTATATAAAATTCTGTTGAATGTAATACAAAAAATGTAATACAAAAAATACAAATACAAAAAAAAATACCTGGGAACCGATCTAACTAAAGAAGTTAGTTATTAATAACTAACTATAATATTCCATTGTGTATATATTAATAACAGAAAAACTATAAAAAATTCTGATAAATGTAATAGAAGTAGACACATAAAAAATGGAAAGATACTCCATGCTTATGGATTGGAAGAATTAATATTATTAAAATGACAATACTACCCAAAGCAATCTACAGATTCTGTGCAATCCCTATCAAAATGCCAAAGACATTCTTCACAGAATGACATTTTACCAAAAAAAAGAACCCTAAGATTTATGTAGAATGATAGAAGACCCTGAATAGTAAAAGCAAAACTGAGCAAGAGGAGCAAAGCTAAAGGCATCACACTATGTGACTTCAAAATTTACTACAAAGCTATGATAACCAAAACAACATGGTACTGGCATAAAAAACAGACACATGGACCAGTGGAACAGAATAGAGAATCCTGATATACATTTATGCATTTACAACCAACTTATTTTTGACAAAGATGCCGAGAACATACAATGGGGAAAGGACAATTTTTTCAATAAATAGTGCTGGGAAAACTGGATAACTATATGCAAAAGAATGAAAGTAAACCCCCATCTCTCATCCTACACAAAAATCAAGTCAAAATGGATTAAAGACTTACATCTGAAACCTCAAATCTAAGACCTATGAAACTTATAGAAGAAAACATTAGAGAAATGCTCCAGGACATTGGTCTATGCAAAGATTTTTTTGTGTGTAAGACCTCGAAAGCATAGGCAAATAAAGCAAAAATGGCCAAATGGGATTAGATCCAGCTAAAATGCTTCAGCATGGCGAAGGAAAAAATCAACAAAGTGAAAAGACAACCCATGGAATGGGAGAAAATATTTGCAATCCATCTATCTGACAAGGGATTAATAACCAGAATATATAAGGAACTCAGACAACTCAATAGCAAAAAACAAATAATGCAATTCAAAAATGGGCAAAAGATCTAACATTTCGTATATGAAGAAATGCTCAGCATCACTAATCATCAGAGAAATACAAATCAAAATCACATTGCATTATCATTTTACCCTAGTTAAAATGGCTCATACCAAAAGACAGGCATAGAGAACAGTGCAGAGGTTTCTCAAATAACTAAAAATAGAAGTACCATATGATTCAGCAGTTCCAAAGGAAAGGAAAACAATATCCAAAAGAAAGGAAATGAATATGCTGCGAGAAATCTACACTCTCATGTTTATCGCAGCACTATTCACGGTAGCCAAAAAATGGAATCAACCTAAATGGCTATCAGTGGATGAATGAATAAAGAAAATGTGGTGTGTATACACAATGGAATATTATTCAGCCAAAAAAAGGAAAAGAATTCTGTTATTTGCAGCAACATGGATAGAACTAGAGGTCATTGTTTGAAATAAAATAAGCCAAGCACAGAAAGACACATATCGTATGTTCTCACTCACATGTGGGAGCTAAAAAAGGTGGATCTCGTGAAAATAGAGGTAGATTAGTGGTTACCAAAGGCCAGGAAGGAAAGGGGGAAGGAGTGGAGGATGAAAGTGGAAAAAAAAGAATATACGTGTTTTTATTACCACTGAAATGTATGCTTTGAAACTGTAAAGATGGCAAATTATACATGAATATTTTACCTTCATAAAAAATAAATGTAAAAAGTAAAATACAAAACTATAAAACATGTAAAAGATAGCATAAGAGAAAATCCAGATGACTTTGGGTTGAGCAATGACTTTTTAAATGCATGACCTATAAAAGAAAGAAATGATAACGCAGATTTCATTAAGATTAAAATTTTCTGCCCTTCTAAAGATGCTGTCAAGAAAATGAAAAGACAGATCACGAGGTCAGGAGATCAAGACCATCTTGGCTAACACGGTGAAACCCTATCTCTACTAAAAATACAAAAAATTAGCCGGGCGCGGTGGCAGGCGCCTCTAATCCCAGCTACTCGGGAGGCTGAGGCAGGAGAATGGCATGAACACGGGAGGCAGAGCTTGCAGTGAGCTGAGATAGCACCACTGCAGTCCGGCCTGGGCGAAAGAGCGAGACTCCATCTCTTAAAAAAAAAAAAAAAAATGAAAGGACAAGCCACAGACTGAGAGAAAACATTGCAAAAGGCTTATCTGATTAAGGACTGTTAACAAAATATACGTAGAACTCCTAAAGAACAATAACGCAGACAACCCTATTTAAAAATTAGCAAAAGGCCTTTATAGGCACCTGACTAAAGAGGATATACAAATGGAAAGCAGACATATGAGAAGATACTCCACCGCATATATCATCAGGAAAATGCAAATTAGAACAATGAGATACCACTACACACCTATTAGAATGGCCAAAATCCACAACATTGACAGCACCAAATGCTGGTGACGATGTGGAACCACAGAAACTCTCATTCATTGCTGGTGGGAATGCAAAATGATACAGCCATTTTAAAAGACAGTTTGGCAGTTTCTTATTTAACTAAATACATTTACCTTAGGATCCTGCAGTTGTGTCCTTGGTATTTACCTGAATGCTTTTAAAACATATATTCATATGAAAACCTGCAAGCAAAAGTTTATAGCAGCAATGTTTACAATTGCCAAAACACAGAAGGAACCAAGATTATCTTGCTGTCGGTGAATGGATAAATAAACTGCAGTACATCTAGACAATGGGATATTATTCAGTGCTAGAAGGAAATGAGCTATCAAGCTATGAAAAGACATGGAGGAAACTTAAATGCATATTACAAAGTGAAAGGAACCAATGTTTAAAAGCTATATACTGTATAATTCCAAGTATGTGACATTCCGAAAAAGGCAAACTATAGAGGGGGTAGAAGATCAGCAGTTGCCAAGAGTTAGGGGGAGAGGGAGGGATGAATGAGTGGATCACAGAGAAGTTTTAGGGCAGTGAATCTATTTTGTATGACACTGTGTTTTAGTCTGTTCTCATATTGCTATAAAGAACTACCTGAGACTGGGTAATGTATGAAGAATAGAGGTTTACGACTCATGGTTACACAGGCTTAACAGTAAGCATGACTGGGAGGCCTCAGGAAACTTATAATCATGGCAAAAGGTGAAGGAGAAGCAGGCATCTTCCTCACATGGCAGCAGGAGACAGAGAGGGAAGGGGGAAGTGCCACACACTTTTAAACCATCAGATCTCGTGAGACCTCACTATCACAAGAATAACAAGGGGCACATCAGCCCCCATGATCCAGTTACCTCTCTCCAGGCCCCTCCTTCAATTCAACATGAGGTTTGGGCAGGGACACAAGTCCAAATCATATCATTCTGTTCTTGGCCCCTCCCAAATCTCATGTCCTTCTCATATTCCAAAATACAAATATCTCTTCTCAATAGTCCACCAGTCTTAACTCGTTTCAGCATTAACTCAAGTTTATAGTCCAGACTCTCCCCTGAGACAAGGTAAGTCCTTTCCACCTATGAGCCTGTAAAATCAAAAACAAGTTAGTTACTTCTGAGATACAGTGAGGGTGCAGGCACTGGATAAATGCTCCCATTCTTAATGGGAGAAATTGGCCAAAACAAAGGGGCTACAGGCCCCATGCAAGTCTGAAGCCCACCAGGAAAGTCATTCAATTGTAAAGCTCCAAAATAATCTCCTTTGACTCCATGTCTCACTTCCAGGTCATGCCAATGCAAGGGGTGGGCTCCCAAGGCCTTGGGCAGCTCCACCCCTGTGGCTCTGCAGGGTACAGCCCCCTTGGCTGCTTTCACAGGCTGATGTTGAGTGCCTGTGACTTTTCCAGGTGCATGATGTAAGCTGTCAGTAGGTCTACCATTCTGAGGTCTAGAGGATGGTGGCCCTCTTCTCACAGCTCCACTAGGCAGTGCCCCAGTGGGCATGCTGCATGGGGGCTCCAACCCCCCATATCTTCTCTGCACTGCTCTTGTAGAGGTGTTCCATGAGGGCTCCACCAGTGCAGCACACTTCTGCCTAGACATCTGGGCATTTCCATACATTCTTTGAAATCTAGGCAGAGATTCCCAAACCTCACCTCTTGCCTTCTGCGCACCCATAGGCCCAACACCACACCTTGGTGTGGCCATGGCCCAAGCCACACCTTGGTCCCTTTTAGCTATGGCTGGAGCTGGAGCAGCTGGGGTGCCATGTCCCAAGGCTACACAGAGCAGCTGGCCCTGTATCTGGCTCATGGAACCATTTTTTCCTTCTAGATCTCCAACCTGTGATGGCGGGGTCTGCTGTGGTGGTCTGTGAAATGCCCTAGAGACACTTTCCCCCACTGTCTTGGCTGTGAACATTCAACTCCTCTTTACTTATGCACATTTGGGTGATAGACTTGAATTTTGCCCCAGAAAACAGGGTTTTTTTTTTGTACCACATGATCAGGCTGCAAATTTTCCATACTTTTATGCTCTGCTTTTTAAATATAAGTTCCATTTTCAGATAATCTCTTTGTTCATGCATATGAGCCTACACTTTTAGAAACAGTCAGGTCAACTCTTGAATGCTTTGCTGCTTAGAAATTTCTTTTGTCAGATACCCTAAATCATCTCTCTCAATTTCAAAATTCCACAGATCTCTAGGGCAGGGGCAAAATGCCTCCAGCCTCTTTGCTAAAGCATAGCAAGAGTGACCTTACTCTAGTTCCCAATAAGTTCCTCATCTCCATCTGAAACCACCTCAGGCTGGACTTCATTGTCCATATCATTATCAGCATTTTGGTCAAAATCATTCAACAAGTCACGTGGAAGGTGAAGGGGAAGCAGGCACCTTCTTCACACGGCAATAGGAGAGTGAAGGGGGAAGTGCCACACACTTTTAAACCATCAGATCTCATGAGAACTCACTGTCACAAGAACAGCAAGGGGGACATCCATCCCCATGATCCACTCACCTCCTACCAGGCCTCTCCTCCTATTTGACAGGAGATTTGGATGGGGACACAAATCCAAACCATATCACACTGTAACAATAGATATATGTCATTATAAATTTGTCCAAACTCATGGAATGCACAACGTCAAGAGTAAACCCTAACATAGACTCTGGGTAATACTGATGGATCAATGCAGGTTCATCGATTGTGACAAATATACCACTCAAGTTGGGGAGTTTAATAATGGAGGAAGCTATGCATGGTGAGGAAGGGGAGATAAGGGAAATCTCTGTACCTTCCTCTCAACTTTGCTGTGAACTTAAAACTGCTCTAAAATATAAAGTCTTTTTTAAAAATAGTGCATTTATAACCACTGTCACTACCATTACTACTGCTTCTAGTACTTATACCCCTTTTCTGCTACATATTTCTCCTTACTGCTTAGTATTTAATCACCTTTTAATGCATATATGTGTGATATTAATGTATATTAAATATATTGTAATGAATTTATGGCTCACTCTGGAGAATGGAATTGGATAGGTAGGTATTTGAAGCACAGTGTTTACTTTTTTACTTTTACATCTCTGAATAGTATTAGAGTGTCAATGACAACTTACCTGATAAAGTTTTTTGAGCATTGGCCAGGCGCGGTGGCACACGCCTGTAATCCCAGCACTTTGGGAGGCCGAGATGGGTGGATCACGAGGTCAGGAGATTGAGACCATCTTGGCTAACACGGTGAAACCCCGTCTCTACTAAAAAATTACAAAAAAGTTAGCCAGGCCTGGTGGTGGGCGCCTGTAGTCCCAGCTACTTGGGAGGCTGAGGCAGGAGAATGGCATGAACCCGGGAGGTGAAGCTTGCAGTGAGCCGAGATCATGCCACTGCACTCCAGCCTGGGCGACAGAGTGAGACTCCATCTCAAAAAAAAAAAAGTTTTTTGAGCATTAAGTGATATAATATCTGAATAGTATTTAGCACAGCACTTGACATAATGAAATTCTGCCTGTATTCATAACTACTATTGTTGGAATTGTTAAGTGACATGTCTCAGCAATGCCTGTATGTATGAAGGTTCAGTCTGTGTCCTGTGTGTTCCATCCAAGTCAAAGGATAATAGAGTATACCAGAATGAGATTATCCAAGGCCTTTGACATAAGAATTTCTAGAACTATCTAGTTAAATTGGAAAGAGCTGCTAAAGACTCATTTTGGAAATATTTACAAATAAGTGTTCTATCCTCTCTTATGACATTAGATATATCAACCTTGGAAATGGATGCTTATGTCAACTGAGCACGCAGTGATTTTTCTTTATACCAAGTGATGTTATCTTTGATCCAGTGCTGACCCAGGCTCTCTTTGCCACTGTAGTAGAGGATTTAACTGATAGTTCTAGCTCTCTTCTGCCTGATCTTGTCCTGACCTCTGAAGAGGAGATGAAGCCCTCTTATATATAGATGGTCTTGTCTGCAGCTCGTCTGTAACTTATAAGCTAAGATTTCAGAAGAGAGATATATTAGACAACCCCTCTAATCTTTGAAGCATCTTTAAGGTCCACTTGCACCCTCTCTTGTTCTGATTATGGCCTCTAGTAAATTTTAATGATAGAAAAAAAAAACAGCTTTTATTTTGGTGCATTAAGCTTATATTGACCTTTTTGAGTATAAAGTCAGATAAACTGAAATTTAACACTTGTTCTCTTTCTGAAATGTGTTTACCCTTATATATTTTTCGCTTACTCTGTTGAGTTTTTAAATACTAATTTTAAAGACTCATAATTAGGTGACATTTTATTTTTACTCAGTTTAAGAATTTAATTCATATTTTATTAATGAATGTAGACTAGTATACTATATTTTCAAAATAAAGGAGAGCCTATGTGTTACAAAATAGCATGTAACATGATTTTTTAGCTTAATTTTTCATTGTTGAAAATAAATATCTCTATATGTTTATAAGTTACATTTTGGATCTAAATCTGTACATTGGTTGTTACTTAGTTCTTGTATTTTATATATGAGTTACATAATTGGTTATGCATGTCTGTAAGCTTTATGTATTTTATATCTAGTTATATTTTTCTGTTAATTTCATTCACATTTTTTAAATATTGAAATTATTTCACAAAAAAATACAGTATTTGTGTTTTAAAATAATTTAATCCTTGGTAGATAAGTTTATAAAACAAAAATAGTAACAGAGTTCTTGCCATTATACACGTTTTACCTTATTAATAAGTGATATGTCAGCCAAACAGTGCTAAAGCTAATGGTGTAAAAATAAAGATTAATCTGACCATTACAGCCTTCTTTCAGCATGTCCAGTAAATTCTGGATGGATGCCTTGTATATTTAAAAGAGTGCCCTGAGATAGGAGAGACTTAAAGCACAAAAAGTAGCGTTAAGGTAAACTCAATTTTCAAAGATGTTTCCTCACCTAGACAGCGTATGTAGTGTAAATATATTTTGAAAAACCATTAAAGAATCTGGTAGGTATTTTTCAAGATCAGAAATATGAACTGGAGCATACCTGACTAAATTGTCAACAGAACTTCAGGATAGTTGATGTTTAGGTTTAATGGGCAACAAATGCCAAGTCAGTAACTTCTGTTAAAATTGGGATCGGTAATCCCTGATTCACAACAGTGAAGGCCAAATTTTATGTAATCTTAAATACTACTAGTTCAACAAATATTTGAAGACTTACTCTAGCACCCTACACTAGTAAGTATATGTGTATTTTAAAATCTGCAATTTAATTAATGTTTAATTCTATATGAACTTAGTTTTAAAATGTGGGAAATAATTTAAAATACAGCTTTTTCATATTCATGCAGTGAAGTTACTGAGCACCTGCAGGTGCCTGGCACTGTGCTGGAAACAGTAGCATCAATTGTTTCAGTACTCTTTTTGAAAATTTTAGAAAATAATAATTTGGATCAGAATATTGTATCCACTTGCCTGGAGTTGCTACCTAGTTTGAAATCTTTGCCTAGGTGATGTCAAATTTTTAATTTTATGCTGCGTGTGTGTATTTGTGTATACACACACGCAGCATAAAATATATACATATGGCAAAATTAAAAGCAACTAAACGAAGTCATTCTAAGTACAGCCTTGTACTTATTTCAAACAGAATTGAAATATGTTGTCTGCTTGTTATAGTCTATGCCTCCCAGCCTTCTGATTAGTACTCCTGAGAATTCTCATAAAAATTTCCAAAGAAAATGGTGGTTATTTCAAAAGACAAGATACAATGTCCATTTTTAATTTTGTCTTTAGAAATATATATTCAAGGAAATTCGTATCTTAGATTAAATGAAATGTTTTTAATGTTTTTTTTTTAAACTGAAATTGTTTAGTTGGGCACTACATGTTAATCATATGTATAACTAGAAAACTTGCTAAGAATAAATTTTAGAGAAATAATATGTAATGGTTGTTTACATGTTTAATTGTATATTTCAGTGATATAAAATTTAAGAAACCTTAAGAAATTTTTACATGGATGGCACAAACATGTAAAATACTCTCATGCTTAAAACAAGCTAAGCAACCTGGTTTTCTTTACATAAAGTTTGTTATTCACTTTTTTTTTATTGAAGGTGATACTTACATTCCAGCTCAAATGAGGGTTGAATTGGTTTAGTCTGTGTGTATTGTTCCATGAAGAGAGAGGCTAAGTGATTTTAGCATAGACACCAAAGCTGCTATCCTTGTTTGTCCTTATTGCTTCTTGAAGGAAAATCTTAATTCATCTAAGTTATTATGTATTGCCGTGTCTGTGGTTTATATTAGTAATAAAAAGACAATTGAAAAGAATGAAGAAAATGTATCAAAGTTCATGTGAGATTGACTAAAACTACTGTTTTTACATAGCCTTAAATATGTTTTTTAATCTTAAGCATAAGCATTTGCCCAACCTTACAGAACACTTTTTATATTCTTATAAATATCCCAATTGTTCTTTTTCTTCTAGGGGATGTTCGTCTAACCCCAGAAGACTTTGCTAGAGCTCAGAAGTACTGCAAATATGCTGGCAGTGCTTTGCAGTATGAAGATGTAAGCACTGCTGTCCAGAATCTACAAAAGGCTCTCAAGTTACTGACGACAGGCAGAGAATGAAGCCTTTGTATGACAGACCCATGTATTTTTGGCATGAGGAACTAACAGTCCATTACTCTATCTTCAGCCTATCAGGATCACAGTTTTAAGGAAGACTTGGTTTTGTTGAATATGACAATGAAATCTGTGTGTATCAGATTTTTATTGAAGCATTCATCAGCAGCCTCAACCAGTTTTCATTGTCCATTTACTAGATTCAATCGTCTCTGAGTATATAGGGCTGATGTTAGCAAGACCCTAAAAATGTCCATTGAACCCTGCTTCAAAAAATGAAAACACACCTCTATAAAATGTGTACTGGGAATAAGCTTTGTATTTACATACATTAGGGGAATTTTTTAAAATCTGTAATGTTTGGACAAACAGATGATATTACTTTGCTATAAAATTATAAATGTAACTTTTAATAAAGATAGCCAGAATATTCTAAATTAGAAATTACGTTTTTGTTTCCCTCAAGACATAAAACAAATATAAACATTCTAAACTGCTGGATGAATCTGAAAAGACATTAAGTTCAAATTTTAATTTATTCTCATATTAAATATAACTCCATTAAAAGTTTAAAATTTCATGGGAGAAAATATAATAAGGTAAAGAGGTAGAATCACTTTCAGACTTAAGAATAATGTTGATTTCCCAAGTGCTTTACCTTATCTGTTAAAGCGTAAGATGAATTGGTATTTGCTTCATAGGCAGTTTGACTGCATGTATTAGAGAATGAAAAGAAGATATTTGTAGTAATGCCTGGAAACTTGGTGCTTTAAATTAAGGTACTCCTCTGCTGCTGTAGAATGGATTCCACACAGTGGATAGCTATGGGTGATTCAGAATATTATGTTTAGATTCCCATTTGTTAAGTTTATAAGTTTTGTGGGGAATTATGAACTTACTGTGTACTACCTGCATTTGTGCTGTGTGAAAAATAAATACAAGGATTCGTTTAGCTAATTCAACTTACTACAAAGACAAATGTCTGTTTTTATTTGCCTGCTAGGATTGTCTTTTTTAAAAGTCATTTTTATTTATAGGAATATGGGTGTTTCTATAGGAAGAAACAGGTTTTTTGTTTTTTGTTTTTTAAGATAAATTTGACAAAGTTAACTGAAATTTATCTGGTCCATTTTATTCATGCTACTAAGATGGGAATCTTTAAACACAAGGGTCAGCAAGCTTTGGCCCATGGATTGGCCACCTGTTACGTAAATAAAGTTTCTTTGAAACAAGCCTACACTCATTCATTTATGTTTTGTCTGTGGTTGCTTTCCACAACTGCAGAGTTGTATGGCTTGCAAGTCTAAAAACATTTACTATTTGGCCCTCTAAGAAAAAGTTAAGACACCTAGTCTAATGGCCTTTTGGGAAAAAACAAATCACTAACTCATAATCATTTATATCCATTATTTTCTGCATAAATGTAATGCTATTGTACAGGGTTTGGTAGAATAAATATTCAGACTGACTAAACTGTTCTAAATCCTCACAAAAAAGTCCCCAAACAACATGCCTCCTAAAAAACATTTTCCTATCTTTTACAAGAGGTATGAACATTTGTAGGGTTCCACATTTGCATCTAGAAATCCAATGCTCTTTAGAATGTTATTACGAATAGAAAGATGGCCAGGATGACCTTTAGTGTTACATGATGTTCAGCAAATTTTAATTCAAACCTTGATATGCCTGGACACTGAAAAGTAAACGCATCACCTCCTATTTTATACCCTACCTTCTGGTTCCCAATTGGGAGAGCACATAGAGGGAAGGAGACAATATAGAAACTACGGAGTCCGCTGGTAGTGGGCTGCATGGTGTGACAGAGCCCTTCTCTGTAAAATGGAAATGACACCACTAGCCATCTCAATAGTTACAAGAATTAAAAGAGATACAGTACCTGAAGTGCTTAGCGCATGGTAGCATTTCATAAATGTTTAGTGTCAATACTAATGCTCTAATAATGTAAATTGTTAATAATTTATTTCCCTAATATCAGGAAATCCCAGTTGTCTATGTGGCCCAGTGCTTAAAAACGCCTTCTTGCATGAGGGGATTGAACTATACAATGTTTGTTAACTTTGTATTTGTATTTTTTCCTATAAAATCTTAAAATAAAATTAGGAGATGTGTTCTGATGTAACAGTAGGATTAGCAATTTTCATTTATTCCTTCCATATATATTTACTGAATGGCTACTATATGCCTGGTATTGTTCTTTGAAAGCAGAAACAGCAGGAAAAAAAGTCCCTCCCTCATAGAGTTTACATTCTAAAAGGGAGGAAATAGATAATAAAATATACATTACATTTAATCAGTGGCTCTCCGAGTGTGATTAGAAATACAAATTTTGGGCCCCACCTGTCCTACCCAATCAGAAACTCTAGGGATGGGTCCCAGCCTTCTGAGTTTTAAGAGACACTTAAGGTGGTCCCTAAAGTTCGAGTGGTTTAGCTCTACCCAAATCAGAAATATTGCAAGTCTGAGAAAAGAGATTCTCCTCAAACCGGTTCTCAAAGGTGTCTCTGGACGACCGGCATCAGCATCACCTGCGAACTTGCTAGAAAGTTCTGGGGACCACACTATGGGAACTTCTGTATTAAATAGTGATAAATGCTATGGAGGAAACATTGAGGACAGGATAGGAGATGCTTAGGTGTGTACAGACATATGCATATTTCAATAGAATAGCCAGGATAGACCTCCCTGAGGTAACATTTGAGCAAAGAAGGAAAAGAGTAACTAGTATGCAGATACATACATGGAGGAAGAGCATTCCCAACAGGTAGACAGAAATCAGGTCAGAGGGTAAAAGCAGGAGAAAGGCTGGTGAGGGAGCTAAAAGCTTAGGATCATAAAGCTTTTTTGTAAGACACTTGACTGGGAGCTATATGGAAAGGTTTTCAGAAGAAACGTAGCCTGATGTGACTTAACTTTTGAAATAATCATATTGGCTCCTATGTTGAGAATAGACCGTAAGGTGGGTGGTAAGTAAGGGAGGAAGCTGGGAGACCAGTTAAAAAGAGTATTAACAATAGGCCGGGGGCGGTGGTTCGCACCTGCAATCCCAGCACTTTGGGAGCCAAGGCAGGCGGATCATCTGAGGTCAGGAGTATATATTTATTAATATATAAATATGTATTTATATATAAATCATAAATATATTAATAAATATATAATATATATATTAGCCTGGCATGGTGGCACATACCTCTAATCTCAGCTACTGAAGAGGCTGAGGCAGGAGAATCGCTTGAACCCAGGAGGCGGAGGTTGCAGTGAGCCGAGATCGTGCCACTGCACTCCAGCCTGGGCGACAGAGCGAGACTCCTTCTCAAAAAAAAAAAAAGTATTACAATAATCAAGGTGAGATATTATGATGTCTTAGTCCAGGAGTAGCCTTGGAGGTAATAAAACGGGATTGGTTTCTGGCGGCTTTTTTTTAGGTAGAGCCACAGGATTTCTGTAAACTGGATGTGAGGTACGAACATAAGAGAAGGAGTAAAGGTTGACTCCAGATTTTTCACCTGAATGCCTGAAAGGAATGAGTAATCATGTACTGCAGTAGGGAAAGTTGCCGAATTCCTCTCTCACTTAGACTGAAGTACAATGTTTCCAAGTTTTTGTGACCAGCCCAAGTGAAACTGATAACGGTGTTTTGTCAATGCGGCAGAGGGAGAAGAAGAAATAAGGTTCTGCTGACAATGATTGCCACAGATATCTCACCAAATCACTGCTGAACTGGAGCTGCAAGCCAAGAATAGTTCCCATGGTTAGCATGGCCTAGGAAGTTTACTGACATCAGGACTACACCAAGAAAAAGACTCCAGTTATGGGTCTTGAAAATTAATATCCTCAGATGTTTTTAGAATTTATATATGACTTGTAATTCTAGAAATTTGAGAATTCTATGTATGCATTGAAAGATTATATACTGTCTTTTCTAAAGAAACACCCTAATAGCAGCATTGTACAAATATTTTCAACTCTAAAAGAATAATAGCTAATGGAGTTGATGGGTTTTGGTTTTCATATGAGAAGTATCCTTCCCTGGTTGGTTGTAATCTTTGAAGTCTATGTGGAATTCTAAGACTGCAGGCTTGTTCATTGGAGTACACTTAAGTAGGACAAATTCTAAGTAAGCAACACTTCAATAATAATCATAATAGCTAACATTTCAATGTTTACTAAATGTCAGATACTATTCTAAGTATTTTGCATATATTAATTCATTTAATCTTCACAGTGGTCCTGAGAGGTAGGCTTTATTTCTGTTTTAAGATGAGGAAAGGGAGCCACAGAGTAACAAATTTGCCTAAGGTAACACAGCTAATATTTATTTCTAAGCTCAGACTGCCTGTTTCAGATCATAAGAAGTATCATCCATGTCAGTAAGTCACCTGTTACATTGTAAGTACAATGAGATGTTATGAGTTCCACATTATCAAGGTCATTGGACAGTTCCTTTTATTAGTGAGGTGTTAGCACCTAAATTTTTCTATTATCTGGGCCATATGTTCCAATTGACAGTGCTAGGCAGTGAACACAGGGTATGAACTTGAAAATCTGATTGCACCCTCAATATCTGGAATATACACTGATCTATGACCTGAAATTGTATGGACTGCAGCAATCCAAGGGGACACTAAGCAGGGTTTGAGTAATGCTACAATGGATTTATAGGTCATTTTGGAGAAGGTGTTCCACATCATTAGGGAGTCTGGGTTTCCCAGATGTGCCTGTTTTATCCTTTTTATTTTAAATAACATCACTGTCTTTCCTAACTAAAAATTCTTCATCTTCAGGAAATAAGATTGAGATACGGACTGAAAATATAAAATTAGCAATAATGTTTATTATTAGATACTTCCTCAATTAAATTTCTCCCTGAAAGTCTTAGGCAAAAGCCCCTGTCTCTTACTTCATATATCAAGTTTGGAGGGAAAGACATAATTGCATAGCAGTATTCCATGAATATAACTTAATGGGGAACTGGCTTCAGAGTTCAGCAATATTGGGAAGTCTTGTCAAATATTAAGTCATTCATATGTTCAAAAATATTAATATGTATTGAGCATCTACCATCAAATATTTAATATGATAATGCCATACTGGATATTATATACGAGTTACAATAATTCTTCCTAAAGTCAGGGAAAGCTTCACAGATAAGGTTGAGCTGAAGGTTTGGCAGGCAGGGAAGCAAGGAGAAGTTAGCAGAGAGAAAAGCACAAGCAACACCATGGAGGAACAAATGTGGGCAATTCAGGTAACTCGAGTAATTTAGTGTTACTATGCATATGGCCTATGGAGGCCAGGAGTGTAAATGTATTATGGCTGGGGCGGGGGGCTAGGGAATGTGTTATGACTAAATTGTATCCCTTCAGAATTCATATTTTGAAGCACTGATCTCCAGTGTGTCTGTGTTCAGAGGCAGGTCCCATAGGGAGGCAATTAAGGTTACATGAGATCATAAAGGTGAGGCCCTAATCCTATAGGTCTGCTGTCATTACAAGAAGAGGAAGAGCCACCGGAGCTGGCTCATTCTGCACGTGTACAGAGAAGAGGCCATGTGAGGACACGCAGAGGCTCGAATATGCTCTCAACCCTATCAGTTGCCTGCTTTAATTCATCCCATGGAATTGTTTTGTCTTTTCGACCCCTCGGCTATGTTATTTGTATTGTGATATAGGGGATATTCGGAGTCCTCTGAGACGGGACAAGGACACTGGACGGTCTATTGTGCCATGCTTATATATTTTCTGTATACAATGCTTTCTGTATAAAACCAGTAATACCTGAGAAACAACAGTAACTTGACAAAATTACTATTGATCACTTAACTTTATGTATCACGTAAGTTAAACTTTATTTATTTACATGTGTCTCCCTCATTAGATGCTAAGTTCCTTGATATTTTATACATTTGTGAATTCCTGGTAATTCACATGAAGCTTGATGCATTGTAAGTATTCTGACCTGGTGAAATAAATATACGAATGGGCAAAAAAATATATACTAAAATGATCAAATAAAGGTTGTGTTCAGAAACCTCTGTTCTATTATATCATAGTGATTTAAGATTATAATAATTGCATCAAAACGTTCTGAAATCACATATTAATCTTACTTATCAAAAAAATCCAGTCCATGCCACCCAGCAAGTCTCGATTCTTAATTCGAATGCATGGTTCTTTATCTTTTGACACCATGAAGCATGATGTCAGGTATGCTCAGGACATTCTTAGAATATACACTAATAACATCCTAGTCACAGACATATATGATACTTGTTAGCAGCTTATATGTTCTTGGTCTGTCTATACTCTGGCAGAGATTAATATATTCAAGCTCAATGGAGTGAAGAAGTAGCAATGTGTATCTTAAAAATGGGAGAAAATATTTAGACCACATTGAAAATTGAAAATATTTATGGTGACTGAGGAAATTGTAACTGGAAGATTATTGCTCCAGATGAAGAGACAAGAGGAAGTTTAAAATTAAAGCCACCAATGACATCTGAACATTTTGGGAAAGTCAGAACTCATTTGATTTTTTTTTCCTCAATAGTTAATCTTTTCTTCTGCCTACTGGTTCAAAGATAAGCAACTGAAAAAAAGGTGTGAAGATGAGAAAACCATAGGCACAGAACGCTGTCACGCAGAGGGGTCTGTTCTGAGTCAGGAAGCTGATGTTCTGGTACGCTCACTGTGGCAATCTGTTCTGTCTACCAGAAAATTGGCCCTTCTGAACCTCCTGTGAGCTTTAGTTTTCCCACAACAACCAGGAGCAGGCAAAACTAGATTTCTACGGTGTTTTGGAGATCTAATATTCAAGTCTCTGAATAATACTTAGACTTCTGCAAACAAAATTTGGGATTAGGTGTGTGGCCCTTGAAACGCCCTCATTTTAACTAGACAAATTATAACATGTTTTTAAAACTTAAATCTTGACAGTCATCCTATTCTGTGATTAAATATCCCCCGAACACTTTCTGTTAATATGCCAAGAATTCAGTAAATAAATCCATTTGAACTAGGTTAAACGAAAGACTGTAATTGCAAAATAATTGCTGTTTCTATGGGCAGGGAATATTCTTCTGCCAGTGTAAAGATTGTCAACGAGCACAAACCTGACGAAGATTTAAGAGCAAAGAGCATTACCAAAGATAAACAGAGTCATTTCATAATGATGAAGTGGCTCAATCAAGAGGATATAACAATCTTAAAGGTTTATGTGCCTACCCACAGAGGTTTAAAATACGTGAAGCAAAAGCCAATACAACTGCAAAGAGAAAAACAGATTTTGACACCCTCTCAATAACTGATGGAACCATTAAAAAATATGACTAGCACATTGGATCCAAAATAAATTGGCCCTTATGACCCTGAATGACACGTTGTTTTTTTTCTTCAGTGAACTATTGTTGGGGGTGACTCCGAGATAGAATGGTATAAAAATAATTCACTGATGTTTTTCTCCTGAATGGAGATTTTATTTCTACATTGATGAAGATTGCAAACAACATGTCTGCCTTTTTTGGTCCTGAATTTAAAGGGAAACACAAGAGGTGTTTAGTTATTTACAAACAAGTATATATTCTTGTTGATCCTTTTTTCAATACTATCTTGAGATACTGTTTGTAAGTATCCTCCTATAAGTATTTCCAAAAGTCTGCCAACCAAGCAGCTTAGAAGAATCTATTCCAAGTTTCTATAGAAAAACTCTGAGATGAATTTATTATTTTTTGGTACCATTTATGAGAAAAATCTCAGCTTTGAAGGTAGAATAGCATACAGAATCCTGTTAAATAGTATATTTGTATATATGTCTATGTATGATATATATCAGATATATACATATGTATCAGTAATCCCTCTGAAAATGTTGTTTTAATTGTGTGGAACAAAAAGCAAAGTAAATCAGCGAGTAACTTATTTTCTAATCTCATCTGCCAATGTTGGAGATGACTTTTTTGTTCCTGTCATACTAGGTAGTTACGTCTCTACAAAATCACTGCAAAAGATTGAACCATTTCTGATGAATGAACTTTGACCTACTGCAGAGACACGGTAGATATTCAATTAATATCAGTTCAACACACTTTGGTTAAGTGCAAAGCACTGAGGACATGAAGTTTTCATTAGAGGTGTCTGCCGCTCAGGAGCTTAACGTCTATTTAGGGACACAGATGTGCACAAACATAATTGAAGGCATAGTTAAAATGCCAAAGAGAAGGCACACTAATGCATTGCTATCGAAACTTAAATATTTTTTTTTCCAAACTGTGGTAACTGCGTCATTACATTTCACTGGGATGACAGCATCTGAGTTGCACCTTACAGAATGAGTAGAATTTCAATAGGGAAAGTGAGATGGGTAATTAAGGTAAGAGGAGGCATAAGAGGAAAAATATGATGGTGGGAAAGCAAGTAACTTGTGTCAATAGCAGTGAAATAGCCATGTTAGTCCTAAGGAGAGGCTGTTTAGTTATATATCCATTCAATATGTCAATGAATATATTTTTGAAACAAATTACTCCTTGTTTACATGTTTTATTAATTTGAGTTTTAAAGTTTAGCCTACTACCTTGTCTTAGTCCATTCAGGCTACAACAAAATACCTCGGACTGGGTAATTTATAAACAATAGAAATGTACTGCTTACAATTCTGGAGGCTGGGAAGTCCAAAATCAAGGCACCAGCAGATTCAGTATCTGGTGAGGGCTCTCTGCTTTATAGATGGTGCCTTCTTGCTGTGTCCTCACATGGCAGAAGGGGCAAACAAGCTCATCCCGGCCTCTTTTATAAGGGCACTAATCCCATTCATGAAGGCTCTGCCCTCATGACTTAAGCACTTCCCAGAAGCCCCTACCTCTATTTTTCTTCTTCAACTGTTACTTTAACTTCAGGGGTACATGAACAAGATGTTCAGGTTTGTTACATAAGTAAAAATGTGCCATGGTGGTTTGCTGCCCAGATCATCCCATCACCTAGGTATTAAGCCCAGCATCCATTAGCTTTTCTTCCTGATGCTCTCTCTACCCCCAACCTTCCACCATCAGCAGGCCCCAGTGTGTGTTGTCCCCTGCCCCCTACATGTCCATGTGTTCTCATCCTTTGATTCCCACTTATAAGTGAGAACATGTAGTGTTTTGTTTTCTGTTCCTGCATTAGTTTGCTCATGATAACGGCTTCTGGCTCCATCCATGTCCCTACAAAGGACATGATAGTGTTCCTTTTTATGGCTGTGTAGTATTCCATGGTGTATATGTACTACACTTTCTTGATCCAGTCTATCATTGATGGGCATTTGAGTTGATTCCATGTCTTTGCTATTGTGAATAGTGCTGCAGTGAACATATGCATCCATGTATCTTTATAATAGAATGATTTATATTACTTTGGATATATACCCAGTAATGGGATTCCTGGGTCAAATGGTATTTCTGCTTCTAGATCTTTGAGGAAACACCATACTGTCTTCCACAATGGTTGAACTAATTTACACTCCCACCAACAGTGTAGAAGTGTTCCTTTTCCTCCACAACCTTATCAGAATCTGTTGTTTGTTGACTTTATAATGATTGCCATACTGACTGGCATGAGATGGTATCTGATTGTGGCTTTGCTTTGCATTTTTCTAATGATCAGTGGTGTTGAGCTTTTTTCGTATGTTTCTTGGCCACATGTATGTCTTATTTTGAGAAGTGTCCTGTTCATGTCTTTTGCCCACTTTTAAATGAGGTTGTCTGGTTTTTCTTGTAAATCTGTTTAAGTTCCTTGTAAACTCTGGATGTTAGACCTTTGTCAGATAGATAGATTGCAAAAATTTTACCCTATTCTGTAGGTTGTCTGTTCACTCTTTTACTGTGCAGAAGGTCCTTAGTTTAATTAGATACCATTTGTCAATTTTTGCTTTTGCTGCAATTGCTTTTGGTGTTTTTGTCATGAAATCTTTGCCTGCACCTATGCCCCGAATGGTATTGCCTGGGTTTTCTTCTAGGGCTTTTATAATTCTGGGATTTACATTTAAGTCTTTAATCCATCTTGAGTTGATTTTTGTATATGGTGTAAGAAAGGGGTCCAGTTTCAATTTTCTGCATATGACTAGCCAGCACTTCCAGCACCATTTAGTAAATAGGGAATCCTCTCCCCATTGCTTGTTTTTGTCAACTTTATTGAAGATCAGATGGTTGTAGGAGTGCAGTCTTATTTCTGAGTTCTCTATCCTGTTCCATTGGTCTCTGTGTCTGTTCTTGTACCATTACCATGCTGCTTTGGTTACTGTAGCCTTATAGTATAGTTTGAAGTCATGTACTATGATGCCTCCAGCTTTGTTCTTTTTGTTTAGGATTGTCTTCGCTATACAGACTCTTTTTTGCTTCCATATAAATTTTAAAAAAGATTTTCTAATTCTGTGAAGAATGTCAATGGCAGCTCAATGAGAATACTCAATGAGAATAGTATTGAATCTATAAATTACTTTGGGCAGTATGGCCATTTTCACCATATTGATTCTTCCTATGCATAAGCATAAAATATTGCTCCATTTGTTTTTGTCCTCGCTGAATTCTTTGAGAAGTGGTTTGTAGTGCACCCTAAAGAGGTTCTTTATGTCCCTTGTTGGCTGTACTCCTAGGTATTTTATTCTTTTTGTGGCAATTGTGAATGGGAATTCATTCATGATTTGGTCTCTGCTTGCCTGTTGTTGGTGTATAGGAATGCTACTAATTTTTGCACATTGATTTTTTTTATTATACCTTAAGTTCTAAGGTACATGTGCACAACATGCAGGTTTGTTACATAGGTATACATGTGCCATGTTGGTTTGCTGCACCCATCAACTCGTCATTTCCATTAGGTATTTCTCCCAGTGCTATCCCTCCCCCTGCCCCCACGCTCCAACAGGCCCCGGTGTGTGATGTTCCCTGCCCTGTGTCCGTGTGTTCTTGTTGTTCAACTCTCACCTATGAGTCAGAACATATGGTGTTTGGTTTTCTGTCCTTGTGATAGTTGGCTTAGAATGGATGCTTTCTAGCTTTATCCATGTCTCTGCAAAGGACATGAATTCAACCTTTTTTATGGCTGCATAGTATTCCATGGTGTATATGTGCCACATTTTCTTAATCTAGTCTATCATTGATGGACATTTGGGTTGATCAAGTCTTTGCTATTGTGAATAGTGCCACAATAAACATACGTGTGCATGTGTCTTTATAGTAGCATGATTTATAATCCTTTGAGTATATACCCAGTAATGGGATTGCTGGGTCAAATGGTATCTCTAGTTCTAGATCCTTGAGGAATTGCCACACTGTCTTCCACAATGGTTGAACTAATTTACACCCCCACCACAGTGTAAAAGCATTCCTTTTTCTCCACATCCTCTCCAGCATCTGTTGTTTCCTGACTTTTTAAATGATCGCTATTCTAAATGGCATGAGATGTTATCTCGTTGTGGTTTTGATTGGCATTTCTCTGATGACCAGTGATGATGAGCATTTTTTCATATGTCTATTGGTTGAATAAATGTCTTCTTTTGAGAAGTGTCTGTTTATATACTTTTCCCACTTTTTGATGGGGTTATTTGTTTTTTTCTTATAAATTTGTTTGAGTTCTTTGTAGATTCTGGATATTAGCCCTTTGTCAGATGAGTAGATTGCAAAGATTTTCTCCCATTCTGTAAGTTGCCTGTTCACTCTGATGATAGTTTCTTTGGCTGTGCAGAAGCTCTTTAGTTTAATTAGATTCCATTTGTCTATTTTGGCTTTTGTTGCCATTGCTTTGGTGTTTTAGTCTTGTAGTCTTTGCCCATACCTATGTCCTGAATGGTATTGCCTAGGTTTTCTTCTAGGGTTTTTATGGTGTTAGGTCTTACATTTAAGTCTTTAATCCATCTTGAGTTAATTTTTGTATACGGAAGGGATCCAGTTTTAGCTTTCTACATATGGCTAGCCAGTTTTCCCAGCACCATTTATCAAATAGGGAATCCTTTACCCATTGTTTGTTTTTGTCAGGTTTGTCAAAGATCAGATGGTTGTAGATGTGTGGTGTTATTTCTGAGGCCTCTGTTCTGTTCCATTGGTCTATATATCTGTTTTGGTACTGGCACCATGCTGTTTTGGTTACTGTACACTTGTAGTATAGTTTGAAGTCAGGTAGTGTGATGCCTCCAGCTTTGTTCTTTTTGCTTAGAATTGTCTTGGCTATGCGTGCTCTTTTTTGGTTCCATATGAACTTTAAAGTAGTTTTTTCCAATTCTGTGAAGGAAGTCAGTGGTAGCTTGATGGGGATAGCATTGAATGTATAAGTTACCTTGGGCAGTATGGCCCTTTTCATGATATTGATTCTTCCTATCCATGAGCATGAAATGCTCTTCCATTTGTTTGTGTCCTCTTTTATTTTGTTGAGCACTGGTTTGTAGTTCTCCTTGAAGAGGTCCTTCACATCCCTTGTAAGTTGTATTCCTAGGTATTTTATTCTCTTTGCAGTAATTGTGAATGGGCACCCACTCATGATTTGGCTCTCTGTTTGTCTATTATTGGTGTATAGGAATGCTTGTGATTTTTGCACGTTGATTTTGTATCCTGAGACTTTGCTGAAGTTGCTTATCAGCTTAAGGAGATTTGGGGCTGAGACGATGGGGTTTTCCAAATATACAATCATGTCATCTGCAAACAGAGACAATTTGACTTCTTCTTTTCCTAATTGAATACCTTTATTTCTTTCTGTTGCCTGATTGCCCTAGCCAGAACTTCTGACACTATGTTGAATAGGAGTGGTGGGAGAGGGCATCCTTCATCCTCGTCTTGTGCCTATTTTCAAAGGGAATAATGCTTTCAGTTTTTGCCCATTCAGTATGATATTGGCTGTGGGTTTGTCATAAATAGCTCTTATTATTTTGAGATACATTCCATCAATACCTAGTTTATTGAGCATTTTTAGCATGAAGGGCTGTTGAATTTTGTCAAAGGCCTTTTATGAGGCTAGCATCATCCTGATGCCAAAGCCTGGGAGAGACACAACAAAAAAAGATAATTTTAGGCCAATATCCCAGAAGTACATTGATGCAAAAATCCTCAGTAAAATACTGGCAAACTAAATCCAGCAGCACATCAAAACGTTATCCATGACAATCAAGTTGGCTTCATCCCTCGGATTCAAGGCTGGTTCTACATATGCAAATCAACAAACGTAATCCATCACATAAAAAGAACCAATGACAAAAACCACATGATTACTGCAACAGATGCAGAAAAGCCCAAAAGCTTCTTAAGCTGATCAGCAACTTCAGGAAAGTCTCAGGATATAAAATCAATGTGTACTGGGCATGGTGGCTCATGCCTATAATCCCAGCACTTTGGGAGGCCAAGGCAGGCAGATCACCCGGGATCCGGAGTTAGAGACCAGCCTGGCCAACATGGCAAAACCACGTCTCTACTAAAAATACAAAAATTGGCCGGGCATGGTGGTGGGCACCTGTAGTCCCAGCTACTTGGGAGGCTGAGGCAAGAGAATTGCTTGAACCCCAGGAGGTGGAGATTGCAGTGAGGCGAGATCAGGCCACTGCACTCTAGCCTGGGTGACAAAGCAAGACTCCATCTCAAAAAAAGGAGTCACTTCCAAGATGGCCAAATAGGAACAGCTCCAGTCTGCAGCTCTTAGTGAGATGGAGGGCAAGCTGAAGTAGGGCAGGGCATCGCCTTACCCAGGAAGTGCAAGGGGCTGGGGGATTTCCCTTTCCTAGCCAAGGGAAGCCGTGACAGACTGTACCTGGAGAAATGGTACACTCCTGATCAAATACTGCACTTTTCCCACAGTCTTAGCAACTGGCAGAATAAGAGATGCCCTCTCGTGCCTGGCTTGGCAGATCCCATGCCCACGGAGCCTTGCTCACTGCTAGCGCAGCAGTCTGAGATCAACCTGCAATGCTGCAGCTTGACAGGGGGAGGAGTGTCTGCCATTGCTGAGGCTTGAGTAGCTCACAGTGTAAACAAAGACGCCAGGAAGCATGAACTGAACAGAGCCCACCACAGCTCAGCAAGGCCTACTGCCTTTATAGATTCCACCTCTGGGGGCAGAGCATAGTAGAAAAAAAGGCAGCAGACAGCTTCTGCAGACTTAAATGTCCCTGTCCGACAGCTCTGAAGAGAGCAGTGGTTCTCTCAACATGACGTTCGAGCTCCGAGAATGACAGACTGCCTCCTCAAGTGGGTCCCTGACCCCCGTGTAGCCTGACTGGGAAACACCTCCCAGTAGGGGCCAACAGACACCTCAAACAGGCAGGTGCCCCTCTGGGACGAAGCCTCCAGAGGAAGGATCAGGCAGCAATATTTGCTGTTCTGCAGCCTCCACTGGTGATACCCAGGCAAACAGGGTCTGGAGTGAACCTCCAAATGAGTCTTTTGAGAAGAAGGAGCACATATTATTCGAGGTGTGTTTAATACAGTCACAATTTACCTTCTCAGGAAAGTCTTAGTGTTTAGGCATTTAAATTCTTATACTACTTGGGGAATGTATTAGTCAGGGTTCTCTAGAGGGACAGAACTAATAGGATAGATAGATAGATATAAAGGGGAGTTTATTAAGTATTAACTCACTTGATCACAAGGTTCCACAATAGGCCATCTGCAAGCTTGAGGAGCAAGGAGAGCCAGTCCGAGTCTCAAAACTGAAGAACCTGGAGTCCCATGTTTGAGGGCAGGAAGCATCCAGCACAGGAGAAAGATGTAAGCTGGGAGGCTAGGCCAGTCTCTCCTTTTCCCTTTCTGCTTTATATTCACTGGCAACAGATTAGATGGTGCCCACCAAATTAAGGGTGGGTTTGCCTTTTCCAGCCCACTAACTCAAATCTCAAATGTTAATCTCCTTTGGCAATGCCCTCACAGACACCCCCAAGACCAACACCAATCCAATCAAATTGACACTCAGTATTAACCATCTCAGGGAAGATGAATAATCCTAGAAACTTGAATTCAGTCCTAATGAAGTGTAAAAAGCTTTAGTAGTGTTGATGAAGGTGATCTAAACTCTTTGATTCACAAACTCTTAAAGAAGGAAGGGACCTCAAAGATGATATTTTCCAGTCCTTCCATTTTACAAAGGATGGACCTGAGACCCAGGAGAGATGCAGTTATTTACTCGGGATCACACAGCTGGTTAGTGAAAGAGTAAAAACCAAAACACCTCTGACTCTCTTCTTATATCACGTTCTGAAGACTATTTCAAAATGATTCAGCTGGCTAAGCACATTTTGAAATTTGACATTTTCCTCAAAATACATGTGTAAGTCCAGCGGGGATCATTAATTGATTAGTCAATTCCTTCATAAATATTCACTAATTATTACTCTAAAATGCCCTCAAAACTCCACAAAAGTACAAAGACGTATATCACTTCTGCTTACAGTTTCCAATCTCCCTAGAGCAGTAAGAAACATACACATAAAAAGATACCTAATGTCCCAAGATAAAATGTCAAATTGAGACGATGTGTAATAACATGTCAAATTGAGACATTGTGTAATAACATGTCAAATCGTATGATAAAATGTCAAATTGAGAGAGAAAATAACAAGGGTGTAGGCTATCACTGTGTCCTTAAAAATGTCGAAGAAGGCTTTGTAGAGTAAGCAGAGCTTGAAGATACTCGGATTTTCCTGGCATTATGGAAACTCTAACTCTTGCTGTACAAGATGATTTGCATGACTTGTAGAAAAGGGTCTGTACTCTTTTTGCCATTCCCAGGGCAATAACAGAGTTTTAATTCTTGATGTCTCCTTAAACAAGAGGTTCTTAACCTGGAAAAGGGTCTATGATCTTGGATAGGATAGGGGAAAAAAACGTATCTTTACTTTTTTATATCTAGCTGAAATTTGGCTCTTTCTTTTCTTTCTTTCTCTCCCCTCTCCCTCCCCTCCCCTCACCTCCCCTCCCCTTCACTTCCCTTCCCTTCCCTTCTTCCCTTCCCTTCCCTTCCCTTCCCTTCCCTTCCCTTCCCCGACTGAGTTTCACTCTTGTCGCCCAGGCTGGAGTGCAATGGCATGATCTCAGCTCACTGCAACCTGTGTCTCTCAGGTTCAAGTGATTCTCCCACCTCAGCCTGCCGAGTAGCTGGGATTACAGTCATGCACCACCATGCCCAGCTAATTTTGTATTTTTAGTAGAGACGGGGTTTCTTCACGTTGGTCAGGCTGGTCTCGAACTCCTGACCTTAGGTGATCCGCCCGCCTAGGCCTCCCGAAGTGCTGGGATTATAGGCATCAGCCACCACGCCCAGCCAAAATTTAGCATTTTCTGCAATTATGAATATAAACAACAAACCACAGTAGTATTAGCAATTTCTGTGACCATCATCAATAGAAATTAATTACAGATATTTTCAAACCTCATTACAGTCATTGCAGAAAAATAATTTATGTTCATCACTCTTTTGAACATATGGGCATTGTTAGATCTGTTCTAGATCTTGTTATTTAAAGTGTTAATAAAGACAAGTATTTATTATTATATCAAAAACTTGGCTTTTAATATATTTTTATTACTGATTTCCACATAATTATTTTATCTATATAGTTCTGCTAGGTAAAACAATGGCCAACAAAGAAGCCTACACCGTAATCCCCAGTACTTGTGAATATGATCTTATAAATGGCAAAAGAGACTGTGTTTATAATTAAGGTAAGGAAACTGCTGGGGAGATCCCACCAGGTGGGGAGACTATCCTGAATCGCCCAGATGGGCTCATCTAATGTGTTTACAGAAGCAAAGAACCTTTCCCAGCTGTGATCAAAGAGGGCTATGGAAAGGAGTTGATCACCTTTGCAGCCTTTGAAGATGGAAAAAGAGGACCATGAGCCAAGGAATGCGGGTGGCCTTGAGAAGCTGGGAAAGGCAAGGAAACACAGCCTCCCTTAGATCTTCCAAAAAGGAATGCAGCCTTGTCAACACCTTAATTTTAGCCCAGTAAGACCTCTATCAGACTTCTGACCTCTAGAACTGTAAGATAAATTTGTATTCATTCCCCGATTTGTGGTATTTTGGTACAGCAGCATTGGAAAATGAGTATACTTTATTTTACTTTATCCATTTCAAAATATTATTCTGAGAAACTTCACCAGACAAAGCTGCTCAGGCACAAAAAAATATATAGTTTTTAAAAAACCCTGCCTAAGTAGTGTATGCAGCTGTACTTACAAGGAAAACCTTATGTAATTTGACATTGACACCAGTCAATGTCTAGTGGGACCTAAAAGGAAAAACTCTATTTGTTTTCACAATTATCCAGACGCTCCAGTAAAAATTTTTGTAGCAAAATCACAAGTTAAGTTCTCACTCAAGCTTGGCTTTTCCCTCGACTTTCTTTCTCAGTGGTTCTTATTTTTTCTGGCTTCCACCATTTCCAAATTTGGATTACATTCATATAGGCAATTCATTCATGCAGGAATGAGAGCCAAGGGAAGAGTGTTTTTAATCCTTGTGATTGACATTATTACTTTATGAGCCTTCAAATGAACCCAGCAGTTACTAATATATCATGCTAGGGAATTGTAGGAAAATGATAACCCAATAAAGAGGGCATATGGCAAAGGAACCGTGTTTCCCCTTCTCGAGGGTGATTGGGTCTCTGGAGATTTCTTGATTGGCATTCTCGGGATCAATTACTTATCCAGTTACAATATGTTAATGCCAAAACAATTTTTACAATAGTTTTAATTTCATATCTGTTAAATGTAAATAGCACTTTTTGAAGTATTTGACTGACTAAAATTGGTAGTGATATTTAAGTTTTGTCAAGTTCTGGGGAAAGGCCTTATATAATTTAAAAGTGTATTCTTAACTGTTATTTTAGAGTCTATCAGTCAGTTAAAAAAAAAAAACAAATTAGTTGTAATCCAAAAGAATTGTTTCTTTCCTTATGAACAACCACAACCATGAAATAACCAAACCTGAGTCTGTCTTTGTCAACAGCAGCCCAGTCTGTCTGCTGTTAGGCATAATTTGCAGTATACTTCCCAGCAAAACATCCACATCCTCTGGTAGCAAGCAGTTTTGTTTAAAGCACGCACTTGGATCTTAAGAGAATGAAAAATTAAAACTGTCGATGCAAACAATCTAAAATTCCAAATTTTTTATCAGTTTGCTTTTGAAAATATGCATGAAGGAATATAATCATTCTTTCCCAGGAGTAGCTCCTTTGAGTAATGAAAGACAGATGTGCTAAAGATGTCTGTCTCTAGTCCAGGTCGAGAATTATATACAGTGTATAATAAAGTATGATATCTGGATCTTAGACAAAATGCAATGCCAAAACTAGAATGTTGCCAGCTTTCCACTGTGCAAGGTCTAATTTAGTTGATAAATCTGCTTCCCATCCTTCATGGATCTCAATGTATTTTCAGGAATTCAAAAGTAACATTTCTCAGTACTTACGATAAATAGTCATTGTGGCCTCAAGTACATAAAGTTGTATTAAATGACAACTATTTTAACATGGGGGATTTTAGAATATCTTACAGAGAGTTTTCACATATGTGAAAAAAACGTTGTGATGTTAAAATTCAGTTGAAAAAATTCTAAAAATTTAAATTGTGCGTCATAGAGTTTTCAATTACTTTTTCATTGAAGCAATTGCATTTTCCCACACCTGAAAAACATACCTCTAACAGTAACCCTCAGCTGAGACCAGCATTTTATTGGTGTTTTCATATACTAAACAAATCGTAAATGCCTGTGCATTGCAGTGACAAATAGTTTTTTTTGTTTGTTTGTTTGTTTGTTTTTGAGACAAGCTCTTGCTCTGTCACGCAGGCTGGAGTGCAGTGGTGCAATTTCTGCTCACTGCAACCTCTGTCTCCCAGGTTCAAGCAATTCTCCTGCCTCGGCCTTCTGAGTAGCTGGGATTACAGTCACCTACCACCATGCAAGGCTAATTTTTGTATTTATAGTAGAGATGGGGTTTCACCATGTTGGCCAGTCTATTCTCAAACTCCTGGCCTCAGATGATCCTCCCTCCTCGGCTTCCCAAAGTGCTGGGATTACAGGTATGAGCCACTGCGCCTGGCCAACAAATGGTTTTTTAAAAAGGCAGAGAATATTTGCTGGTGATGCAAACGGTTTGCAGTTAGTAAATCTGATTTTCTAAAATTAACTTTAATCTAATAGAGAATGTCATACAATTTCATGCTACTAAAGAAAACCTGTAGGGGTTCACAATAGCCAAAGTGGATTATACTACTACAACATATGTACTCCAAAATGTGTAATAGCACAAACACAATATAAGTTTGTTTTTTATTCATATGAAAGTCCAAGGAGGGTGTATCTTGTCAGAGGGTGGCTCTCTTGCAGGTGGTGATCAGTGAAGCCGGGTTCCTTCTATCTTGTGGCTCCATCATCACCCAAAGCCTTTTCATCATCCACATCCAGTGGGAGGAATGGAAAGAGCCCTTGGAGGTGGTATGTCATCTCCTTAAGGCCTTTCCGCAGAGATTGTACTCATCAGTTCTACTTCAATTTCATTGGAAAGGCAGTCATATGGCTACACCTAGCTGCAGAGGAGGTTGAGAAATGGAGCACAGCCATCTGCCCAGAAATAAAGGGGAGCAGATTTTGTGAGAAGCTCTGCATGGGATAATTTCTAGTATTCAAATCATTTTAGGTTAATTTTCATGGATGTGAGTGAGATATACAGCTTCTTAGAAAAACAATTCATTCTCAGGGGAAAAAAATCCAAAAACCATAGGAAAGCAAAGCAAAAAGTAAAAAATCCCCTCAAGCCCAGAGACAATCACTGTAAACACTTTGTATTATTGTATTATGTATATAAAACATGGATATATTTGGATCTATGCAAAACAGTCAAATTATGCATACCCATTAACCTATGTTTACATTCTCAGGTAGATAATCTTCCCTCTTTTAATTATGAGATGCAATTAAAATCAAACAGGAAACAAGCAAATTTTTAAAAAACACATATATTTTAAAAAGGATATCTTCTGATAAAGTAGTATCTGTTATGGTATTATTTGGCTAATTCTAATTGACTATTCTGGACTTTAATGGCTAAAATAATTCAAAGAGTTGTAGGAATCTTGCTCTCTGAATATACTAAATAAAAAAAGGCATCACCTTGCCACCAAAGGCGCTGGCCTAAAGGGCACTGGGCTTCATGATCCAGGCTCTGCCATCATGAGCCACATGACATTAGCCTCCTGTGTTTCGGTTTTCTTGAGGCCCACGAGATCCAGTTAGATATCTTGCTTTTCTAAAACTTTACAACATATTTGTGAAATAAATCTTCCTCTCTCCCTCTTTTCAGCTTTCAGTACTAAGTATCCTGGATCAAAGAACTACAGGATGATAACATTGCTTTCAGCCGTATCTATTACATGCGATGCCCTGATTCTGTGACAGGCCCTCCACAAAATGCATGATGTGTTCTTTCATAATCTTATAATAACTCTGGAAGGTTACTGGTTTCTATTTCCATCAAAGGACATAAAGCTGAAGAGAGTGAGTAAGTTGCCAAGTCCATACAGCTAACAAGGATGTGATGTAGGGTTTAAATCATATCACTGTGACTGCAAAGCCTGAACTTCACTGTTAAGCATCCCTGTGTTCTTGTCACTCGGTGCCATTGATATTTCCTGGGCAGTAAGAGTGTGTCATAGTCCCAGGAACAACTCTGGTTCTTCTAAGATGTAAGATCAAAATTTCTCTAAAAGGTTGCTGTAGCTTAACTATTTAGTTGTTTTGATACGTGTGTGTGATGTGCGTTGGGTGAATTTTTTTTGAAAAGTTTTTTTCTGATTATAAAAATATATTTTTTCATTTTAGAAAGTTAAGAAAGGGGCCAGGCGCAGTGGCTCATGCCTGTAATCCCAGCACTTTGGGAGGCCGAGATGGGCCGATCCCGTGAGGTCAGGAGTTCGAGACCAGCCTGGCCAACATGGCAAAACCTTGTCTCTACTAAAAATACAAAAATTAGCCAGTTGTGGTGGTGGGTGCCTGTAATCCCAGCTACTCGGGAGACTGAGACAGGAGAGTCACTTGAACCCGGGAAGTGGAGGTTGCGGTGAGCCAAGATTGTGCCATTGCATGCAAGCCTGGGCAACCAGAGCAAAACTCCATCTCAAAAAAAAAAAAAAAAAAAAAAGCAAAGAAAGTTAAGAAAGGGTAGAAAAAGTTATATAATAAACAGTAAGGATCACCCATAATCTCACTACTCAGAGAGATTCCTTGATGACATCATTGTCCACTCCTCAGACCTAGGGAGGAAGGGCAGGTTAGCCTAACTAACATAGTTCCTGCCTGGTCCTTTACAGAAAAAGATTTGTGACATATATCATAAAACATTATGGCAAATATTTTAGCCCAGAGAGTTCAATACTGGGTAGTACTAGTAATCTGAGAGATGTTCAATATGAATTCTTTAGAATGTCTGGTTTAAACTGCACTCTAGTTTGATGGACCTGCCTGGAGTTATCTGCAAAATTTACCAAACTAGCAGAATCAATTGATTTATCTGAAGAGTGACTTGGAATTGTACATTCAAACATTAGAAAATGTCTACCAAATTTTTTTTTGTGTGTGTGTGTGTGTATTTATAGAAGTTAATGTTATGAGGTTGAGCTGTTCTTTCAGCGAGTAATTAGTAATCAGGCCCTATTCTTAAGAACATCATGGTTTATGATAGAAAAATTGCATCGCCATTGAAGAAAATAATGCTTTTTTATTGCATTGACAAGTTGGCATGTGTCCAACTTATCTAAAAATGGAATCATTTAGATGTTAGAGGAGAAGTACACAGGGCTTGTCCAACCTCTTTTCTACTGCTTAACATTGAATTCTGATCTGCTAAGAGGCTATTTCTTTAATTTCCAGGGACAGCAGTAGCATTTCGATACTTTCTGTGAAACCCGGTTGTTAAAAGTATGTCTTCTCTCTCTCTCCCAGTGTTAAGTATAACCAGTAATTGCATGCTTATGTGCATAAACCAACCTCTAATTATGTATTTTAGAGGTTTCACAAATGTTAATAATGATTCCCTGTGGGAAAAAATAAACAAATAATAAAAATACAGTCCCTGATATTCCATCACCATTATAAAATCGGGCTCTACAACTTGCTAACCATGTTGTCACTGACAAGTTACTTGGAACCCACAAAACTTCCTTGTCCTTATCCACAAAATGGGAGAAATAAGTTTACTTGAATAAAAACCGAATACTTGTGAAGCACTTTCACAATGTCTAGTGTGGAGTAAAATATAAATGGAAGCATTTCAGCCTATACTTACGATGACTGATGCAGGTGGCCTTATAAGCCTTTTCCATCTCTGGACATTAAAGTTGGTGATAGATCAATAAATGGTGCAAAGTGTCTTAATCAATGAGTGGGGGAAAGAGTATTACATCTTCTGAATTTCCTTAATGAGAAGAAAAAGCACTGCAATAATCACTAGTGGAAAAGCTACACCTAAAGTCTGCTTCCTCCTTGTTCAAAGTCTCCAGAACTGTAGCATTTTAAGAAAAGGAAGTTAAACTATGAAAGAATGTCTAAAGTGGAAGTATAATTTGTAAAAAACAGAGAGTTACTTTTTTTGAAAATAGGGAAGGCAAATGCTCCAAACATGTTCCTTTCAAGAAGTCAAAAGAGAATGAATGGATACCTGCCAAGTTTTCTGGAATAAAGGAGAAACACAGGCCATGTCTCTGAAATCATGAGATGTATCTTATAATTCATGCTAATGTTATATTCTCTATCTTATTTTTACATTTGTTACCTTCAAGTGTTCTTAAAAATCTCAATGACAAGGTGCACTGTGTGTATTTGAAGGCTTTTTGCCACACTACTGTTTATCAGATGGGAAGCACAGGGGCACAGGAGTTTGTCTACAGTCTACAGACATTATCACTAAGGAATACATTAACATAGGACAGAAAAGAACCTGTCGCCTTGAACAGCATCCAAACAGTCATAATGATAATTTATGGAGTTAATGTGATATTGACAAGTCACTATTAAAATAATCCTTTGGGAAAATTGTTAGATATCTGCCGTAAGGTTTTCTTTCAAGGGAACCAGCGACAACCTTCATCTTAGGAAACTAGTTACGTAATGAAAAGAATGAGGATTTTGTAGTTAATGTATTCCAAACCTAGGTCTGCCATTTACTAGTTGAAGGAAAGTATATAACTTCTCTGAGCCTCTTCACCTACAAATGGGAAAAACAATAAAGAGTTATTTAAAGGATCAGAAATAGTGAGTATAAAATGCTTAGCTTGGAGTGGGGTGTGGTGGCTCGCACCTGTAATCTCAGCACTTTGGGAGGCTGAGGCGGGTGTATCACTTGAGGTCAAGAGTTCCAGACCAGCCTGGCCAACATGGTGAAACCCAGTCTCTACTAAAAACACAAAAATTAGCTGGGCATGGTGGTGCACACCTGTAGTCCTGGCTACTCGGGAGGCCAAGGCAAAAAAAAAAAAAAAAAGAAAAAAATGCCTAGCTTGGTTACTGCATACACTGGATGCTCTGTATAATATAATTATACTTTATAAGGTTTTAAGCATTCATTCATATATTCACTTACTCATTTTGGTAGAATTGTGTGTTGCTGAGACAAAGTGAAAAGTATAGTCTGAATTCCATTCTTGACACACATTTTATTGATATCTACACACGAAAGTTTCTTCAGATAATCAGTATAGATCACAGTTTTCACTGGCCACTAAATAACCCCGAGCAATTTGAAGAATTTGTTATCTACAAAACAATGAGGTTAGAATTCCATTAGGCTGTGTGTGCATGTAGGTCTATCTCAAACTAGTTATTGAGCTTTCAGTATGCAAAAAAAAAAAAAAAGCATCATATTACATCATATTAGCTTACAGAATGAAAAGGGCTGGCATAACATGGAACTATAAAATTGCTGTTTCTAGTGTGTAAGGGGCTCACTTCTAAGGCGGATAAAACAGTAAGTATGCAGGAATGCTAGCGTATTTGTTTTTGAAAGATAGAATAAATGTAGGCTCTAGGAATAGGTAGTCTCAGAGCTTATGAATAAAATGTCAACATAAATGGAATACTTGCTAGAAACATGAAGCCCCCAAACAAAACTCTGCAGTGTCAGCTCCAAAATTGCTATGTAGGAGGAGTCTAAGACCATCTGGGAGGAAGGAGGGCCAAACAGACTTCCCCTGAAGCTTTGTTTACCTGTACATAGATTTTACTCAGGGTGGTGGTGGTGGTGGTGAAGGAGATATGGAGAATGTTTAACCGCAAACACTATCCACCACTCCCACCCAGTGTCCCCTTACAATGTGGATTTTAGAATTGGTTTTATCGTTATATTTGGAACCTGAAGTTTGTTATTTTAATATATATCGAGCACCTTATAAGTAAGGTGCCAGGCAAAGACACAATATCTTTTCCCAGGGGGTACGGGTTCCAGCCTATGGGATAGAGACCTGAAAACAAGTAAGTACAGCGTGTCATAAGCATCCGTCTGGACTTGTTTCTTTCTAACACACTATAAACTGGATGGAAATCAAGTTTCCATCCAGAATAGGCAAGGTAGTTTTCACAGAATTGGGATTGTTGAAATCAATTTGGAAGGAATCTTTCTCCACAGCACAATTTCTGTAAAACAAAGCTAAATTTCAAAGCACATGTTCCCTATAAATATTATCTTCACTAGTAAATTTTAAAAATGACTCAAAATGACAAAAGCTTTGCACATAACTCTCCTGAAAACCCACAGGTTGAAAAAAAAATCACTGGTGCCTTAATATTCCACTGAAAGAAAAAGAAAAATACTTTGGCTGATCACAGCTAATTTAGTTAATAAGGGCCCAATGAAAGCTAAACCTTATTTTATAAAATGCTGAGAATACTGAGTGATTACCATAAGCCAAGACAGCACTGGGTGATTACACACATTACCTTTATCAGAATTCTACAGAATGCTTCTTATACAAATTTATATGTTAAAGCCCCAAATTATTCTTCTCAATGACAGTTTTAATTTCCAGGATTGTCCTTCCCTTCAGCTACCAAGTATCAATCCAAGAGCAGGGCTTAGAAAACAAGGCCCTAAAACATTTAATTTCCTTTTGGTTCTGGTTTTACGTGGGATCACAAATATTTGGCTTAGAATTCATAGCTTCTACTGTGCCTTAAAAGAGTCAAATTCTAATGTGACTCTCTGAAACGTTTTCCAAAGACTTGAGGCTGTCAGTATAATATTGACTAGATAAAGAAATAAACTTTACACAAGTATAAATGTGCTTTTCTCCTTTTGCTAAAAGGTAGTTAGTTCAATGTTACTGGGGTGATAGTAAATAAAAATCAAAGAAAAGGAAAATAAGGAAGAAGTATTTAGTTCAAGAGGAAAATTCTTAATGATATATTGAATAGAACATTTACATCTCAGGTTTAACCAATACCGAATCAAATACATTTAAGATCTCAAGAGATCAAGATTATCCTGGCCAACATGATGAAACCCCATCTGTATTAAAAATACAAAATTAGCTGGGTGCGGTGGTGGGAGCCAGTAGTCCCAGCTACTTGGGAGGCTGAGGCAGGAGAATCGCTTGAACCTGGGAGGCGGAGGTTGCAGTGAGCCAAGATCGCGCCACTGCACTCCAGCCTGGTGACAGAGCGAGACTCTGTCTCAAAAAAAAAAAAAAAATACACCTCAGATCATGTGCTGTAATGAACAGAACTATAGAGGCTGGGTAGCCCAGTCTGCTCACTTTATTGGTGAGGCAGCAAATCCAAAGAAGAGAAGAGTCTCCACAGACTGTGCAGCATGAAGACAAATACAGGTAGAGCTAGAGTACAGTTCTCCACACTCCTTTCCATTGCCTTTTCCACTGGACTTGTTTTTCTTTTTGTTGGTGTATGTGGTATGTATGCAGAGTTCCCAAGGATCACTCTCAAAATGTATGATGCTGGTTATACCTCTGCATTTTCCTTATTCTATTGTTTTTCTCAAGTACCTCTTAACTTCAATAAAGGTCACTCAAGATTACAAAAACATGCTGTCATTTTTCTATAGCAGGAATGCCTTTATTCCATTGGATACTGGAAAATTCTGATTTGTAATGACAATAAGAAATAATTCATTGCAAAGCCAGGATAGAACATGACCAGAGTTTAGTGGGGGGGATGGGCAAGCCAACCTTGGGAATGGCTAAGAGTTGATAAGGGCATAAGCTCAAGAGTATGCTCCCGTTTTTATTAATAGATAGGGGCACACAACTAATAAATAATAAAAGACAATGATTAACTTTTATTAGTTACCAAATGCATAAATTTATTACAGCATTTTATATAACTAACTGTCCTCCCCTTTTTCAGTGTGTTTTCCCTTGGCTTCCTGGACACTTCATTACCGGTTGTTCCATTTTCCCCACAGATTTCTCCCTTCATCTCTCTCCTTCAGGTGCCTCTTCTAGGTACTGCTGAATATTATCTTTCTCAGATGCTCTTATTTCCTACTCTCTCTCTCTCCTTCTCTGTCCTGATTTCTCTAGGAACAATAATTTTGCATATTAAACACCCACGGAGAGCTTCCACTATGTATTTCCAAGGCTTCTCAAACTTTGTGTGTCAAAAGTGAACTCATTTTAGGTCCAAACGTCACCCTCAAGGAAGTGGAGCATAATTCCCCATTTCTTAGGTGTGATCTGTACATAGAGACTTCCTTACAAAGAGCACAGCAGAATAAAGTTGGGGGGAGTGTAAGTTTATGTGGAGAAACCTGACAAACCCGGCCACAGCCTGGTGACCAAGATCAACACCAACAGTGATAAGTCATGATAAGTCATATTGACACATATACCCTTACTATCCTGTCATGAACATGGTACCCTTACTGCCCTGTGATCTCCGGAAACCCATACCTAGACTAATCATGAGAAAAATATGAGACAAATTCCAATCAAAGGACTTTCTACAAAATACCTGACCAGTACTCCTCAACACTAACAAGGTCATCAAAAACAAGGAAAGTCTGAGAAACTGTCACAGCTGAGAGGAAACTAAGGCGACGTGGCAATTAAACAAAACCCACTATCCTAGGTGGGATTCCGGAACAGAAAAAGAGGGATGCTAAATAAAAATTAAGACAATATGAGTAAAGTATGAACTTCAGCTAATTACAATGTATTAATACTGGTTCATTAATTGTAAGAAATGCACCACACTAATATAAGACTTTAATAACAAAGGAACTGGGTGTAGGGTATAAGAAAGCTTTCTGTGCTACCATTAGAATTTTTCTGTAACTCGAAAACTATTCTAAAATAAAAATTTTATTTTTAAAAAATTTATCTTGTTGCCTTCCCAGCCTTTTTACTCGTCTTATGTTCCGTATTTCTGCCCATGTAATTATGATGGAGCAAGTGGGGCTTTGCCCCAAGCATCCACGTTTATAAGGCATACAGATGTTAGTGAATGAAGTTTTATTAATTCTGAAATTTAACATCTAAGTTAAATTACACCTCAATAAAAAAAAATAGTTAAAATAGAAAACTTCCAGAGAGTCCCTATTGTTAACAACAAAAATCTGGGTACCATACCATGAAATACAGAGTTGATTAGAGGCAATCCAGAGTGGAGAGGTCAAAGTGGACCCACTCTGATTCTGATTCAGAAAATGGTAAATTTATTTCTCTATAACTCAACTGGACTGACTCATTAGGACCACCTCACAGGGCCTTCTGCCTCTTTTGCTTGCCATTTTACATTCATTAGTTTCTCCAATTAAATTCTACACTCATCTCCCTGGTTAAATAAGTGCCTATTAAATACATACACAGTCTTCACCTTTTTCTTCTTTCTACTTGTCTTCTCAGATATAATGTCTCAAGCAGGCTCAGTGACCTGTTGCATGAAGTAGCACCTGGTCTGCCACCCTCCCCTGTCCTGGTGGCCCCTGCTGTGGTCTGGATGGACCCAGTTGGTCACAAACATGCTGAGCCTGTGTTCATACCATGAAGCACTGCTGAATTCATCTGTTCTCTCAGGTTCTGTACTTCTCCCCTGCTGACCTCCCAGTGGTGGCCTCTAGTGCTGGTGTTCTTCTCACTCTTCAGCCTCTGCTTCCTGATCTCTGCTCTTTTCCAGTTCTCTTACCACATCCACATTACTTCCAGGACATACAGAAACTTCCAGAACCCTTGCACTCCAAATATAGGCCCTGGAAACCAAGAATAGTATCTCAGGCCCATATACTTAAACCTCTTCTTTAACATGGGCAATTATGATTTCATCCACTGCTGTATTTCCAGGTTGCCATGTTGCTCTAGAATGATGCTGAATGCAAACGTTCCTGAAGGGGCCACGCCATAGGAAAGGAGGAGAAAATCCTCTGGCTTTGGGGTTATTCCAAAGCTATTGGGGTTCTTCTACCACTGTGACTGTCATCAGTAAGTCCCTCTTCACCTTTGTAAGAGAGCAGCGGAGCATGGACTAGATTCCCCAAATTGGTCAGCTTTCTTTCTTGTCTTCATGCTTCACTGTGCTCACGTGCTCTCTCTGTCCTTGTTCTCATTCTCCTCTCCCCCTAGACTCGACTTGTTCTCATTCTCCTCTCCCCATGACTCGATTCCTCCCCTCAGACATAGAAAGGACTGGAATTGCTCTCACTTATGTCATAGCCATATCCTTCCCTACTCTGTAGTTATATTAAATCTTCATGCATTTGGGGAGGCCTAGGAAGGAGAATCATTTGAACCAAGGAATTTGAGAGCAGCCTGGGCATCGTGGTGAAACCCCACCTTTACAAAAAATACAAAACTTAGCCAGTTGTGGCAACAGGCACCTGTAAGTCCCAGCTACTTGAGAGGCTAAGGTGGGAGGACTGCTTGAGCAACCTCCACAACAGCAACCTCTGTTGTGGAGGTCGTGCTTTAGTCCTCTGTATATGACTTAATATTCAAAGCCTAGATTTGGAAATTCTGGAAAAACCCTTTTATTGCTCATTAAGCCAGGCTCTTACAAATAATAAAAAAAAACTTCTTTTGAGATTATCATCTCACCATAGACTTCAAAAATACCTATTTTGAAATTCAAAACAGAACATTGATTTCTTTGGTCTTGGCAGTGTCTGCCCTCTGCTGCCCTTGGAAATAAGATCAGGCTTAAGTCTGAATCTTCACAGCAGAAGGGCTGCCAGGGACAAACCTTCATTACTCAGAGGAATAATGCAATAGGTTATACTTAAGCTATTATATTATCCCAAAATAAATGTCTTTATTCTCCTTGGCGCAGATTCCAGCAATGAAGGTGATGGCTTTGGACGGAACTCCCATTGTCCTAGTTACCAAGGCAAGTAACAATGACATTTTGTTTAACTGCTTTCTCTGATTTCATATTCAATTAAATATCAAGTATTGTCAATTCCATCACTATACTTTTCCAACCACTTTTCCCTCCTCCCAGTTTCCATTAATTCTCCCCTTACTTCTCACCTAGAAGTCTTTACACCTTCAGTTTCTTTCAGAGATTCTTTCTTCAGGTTTGGAACGTGCAACTTGGGGTGCTGTAAACCTTAGATCCAATTCTACCTCTACATTTGCTAGTTTGTGAATTTGAGCAAGTTTTTAAACCTATATTTCCTCGCCCTTATAAGGCTCTCAGGAGGACAAAATAAGATAATGCATCATGGTGTCTAGTGCAGAGCAAGGCAAATGGTTGCCATTATTATTATTATTATTCTGCTTAAATGTCAAAATGTTTCATACAATCCATGAAAGAGATCGACATTAAAGGCAAGGTAGGCTTCAGAAAAGTGTAGCTGTGGGGAAAGATCATGCACATGGGTGTCAGCGGAAGCACAGAGTTGTAAGAAAACAAGTGGAAGCAGACAGGGTCAGGGAGGAAGGGAGAGAAATGTTGAAGAGGTGGACTCAGAATTGGTATTTTATTTCACAGGCATTGAAGAGATGTTTCCTTTATACAACAATGTTGTGCATGTGTAGTGTAAGTGTGTGTGTGTGTGACTCTAAAATTAAAAATAAAAGCAGGAGGTTAGAAAGATAGCAAAAATGAATGGTTCCAACAATTAAACATGCTTACATTTTCTAAATATGAAGCAAACTTCAGATTTTCTAAAAGAGATAAATCCTTACAGATGAAGGTGAACTATCAAAATCTCCCCACCTCATTCTATCCACAAAATATTTCATTTAATTTGTATGTAATGTCTGTTAAATATTTTAATTTTTTTAACCTTAATTTTATCTTTGCAATTAGGCCCTCCTGCCTTCAAATACGTTTACTGTTAACAACAAAAAGAGAGAAAGAGAGACATATGTCAAAACCCAAGAGAAAGGGAGAAAGAAATTGCCAGCAGAATAAGATTTGGAAAAAGCCAGGGATAAAATCTTAAGGATGAGAGGCATGAAAAGAAAATATGCTTACACAAAATGACAATAAATGAACACACGTACTTAGAATAAACATTCGATGACTGCCCCACCCCCAGACAACAAATAACCCAAATAGAGGAATAAGACATACAATTAGTCAAGTAAGAAACTGAATCCATTTCACATTCAGAAGCAAAAGGCTCCAAGTGAACATGGTTCATTGACAGTCATGTTGGGAAGAATTCATGATTCAGCTCATCAGGTGATCAATTGCCAAGCTCTTAGCAGAAAAGAATTGTACCTTATTTATTGTATCACCTCCAGTTACCAATACATCATTGGCCTTCAGTAAACTTATTGAACTAAACTAAATGAAATACCTGAGAGTTAGAGAATATGAACTCTGGCCATGGGAGTGAGCTGACTTTTCACCACCGTTTGAAAACAGGTCTATATTATCCTCCCTCAGCTAATTGATACCGTAGAAGTGGTTGAGGTGAGTCTTGCATCACTTTACATTCTGACTGAGGAAAGTTTATAGGCTTGTTTTTTCTTTTGTTGGCCCTCCTTTGTAAAGATAATTTATCACGACTTTAAATGAGCTCAAGGTTCCAGTTGTTTCCTTCTGCTCAGGTTATCAGAAGCTGCACAAAGTGGTCTGGTACTTGGGACACTTTGTTGTCCCAAAAAGACGATATTCAAAGTCTGGTTCTACTAACTCTATTCTCCTTCCTATAAGATCCTTCCTAAGAGACCGTCAGCTGTTCTGCAAGGAGTTCAGAATTACTAATGATGGATGACTGAAGAAAATGAAAAAGGTTGAGAATGCTAGGATAGGCAGATTAATAAAAATTAAAAACTTCAAATAATGTTTTGTATCTTTTGCCCCATGTCCTCCAGGTTGTTAATTACCTGTTTCAGTGTACAAGAAAAATAGGACCTATCTCCCGGTGGATGAGCATCCTTTAAACCTTTATGATGCACTTGAATTACAGCTATTAATAGCGAGCTCATGGAAGAATGAGTAAGACATTCCTACTCATTAAAGTTCTCCCAAATGATACATCCTAAACTTTAAGTTCCTTAAGTGGCTGTAACTTTCCATTAATTAAAAAGGAACAAAGTTTCCTTTTTAAAAAATTTCTAGGAAATGGGGCCTTGAAATTCATCTTCTCTGAAAAAAATGGTCAATTCCTTTGTGACTAATTATCTAAGGTATTTTTCTCTTTCCTTTTCTTCTCTGTCTCCCATTATTGGAGTGGAAGAAAGAGTGTGAGTAGAGTCGTCCTCTCCTTTATTTCTAGGCTTCTCCAGGAGTTTATATGGATCAGTGAAGACTAGTAAGGATTCAAAAAATGTGAAGACATAACGAGTGTTGAAACCATTATTATTTATATCTTTTTTGCTACTGCTGTTACCTTGCTAATTTCCATTTCACATGTTAACTTTCCATTTTCAGTCAGTGGTTTTCACGTGCTCAAAAGTCTTAGTTTCTTTCAATGCTCAGTGTTAAATATCAGATAAGTAAAAAAAGTTCTTAAATTTACATGGAGGTAAAAATAAATTAGTAAAGAACGGCCGGGTGCCGTGGCTCACACCCGTGATCCCAGCACTTTGGGAGGCCAAGGCAGGTGGATTGCTTGAGGTCAGGAGTTCGAGACCAGCCTGGCCAACATGGTAAAACTCCATCTCTACTAAAATTATACAAATTAGCTGGGCATGGTGGTGCATGCCTGTAGTCCCAGCTATGTTGGGAGGCTGAGGCACGAGAATTGTTTGAACCCAGGAGGCAGACGTGGCAATGAGCCAGGATCACAGCACTGTACTCCAGCCTGGGTGACAGAGTGAAACTGTCTCAAAAAATAAAATAAAATAAAATATAAAATAAAATAGTAAAGACCGAGGGGGAGAGGTCTGCTCCTTGAAGAACTATCAAACACATTTTGGGGATGTCTTCATCCAAGGACAACTCTGATTACCTGGATTTTTCACCAGAAAGATCTAAAGAGAAAATCAAATTTTATTATTTATTTTTTGCAACTTCTATTTTGGATTCAGGTTTGTGCAGGTTTGTTACATGAGTGTATTGCATGATGCAGAGATTTGGGGTACAAATGATCCTGTCACCCAGGTAGTGAGCATAATGCCCAATAGTTTTTCAGCCCATGTCCTCCTCCCAGTAGTCCTCAGTATCTGTTGTTCCCATCTTTATGTCCACGTGTAATCAATATTTAGCTCCCACTCATAAGTGAAACATGTAGTTATTTGCCTTTCTGTTTTTGCATTAATTTGCTTAGGTTAATGGGCTCCAGCTGCATCCACGTCAATGCAAAGGACATAATTTCTTTCTTTTTTATGGCTGTCTAGTATTCCATGGTGTATATATACCACGTTTTCTTTACCCAATCCACTGTTGTTGGGCACCTAGGTTGATTCCATGTCTTTCCTATCGTGAATAGCGCTCTGATGAACATTTGAGTGCATGTGTCTTTTTGATAGAACTATTTATTTCGCTTTGGGTATATACTCAATAATGGGAATGCTGGAGCAAATAGTAGCTCAATTTTAGGGTCTGCAAACCTAGTTTTCTTAGTTTGAAAAGCAGTTATATAATTTCATTATTATTCAGTTTGTAAATCTGGAATCATTTCTCAATAGGATGATAGTGTGTTTAAAAAAAAAAGACAATCTTCACATTTAAATTCTAATCTGCTGGGCTCTTAAAAAAGCCCAGTTCAATTTGTTTTGTTTTGCTTTCTCACACAGCTGAGATACCACAGCTTTGTAGCATCTACAAAAGATTATTAAGGTGAACTGAGAAAGTTGGTGATTGGAAAGGATAACTTTCCAGTTTTATTTTTATTCAGATTGCTGATTGATTAGGCTGCAGCACAACCTGAAATTTGGAGGAGATGAGGTTGGTCACTGTGTAGGTTGAAGGAATCCTGCAGAGAAAATGAGTAAAAATCAGAGCCCAAACCAAATCCACGTGTTTTCTATGCACTAATCCCCAGGAGCTTTAAATACATAAAACATGTGGAAAGACATAATCAAGTAGCTATAAATTCCATCATAGAAGTTTTCCAGTGGAACTAGGCAATCAGTCCATTCAAAATAAACCACAACAGGGATTCTTGATGGTGGAAAACATTACAAATAACTTGCAAGCTGGCAAGAAATTACAGCCAATAAGTGTGCTCTAAGAATAGTAGATACCTATAATAAATGATTTCCAAAGGAAATTCCAGTTATTAGAAGAAGGCCAACAAAAGATGTGGGGATGACTTTAGTTCCAGCATGCTCTGTTTCTCTCCACTGGCTTGTGTTGAAAGGAAGAACTGTTTTTTAATTCCCCATTTCAAGTAGTTCCCATGCTTTAATATAGTCAGAAAATGTACATGTTTTCCCCATAATGTAAAAGAGGGCCTCATTCTTTAAGAAAAGAATGGGAATTTCAAACAATTATTACCATTAGCATGTCTAGAGAAGATCATATTTCTATACCTTGAAAGACACATCCACGGAGTTTATAGATGAAGTCAGGTGGTAGAAATAAGGACTAGTCCTTTAAGAAATATAGGCATATGGCCGGGCGTGGTGGCTCATGTCTGTAATCCCAGCACTTTGGGAGGCTGAGGCAGATGGATCACCTGGGGTCAGGAGTTTGACAGCAGCCTGACCAACATGGCGAAACCTCATCTCTACTAAAAATTCAAAAAATTAGCCGGGCATGGTGGCGGGTGCCTGTAATTCCAGCTACTTGGGAGGCTGAGGCAGGAGAATCGCTTGCACCCGGGACATGAAGGTTGCAGTGAGCCAAGATCGCAACACTGCACTCCAGCCTGGGAAACAAGAGTGAAACTCCGTCTCAAAAAAAAAAAAAAAAAAAAAAGAAAGAAAGAAAAGAAAAAAGAAATATAGGCATATAAAGCATACATTTGCTTTGATTGCCCACTAACAGGCCCTGGGGATTTGAAGTCAGACAAGACCCTGGCCTTTCCATCAGTGATTATTCCTGAGTGGAGGATGGGGACAAATACGTATGTTGTCATGTCGCCATATCATTTGTGCAATAAGAGAGGCAGGCAAAAAAGCTCTAAGGAGAGACATCTAAAACACAGTGGGAGGCAAATTGCTTAAACTCCTGTGACCTGGATTTTCTCATCTGAAGAATAGAAACAAGGATAACCAGACTGTGGAAATATTGAAAGGATCAGATGAATCATATTATAATGAAGAATACCATACAAATGTGATCTATTGTTAATATACTTCTTAAACAGGGGTGTCCAATCTTTTGGCTTCCCTGGTCCACATTGGAAGAAGAAGAATTGTCTTGAACCACACATGAAATACACTAACACTAACAACAGCTGATGAGCTAAAAAAAAAAAAAAAAATCACAAAAAAACTCATAGTGTTTTAAGAAAGTTTACAAATTTGGCCAGGCACGGTGGCTCATGCCTGTAATCCCAGCACTTTGGGAGGCCGAGGTGGGAGGATCATGAGGTCAGGAGATCGAGACCATCCTGGCTAACACGGTGAAACCCCGTCTATACTAAAAATACAAAAAATTAGCCAGGCGTGGTGGTGAGCACCTGTAGTCCCAGCTACTCAGGAGGCTGAGGCAGGAGAATGGCATGAACCCGGGAGGCGGAGCTTGCAATGAGCTGAGATGGTGCCACTGCACTCCAGCCTGAGTGACAGAGTGAGACTCAGTCTCAAAAAAAAAAAAAGTTTACAAATTTGTGTGGGGCTGCATTCAAATCCATCCTGGGCCGCATGCAGCCTTTGAGACGTGAGGTGAATTGGACAAGCTTGTTCTAAGATAAAAAGCCTTTAATATGTGCTAAGCACTGTTATTAGCTATTTACATATATAAATCAATCCTCTCAACCACCCTATGAGGTAGATACTATTGTTAGTACTTCACAAATGAGGAAACTGAGGCCCAGAAAGATTAGGTAACTTCTGCACAGTTACACAGCTAAGTTTCAAACCCAGGCATCTGGCTCCAAGCAGAGAATTTACATTGATGTTATTGATGCTTAAGCTTTGGGACTTCTCCTTTGCCTGTGCCACACCAAGACTCTAGGTGGGGTCCCAGTAGTATCTTCATATGGCCATATGTACTTGTAAAATTTGCAAAAGTAAGACATTTTATCCAATTAGTTCAGAATATTCTCCTTTTTGATCCAACTTCAGATCCCTCATGTTTCCCCCCTTGCCAGGTAGAGTTGGAGTAAACATGTCATTTTTGAAATACAGCTAAGGGCTAGTTGAGTTGATGTTGATGACACATTCACTTTGGATTTAGTGAGATCTCTTTATGTAGCTTGCAGTCACTCCCATGACTGGTTGTTGGGGAGGCCTCACATGCTAGTGAGGGTAGAGACAGAATCCAGAGGTTTGTCTGACTCTATTGAAAATTCTCTGTACCCTACACTCCTTTCATGTGTTCAGTAATCCATAAACAGTTTTCTTAATTCTTTCTTTAACTGAGAGGCATGATAGTCTATCCTCAACCACCAACAGCATTTGGCACTACAACTCGTGTCCGACCTGGCTTTAACACACCTTTCTAGGTTATGTCCCCTCTAGATCTCCCTTTACACCATGCTCCAGCCAAAGGGCACTTCTTCCTTTGCTGGGCCATGCTCTTTGCTCTTGCTTAGGCGTTTATTAACTTTCTTGCTGACATGGCACGAAATCTGACATTAGCAAAGATAACATACACTCCTAATTCACCATAAAAAACATCAGCGTCACACTGGTTAGTGGGCGTTAGCATTTAAAATAAGTCAATAGACAAGAAAACTTGAAATGCCAGAAATCTTACAGCTTATATATAAAAAAGGAACTAGAGTTTTTTTTAGATTTGATGAAGATTCTAAAAATACATATGGCATTATCAATAATGGAGTTTGAAGCTGAAAGTTTTCTAAACTATCAGTAACTATAAATATTGGCTAATAATATTAACCCCTCACAATGGTGGAAAGACAGAATTTGCATACTATTCTTGCCAAAATAGTGATATAAAAGTTGTTATAGGCCAGGCACAGTAGCTCACACCTGTAATTCCTTTAGGAGACTGAGGTAAGAAGATTGCTTGAGGTCAGGAGTTCAAGACCAGCCTAGGCAACATAGTGAGAACCCCATCTCTACAAAAAAAAAATGTTGTTACGTGCAGCACAAATTACAGTAGAAGTAGTATAAGATGTATCAGCAGTTAATAAATAAAATATTTTTTCTGGATTTTCTGATTTGGAGAAAGTCTTTGAAAACTGTAATGTTATTTGTTTTGTAACCTTTTATAAATATTTGTTTCATACCTAATGTTTTTTTCTATCCTTAAAGAGAGTTCCACAAAATGTATAACATTTAGGACTGGCCAGGCATGGTGGCTCACACCCGTAATCCCAGCACCTTGGGAAGCTAAGTCGTGAGGATTGCTTGAACTCATTGTTCCAGACCAGTCTGGACAGCATAGCAAGACCCCATCTCTAAAAAAATAATTTTAAAAATGAGCTGGGTGTGGTGACATATGCCTGTAGTCCCAGCTATTCAGGAGGCTGAGGTGGGAGGATCACTTGAGCCCAGGAAGTCAAAGCTGCAGTGAACCATGATTGCGCCACTGCAACAGAGCAAGACCCTGTCTCAAAAACAAACAAACAAACAAAAAAAACAGGACCAAAAAAACTTGGGTTTGTCTCGTGGTTTTTTCCCTAACCCGTTCCCCCAATCCATTTTCCCTAACTCATTTTTTCCTAACCCAATAGCTTTTGGTTTAAGCTGTTCTGATAGTTACATACTGCTTTGAATGAACATATTGCTTTGTTATATGAATTTTGAGTAGTTACATTGATGCTTTAAATGAACCAGAGGGAGACAGGAGCACAGACTGGATAGAGTTCTGCTGGGAGTGACCAAGCTGTGTAGTCCTGCCTCTAGACAGCTGTGTGTGTCTTGAATCCTAGTGCCTCCTTCCTCTAGGTAAGTAAAGTAGTGCCTTCCACTGCATGGTCTGCGGTGATTGTTCTTGGCTCTGGGTTCTGCGGGCCTCTGACAACTATATGAAAAATATTCTTTCTCTTTACTCTGTTATTTTTAGTTTGGCTAATAGGAAATGAATGTGGTTATTTGAAGAGCAGAAAGCAAATAACCAATGATTTCCTGCCTTACGCCTTAAATTTGCTTATCACTCTATTACCTGCATCATTGAGGCTTCCTCCTTATCAGTATTACTAAGTATTAAATATATTAGTCAGTTAGACAGAAACTCTAACAAAATCAATTGCTGCGAGTTAAAGAAAAGCAAAGCAAGTTTCTGGGGCCAAAGGAGCCCAAGCAAAAATCAGAATGCAATAGTAAATGTGGCTCTGGGAAGTAACAAGCCAGGCTGATGGATTACTTTACACCTAAAGCAAAATTATCACCATCAGAGACCTGGCCATCCCAAGTAACAGCTTAGGTCTGTGGTTCTCAATGTCAACTGAATATTAGAATCACCTGGACTTTAAAAACTAAAGTGTCCTGCCCCGCTCCCTTCTGAGAGTCTGATTGCGTTTCCCAGGTGATCCTATGTGCAAATAGATCTGAGCACCTCTGGTCTAGGTGTTAAGCTTTCTGGGGCAGCGGAGAGGCTGGATGCTTATAAACCTTCTCTTAAACAAAGGCTAATATCAGAGCTGGATCCATTTAGTAAAAGAATTCAGTTAAATATAGCTCTCCCAGAAGGAAAAGTATTTTAAGCTATTATTAGTCATTTATACTTTAGTGCAACTCTGTTCAACAAATAGAAGCTTCTGTGATGATGGAAATGTTCTATATTTGTGCGTCTACTTTCTTAGTCCACTAGCCTCATGTGTCTATTGAGCACTTGAAATGGGGCTAGAACAACCGAGTGACTGAATTTTAAATTTCGTTTTAACTCATTTAAATTTAAATCGTTGCATGTGGCTAGTGGCTACCATGTTGGTCAGTGCAGTTCTCGTGTAAATGGGTAATGAGTAAAGTGATAGAGTAGGGGTTACTGTATGCCCGAGGAGAGGAGTGAGAAGGAAGCCTGAGGATGGAAAAAAAGGGAGTAAATGAGGTCAGGTTCACTATGAAAACTCCATAGGAAGAGCAGAGGAGAAGCTATAGCAAAATGTGGCTTTGGGAACGCCTATCATTCTTGGTGCCACCCCAAAATAATGTTGAAGAGAAATTTTTGAGCTAGGGACTTTGGCTCTGATCTGCCCCACCTCTCTTCTACAGACTAGTGCCTGACCAAATAGTAAAGCTCACAGAAGCTCTTGCTGCTGGGAACTGTTGCTAGGAAAGCAGCAAGGAGAAGTGGAAAGAGTAAGACACTGGTGCTTACAAGCCAAAAAAAAAAAAAAGTCACCTGGTATCTCGGAATCACTGTTGCTTCATAGCACAAGTGGTAAGATGTGAGTGTCTACTCAGTGCCATTCAACACATCTGATGTTGCCAAATCAAATCAGACTATAGATGGAAGCCCCTTGGACCTTAAGAGAACCACTGAAATTATTGATTATTCCTGTGGAAAGAGCTGATCCCACTTAAATACTACCCCTTCAAGAGGTATTGTGAAAGAACTTCCATAGGTGCATGGGTGATTCAGTGGTAGAATTTTCACCTGCCATGCAGGAGGTCCAGGTTCATTTCCTGGCCTATGCAACATGGCATCCCATTTTGGCTGGGCGTGGTGGCTCACACCTGTAATCCCAGCACTTTGGGAGGTCGAGGCAGGCAGATCATTTGAGGGCAGGAGTTCGAGATCAGCCTGGCCCACATGGTGAAACCCTGTCTCTGCTAAAAATTAGCGGGTCCTGGTGGCACACGCCTATAGTCCCAGCTACTCAGGAGGCTGAGGCGTGAGAATCGCTTGAACCTGGAAGGCAGAGGTTGCAGTGAGCCGAGATTGCACCACTGCACTCCAGCCTGGAGGACAGAATGAGACTCTGTCTCCAAAAAAACAGAGAAAAAGAACTTCCAGGCCAGGCGCGGTGGCTCACGCCTATAATCCTAGCACTTTGGGAGGCTGAGGCAGGTGGATCACGAGGTCAGGAGATCGAGACCATCCTGGCTAATACGGTGAAACCCCGTCTCTACTAAAAATACAAAAAATTAACCAGGCATGGTGGTGGACGCCCGTAGTCCCAGCTAGTCGGGAGGCTGAGGCAGAAGAATGGCGTAAACCCGGGAGGCAGAGCTTACAATGAGCTGAGATCATGCCACTGCACTCCAGCCTGGGCGACAGAGCGAGACTCTGTCTCAAAAAAAAAAAAAAAAAAAAAAAAAGAATTTCCAGAGGCATGAAGAACATGATGTCTGTAGACGTCAAGACTGGAAGGAATTTTCTAAGCATAAATCTTGGTCCTATGATGTTACAGGCCGAAAGAATGAGGGTCGTGATCAACTCAGTATACCACTGGAGGCTATATGAGTAAGCAACAAAACTGTTTCTCATAAATGCAGAATTGTGACAAACTGACAAAACTGCATCTGCCATCCAGAAGGAATGCTGAGGGCAGTCATGCCCCAAGCGCAGTGTTTCTTGTGATTAGGTACATCTGAAGCCTGTTAGTAACAATATGAACGTGTGATCAATTAAGCAGCTGACCAGTTGTTACCTCCTTCTCCTCGCTTTTGTTACCCAATAAATAGGAGGGGCTGTGGAAGCTCAGGGGTGCCTTTGCTCACTGGAAGTGGGGAGCTCTCTTCTTCTTCCCCGGCTTCCCTTCCTTTAAAACAGTTTCTTTTGTTTTTTGTTATAATTTCTAAGTTCGTCCCTTCGTTCAGTTTGTAATGACGGTCTCAGGCAGTAACAACAGTAACTGCTATAATGACCGTCTCAAGTAGTAACCGTGGCAGTCGGCCACATTATGACAGAGCCTATGGCAGGCCAGTCAGTAACATTTTGTAGATGGCTACCTACACTATTAATTCTCATGAACTGTTCTTTGCCTCTAGTCTTTACCCTATTCCAGAACTAGCGAGTTGATTGCATCAGTCTCTGAGTAACATTTTTTAAAACTTGACAATATGCATTGACAAGGAGTTTATCTAGTTAAATAATTCCTATTTAAATACCTGGTTAATGATATTTGGGTCTTATATCTACCCTCAAATCAATTTTATATTTTTAATGACACTACAGGTCAATTCCTTTTAAGAAAAATTGGCAAAGAAATATTTTTATGTTTTATTTGGATAATGGTCCCAGAGAGCCCTGGCACACATTTTGACAGAGTGAAAAAGGTTCAGGAAAAAACCCACAAGCATAATGAAAACAGAGGGGAAAGGTAAAATCAACAGTAAGTCTTGGATAGAAGTGAAAGTGTGACCATTTGCAATAGCAAAGAGTATACCTGGCTGTCTTTCACAATTCACCTAAGGAGTTGCTCACGGATCTTGCATGGTGGCTTGAACTCTAGCATATTCCTTCTGATCCTGACCGAACAGCAGTCCTCCTCAGTCTCAAGAGCCTCACATTACATGTGTGAGGCCCAGTCCCAAACCAAGGATCTAGAGTCCTTAGGTGCAGCACCCTTCCTACTTGCTCTTTCTGATTCCAGAACTCTGACCTCTTCTTCCTCAGTTCAGTAGGGCCACAGTTTTCTTTCTGGTTGCATTCTACCTCTTTGTGCTCAGAAAATTTTCTCCAGGCACAGAGCTAGCATGAAGTGAGAGTCATCTCGTGAGATTCTCTTCTGTTAGGGATTAAAGGCTTGCACTGTCAATGTCCAAAGTCCACTGTCTGGAAATCATTGCTTCACATATTTTGTCCAATCTTTTAGCTTTATGTTTTGTATGGGTAAAAGTGAAAGTCATTCCTGTTTGATAAGATTTTTAACAAATCCTTGCAATGTTTATAAGAGACACATCAAAATACATTGAATATAATAAAGAGATAGAGAATGATAGACTAAAAAAAAGACTACCAAGCAAAGCTATTGAAGCCTTATTGGCCGGGTGCAGTGGCTCACACCTGTAATCCCAACACTTTGGGAGGCCAAGGCAGGCAGATCATGGGGTCAGGAGATCGAGACCATCCTGGCTAATATGGTGAAACCCCGTCTCTACTAAAAATACAAAAAAAATTAGCCAGGCGTGGTGGCAGGCACCTGTAGTCCCAGCTACTTGGGAGGCTGAGGTGGGAGAATGGCGTGAACCCGGGAGGTGGAGCTTGCAGTGAGCTGAGATCGTGCCACTGCACTCTAGCCTGGGTGACAGAGTGAGGCTCTGTCTCAAAAATAAATAAATAAATAAATAAAGCCTTATTAATAAAATATACATTCCAGCAGCATAATGATAAGCAAAAGGATTACTTATATATTGCTAACAGGAAAAATTTATAGGAAAATACGACAAAGATGAACTTGTATGAGCTTAAAAACATAGCCCCCAAATGCAAAAACAAAATATTTAAACACATAGAGAAATTCCATCAGAGTTGGACATTTTAGCCTACCTCTTCCAGTAATTAATTGATATGAACCTATATTATTTGAAAAATATGATTTATAAGCTTTATCTAATGAACAGATGCACAACTCTGCACCCAGTAATTGAGGGTACACAGTCTTTACAAACACACATGGAATATATATAAATATTGAACACTTAATAATTCACAGTAAGTTTTATCAAATAATATAATCATTTATATATATTAATTTAATATATATCAGTATCAAAACCCTCTTCCAGATTATTTTGACTCTAAGAAAAAATTAAAACGTACATTAGAAACTAGAACATAACAATGATGACCATACTATATTAAAAAAATGTAACCTGCAGCTACAAAACTGTCCATAGTAAAAGGTATAATGTTAAATACTAACATGAAAAGAAAGGATGAAAACAATGAGTAATCAACAACTCATAGTTAAGAAACAAAACAAACCTAAATGTAGGAGAAAGAAAATATTGACAAGAGAAAAAGAAAGTAAACAAAACAAAATATATAGGACCAGCCAACAAATGCAAACCCCAAACGTTGTCTACGAAGATGAACAAACCTCTGATAAAAGTGATTGGTGAAAAGTGGGCATTATATTTATAATAGAGATTTTTTTAACCACAGAAGAATACATGAATAATTTTATCTTTGGTAAATTTTAATACTGAGATAACACTTAAATAATTTATTGGAAAAATATTAATTTAACTTTAAAAAACTAAATTTGTATTTTTAAATCCACTTATCATTAACAAAGAAAAGAGAAAGAAATAGTCCTGAAAAACACCAGACAACAATGTTTTTCTTGGCAAATTATATGTAATCTTCGGGTAACATATAATACCTATCTGAAAAAACTGTTACAGAGGATAAAAATATGGCACAACTCCCTAAATTCTTGATGTAAGTTAGGGTGGAGTGGACAAAGAGAAGATGAAGTAAAACATTCTAAAGTTCTCATGGGGGTAGGAAGAAAAGTTATAGGAAAAGGATGGTGAAAGTTTTCTAACATTCTTATGATATTGGGATGGCAGAAAAATAAGGAAAAATTAGAGCATATTAAATGGTAAACTGAAATTTAGGGGGACATGTTTGGGTTATTTTTGATTGATCATGTGAGCAAAGAAAGAAAAGTCAGCCATTGATGAAATGTAAAATTACATCATCAGAAATTCTAAAACAAGGTCATTAAAAACATAAATTGAATACAAATTTGATCAACCCACAGAAATAATAAACAATAAAGATTTGAGAAAATCATGTAAGATAAGTAATAAACTTAAAGTAAAGAAAGAAGGGATACATCATGAATAATCCAAATCTCATGTTGAAATGTAATCCCCAGTGTTGGAGATGGGGCCTGGTGGGAGGTGTTTGGGTCAAGAGAGTGGATCCTTCATGAACGGCTTGGTTCCATCCGTACAGTAATGAGTTCACTCAAGAGTCAGTTGTTGCCCTTGCTCCCTCTCTCACTCCTGCCCTTGCCATGTGAATGTGTCTGCTCCTCCTTTGCCTTCTGTCATGAGTAAAATCTCCCTGAGGCCCTTACCAGAAGCAGATGCTGGTGCCACACTTCTTGTACAGCCTGCAGAACTGAGAGCCAATTAAACCTCTTTTCTTTACAAATTACCCCATCTTGAGTATTCTTTTATAGCAATGCTAGAATGGCCTAACACAATCATGTATAAAATATGCATGCCATGTATAAAATATAAGCAAAAGGATTACTTATATACTGCTAACAAAAAATTCATAGGAAAATATAACAAAGCTGAACTTGTGTGTGTTCAAAAACATAGCCCCCAAATGCAAAAAAACAAAATATTTAATTAAACACATAGAGAAATTTATAAATAGTGCATTCCATCAGAGTTCATCACATGAACAAACATTTCTCAAGAGAAGACATACAAGTGGCCAAAAAGCATTAAAAGAAATCAACATCACTAATCATCAGAGAAATGCAAATTAAAACCACAATGAGATATCATCTCACACTGGTCAGAATGGCTATTACTAAAAAGTCAAAAAATAATAGATACTGGTAAGGCTGTGTAGAGAAGGTAGTACTTATACACTGCTGGTGGGAATACACACTAGTTCAGTCACTGAGGAAAGCAGTTCAGAGATTTCTCAAAGAACTTGGAACTATCAGGTTGGTGCAAAAGTAATTGAGGGTTTTGCCATGATTTTCAATGGCAAAACATGCAATTACTTTTGCACCAATTTATACTATTCAACCCAGCAATCCCATTACTGAGTGTATATCCAAAAGAAAAGAAATTGTTCCACCAAAAAGACAGATGCACTCACATTTTCGTCACAGCACTATTCACAATAGCAAAGACATAGAATCAACCTACATGCCCATCAGTGGTGGACTGGGTAAAGAAAATGTGCTGCATCTACATCATGGAATACTACACAGCAATAAAAAAGAATGAAATCATGTCTTTTGCAACAACATTGATGCAGCTTGAGGCCATTATCCTAGACAAATTAACTCAGGAACAGAAAACCAAATACCACATGTTCTTATTTACAAGACGGAGCAAAACATTGGGTACTCATGGACATAAAAAAGGCAACAATAGATTCTGGGGAATATTAGAGGTGGGAGAAGGAGGCAGACAAGGGTTGAAAAACTTCTGGGTACTATAGTCACTTCCTGGGTGATGAGCTCAATTGTACTCCAAACCTCAGCATCACACAATATCCATGTAGCAAACCGGCATATGTATCCCCTGAATCTAAAATAAAGGTTGAAATTACAAAAAACAAACAAACAAACAAACTAACAAAACAGGAATACCTCTCATCACACTAAAAATAAATAGACCACATTCGATTCGATTCTTCTATTAGAGAGAGTATTTCAGGTTACATCTTACAAGAAGTCCAGAGAGTTAGGAAACACAGAATCAGCTTATCTTTAAGCAGTTTATTAGTTGTATTGTTTTAGTATATTTTTAAGCAGTATATTTTTATTTAGTATATTTTAAGCAGTATATTTTTAAGCAGTATATTAGTAAGTGTTTTTACTTAAAAAAAATCTTCCAACACATTTTCAAGTGATGTATTTCTGGATTAAAAGCACTGGCTTTAATTTTGAATATGAACTGTCCAAAAGCTTAGAAACACAAGAAAAATAACGCATTATTATACCTTTTTCAGATTAACAATTAAAATTTAGATGTAAAATTGTAATGAGAATACTTTTGTAAGAAAATCTAGGAGTAGAGAAAATTTTAACCAACACTGAAAACTCAGAATTATATAACAATTTCAAAATTAAAAGCTTCTGCCAGGCACAGTGGCTCAGTGCCTTTAATCCAACTCTTTGGGAGACCAAAGAGGTGGATCACTTGATCTCCGAAGTTCGGAACCAGCCTGGGCAATATGGCAAAACCCTGTCTTTACAAAAAATACAAACAATTAGCTGAGCATGGTGGCACACACCTGTGGTCACAGCTACTCAGGAGGCTGAGATGGGAGGATCACTTGAGCCTGGGAGGTTGAGGCTGCAGTGAGCCGAGATCATGCCACTGCACTCTTGCCTGGGTGACATAGCCAGATCCTGCCTCAAAAAAAAAAAAAAATTAAAAGCTTTTATATAACAAAACTGTTACAAATAAAATCAAGAGGTGATTATAATGATGGAGAATATTTGTAATGTGGATGTTAAAGCATTAATGTATACTCATACAAGGAGCTATTAAAATTGACAAGAAAATGACAGCTCAATAGCATATCCGATAGCATAACCTAGGAGTACATAAACCACAGAGGAGTTAATCTAAATGGGCAAGAAACACTTAAAAGAAATGCTTGTTTGAAAAAAAAATAAAGCCAAAAAACCCAGAAAGATCACTTTGTACCCATCAGGCTAGTAAAATTTAACAATGAGCTACAACACCCCATTGTTGTCAAAATGAATATAAAGATTACTTTCATACTTTCAATGTTAATGTGATATGTTACAACTTCTTGGAAAGCAATCTAGCAAAATACACTAAAATTAAAAATAAATATATTCTTGACCTAGCCATCTCTCTTGTGGGACTCTGTCCCAATGAAATATAAGCACTAACAGATGTATAAAACTGTTTATTGCAACCATGTTTTAGTGGCAAGAAAACAAGCAAAATGTTAATACCCACTAATAGGGGAGTGGATGAAGAAATTATAGAACACTTACTCTTGTGAACACTTGTTTATAAAATATTATTCAACCATTAAAAATTATTGCTATACTAGTTTACTTGGAAGTAAAGTATAGTTATGGGCTCACTTCTGTCTAATATTGTGCTGTTAAACAGGAATGACAAGTACATATATTCAAAGACACCAGTGTGTTATTAAAAATTGTGCTGAAGCTATTTTGTGTGTGTGTCAAGTTCTCAAGTTAATTTTCCTTCCTGAATACTAACAAAAACGTAATAGATTTCTAAAAAGAATTGTTACAACATACTAGATGAAAACACTTTCTCATGTGACTTTAAATGATGATTGGAAACTCTCCTGTTTAATTGACTGAGAAGACCCAGCTCCCATCTTGGTATTCTTCTAACACAAATTTAATCTTGCAAATAATACCCTGTTCTTTTACGAAACACATCTATAAGAGAATAGTTAATAGGAACAAATTAAGATTTTGTAAAAACTATGATCAATAAAATAAGACAGAGCAGTCAGAGGATCATTATGAGAAAGTTGAAGATTAATAGCACTATTGTCAGTATAAAAGCCATTTTATTCCTGAAAATTACCATATCAAAAAAGAGACCACCACTCACTGCCACCTTATAAATTCATAGTTCCATGTAAATAGGAATACAGTAAACTCTGCAAAATTTCAGACTAAATGAATTTAAATTTTTTAATACAGGACTTCTCAGAGCTTTTATTTTGTTATTCTGATTTATGATCCTTCAAGAGAAGGGTTTACTGTACGTGACTGTGTGACTCCCCCATTTTATTCAGACTCTCTTACTAGATAAATGTTTCTAGGAATATTGAGGACTTCTGCCCCTGAAAGCGATGTATTTTAATGTCCTGTATTGCCTTCAATTTAGTATATGTTTGTTTCTTTATTGGGTTTCTGCTGTATACCTTGTACTATGTTGAAGGCTGGAGATGTAGTGAAGTTCAAAGTCTGGTTGAAAAAGCAGATATGCAAACAAAGTGTTATATGATAGGCTTAGTTCAAGGTTGGCTCTGGGTTAGGACAGTGGAAGATGAGAAGGAAGAACAAACTATTATCTCTATAGTGGAGAGTAAAGCTCCTCAATTGCAGGCAGTCAGAGGAGAAGTAAAATTTAGAACAGGTCCCACACCAGACTGAGAAGTAAAGAGTTTACTTTTAGTGTCTATAATGAGACTGAAACTCTACCTGAGACAAACCTTGATTTCTTTTCCTTTTCTGCAACATCTCTCAAGTGCCTCCCACCTTAGGCCCAAATCCCTGCCAGAAACTCATCTAGAACACTCTTCTCTGGAACTCATAAGTCTAATTCTTTGTTTTCAAACTCACTCCTTCAGGGCTGGACATCTCCTGAAACACTGTTCTTATCCAGAGTTGAAGGTCTCTTTCCTGAATCCATTAAAAGATGACTTCCTTTAGCTTCTCCAGGAATTTGTTTTCTTATCCTATCTCTCAAAGCCAGACTTTTTCTATCGCCTAAGAAAACAGTTACTATATCTGATGTTCTGATTGTTACTAATGTGCTGATGGGGGTGTGTTAGTTTTAGACCTCAGAGAAACAGATGCCAAAATGGGATTAGAAGTGCAAGAGAGATATTGGGGGAAATGCTTACGAAGGGTTAAGGGAAGAGAATAGAAGAGGAGGAGAGTTCGGTCTGCAGTGCAGTTCCGATGCCTGTGGAGGAAAAGGACTGGGTAGGAAGAGGTGCAGTCAGCAGCACAGCTCTAAGAAGACATCCTCTCATGACAAGTCTTAGGTGGTGGTTGTTATTTTCAAAATTACTAGAACTCATGAATATGAGCATAAATGATATGTTTTCATCTATTGTATTGTTGTCTTTATAGATGTCACATCTTTGGTTGGTAGGACCATGTTAGATTGGATCCTGAGTCATTTTGATGCAATTATAGTCTTTGATAAGTTCATTGCCATCTCATATGATAACAGATTCCAAGCTCATCTCATACAATTCCTACCTCAGACCTCAGAATTATACATATCTCTAAGACATGTTTCTTTTAGTGGGAAATATGATTTAGGAACCGGAATCCATTCCTTAGGGGTATTATGATTACTCCTGATCATTTCTAGGCCTTTTCAGTGGACAGAGCTATAAAATATAAATTAATTTTGATACATTCAATGCAAATTCAGAACTGTATTGTTTCTGCATACCCTCAACTGTCTTACAATTACAGAATTTTTCTTTTATCTGATGCAAAGTGTCCTGGTTTTCAATGACAATGGTGACACTAAAATTTGAGTATTACATAACTGTTCATTTGATTTAGTACACTTGAGTCACAGAACACTCTAGAATAATAACATTATTACCACTAATAACATAATTGCTGAAAGAACTAAATATTTAGTAGCTTTTTTGTTCTCTGTATACCCCACTGAAACTATACAAATTTCTGTGTTTTAAAATCATTGGAAATAATTCCACTTGGTGTGGTTGTGCCACCAACTGGTACAAAATAGGTTCATTTAAAAAATTATTTTTAATATTTAGAAATTTTTAAAATTTTAAACTTTTTAAATAATTATATTAAATAACATGTATGTTTCAAAAGACAAATCTACAAGTAGAAGATACAGTCAAAGAACTCTAGCTCCCATCCCTGTCCCTTCTACCTGAGTTCCCCTCTTCACGTATTGCTAACTAAAATAAGATTTATCCTTCCTTTGTTCTTTTTGTAATATAAGATATTATTTTACAAAATATAATAAGATATTATATTACAAAATATACATATTTTATATTACAAAAAGAACAAAGGAAGGATAAACCTTACTTGGTTTACATACATTTTCTTTTTGATAAATAATAGCATTCTAAACACATTTTATCTTGCTTTTTGGACTTAAATCTTGGAGACTGTCCCATAGTAGTATATATAGATATTACCCATTCCTTTTTTACATCTCTGTAATATTCCATTGTGGTTTATATTTTATTCAACCAGTCTCTTGACGACAATTTGAGGTGTTTTCAGTCTTTTGCTGTAACAATATCCCAACCATCTAGGTTGTCATACCTCTATAATTTTTCCCAGGGTAATAGGTGAGAAATTGTATCTCAGTAGAGTTTTAATTTGCATTTCTCTTGTGAGAGAGTTCATGTGCCTTTTTTATATAAGTAAGAACCATATCCCTTTCTTTTTGTGTGAGCTGTTCATTTTACTAGCCTATTTTCCTACAGTATCAGTCTTCTCTATTGCATAAATGAAGCAGGAAAGGGATTGAGAGATATGGAGAAATAAAAAACAAATTGCAATTTGGCTGCTGATGATGAATGAATCCCAGAACAGCTTTCTCACTGTGGCTGTAGACATCTATCAGACCACAATTCAACCTTTCAACAACCACAAAAACATTGGTTTGTTGGCATGGGTAACTCTCTGAGTCCTAGTGAGGTCTCCAATGCTTCACTAAAGTGATCTAAGATACAAAGTACCTGAGATTTTGTTCGTACTCATATTCCTCTTTTTTTTTTTTTTTTTTTTGAGAGAAGTCTTGCTCTTGTCCCCGAGGCTTGAGTGCAACGGCTCGATCTCGGCTCACTGCAACCTCTGCCTCCCAGGTTCAAACGATTCTCCTGGCTCTGCCTCCCGAGTAGCTGGGATTAAGGTGCCTGCCACCACGCCCAGCTAATTTTTGTATTTTTTAGTAGAGACAGGGTTTCACCATTTTGGCCAGGCTGGTCTCGAACACCTGACCTCAGGCAATCTGCCTGCCTCAACCTCCCAAAGTGCTGGGATTACAGGCATGAGCCACCGTGCCCAGCCTATTCCTCTTATTATTATTATTACTTTATATCTGCTGGTTAAATGTACTCTATAAGGAATTACTTCCCAATCTTTTTCAAATAATGGCAAAATAGACAATTATAGTGTTTATATAGTACACCAAGATAAGCTACAAGTAGTTTGGGGATGTTTATATGGGGCTTTCTGAAATTATCTTTACATTACTTAACTATCATAAAAGCCCAAATTATTAGAGATGATATTAAATGTTGAATTTAGATATAACCTCAAAATTACATTTTTTGAATGGGTTAATGGGAAACTTAAGCTTGATTTTGTGAATACATCTTTTTAAAGTTAGTTTGAAATAGCGACATGAAATTCTTAACCTCCCACGAAGAGATACTTTGTTCACAAAATGAAGTGACGAAAATATTACAACCTCATGTTTTAACCATTCCCAAATTTATAACTTTTGAAATTATATTCAGAAAATGAATGCTCCTCGCTCTTCTTTCAACGGTAAATGTCATATGAAAATTTCATATGATCTGTGCAAACATAAGTTTGCAGTCACCCCCTGGTGCTGCTACTGCCAGTGGACCCGGCCAAGCTTCCTTAGACCAGCTCACCTCGGTCTATGGGCCTTTTCCTTGGCCACAAACTCTTCCCGTGGCTCCCCTAGTGTCGGAACACGATGGGTAAAATGGCATTCTCTGAGACCAGTTGCTCAAGAAGTTGTCCAGGTGGTGGATCATCCATTTGGCTTCCCCAGTCACTTCACTGAGGAGAGGTAGTGCTAGATGTGGCTCAGCATGCTTGTCACCTGCAGGGATAGCAAGACACCCCATTGGACCTTGTGCCACCAGCTACTACCTAAGGAGCTTCAAACATGCCTTCTTTGGTCAGAAATGACCATCCCTAGGGCTCCATCTACCTGACAGCTGAAGGGTCAGTATCTCCTGGCACACAGGTGACCCACACCAGTTGAGAAGAGCTGCTATCATGCATTGGTTAGAAAATGCCATTTCTAAATCCTTTCCTTGCCACTCAATAGTGGGTGACATAAGGGAAACAAAGGTTTCAAAAGTTGTTTTTAAATGGAATGTTTGCTAAATTAAAAACAAATTAAGAAGCAACTCTGCTTCAGATTTTATCGTACTCATTTGGGTAGAAATGAGAGTTTTTAGGTAGAAAAAAATTATATATGTGTAACAGCTGTGTTTCCTGGCTTACTTCTCACATTGTCAGAAAACTGTACGTAAGCGACAGGCTATCCTAGGGCACCCTCAGATTCAAAAACTCACCATGGCTTTGCCTAACATTCAATTCACTGCAAACACCTTAGACAAGTGTACAAGTTATAGAGGAATAACAAGAAACATCATTGATGTGGTTTGGCTGGGTCCTCACCTAAACCTCATCTTGAATTGCAGCTCCATAATTCCCACATGTTGTGGGAGGGACCCGGTGGGAGACGATTGAATCATGGGGGCGTTTTCCCCCATACTGTTCTCACGGTAGTGAATAAGTCTCACAAGATCTGATGGTTTTATAAGATTTTTGCTTGGCTCTCATTCTCTCTTGTCTGCTGCTATGCAAGACTTGTCTTTCACCTTCCACCATGGTTGTGAGACCTCCCCAGCCATGTGGAACTGTGAGTCCATTAAACTTCTTTTTCTTTATAAATTACCCAGTCTCAGGTATGTCTTTATTGGCGGCATGAAAATGAACTAATACAATCATCTTACCAAACTTGACTTTCTCTGGCTCATAATAGATATGTTTGCCTATAATGTTATACTCTTTGCAGAAGATATTCTATAATATCACCAGTTACATGTACCTTGAAATCAACTGGCCTATAGACATCCAAATTCTATAAAATGGTTAAGGACAGCATGACTTACATTTTTTATGTGTTCAGCAGATGTAAAGAATACTGTCAAGATCTCTCTCTGTGTGTGTGTGTGTGTGTGTGTGTGTGTGTGTGTGTGTGTGTGTGATGAGGATTCTAATAACATGAGGCAATGATGGGAAGAGAGAAAAAGTAAAGACAGGGAAGAAGGGTGGAGAGGGAAAGGATTGGATGACCAGGATAGAGGAATAAATAGAGATAGGTGGTTAAAGATAGATAGAGATTGTTATAGCACAGAAGCACCAAAGTTATAAATTATTACCCAGTTAATTCCACAAAAATTTAAGTGCCTACTGTACCAGGAGCTGGGGTACAACAGTGGACAAAACCAGATAAAACTCCTGCCATTCGTAGTTTACATTCTGGCTGATTCTGTGCAGCTGCCAAGCCTTAGTAAATAACTTTCTTAAAATATATTCAGGAAACGTCTCTATTCATAAATAGTACCTCTTGAGGGTTTGAAAAGGTACATTCAATCTTTTTTTTTTGTCTTTTTAAAATCTTATTTTCAATTGACAAATTATAATTGTATATATTTGTGGAGTACAAGGTAATATTTTGATATAGGTACACATTGTGGATGATTAAATCTAGCTAATTAACAAATGCATTACCTCACATACTTTATCATTTTTTTGAGATGCAAACATTTAAAATCTACTCTCTTAGCAATTTTCAATACAATGCATTATTAATTATATCCATTATGCTGTGCGATAGGCCTCGAAAACTTATTCCTCTTATCTAACTGCAACTGTCCCCTTTGACCAACATCTCCTCCTTCCCCCCTCCAGCACCACACCACTTCAGTCTCTGCCATTCTACTCCGCTTCTCTGAGCTGAACATTTCTAGATTCTATATATAAATAACATAAAGTAGTATTTGTCTTTCCGTATCTGGCTTATTTCACTTAGCATAATGTCAGCCAGGTTTATTCCTGTTGTTGGAAATGACAGAATTTCCTTTTTAATGCTGAATAGTATTACATTGTGTACACATAACACACTCATATTTATCCATTGATGGACATCTAGGCTGATTCCACATCTTGGCTATTGTGAAAAACACTTCAATAAACATGGGAGTGCAGACACCTCTTTAACATACTGATTTTAATTCTGTTGGATATATACCCAGGAGTAGGATTGCTGGATTATATGGCATTTCTACTTTTAGCTTTCTGAGGAACTTCCATACTGTTTTCCATAATGGCTGTACTAATTTACATTCCCACCAACAATGTACTAGGGTTCCCTTCACTCCACATCCTCACCAACATTTATCTTTGTTTTTAACCACAGCCATTCGAACTGGTGTGTGGCAATACTCACTCTGGTTTTAACTTGCATTTCTCTGATGATTAGTCAAAGATATATACAATTTTTATTTTCAATTTTGAGAAATGTAGCAGATAACCAAGTAGTATACAACTGTCTTAATTTCATGACATACAATGATTTTTTAAAAATGCATAAAACAGCACAAGTGGTTTAATGAAAAGTTATAAAAACAAAGTTGTACATTTTATTACCACTATCTATTTCCATTTCTGTATTTTCAATAGGAATTTTATGAGGTCTGTGTTTTCAGGGAATTCATTTTCAGATTGTAAAATTCCTTCATAAACTATAAAATTATATACAAATGGGTGGTGACAAATTATATTTTCTATTCCTCATATTTCAGGGAGTTTCTCTACCCTCTTCCTGAAGCCTTGACCCACACCAAGCTAGGTCAAACAAAAAGGACCATCTTGTCACTCTTTAATAAGTGAAATAATATACCTGGGGGTCTTGTTGACATAATGAAGGATTAGGGATGTTATGATGGGCAAGCTGTGTCTTGAAGCTGTTTAATGCAGAAGATTCCAGGAAGAACCAGTTTCTGTCACTCCTGGATACACATAGGACCTGAAGCATCTATGGCCCACTCTTCCATCCACTTCATCATCAAAAGGAAAACTACATGGAACAATTCAATTGTCAGCTGAAACCTAGAGGAAGAAGTGCACCACTGGGGAGCAGAAAGAAAAGGGAGTGGGGCTGGGTGCGGTGGCTCACGCCTGTAATCCCAGCACTTTGGAAGGCCGAGGCAGGTGGATCACGAGGCTGGGAGATCAAGACCATCCTGGTTAACATGGTGAAACCCCATCTCTACTAAAAATACAAAAATTAGCTGGGTGTGGTGGCGCGTACCTGTAATCCCAACTACTCAGAAGGCTGAGGCACGATAATCGCTTGAACCCAGGAGACGAAGGTTGCAGTGAGCCGAGATCGCACCACTGCTCTCCAGCCTGGCAACAGAGTGAGACTCCGTCTTAAAAAAAAAAAAAAAATGAAAAGGGAGTGGAGTCAGACAAAGGTGTGGACACTGTGGTGCCCACACAAATGTACTGATTTGCACCATGCTCTGAACTACAAAAATAAGATTTCTTTCCTGTCCTGTCAGCCACTAAACACATGCATAAGGGGCTTCACAACTGTTTATTTTTAATTATTATTATTATTGCTGCTGGTGTTGTTGTTGATATGGTAACAGACTCTAAACATACCTGTTTTCCACACACCTCCAATGCTACTAATGCCTGCCATTAGGATTCAGAGCTGCTGCTTTCATGTTTCATTATAAAATGACAGTGGAGACAGCATGGATATCATACAGTGCAAGTCCACTTTCCCATGCTCATGGGAAGCAGGAGGCAGCAAAGCTCTGCCTGTCCAAGGACCATATCCTTGTCTTTTTCTTCCTCCATGGATTCTCAGCAGGTCCCTGTGCTTCACATTTTCAGATTAGAATAAAACTGTAAGCTGCTGTCTGTTTTAAAATAAGAACTACTCAAGGGCAGTGAACAAAGCTGTTGAGTAAGTGCTATATGCCAGAAGTTTTACTATTCTCATTTAACCCTAGCAACAAAACTACATGTTGTTGTTGATGTGATTATTATTGAGAGAGAGTCTCTCTGGGTCACCCAGACTGGAGCAATCATGGCCCACTGCAATCTCCCAGGCTCAGGCAATCCTCCTACCTCAGCCTCCCAAGTAGCTGGGACTACAGGCACGAGCCACCACTCCTGGATAATTTTTTGTATTTTTAGTAGAGACGGGGTTTTGCCATATTACCCAGGCTGGTCTCAAACTCCAGGACTCTGGCAATCTGCCCCCCCAGGCCTCCCAAAGTGCTGGGATTATAGGCATGAGCCACCGTGCCCAGCCCATGTTATGTTTTATTACCATTAGTTTACAGATGGGCAAACAGAGGTTCGGAAAAGTTAAGTAGATTGTACCATATCACATTTGCTAATAAGTAGTAAAAACAGAATCCAGATCAAAATCTATCTAATGACAGACTATATATTTTGCACTGTATGTCATTTCTAGAGCCTGCTGTTATTTCTGTTGGGTGTGGTAGCAAAGCATATGGATTAAAATACTCCCTTACGAGTCAAACAAGATCTAGGTTTAAAAGCTAGTTTCATCACTTTCCATTAGCATGATTTTAGCCTACTCATCTGTACAATGGGGATAAGAGCAATATCTACTCATGGAGTAATTCTGAGGATTAATTAAATAATGTCCCTAAAAACATGGCCCAGTGTGTTATGTAGTAAGCACGATAGCTGAGTGAGTCTACTTGGAACAGCATATAACAGCATTTAACTTTCACTGCCAAGGGCATTCATTCTGACTTTTTTTAAAAAGCTCTTTTTTGCTCCTCTCTCTGTTTATAATGTCATAATTTCCCTTGGATGACTCTTTCTCTTCTGGAAAAGATAATTTCCTCATGAATAACAGTCCTGCAAGAACTTGGTGCCTTTCTAATCTTAGCTGTAGGGGAAGGGCATATTTGTAGACAGTGATGATAACTCTCCATCTTAATTTTCCATGGTGAAATTGTATGACCCTTTTCTTCAGCCAGACAACCAAAAACATAAAGGCTCTTAGCTATAGGTGTTAATCAAATATGTGTCAGACATCTTTAAAATATATTTCTCTAAAAAACATGGCTCCATCCTGAAAGCAAGGCATGGAAAGAACTCAATTTTTTAATTAGGAACATGCTTTGGGTGATACTTTTGATTGGCCAAATTATTCTTTGCTAAATAATTTGGTAATCTTGAATGCAGTTGTATGTAATTTCACCTAATCCAGAGATTTTCAATTAGAGATTTCAAAATTCAGTCCCCAAAATGCCTCTCTTGTTGGGGGAACTGATACCCAGACATCAGTCATACATAGAGATTTGGGGAAGGGAGAAGGCGGCTGCCAGATGTTCAGATGATGTGGGAGGCAAATAGGTCAAAAGACTGCCTGCAATTCTTTTGCTTTAAAGAGCCGGGACATCTCCTTTAAGAAGCTTCTGAGGTTTGTATGTTATATTCTAAAGAGCATGTCCTTCCTCACGCCTGTAAGTGGCAGATCTAAGTCCATAATGTGTATGCTGAACAGATGTTTTATTTGTGTCCCACATGTTCCTGGTAGACTGCTAGGTGAGCCAGAGGTGAGGAAGAAAGATAAGAGAAAGGCATAAACTCTGCCTTTGGAGTTTATACTCCAGTCGAATTGAATTAGAATGACCTATCCTTATGCTGGGCTTGTAAGAGTTATCCCTCAAGAACAAAAAGTTGGTAGCACTTACTATGAAGCCAAATGCATTTCGACTCTTGGATGATGAAGTGTGGCCATGAGAAATGAATGGGAAATTCATTCACTTGGATTTGAAGTCAGTTATCTGGACTTTTAGTACCAGTTTGTCTCTAATTTTGTAGGTCTTCTATTCAATCACTATTAAATCTAACTTTTAATTTCTTTGTTGATAAAGCCTAGATTAAATCACCTTTAAGTCTCTTTCAGAAATATGTTTCTACAATTTTAAGTGGAGGTTATATGAATCAAGGCAACAAAACTGTCTTCAGGAACCACTCAGAGCTCTGCACTATGCCCGCTGGTGTGGAGGAGTGAATGAGGACTGAGTCATGGATCCTAAGGACAAGGGATTACTTTATATGGAGGAAACTAGATATGCATCCAGGATGGATATGTGACTATGTGACAAAATGAGTTAATTATCAAGCAGGTCCAAGAAAGGTAAGATAAACGTGCCTGTGTATATTTATTAATTTTACTGTCTAAAGCACTGGAAAAAAGGCAAAAGACCTGCCAGACCAGACTGACAACTTCTTCTCCCTGATCTGAACCCCTATTTGCTATTATTTTAATCTGTATATAGGCATCTCACATACACACACACACACACTGCGTTGTATGTAATGCACTTTGTTATATTAACTTACATTCTAGATGCACTAGGAGAACTGATGCATTCGTCAAGGTTCTTCAGTTTCAAGCAATGTAAACAGACTCTGGATAATGTAAGTGAAAAGGGAGTTCGTTGAGAGTTGCTGGGTGAGATCACAGAGTGAAGGGAAAGCACTAGAACCAGCATAAGAAAGTTCAGGAAGCAGCTAGCTCCAGGGGTTTCAGTGGCAACAGAACTCTGTTGCTTTTATCAGTCAGTGAGCCATCAGAAGTAGAAGGCATGCCATTCCAACCATCTTTTCTGACTTTAGGCTCAAGATTCAAAATCCTGGAAGAGAAAAATCCTGATTCACTTAGCTTTGGCTTTATGCTGACCTTTTGACCAGTTGAGGGAAGACTCCTTGGTTTTCGGTACTCTAAGACTGCACACAACGGGAGGCGGTAGGAAACTGGGAGATGTAAATTGATGCTCCAGAGGAAAGACAGCATGGATGCTGAATAGTCAACACCAAAAACATCCATTATAGCTAGCTATTGTCAAAAAGCCTGAATTTTTCTTGAAGAGCAATTAACTATCCTTGAAGTTTTCTTAAAGGCTGAGTTTGGGTTAATTTCTATTAATTAAAATTAATATTTAAAAAACATATCTGTGATTTTTTAAAGATTATTTTGGGAGATAAAATAGATGTTCCAGGAATATATAGCATGTTTATTCTTTGGCTATAAGTAACCTCTGACACATCCTTTGAAACTCCAGGAAACAATTATAGCTGTCTAGAGGAAGGCAAAGTTGGAAAGAGCTGTTGATAGTGTCAGGGAGACCAGATTTGTATCTTCATTATGTACTACATGTACAATTTTAGACAAACACTTTGACTTCTCTGTGTCTCAAATTCCTAAACTATAAAGTGGAAATAATCTGTAACGAGTGCCCAATGAATGGAAAACAACTTAGAACAGTGCCTGGAACACAGAGAATGTTAATTGTGGTGTTGTGATTGAATAGATTTGCTATGCAGGTCACAGGACATATGTAAAATGGAATTTTTTACTTTCTAAGGGACTCAAAAAGAATTCTCAGACCAGATGAAAAACTTACCTGTTTTAAAATGCTCCATAAAAATCAGATGTTATCATTATGTCCTATTCTTCTTAGGTTGAATTTGCCACTTGAGCCAGGAAATTTTCTCATGATTCCTAATTATTTCTGCTAAAAAAAACTTTCTTAATGATAGCACCTTTGCCTGTAAATTTATACTTCTTTCCCCCTTTTTTATATGTATTCAATTCCTGTCTTCCATTAATGTCCATCTCATTCCCCTTCTTCTCCATGATGCTTTTCTCAGCCCTGCATAAGGGTTTCTCTTTTCTAAGAATTCCTGCATTATATTTGCATAGATCACTCATTTTGTCACCTACTTATCCATTATTTTGAAATGTTATTGTTACTTGCTGCTTTATGCATCTGGGACTTGGCTGTAAAATTGTAAAAACCAATATTTGGTACTTAATATGTGCCAGGCCCAGTGCCAGATACTTCAAAGATTTCAGGGATGAGCAATATGGGTCCAGACCTCAAGAAATTTGTAGTCAGGTAGGAAAATGAGGATGAGCACAGTAGAAAGAAGAGAAGGCTTTTGAATGTCTGAATCAGTTTGGGCTGCTCTGACAAAGTGCCATAGACGGTGGCTTATAAAAAACAGAATTCATTTCTCAGAGTTCTGGAGACTGGAATCCAAAACGAGGGTGCCTGCCTGGTTGGGTTCTGGTGAGGATCCTCTTCCAGGTTGCAGATGACTGTCTTCTGGTTGTATCCTCACATGGCAGAAAGAGGGTGACAGAGCTCTCTGGGGTCTGTTTTATAAGGGCACTGATCTCATTCACCAGCTCTGCATGCTTATGAACTAATTATCTCCCAAAGGCCCCACCTCATAATACCATCACATTGGGGGTTAAGATTTCAACTTATGAATTTGGGGACAGGACACAAACATTCATTCATCCAGTGGAGAAATTAGGATTTGAGAATTATCTTCCTCATCAAGAAATAATGGTGAAGGCTGGGTAAGGACCAGGCAAGCAGGAAGGCCTTTCCAGTCAGAAAGAAGAAAGCACACAGGAGAACCACATCATTCATCTCTTTCTAGCCTTCCACAGAACATGGCCTATGCTAAGTACATTGGTGGAACTTTAATAACTAGCAATTAAATTTCACAGAAAGAAAGAAATTGAGAAAGAACTATGCTTAAGGAGTCTGAAAACTCAATATTGTTCTGAGCCTTTTTTTTTTGGAAAGCAAATCAAGCTTGAATTTGTCTCCAACTGTTTTAGCCAGAGTGTTCATGGAACAGAGATGAGAGCGACCATGGAGATGGTCATTACTTATAATTTATGTCCTGCTTCAGAAACCTGGGGACCTCCCTGAGCTAGTCCATATAACTTACCAATATGGTATCAACAACTCTGCTGAAAGGCTGTATTAGTCCATTCTCATGTTCTCATGCTGTTAATGAAGACATACCTGAGACTGGGTAATTTATAAAGGCAAGAGGTTTAATGGATTCACTCACAGTTCCACATGGCTGGGGAGGTCTCACAATCATGGCAGAAGATGAAGGAAGGGTAAAGGGACATCTTACATGGTGGCAGGCAAGAGAGCATGTGCAGGGAAACTCCCCTTTATAGAACCATCAGATCCCATGAGACTTATTCACTATCAAGAGAACAGAATGGGACCCCCCCACCCACCATGATTCAATTACCTCCCATCCGGTCTCTCCCACGATATGTGGGAATTATGGGAGCTACAATTCAAGATGAGATTTGGGTGGGGATCCAGCCAAACCCTATCAGAGGTTGTATCTTCAGTAGCTCTGGGGTAATTCACGACTTTGATTTCTCTCAGGAACTTCAGAGGTAAGGGGAATCAGAGTTGAGACTTCTTTAACTCAGCAGTGAGCACAGGAGACTCAATCCCAGAGAAACAACCATGTCAACAGGGGGCTGTGTATTTCATGTCTTTGTATTTGGGTAGAATTATGCTTGGATGATTATCTTTACCCACGTCATCATTCTTGTTTTTAAAAACAGGTACGTTATTCTACTTCCTCTCCTGATTTACAAATTTAGCTCAATGACAATTTATGCTTTCTTCTACCAATTTTTGTTGCTGTTGCTTAAATTTCAAGCCAAAGCACTAAAAACTCGTTCTGAGGCTACATTAAGTTTACCTATTTTCGATATAGAAGCTCACTGCCCCAAAGGAGTCTTTACATATTTTTTCCTTTAAACATACACAGAGTTTTTTCCACAAGGATCTTTTCAAGTTGTTCTGGTTTCCATTGTGACTACTACATTGTACTGACCACCCAAGAATGCCTTGTTTTTCATGCATAATACAATTTAAAACCACATGTTTCAGCCAATACTTCTGGTAGAAACTCCTACCTCAACAGGAGGAAATTAGGTATTCTTTTTGATTTATTAATTGACCATTAGGCATAGGCATTTACATGCATGCAGAGAAACAAGTGCTGCAATGAAGTCCAAGTGTTCAAAGAATAAAGTTTCCTATAAACAAAACGAAGTGAAACAAAACCCTATCCCAAGAGAAACCCTATTTAGGGAGATTCCAGAGGGCATATCTTTTCAGCCTCAGGCAGAGAAACAGTACAAAAATTTCTAGAGAAATTCTGGGCACTTATCAAAATATTCCCCTCACTAAAGCAAGAGGGTATTTCAAAGAAAAATTGAGTAATGATTTGGCAATGACATGTGTACTGCAGGGCTTCCAATTTAATATTCAGGTTTCTCAGCAGTCCAAATATCAAGTGTTCCTGAATCACATTTCTATACACCTCTAAGGTATGTAAGTGATATTTTTCCTTGACTAGCACTCGCTCAAGACACAATCCAAGGAAAGCTCTCTCTAGTCATTTTTTTCACATCCTCTTAAAAATTCTTTGGATTCTGCCCTGACATTGGCATGTTGCACAATAATAAAGTGCTGCTCTCTCCTGATCTTTTGAAAGATGAACAAAAAAAGGGTCATGTTTCAGTTGCCATTTTGTTCCTTTTCTGATTCATACTTTTGGAATGTAGCTATAGATTATGGGTCATTTACAATCGATAGGCAGAGCTGATTTCCCAGCTGCTGACAAGGGCCTTATCCTGGAAATTACCTTTACTACTACTGTAAAATCCTGAAATTCTACCCCAGGTATGTATTAATTGTGTTCCCTACATGTTAAACTACAAATATCCAGGAAAGAAGGTAACTATCGTAGCTCTAGTTCTAATGTTTATTTACAACTTTCTCAACTTTTTAGTTGGCAGCCCATTTTGATGAGGGTTAGAGAGAGAACAGAAAGCTCATGAGGGAGCCCGTACCTGAGGGAACAGAAGGCCCATGAGATGCCGTAAAGGAAAGGAGAGAAAAAAAGGAGGGGCTTTTAAGGGAGGTTAAGCATGAAGGGTCACATGTTTAAGAGCCAAATTAATGTCACTTTCAGCCTAAAGTCTTCCCTGTGTGCTCCAGTAGAAAGCAAGAATGTTTCCTCGTTCCTATCAACTGTGGTAAGATTCAGCACTAATATCAGGATATCCTCACATACTACCTTGCATTGTGGTAGTTTTTACAAATGCTTAATCTTCTGTTTTGTGTAAAAATATATTTTATAAACTTCTCTAATCTTTTTTCCCCTACTTACTCTTAAGCTGGTTTGCCTAAACCTGAAGCAAGTCATTTTATACAGCAGCTAAATCTGGAGTAAAAGGTGAGGAAGGAAAACAGGACTGACTAGGACTGACTTCCTTCCTGGGACAAATGATGCTCTCCTGAACTATGACCTCAGAGCACCTTTAGACACATAGAGCCTGCCTTTGGTTATAGGAAAAACATGCTCTAAAAAAAAGATAGCAGTATAGCTTAAGCAAATATTCTATGTCGATGGAGTAGTATGTGTTATTTGAATAATAACAGTGCTATTTATATTTGCATAGGTGAGGTCTTTATCCTTACTGCAATATAGCAACTATTGTGACAATGTTATGATGTCAGGCTTTTGGTTAATGTCACACACACACACACACACACACACACACACACACACACACACACATACTTTTTCTGTCTCAAATAGAAATGCCATCTAAAGCTAACAGAAGTTAAATGATTTCCCTAAAGAACAGAAAGTCCCCTGTGGGAGGCCGAGGTGGGCGGATACGAGGTCAGGCATTCAAGACCAGCCTGGCCAACATAGTGAAACCTCGTCTCTACTAAAAATACAAAAAATTAGCCAGGCATGGTGGTGGGCACCTGTAATCCCAGCTACTCAGGAGGCTAAGGGAGGAGAATCTCTTGAACCTGAAAAGCGGAGGTTGCAGTAAGCCAAGATTGCGCCCTGCACTCCAGCTTAGGTGACAGCGCGAGACTCCATTTCAAAAACAAAACAACAAAAAAACAACAAAAAAAGAAAAAGAACAGAAAGTCCCAGTGGGTGCTGAGAATACTATATCCAGAAAGGAAGAGTTGGTTCACTACACTTTAGTATCATAAATGCCTTACTGATCCTTTTCTAGAAAAGAATGCCTATACTTTGTTCCCAATCTCATTTTGGAATTATTATCCTTCTGTTCATTCAGATACAAACCCCAGAAGCACTTAATAGCCTCCTTCATCCCCAGAATCCAAATACCCTCAATTCTACTTTGGCAATGTTCAAAACATTCATTTTCACTGAAAATACATTAAATCCAGTTTTCCTTTCTACACACAAATATTTTAAATATCCAACCATTTCTACAATGTCAAAATTATTTCTCCTTTCAGTTTTGTCAGTTTTGGGAGGTTTGCTATTTGGTGCATATACATTTATAACTGTTGTATCTTCTTGTTATATTGACCCTTTTAACTTTATGATATGTTTGATGTATCCTGTAGAAATATTCCTTTGCTGGATGCCCTCTCTCACCACTCCTATTCAACATAGTGTTGGAAGTCCTGGCTAGGGCAATCAGGCAAGAGAAAGAAATAAAGGGTATTCAATTAGGAAAAGAGGAAGTCAAATTGTCTCTGTTTGCAGATGACATGATTGTATATTTAGAAAACCCCATTGTCTCAGCCCCAAATCTCCTTAAGCTGATAAGCAATTTCAGCAAAGTCTCAGGATACAAAATCGATGTGCAAAAATCACAAGCATTCCTATACACCAATAATAGACAAACAGAGAGCCAAATCATGAGTGAACTCCCATTCACAATTACTACAAACAGAATAAAATACCTAGGAATACAACTTACAAGGGATGTGAAAGAACTCTTCAAGGAGCACTACAAACCACTGCTCAATGAAATAAAAGAGGACACAAACAAATGGAAGAACATTCCATGCTCATGGATAGGAAGAATCAATATCATGAAAATGGCCATACTGCCCAAGGTAACTTATACATTCAATGCTATCCCCATCAAGCTACCACAGACTTTCTTCACAGAATTGGAAAAAACTACTTTAAAGTTCATATGGAACCAAAAAAGAGCCTGCATAGCCAAGACAATTCTAAGCAAAAAGAACAAAGTTGGAGGCATCAAGCTACCTGACTTCAAACTATACTACAAGGCTACAGTAACCAAAACACCATGATACTGGTACCAAAACGGATATATAGACCAATGGAACAGAACAGTGGCCTCAGAAACAATACCACACATCTACAACCATCTGATCTTTGACAAACCTGACAAAAACAAGCAATAGGGAAAGGATTCCCTATTTGATAAATGGTGCTGAGAAAACTGGCTAGCCATATGTAGAAAGCCGAAACTGGATCCCTTCCTTACACCATATACAAAAATTAACTCAAGATGGATTAAAGACTTAAATGTAAGACCTAACACCATAAAAATCCTAGGAAAAAACTTAGGCAATACCATTCAGGACATAGGCTGGGCAAAGACTTCATGACTAAAACACCAAAAGCAATGGAAACAAAAGCCAAATTAGACAAATGGGATCTAATTAAACTAAAGAGCTTCTGCACAGCAAAAGAAACTATCACCAGAGTGAACAGGCAACCTACAAAATGGGAGAATATCTTTGTAATCTACCCATCTGACAAAGGGCTAATATCCAGAATCTACAAAGAAATTAAACAAATTTACAAGAAAAAAACTAACAACCCCATCAAAAAGTGGGCAAAAGATATGAACAGACACTTCTCAATAGAAGACATTTAGGCAGCCAACAGTCATATGAAAGAATGCTCATCATCACTGGTCATCAGAGAAATGCAAATCGAAACCACAGTGATATAGCATCTCATGCCAGTTAGAATGGCAATCATTAAAAAGTCAGGAAACAACAGATACTGGAGAGGATGTGGAGAAATAGGAATGCTTTCACGCTGTTGGTGGGAGTGTAAATTAGTTCAACCATTGTGGAAGACAGTGTGGCAAATCCTCAAGGATCTAGAACTAGAGATACCATTTGACCCAGCAATCCCATTACTGGGTATATACCCAAAGGATTATAAATCATGCTACTATAAAGACACATGCACACGTATGTTTATTGCGGCACTATTCACAATAGCAAAGACTTGGAACCAACCCAAATGTCCATCAATGATAGACTGGATTAAGAAAATGTGGCACATATACACCATGGAATACTATGTAGCCATAAAAAAGGGTGAGTTCATGTCCTTTGCAGGGACATGGATGAAGCTGGAAACCATCATTCTAAGCAAACTATCACAAGGACAGAAAACCAAACACCACATGTTCTCACTTATAGGTGGGAGTTGAACAATGAGAACATGTGGACACAGGGCGGGGAACTTCATACACCGGGGCCTGTCAGGGTATGGGGGGCTGGGGAAGGGATAGCATTGGGAGAAATACCTGATGTAAATGACGAGATGATGGGTGCAGCAAACCAACATGGCACATGTATACCTATGTAACAAACCTGCACATTGTGCACATGTACCCTAGAACTTAAAGTATAATAATAAAAAAAGAAATATTCCTTTGCTAAAAACTTTAGTCTTATGTTAACATAACAACTGTTTCTTATGCTTACTTCTAAATTTACACTGTTTTCTGTCCTTTTTCTTTCAACTTGCTGTATTTCATGTGTGTCTCTTTTAGACAGCAGTAGAGTTCTGCTTTTAAATCCAATTTGGCATTCTTTGACTTTTATTTTGTGTGTTTAGTCAATTCACATTTAATAAAATTATTTATAGTGTGGGCTTCAAGTCTGTCATTTTGCTGTGTTTTAAAATTTGTTTCATTTCTGTTTTGTTCTTCTTCCCCTTCTTTCCTGCTTTCTTTTGTGCTAACCAAATATTTTGCAGTATACCATTATAAATCTTGTATTGACATTCTAATATGTCTTTTTATTTCACTAGTGGTTGCTCTAGGTATTAAACATGAAACTTTAACTTACCAAAATCTACATAATTAGTATTTAATTGATTCCAGTTCAATATGGAAAATTTTCAACAGTCTAGTTCTGTTTCTCCCTCTTTTCTTTGGTATGTTTTCATCTATATACAATATAATCCCAAGAGTATAGTAGTATAAATTTCACTTTAAATATGCATATATTTTGTAAGAAGTCAATAAAAAAGTATGTGTCTGTATATATAAAATAACTCATATATCATACATATCCTTTCTGTTGCTCTTTATTATTTCCTATATGTCTGGATTACCATATGATGCAGTTTTCCTTAGTTGGAAGGACTTTCTATAGCATTTTACATAGTGCAATTCTACACTATTTAATAGCAATTATTTTAATCAAAAATAATTTTAGCTTTAGTGAAGTATTTTAGCTTTAGAATAATTTCTGTGACTATAGGTATCTTGAATTATAGGCCTTTTTAATTTCAGCATTTTAATATATCATTCCACTATCTTCTATCCTGCATTGTTTCTGATGAAAGTCAGATGCTAATCATATTGTTTACTCTCTATGTAATACGTCATTTTTCTTTTGCTGCTTTCTAATTTTGATTATTTTTGGTTTTCATTAGTTTGAATTTGATGTGCCTGAGTATGATTTTCTCTGTTTTCCTTCTACCTGAGTTTCACAAAGATTCTTGCATTTGTAAGCTGATGTTTATCAACACATTTAGAAAGTTCTATTCTATTATTTATGTAAATTTTTTTTCTCTTATTTATTTCAGTCCTCTCCTTCTCGGACTCTAATTACATGTGTGCTGTACCAGTTGATATTGTTGCAAAACGTTTTTATTTTCTTCTATATTTGCTTCCTTTATATGCATCAGAGGGAATAATTTTTATAGATCCATTTGCAAGCACACTAATTTTTTATATGTCATTTAAAATCTGCTGTTGAGTTTATCATCAGGTTTTTCTTTTAGTTATAATTTTTAGATATAGAATTTTCAGTTTTTTATTTTCATTTATTTATTGATATCACTATATATTTACTCATTAATATGATGTTTATTCTTTAATTATTTGAACGTTTAATTTTTTGAAAACATTTGTAGCACTATTTTGAATTTTATAACTGTTATATTTAACTCCCAGTCCCACTTCAAATGAATTTCTATTGACAGCTTTAATCTCTTTTTTTGTAAATATTTTGTATGACTAATAAACTTTAGTTGAACTTTAGACACTATAACCATGCTGTAATGTGTTTTCCTCTTCTGAGAATTGTTGAGTTTTTGCTAATATTCTGTAACTTGCCTGAACTCAAACTGTGACACCTATCTCCGCGTAGTACATGGTAACTAATACCTCCGCTCAGTGTTTTGGCTTTTAGTAGCTGGTATTTTACTTCAACTGGCATCTTGGAAGTCTCCATAGCTCATGAGAAAAAAAATCAATATGACAAAAGGGGTGTGCGTGTGTGCACGCGCGTGTGTGCACGTGCACATATATCTTTATTTTGCTGGATGAAAATGGACAGTTGTAGAACCAGTATACACTGAGAGTTCCTCCACCACACTGATAGGCCAATGGATTATTTCTGGAAAAGATGCCACATTGTTACATTTCCTCATTCAGTCTTGCCTCCCCTTCTAAAACATGATGAAATGGAAGCTCAGGAGCTTCAGATACCACCCAGCCTATCCATTCTATTTGATTTAAGCAATAGGTTACTGATGTTGATTTTAGAAGTTTATATTTACTTTTAAGAACTCTGTGTCCTGCCAACTCTGCCTGAGATTTTCTGTCTTCTCTCTTATAGTTGTCAGGATTTTACTGTACTTGGGGGCCCTTTTAAAATTATGGCTTAACATTTCAACATTGTGTTTCCTACTGTCATCAAAGATAGATGACTTAAAAAAAAAACCCAGAAATCTGAAAACAGTTTAAATTACATGGAAGAGATTCAAATAATGGCCAATATTCGCCCAACACTTTACAATTTTTAAGGCATTGCCCATCTATTATCTAATGTGATCCACACAATAAGTAGAATAGGTGTCTATAATTGTAATTTTACCAAAATTAAGCTAAATGTTCAAAGCCTCTTAGCAGTTATAATGTCTATTCACAGGATGCATAAGACAATTCTGCTTTTATGTCCCCAGGGCCCATGTCATACTCCACTCAGCTTAGATTCTTTGGAACTATGGCAAGGGTCCCTATTCACTTTGACTTCAAAACCAACGTTTCTTTCACTTATGCTATGCTTCCATAGCTATACTATTGTAGGACTACTAGGGATTATGTCAAAAATGTTAGTTTTAGAAATGTATTTAACAATTCCATCTGAAAGACCAATCATGAAAATAATGTTTATACTTTAATTTTAGATTAAATTCAAATCAGAGAGTTACATATAATTAAATGCTCATAACTCACATTTATATTTATATAGTGTATAGCTCACCAATTTAAGCAAAAATATTAATTTTAGCATATCATTATTTGGCATATTAACAACAAGGAAAATATATAGTGTAAATAACTTGAACTTCGTAATATAGGGCCAAACAAGAAAAAAATGCTGTGACTATATTAATACATTGTCTATAAGGTTAGGCAGAAATTCAGGGTTAAGTCTGTTTTTTAGGAAACAAGCTTACCTTATTAGGAAGAAATGTAGACATAGAAAAGAATAGGAAATTTATGGAAACATCGTAGTCTAATCTTTATTTTAGTTACAGGCACTAATAACTGTTTTGAAGACAAAAGAATATGACGAAAATTAGCTGTAATACTTTTGTTAATATTAATAATTACTATAATTTATTTTATTCCTATTTTTGCCAGGCTGCATAATGGTAGGTGTTTTATGTATAGTGCCCTTTACTGCTAAAGCTAAAAAGGAAACTTTACTACATTGTTAAAAAACTGTTTAATACATTGAATATTGTCTTTAAATATGAGCACACACAACAAAAACTGGATTTGCATTCAGGGATTATCATTTTACTTTCTATGAAATATTAGATAATACCTCTAATTGAGCTCTCTATATATTAGAACTCAATAAAGTTTGAATTGCTAATAATTAAATTTGAGAAATTCTAAATTTCTTTATTAATCTAGCTCTGAGCATTTAAAACAAAGAAGTACAGTAAATAATTTTCTATTTTCTTCCAATTTTTACAAAGATTTGCTGAAAGGGAAATGTCTCTTTTAAGAGGCAGTAGCCATTTCAAGTATGTTTCACGAATAAATCTACTTTTTATAGAATATAACTTTGTATTATGTTGTATTATGTTATGTACTGTGCTAGCACGATGAGGAACCCTGAAGACCAGTGTCCAGCAAGAGTAGAATAATAGTTCTCTTAAGCTGCACTGAAATCAGTTCTCATCCAAAGCGATGGCCTAGGCCTTGAAAACAAGAGGAAAAGTTTTTGCAACTAGCTAATCTGGAAAAGTAAGATATGTGATTCTGGGGAAACTATAAAAATGACCGTGTACCCATGGACAGGAGTCTTGTTAATTTTGGCAGAGATTTTCATTTAAATCAATGATCATATATAAAAATAGAAATATGTAAGCTAAGAGTACAACTCCATAGTGGCATTTGGCATTTAAACATTAAGCAATATTAAACTTAACATACTCATGTAGATTGTGATAAAGTAAAACAAAAATCAATTGGTGGCATGACAGATGATTTCTTTGATATCGACCATTATTTCTATAATGGGTAATGAGAAACTGATTATAAAATGTATTAATATAGTACAGAAATAATTAAGAAAAAATATTACAGATAACTTTAAAATACTGATTAAAAAATCTTTTAAATGATATTTGTTTTTAAAAATATTTCATTGGTTGAATCAGTTTGGATTCTAGGCATAGCTGCCCATGCCCAAAGCACTAGCATTTTCCGTGTCAAAATATTTTTTTTCCTGAAACTACCTATTAGCAGCTGTCTGTGTGAGAATAGAGGGAGGATTGTTTTTACTTCGCTCAAAGATTAATGATATTTTATGACTTCAAAAGAAATATTCAATTCTGGCTTTCATGGCAGGCACCTCCTTCTTGTCTCTTTTTATTTTATTGCCACATTTTAAACATAATTATTCATGCTGTGGCATATTAAAATCGTCTACAAAATTTTTTTTTTGTTAAGAACAAGATTTTGCTTGCTGTTAACTCTGCAGAATTTCACTATTTTCTCTTTCATTTACCAGGTAAGCATTATAATCATTCCAATCATTTTTTTTGCGCAAATATTTAATGCTGGCTAATGGAAATAAGAAAAAGGGTGGGATGGGGAGGTTGAATTTGTCCTTATTTTTCTTCAGATTGTATTTTTTAGTTTCTCAGAAAAAGATGTAGCAACATTTCAATGATATAAATTAAGTTAGGAAATAGTAAAATTATTATCCACGTCCACAATTCCCTGACTTGTTACCAGAGTTGTAACTAGGCAGCAGAACAGTCATAAGCCTACACTGGAAATAAGCATGGCTTCCACCAGCTTTTCCTCTTCCTGATTGCCCCCATTCACTTCACGTCAAAAGCCTTGGGCTTACTGGTGACTTTTTCATCTTGTGTGTGATTCTTCCAGTGGGACACCCTCCAAATTATGAGAATAAAACTTTTTTTTGGTTTTTTTTGAGACAGAGTCACCCAGGCTGGAGTGCAATGGCGTGATCTTGGCTCTCTGCAACCTCCGCCTCCCGGGTTCAAACGATTCTCCGGCCTCAGCCTCCTGAGTAGCTGGGATTACAGGCACCCACCATCATGCCTGACTAATTTTTGTATTTTTGTAGAGAGGAGGTTTCATCATGTTGGCCAGGCTGGTCTTGAACTCCTGACCTCAGGTGATCCACCCCACTTGTCCTCCCAAACTGCTGGGATTACAGGTGTGAGCCACCATGCCTGACCAAATTAAACTTTAAAAATATATATAACACAACCTTAAAAAGGAATAAAGCTCTGACACATGCTACAACATGTATGAACATAATGACAAGTGAAATAAACCAGACAAAAAAGCACAAATATTGTATGATTTAACTTATATGAAGTACCTAGAATGGATGAATTCATAGAACCAGCAAGTAGAATAGAGGTTACCAGGGACTGGGGGAGGGAGAAGTGGGGAGTTATTTTTAATGGGTATAGAGTATCAGTTAGGGATGATGAAAAAGTTAGGGAGATGGATAAGAGGTGATGGTTCATAGCAATGTGAATCTACATAATGCCACTGAACTAAACATGGCTAAGCCAGTAAATTCATGTCATCTACATTTTACTAGAGCTAAAAAAGTTACCACAACAAAAAAAGTTAATAAAGCTTCTATAAACCATTTAAAATGTGATTTGGAAAGGCATTTTTGAATGTTTCACTAAAATGAATGAGAAATGACTCCAAAAATTTATATGTAACACAGATGGCAAATATACAAATGGCACTTTAGATAAGTCATAAGAAGACTCTTATAGTTTCTTGTTAATAAAAAACAGGCTTGGTTTACACAGAACTCAAAAAAAGTAGTTACTTTTTTTAAATTTTTGAGACAGAGTCTCACTTTGTTGCCCAGGCTGCAGTGCAGTGCAGTGCAGTGGCGCTCTCTCAGCTCACTGCGACCTCCGCTTCCCAGGTTCAAGTGATTCTGCTGCCTCAGTCTCCCGAGTAGCTGGGATTACAGGTGCCCACCACCACACCCGGCAAATTTTTGTATTTTTAGTAGAGACGAGGTTTCGCCACTTTGGCCAGTCTGGTCTGGAACTCCTGACCACAAGTGATCCACCCGCCTCAGCCTCCCTCCCAAAGTGCTGAGATGACAGTTGTGTGCCACCACCTCCAGCCTCAAAAAGGGTAGTTTCTGATGGTGGTATCACTCACTACATTTTTGTGCTTTAAGGGTTTCAGTTCAGGTGTGCTGAATATCCAGTTTACATGGGCTGTATGTTTGCACTGTAAATATGGAAACAGCAAGCTATCCAAAGCTGATCTGCTCTTTACTTTTTATTTTATTTTTTATGTTTTTGAGACAGTGTTTGGCTCTGCCACCCAAGCTGGAGTGCAGTGATGCAACTGTAGCTCACTGCAGCCTCGAACTCTTGGGCTCAAGCAATCCTCCCACCTCAGCTTCCCAAAGTGTTGGAATTACAGGCATGAGCCACTGCGCCTGGCTGATCTGCTCTTTAGTGATTACTCTACACCTCCACAGAGCAAGATCTGTGTCTTTACTCCACTGTGGGCCAGCCAAACCATGAAAATTTGAGATGGTAAAATCTATACCACAATTCCAAGGAATGCTGACTATAAGAGATTTCCAGGATGGGAATATACAGACACTAAACAGCATCACAGAATCCAACCTAATATGAATTAAAGAGTAATCTTGGCTATTTATTTTGTTAATGAATCTTGACTTCTTCCCTGAGGCATCTATTTTTTTCTTAGAAAAACCCGATTCTGATTTGAAATTATTATTAATAATAATAGCTCCCATTTTTTTTTGGATGCAGTCTCACTCTGGAACCCAGGCTGGAGAGCAGTGGCACGATCTGTGATCACTGAGACCTCTGCCTCTTGGCTTCAAACAATTCTCCTGCCTCAGCCTCCCAAATAGCTGGGATTACAGACATCCACCACAATACCCAGCCAATTTTTGTATTTTTAGTAGAGACAGGGTTTCATCATGTTGGCCAGGTGGGTCTCAAGCTCCTGACCTCAAGCCATCCACCCGCCTCAGCCTCCCAAAATGCTGCGATTACAGGAGAGAGCCACTGCACCTGGCCAGCCACGGCACCTGGTCATTTTTAAGCTCCAACTTTGCCAGACATCTTATAAATACTATCCTTAATATTTGTAATTTTGCTAATAGCAATTAACAAAACTGGGCATTATTTATTTTAATTTCTAGATATGAGATTAGATCAGACTCAGAGAGGCCTATCTTTGCCCAAGGTTACCTAAGGAGTGAGCAGTGCAGCCTGTGTTTGCATTCCTGCTTCTGTGGGTCTCAAGCTGCGTGTTTTTCCGTCGTGCCCTGAGTTTGGCAGCCCCAAGTTCACTGCTCATTCTGCTAGATCCAGGGCCTAGAACCTCTTGATTTATTTTCCGAGATCTCTACTTCTAGGTTAAGTTCCTTGAGTAGCTATGCTCTGTGCACCGGTTCAAACAAATTTGATTTTTCATTGTTTTTTCCTATTGACTCTCATCTCTGGTCTAACAGGCATGCCTTCTTTTCAATCATATTTCCTGGCCTGGGAATGTGCTTTCCTCTGTTCCCAATTATCCTGACTCTGCCATACAATTCTAACAATAAAATTAGCTCCTCTGAGACCGGCAGAGATTTTAAAACCTTAAGTCAACTTTTTCCTCCCTACGTTCAACAAAGTTGACTGCATACGCAGACTCATATCTCTACTGGGTTTTTTCTCTAAATGCTGATAGAATTTTGTAAACTGTATACGTGTTTGATGGATCAAATATTTTGTGTATGTGTGATTTGTTGCTGTTTCTAGAAATATGAGCAATGTCTTAGTTTTTTCTTCTGTTTGTTTTACATTTTCTGGCATAAAACTTGGCATAAGACTTGGTTATTTCAGAAACATTTAGTATCATTGCAGTAAGATTTAGTAACATGTCATGGTTATGCCCTAAATACTAGCATCAGAAATTCTGGCTACCATCACCACTGCCATCACATATATTTATGTACGAACTAAGACAAGGTAATAGTATATAGCTATGCTAACTAAAATATGTGAGATTTATTTCACCAATGTTAGGACTTACACTTAATTAAAATCTATGACACGGTAAAATATTATTTATCTCAGAATATATAAAATTAGCTAAAAATAACAAGGATTTCATATACTTTGAAACTTAAACTGTAACTTAGTTTTTAATCTTCATCTTTGAAAAACTAGAACAAATGTACTAAGCTCCGATATTTCTAACAATTGATTAATGATAAATATGCTCATTTTTATAAAGTAATCTTCAGTTCTTAAAGGATCATTTTTATCATTTAATACACCATTTAACACTTGTTTTTATAATCATGTCTATTTGTTCATCTTCAAAGAAATTCTCTCTTCAGTGTTGCCTGGAGATATCTGTAATGCTGAGATCCATATACGAATCTGGAATGTTAATGGAGGAAGGGAGACTGACCTAGCAGAGAGAAGTAAAATCTAAATGTTTACCCAGAAGGAGTGCAATGGCAAGCAAGCACAGCTGCCCACATCAACCTAGAAAGGCTCAGAAATTGGAGGCATGGAATTCCTTTTATGTTGGGGTGAGGTAGAAAACTGCTAGAGGATCTCTATAAAAGAACAACTCGGGCCAAAGTCTCACTCTCAACTCACACAAGTTAGGCAACCACCCTTCTCCACCAGGTAGGACATAGAAGATACTCTCTGGAGAAACTAAATCAAAGAGGCTCTGGATTTCAGGCTCCAGGCCCAGTGGTGGGTAGGGTGATGAAAAGTGACAGAATACCAAAACATTTTTACTACAGTGGTGAATCCTCAAGGCCATTCCCTCCACCTGCAACTCCTAAAAGCCCAAGTCTAGGATTCCTAAAAACTTTAAGAGAAAAAGTATGGTGAGGCAATAATGCCTTCTTTTTTTTTTGAGACAGAGTCTCACTCTGTTGCCCAGGTTGGAGTGCAGTGACGCAATCTTGGCTCACTGCAGCCTCCGCCTCCTGGGTTCAAGTGATTCTCCTGGCTCAGCCTCCTAAGTAGCTGGGACTACAGGCACCCGCCACCATGCCTGGCTAATTTTTGTAATTTAGTAGTGACAGCGTTTCTCCATGTTGGCCAGGATGGTCTCAAACTCCTGACCTTAAGTGATCTGCCCACCTTGGCCTCTCAAAGTGCTGGGATTACAGGCATGAGCCGCCACACTTGGCCCAACAGTACTTTTTACATGCATTGCAAAGCCAACTAATGCTTGGTGGAATTCCATTTGGTGCTCAATACAATGAGAACCTGAGAAAGCCTAACCTGATTGGAAGTTCTTTTAATGAATTGTCAATAAGAAATTTTTGTGAAGAGCCAGATCATCCTGGGACAGTTCTGTAGTGTATTTTGTGTCTCAGGTGCATGTAAGTATATAGGATTGTTACTGTGACAGGGGAAGGACTCCATCTTCCATGCTATCTTTATAGGTCATCTCTAACCTCTTACCTCTAACCTCAGGGCTTGAGTCATTCATTCCAAATGAGAGCAGTAGACAAATGGACATGGTTGATGGTCAATGTGTAGAATTTGAAGATAGCTTCACCAAAGTGTATTACGTACCTCTTGTCTTTCCAGCTCACCTGCTCTTTCATATGAATTCCAACAATCCTTCAATCTTACCAAGGATTTCCAATGAACTGTGTAACCACCCTTCCAACCCGCCATGAGGTCACTTTCTTGCTTTATGATTGTATTAGTCCATTTGCACACTGCTATAAAGATACTACCTGAGACTGGGTAATTAATAAAGAAAAGAGGTTTAATTGACTCACAGTTCCACATGGCTGGGGAGGCATCAGGAAACTTACAGTCATTGCAGAAGGCAAAGGAGAAGCAAGCATCTTATTCACAAAGTGGCAGGAGAGAAAAAGTATGGAGGAGAAACTGCCACTTTTAAACCATCAAGGTCTCATGAGAACTGCCCCACCATCACAAGAATAGCATGGGGGAAACCACCCCATGATATAATCACCTCCCACCAAGTTCCTCCCTCCAAATGCGGGGATTACAAATTCAAGATCGGATTTGGGCGGGGACACAGAGCCAAACCATATAAATGATAGATAATCACCATCTTGCAAAGGCCATTCTAGGATAGTATAGTGGGACCCATCAGAGACCAAGTCCTCCCTATGCACTCTGGATTCCTCCATAACTCCCTCCTTCTTCTCCAGAACATCACTCCTGGATTTATCCACAACTCTTCCCCCCTTCTCTAGAACATCACTCCTGCAACTCTCTGTCCCCCATTTGCAGTTTTTTTTTCTTGAATCCTTTCTGTCAACCTATCAGTATTACTTTGCACCTTCATTTGAAGGGAAAAACATTTCTACTAGGCTCCTTTTAAAGAACATTGTGTTTCATTGTTCTGTTCCACTTCAGAGCTAATTTTTTTGTAGAAATGAAATGTGGCCAATTGCTCATCTTTTTTGTTTTTTAAATTGTATTTTTAATTGACAAATAATAATCAGATATATTCATGAGGTACAAGGTGATATTTTTATACATGTATACACTATGGAATGATTCTATCAAATAATTAACATATCTCACCTGTTTTTTGTAGTGAGAACATTTAAAATTTATTAGCAATTTTGAAATACATGATTACATTATTATTAACTATGATCAAGATGCTGTGCAATAGATCTTATTCCTCCTGTCTGACTGAAACTCTGTTCCCTTTGGTCAATCTCTCCATCCCCCATCCTCATCTCATCCCTACTCCCAGCCTCTGGTAACCACCATTCTAATCTCTACTTCTATAAGCTTAACTTTTTAAAGATTCCCCATATAAAAGAGATCATGCACTATTTGTTGTTGTTGTTTTTACAGAAATCCTGTCATTTATGGCAACATGGATGAACCTGGAGGAAATTATGCTCAGGAGAAGAAGCCAGGCTCATCTTTTCTCAGGCTATTCCATTACGGTTTCTGGCTCCTCCATTCCACCAACACTACTTCTGTCTCAGTTACTAGACAACTCTATGTTGCCATATCCAAAAGTCTCATTTTTATTTCTCATCAACACTAGTACTGCTAAGCCCTTCCTCCTTCTTGAAACATGTTCCTCTTTTGACTCTGTGACAACTTCCTACTTTACTAGCCATTTCTTCTCAGTCTTCTTTGCTACCCCTTCTTCCCTTTAAATGTCAGTTTGTCTTGGTGCATGGTCTCAGCCCCTTCTCCTTTCTATATGTCTCTCTGGATAGTAGTCTGTCTCATTCTCAGAGCATTAAATGCTACCTATTTGCTGATTATTTCAAAATCTGCTGTTAAATTCCAGATATATGTGCCAATGATATATTTTGGTGTCTTTACTTAGGCATCTAGAGGCATCTCATATTTAATATGTCCCCTTTCCTTCAAAACTACCCTTTCTCCAGCATTAATTTTTACCCACCACCATCCTTGCAGCTGCTCAAGCCTAAAACATGAGTGTCCTCCTTGAACCTTCTCTGCTTCTCCATCTCCCACATCCAAACCATTATAAGTTCCATCACCTCAATCTCCAGTATTTATCCTGAATCTGTGTACTTCTCTGTCCGGTTTTATTATCAACACCCCAATTCAAGCCACCATTATTTCCTACCTAGATTATTGCAATACCCACCTGAGTGATCACCAGGTGACCATGTATATTAGTCAGGGTTCTCCAGAGAAGCAGAACCAATATGATATAGGCATGTATATACAGAAAGAAATGTACTGTAAGGAATTGGTTTACGCAAGTATGTGAGCTGACAATCCAAATACTATGGGGTGGGCTGGTGGGCTGGAGACCCAAAAGAATGAATGTTCCAGATTGAGTCTGAAGGCTGCCTGCAATAGAACTAGGAAGACTCGATGTTGCATATGAAGTCCAAAGATAGTCTGCTGAAGGTTTCTCTCTCGCTCAGGGAAGGCCGAGCTTTTTGTTCTATTCTGGCATTTAACTGATTGAGTGAGACCCATCAACATTTTGAGTAATCTGTTTTACTCAAAGTTCACTGATTTAAATGTTAATCTCACCCATAAAATGCCTTCATGGAAACATCCAGAATAATGTTTAACCAAGTATCTGGACACCCTGCAGCCCTGCCAAATTGACACATAAAATTAATTATCACAACATACTTTCATTATTGCTCCTCTGTAATCCATCCTCAACCTAGCATCTAACTGTGAAGTCCCTATTTAAATCCCTTAATTAGGCCAAGCATGGTGGCTCACACTTGCAATCCCAGCACTTTCGGAGGCAAAGGCAGGTGGATCCCTTAAGCCCAGGGATGCGCATGCAGTCAACTTTGAATAATAAGCGTATTCTAATACGTATAAAGCGTATTAGAATACGCAATTAGAATTCCATCTTACTATGAAAATTCATTCTGCAGTCACCTAGGAAGTTTGACATTGACTTCAGACAAAATCTTAGAATGTAATGCTTTCTTAATTAACAACTTTTATCAAATACTTAATAAGTTCCAGGCAGTGAGTTAGCTGCATGTGTTAGAATATCTCAGACTTACCATGTCCAAAACTGAACTCTTGAGTTTTCTCCCCAAAACTGTTTCCCCACAAGTCTTCTCCAACTCAGTGATTAAAAACTCCATTCACTCAGTTGCGTAAGAGAAATATTTCAGAGTATTCTTTGTCTCTGCTTTCTCTTATACTCAATATCTAATTATAAGCAAATCACCTTCAAAATATCCCACATCCAATTACTTCTCATCACTTCCTTTTTGACCACCGTAGTTCATCTGATACATTATTATCTCTTACCTGGATTATGCAACAGCCAGCTAAATAGTCTCCTTGTTCTTACTTTTAAACTCCCTAGTGTCTATCTTCCACATATGTCAGATCATATTCTTGTCTATTCAGAAACTTCCAGTGACTTCTGTAGGGAGGGAGATTAAAACCTTTTTTTTTTTTACCTTCTTAGGTTCAGTGGCTTGGGCCTGTGAATTACACTTCAAAAAGACAGATCAACAGGAAAAAAGGACCCCAGAATTTATTTATGCATGCAATGTACATATATATAGAAGAACTCAATGATGGGTAACTCAAAGGCGTGATTAGAATTTGTAACTTATATACCATCTTAAGAAAGAAAGATAAGTTTGTGGAGAACTGACAAAACTAAAGAAAAGGGGTTTAGGCTTCCAGGAACAGTAAATTGTGGGAAAGTAAATATATAAAGGGAAACTAATGGAAGATAAGGATTATTTTAGTAAGGTTTGTTTGTGTAGACCAATGTTGGTGCTGACATTCCAACTTCAGTAATAATGGTTGTTTTCCTCTTTGTGATATGGGAGAAGGAAGGAGGAACACCTTCACAAAGGGACATTCATGTTCTGCTTTTAGGCAAATCAGGGGAGGACAAAGAGCTCTTTCTGTGTTTGCTGCTTCCTAATTGCCTTCAGCTCAAAATAATCATTATGCCAATGTAGCATATATGGGGTGGCATATCTTGATCCCCTTCACTAGTTTATCTTACAAAGCCTGTTCTATTGCTCACAAGGTACATAACTTGGCCTACTGCATTCTCTTAAAAAGAGAAAAATGAGAAGCTATCTCTTCTCTCATGTTAGGAAAGAGGTTGGGTGGGGGAGGGGCGGTTTGTGAGATCAGGGAGTTGAGTGGTTTCCAAGAGAAGCTGTGTACCCTGCCCCTCAGATAGAGGCCCAGGAAGGCGGCAAGCCCACAAAGAGAGAAGGGCTGCTTGGAGGGGGCCAGGCTTATGAAGACTGTGATAGGCCATCAAGGGAATCAAGAAAGAGCCTGAAAGAGCCTCACTTACCAGACTGACATTCTATGTGGACCAACGGCCAGCGACCAAAAAGGTTGATATCTACTGACACAAGTAAGCCAAAGACCACTTTCTTCTACCCTCTCTGCTGAAGAAAGCAAGAAACTTGATGAAACAGGAGGACTTGGATTAAGGCAGAATGAAACATAAACATATAAATTTCCAATTGGGTTGAATTATTTACAAATATATATTTATTAATCTACTTGATTTGTAGAATAAAATTTATATATACTCCCTGGCACACAGAAGGTCATTATAGTTACTATTCCTGCTATATTTTATTTCATGTGTATGTCCATCTCTTTTTGGTTAATCTGATGCTTAATTGTATGTGTCAACTTGGCTTGGCCACGGTGTTCAGATATTTGGTCAAACATTATTTTGCATATGTCTGTGAAGGTGTTTCTTGGATGAGATTAACATTTGAATCACTGGACTTTGCATAATGCCCTCTAGGTTCATCCATGTTGTCACAAATCACAGAATTTGTGTTGCTGAAACAATTTTTTGCTGCTCAAAAAGTCAACACTAATTTTTATTTACACAACAGTAATATCCAGTTCAGGAATGGTAAGAATCTCACTGTCATCAGGGCTGAGGTTTGAAATCCACTTTGAGTACATTGCAAAGAGGGCTGACGTTGACTCACATGCACACAGGAAAGGGCAAGTCACATGTGTGGTGAGGAGCCAGACACTGAATGGTTAAAATAACTAGGGCTGTCAAAACTGAATGAAGGAAGGCTGAACAGAGAGATGATAACTGTCTTCAGATATTTGAAAGGCTTATTGTGGATGACAGAATGTGCTTGTTCTGAATGGGAGTTGAAAGCATGAATGTTTGATTCAACCCACAGAAAGAGGAAGCTTCTCACAGTTGAGTGTGCATCAATGTTAAGGGATTCAAACAGATGTTCAATATTCATTTTGTCTGGAATGTTGTCAGAGGATTCCTGTATGTAGAGGAATGTGGTCTTGGCACTTTTCAGTTTAGGATAATGATAATAGGTCGGGCAGAGACAACTAATATTAGCAAATTTCAGGAAATATGCTGAGTGCTTCATGTCATTAGAATGTCTAATGACATCAGAATGTCTCACTGAATCTGCCTAACAGCTCTACGAGTTAAACACTATAAGTATTATTATTCTTATTTTACAAATCAAGCTTAGTTTACATAGTAAACTGCCAGAGTTCACAATGCTGAGAAATCACAGGGTCAAGTTTAGAATCCAGGTCTATTGCATTAAAAGACTATGTACTTTCCACTATACACTCCATTTTCCTAACATGCTTTTTCAAAAGAAAAGAACAAATTCTTAGTTTGAGGACAAAACTGTCAAAATATACAGATTTTATTAACAAACTGACCAATGAAAGGCACTGATTCATTGAAATATTTTAGCTATGATTCTGATCATATATTAATTTCAATGCATAAAATTATGAACATTTTAACATATAATAATGGCACGTGTGAAAACTACTATCTTCTTGATGTATGTCCATTTTTTTTCGGTTAATGTCATGGTTCATTTTATGTGTTAACTTGGCTTGGCCATGGTGTCCAGATTTGGCCAAACGTTATTCTGTGTGTGTCTCTGATGGTGTTTCTTGGATGAGATTAACATTTGAATCAGTGGGTCTTGCATAATGTCCTCTAGGTCCATCCACGTGTCACAAATGACAGAATTTCTAACTTAAAGGTTGAACGGCATTCTGATGTGTATATATTCCACGTTTTCTTTACCCATTCATCCACTGATGGACAGAAAGAGAAATAGCAAATAATCTCACTTATATGTGGAATCTGAAACAAACTCATAAGAGTAGAGAGTACAATGGTGGTTACCAGAGGCTAGAGGGTGAGGTGGGGTGGAATGGTGAAATGTTGGTCAAAGGATACAAAGTTTCAGTTAGAAGGAATAAGTTTTTGAAATCTATTTCACAGCATTGTGAATATAGATAATAATGCCTTGCATATTTCAAAATTGCTAAATTTCAAATGTTCCTATCACAAAAATGATAGACATGTTAATTAGCTTGATATAATCATTCCACATGGAATAAAAATATAAAAATATCACATTGTATCCCATAAATATATACAATTATAATATGTCAATTAAAGATAAATGTCAAAAAGAAAATCGGAATAAAAACTATTAAAAAATCAGTGGACAATGTACAAAGAAGATTATTCTCCATTCTGCAGGTAGGCCTCATCCAATCAGTTGAAGGCCTTAACAGAACAAAGACTGATCTACCCTAAGCAAGAAGGAATTCTGCCAGACTGCATTTGGAGTTGGACTATAACTTTTCCCTGAATCTCCAGGCTGCCTGACTGTAAATTTTGCACTAGTACCTCCACAATACCTTAAAACTAAAATATATATATCTATGTGCATACACACATCTAGCTGGCTCCGTTTTTCTGGAGAACACTGAATAATGAAGTTATTTATATGTCTTTTCTTTTTTTGAGGCAGAGTCTAGCTCTTTTGCCCAGGCTGGAGTTCAGTGGTGCAACCTCAGCTCACTGCAAGCTCCACCTCCCGGGTTCAAGTGATTCTCCTGCCTCAGAAAAGGTAGCTGGGATTACAGGTGTGTACCACCAGGACTAATTTTTTTTTTTTTTTTCAGTAGAGATGAGGTCTCACCATGTTGGCCAAACTGGTCTCGAACTCCTGACCCCAACTGACTCGCCTCAGCTTCCCAAAGTGCTGGGATTACAGGCATGAGCCACCGTGCCTGGCAGTTATTTATATTTATTTGCTCTTATGTTTCCAGGTTTCTTCTAACTTTAAAATTCTATGACTGGAACAAATACATATGTGAACTTGGAAGTAGATCTTTCCCCTGTCCAGCCTTCAGATCAGACCACAGCCTTAGTCACCACTCCAATTGTGGCCTCCTGAGAGACACTGAGCTAAGGGCATCCAGGTTCTTGACCCACAAACTGTGAAATACATGTTGCTTTTAAAAAATTCCAAGAGTGGCCCTTAAATTTCTTTGGGACTATACCGTGTAATAGCGACTGACTCAAAAGGGTAGTCTGGAAACCTAATCTTAGCCCCTGGTCACCTCTAGCTAGTGTGCACAGACCTCAGATCTTGTCAGTCTCATTTCCCTACCTGTTAACGTGAGACAGTTGGGCAGAAGAACTTTAGCTTCCCTTAAATGCTACAACTCAGCGTCTCTATTAATCATACCGTTTATTCATCAAAATGAATACTGATAAAAATGACAAGTAGAACACACCCTAGATGTTCAGGCCTCTGGAATTGGTGGCAGCGTTCCAGCTTCCTTTCTGCCTGTAACTGTGAGTAAGTCCTGCTTTACCTCCTTCCCACCCCCCGCACCCACCAACAGCTCTCTATCATAAGCTAATCAGCTTGAAATAATTGTTAGGGCACTTCTGTGTATGGCCTGTGCATGTGCCAGTGTGTACACCGTGCAAGCTGAGCTGTTGAGGTTCTGGATGTGCATACAGCCCTGGCACCGGAAGGTTTGCCTCTAGCATTTTGTGGACTAACTCTGGCAGTACACAATGGGAAGAAAACCTCTTTCCAAGTGTGAGCCCTTCTCTCTTCTCATTCCCAAGGAGGTGTGTCCAGATCCCTTTGCCAGACAGCTACTTTACAGGAGCATTGGAGAGCAGGCAGCTAACTTTCCCCAACAAGCAGCTGGATTTACGTTGGCAAATCAATCCCTCTCAATAAAATGTTATGTGACCATCTTCCCAGCCCCCCGTTAAAATCCCTTCATTTTTTCGAGCAAGCGAACTAGTCAGAGAAGACAGAAAAGTTAAGTAAAGAAAGTGGCAGAAAAGTGAAGCAAAGCAACAGCCCGGGAGCGTGGCGGGGGGACCCGCGCGGGGACTCGGGTAGGCTGCAAACGCTGGGGAGATGCCACAGGAGCGCCTGCCTTCCCAGCTTCTCCTTTCTCTCGCCGAGGGTCTCTGGGGTTCAGCGCTCCCGGCGTTTCGGCGACCTCCGGGTCCGCCCTGTCCCCTCCCAGCTGGGGAGCTGAGCCCGGCTCTGCGCCCATCGCCGACCCCGGCCACTCTCCCTTCGCTGCTCGCTCCAAAAGCGCCTGTCCCGCCCCGCGGGGCGACTTCTCCCTTTCGGCCCTGGGGTTGAAGATCCTGTGTGGGGCAGCTGCGCCTTCGGGACAGCCCCAGCCGCGGAGCGCCCAGACCAGGGCAGCCGGAGTCGGGTCATACGCCGCACGCCGCCGGGGCCGCCGCACCTGAGCCCAGCTCCAGTCACGCCGGAAGCGCGGGCGGAGCGCACGGGTCCGGGGAGAGTCGCCTGCGCCCGCGAGGGGGACCCAAGTACCTAGGGTGGTGGCCGAGTCCCGCCTCCCGCCAGCGGGGGCGAGGACCTGCGACGCGCACCCCTGCCTGGCCCGGTCTCCTCAGCACCAGCCCCACGCACACCCTACTTCCTCAGCTTCTCGCCCTCACCCTGCCAACTTCCCTGCGAGGAGGGACCTGCCGCCAGCCTGCTTCCTCGTCCGCAGGCCCTGCGCTGAACGCTGCCGCGCCCAGGGTTCACCTTGCGCCGTCGGGAAAGCCCATGAACTCTCCAGAAACGGCGTAAAGGAGGGTCCCGCCGCGGCGCAGGGCTGGGGCGCCTGGGTTCCCCCTGGGTGGAGCAGCGGCAGCAGAGCGGGAAAGTGGTGGAGGATGATCTTGCGGCCAAAGGGGACCTCGGCGCAGTAATGTCAACATGTAAGTCTCACCTTTCAGCTTGGAATTCCTTCACTCTTTTATCTGTGTCCACCTTCTGTCGCCCCCTCCCCGACCACCCCACCCTCAAGAGAAATGATTTTATAAGGACTTCAACTGCACGGAGGGAATAAACCGGTTTGTCTTCAGTTTGCCCCTCGAGGCACTGAGGAGTAGGACTATTGCCAAGTGGAGTTGTGACATGTGTGTGTGGCTGTTTTTTTTCCCCCAGCGAGGTAAACCTCACATTTGGGCGGTGTAAAGCCTAATAAGAAGGGCAGGGCTTCAAGAATGGGGAAAACGTGTTTTCAATTCAAATTAAACAAGGAGTAACAGGCACCGCTCCTCAGTCCAGAGGCCTGGCCCTGCCAAGAAGGCGCTCTCCGGAATCAACACCTGGGGGCTTGGAAGGTACTAGTATGCCGAGAAAATGTTGACTTTACACATTGTCACCATTGACTGTAGAAGTTATTCTTGGATCTTTGGGGTGTTTGAATTTTTTTAAGGTGTGCAGAAAATGTTTTCAGTGTGCTTTGTAGTTTAGGAAGTAATTAAGGGTTACGCCACGTTACGTGATAGGATTTGAGGGGACTTCCATAGACTTATGGGGGGCGTGGGGAATTGGGGCATTGAAACAGAGAAACCTAAAAGGTTTTGCCTCCATAGAATTGTCATCCTAATGGTGAGGTGGCGCACAGCGACCCCATGAAAGGGTCGCCAAGCACCGTCTGGCTTTCCAGAATGGGAAAAGGAAGATTGTACTCCAAAGGGCCAAGCTTATTTTTGTGGCCAACTAAGAAGTTTCTTTTTCTTGTAATAGGTAATTTTCCTTCTGATGTTTTAGTTAATCTTGGACGGACACCGTGACAGACATTTTATCCCCTTCCACTAACTCATGTACAACAATTTCTAGAACTTGGTACTTAACACTCCTTCCCCCAACTCCTGGATCTTACATGAATTTACTCTTTCAGTTCAGTACATGGGGAAAGACCTGCCCCCTAGGTCCTGTTTTTCCACACTTTCCTGCACTTTCCATTCCCTACTTCCCCACTCCCCAACACACATTTTAAAATAGGAGAAAGAAAGGATAGTGCCCACAAGCCTAGCACTCTGTAACTCTGTTCCAGGTACTGTGAGATGTAATCAGAAATGAACCACTTATTTTTACTGAAACTGCATGTGAAATAATTCCACACCTGGGAGTTTTAAAGTTTCATTTATGCCAGTGGAATCGGCAAGGTACAACTTGAAAAAATTTATTTTGGGATACAGCCAGCATTTTCATATAAGACTTGTTCTCATATACAGGCTACACATTTTGAAGTAATATGAGCTTGTTTTCAACTTCAGTTTTTCTTGAAAATATACTAGGGATTTTACAGCAGGTATTTGCCCAGTTTTTTTCAGCTTTCCTAAGCATTTAGATCTTATGAGAAAAAAAGCATATTACACATGAAAGTATAAATACCTGTTTTTAAAATAAAAGATGTTAAACTTATCAACAGGTAATGTAAAAATTTCCTGATCATGAAATTAAGTTATATAGTCCATTTGAATTCTTCGTGATTAAAAAATCATGTCATTATAGGGTAAAAGCGTGAATATGAAATCACATAGAAAATAGGGCTTGATACCTAGATTTGAGATTCTTTTTTGAGCTATTTTGACTGAAAGTTTTCATTTTTTACCAGATGGTAAGTATATTTTTTTCCATTTTGCTATTTACGATTCATATGGAGTGGTTTAGGATGGCCTGATTCTTTTTAGGTATTGGTTTGTTAGAATATATGGAAAGAATTACCAACCTTTCCAAGATTAATATTCTTACTATCTTGTTGAAAAATGTTAAAATGGGTAACATAAGCTATATTATCCTTTAAATTTTAATAGATTCAAGTTCAGAAACTACTTAAGTGTATTTTCTGCCTCCTCCTTGTGGAGAAAGTGTATTTGTATATTGTTATACTCAGGTTCTTTAATTATAGACTTTACGAATATATTTGGGAGTTGTAGTGACTGCATATTTTTCATACCCTAAGAAATTTAGCAGATGTAGCAAGACTTGCATTAATTCGTCTCAAGCTGCATGAAGCTACTGTTCCATTTATGGCTTATATAAATTACATGACATTGTGCTTTTTCAATATGAATGGTGAATAAGGCTATTGTCTCTTGGCTTATGGGAAATATTAGAAGCCTGTAGTTTTGTAGCCTAACTGGACACATGACTCTGAAGTCTGGAAATAATGATTTGAAAGAGAATTAGTTTACATATTAAAAATAAACTAATAACTGCTTTTTAAAACCTGACTATTTTTCTAATGGCCTATATATCTTACAGAGTTTACGTTTCTGATGGGATGATTTTTAATCAAAAGTTTCTACAGTCTATTTAGAATTTAGACTAAATGGAAAAGACTTTGTTCAATGTTTGTGGTATGCATGGGCAAAAACTGTATCTTTCCATTTTCATTTCTAATTGGATGAGATTATTATCTACATTGGATGATGTTAAGATGCATACTAATTGACAGGGGTGGTGCCATATAAAGGATATATTGATCAAAAAATGTGGCTACCTGAGTGTCATGTTACTTTCCATTATAAGCATTACTTGAAATGGAATTATCTGGAATGCCTTAAAAAAAAGCTTCAAGATCCATTTATTTAAAACAGAGCAAATATGACAAAAGTTTAACATATTTAAAATAAGTCGTTAAGAAATCACAAATCAATGAAGAAAATATGTATATTTGTAATAGAAAACCATACAAATGACTTGAACATGACAATCCAAATAAAGGAAATTCAAATGAGATGCAACTTCTTTTATCAAAGTGACAGGGATTAAAGCAATAATACTCAATAGTGAGGAGAGGGCCGTGACATGAAAACAGTGATATGTTTCAATGTAAATGTGAATTTTTTAACTCTTTTAGAAATCATTTTAAATCTACAGGACGTTTTCAAAAATAAAAGTTATGCAAAGAACACACCTCTATACCTTTTACCCAGAATCACCTATTCTAATTATTGGCCCCATTTGTTTAATCATTCCCGTTCCTCCTTTCCTGCCCCCCCCCACGAGCCCCTCCTGTACACACACACACACACACACACACACACACACACACACACAATTTTTTTCTGAACCATCTGAGAACAAGTTGTATGCATAAGGGCTTAAGAGTTTAATTTTTCAATTGAAATTTTAAAGATATTTCTAACTTTAAATATAGTTGCCAAAAAATAGAGATCCTGTATACCTTTGACCCAGTTCCCCCAATGGTAGCATTTGGAAAACCTGTAGTACAATATTAAAACAAGTATATTGACACAATTTACTTCTCTTTTTCAGATTTCCCAAGCTTTATGTGTAGTCATTCTTGTGTACCTATGTATGTAATTCTTAAGGCTGAGTTTTACTCTCACCTCTAGTATAAGCCAGTTATGCATGTTACTGTTCAAATAAAGTTTAAGATTTGTGCAGGGTTGAAGAATAAATCAGCCTTTTTGAAGTGGAGGTACACCCAGCTTAATAAAGGTACTCAAATCGAGTTAATAGAATAGCACTTTTTTTTAAATACATTGCTTTGGCTCAGGAACATGATCTTTAACCAAAAAAAAGAAAAACGATTATGAGCAGACTTGAATAAACCAAATTACTGTTCTTTTCACTCTGGAAGAATTAAGGTATTTTCTCTGCCATTCCCCAGTCCCTTTTATGAAAAGATTTGCCATAGAAACAGAGTTGGGATATGGCGAAAGCAGTTATTTCTGACAGTTGCTGGTATTGATTGCATTAGTATCGTATCAATTTCTCCACTAATATCAAAATTTCTTCACTAATTTCTCTTTAAATTGTGACTTTTGGGGAAACCAGTAGGAGTAGAGAGATGGAAAGTGGTAGGTTTTTAAGATTATTTCGGTGATCCATTTGGATAAAATAATGCCTACAAGGAATCATATCGACATTTAAAGCAATTCTGTAGAAGGGTTACATTCTAAAGCTTCCGGAAACAGGACTAAAGCAAATTGTATTTTGTAGCCTATGTAGATTGAAAAAGAGAACAAGTTTGCAACAGAGGTAGTGTGGGTCTCAAAAAGGACGCTAGGTTGGAAGCCAAGTGACAAAAAGGATCTTTTGGCTCTGACACCACTGATCTTATGATCTTGGGCAAGTAGTTTAGTATCTCAGTTTTTCACCTGTAAGATGATAGGTTTTTTTTGCATAATCTTTAGGTTTCTTCCAGATATAGGAGTCTATGACTGTCTTTTACTTAAAAAATGTTCCTGCTGTCTTCAGTAGAACTTTAAGGCCACAATCAAAATGGTGTAAGAGTGTACTTTTGTGTGTGTGTGTTTTTTTTCCTTGTAGTTCCTATTTAGAACCTTAGTAACCCTGTTCAGGATTTTCCATTCTTGGGAGATAGTTATTTAAATCTCAGGGATATATCTTTGCTAAGTGATCCCCTGAGAAAACACATAGTACTTTCCTTCCTCTGTTCTATTCTTAATTTATTTGTTTATCTTCTTCAGTAAACAGTAAAGTGGATGAAAGTTGGCCTGTCCTATGGTTTGTTTAGTTACAAGTGCTTGCCTTGTTGGGTTTCTTTTCTGTCTGAAGTGATAGAGTCTGGAGACATGGAATGCCTTAAGCCATGGTCATCATTTGCAACTGATAGGATTGCAGGCAGCTTTGATAAGACAGCTTCAGAATTGAATATGGAATCCCTAAATGCTGAAACCTTTTATAGCAAAGAAGTTGCCTGAGCGCATAAACAGTGTTTTGTGGCCAAACTAATGAGCAGGAATCTATGAGTATTATTTAGAGATTAAATGAATCTGAGAGAAAGCTATTATTCACACATTGATGAAAGATAATTGTCGTATGTCAAAGAGTGTAAGAAGCTGGGAATTCTCTTGAGCTGATACATCCTTCTGTTAATATCTGTAAGGGTGACAGCCAGGTTTGATTGGTCTGTCTCTTTATTTTTCTGGACCTAAGTTTCCTTTTTTTGTGAAATGAGGTTAGATTAGACTTCAGCATTGGTCCTCCTAGCTCTAAATTTCTTTGAATATGTAATTGTGCTTTTGTTTTAAAAGCATACTCATTCATCCAGCATCAGTAGGAAACAGGCCTATTCTTCCAAATAAGTGAACTTTCTATGGGACGGAAGTTTGTCACCTACCGTTTTAAAAGCCCCTACAGATTAACCTGTACTGTTATTTCCAGTTCTTTTTGGTGGGTAATATCCTATTTACAGAAGAAAAGACTAAGGGTTTAAGTACTTGCCCTACAAACCACACAGTTTATAGAGGCACCAGGAGGTAAGTTGTTGCTGTTTGAGAGTCCACATCCATTATTATAATTACTAATTTCTTACTTACTAAAACATACTTCTCATTAGCAGTACTTCTTTTAATCTCAAATATTTTGGATGGATGGATTTGAAAACAACTTGCAAACAAGAGATACTCTTCAAATCTTAACCTTTTCCTGGTTTCGAATTTTCCTAGTTTAGAATTTCCATCAGGAGAGCTGCATGATTTTAGAACTTCTAGTTTGGTGAATACTAAAACATGGCTTGAGTTTCAGATACTACTTAACATTTCTTTATTCATAGCAAACATGAATAACCAATTTCATTTCTGGCCCAGGTGATCCCAGAAGTGACCACAAAGTCAATTGATTGGTGTTGGCATATGAGATTAATCTTGTTTACTCTTGCTTGAGTCTTTTCCTTTGATTTCACTGTGGACAGAATAACACCACTTAAATGAGAATGCCTGGAATGATAGTAATCATAATAATAGCTAATATTTATTGAGTACTTGCTGAGTGTCAGGAACTGTTCTTGAAAGGCATCGTCTTATGTAATCATCTCAGCAACACTGTGGACTAGGTTCATTGCTGTTCCTTATTTTACAGGTAAGAAATAGGAGGCACAAGGCGATCAAGCAATTTCCCAAGGTTTGCAGCATAGTTCATAAGTAGCAAACCAGATCTGTCTCACTCTAAGCTTATTCTCTTGGCTATGAGATGGAGATGGTCTCTTAAAGTTTAAAAATGCAGTCTTGAGGCAAGTGCAGGAGTCCTTTGATGTCTAATTTTGCTCATTTGAGTATTTCTCTTTCTGCTTTTCTGTTTAGTATTACACATTTTACTCAGGTAAGCAAACTGCAGGCTTTAGGGTAGATATTACTGTAACCCTAAACTATCTTATTAGTTACTCCTTGCTAAAATGAGTCTCAGTTACTACTTATAGGCAAAGTAACTCTCTCTCAGGGGATTTTCAGGTTTCCTGGAGATTTCTGACTATTGCTTACTTACCTTCCTGCCTCACAACTCTTCTGCTCACCAGTCCACTTATGGTCCTTTTTGATGACTGATTTTTGTAATTTCTTCCTTCTTTGCTGGTTTGCCTTTTTTTTTTGATGGTGCTGATTCAATGAACTGTATTATACCATTGTTTTGAGACAATATAATATGAATGTTGCTTTCTAAATCATTATTAAATATAATTTTCAGAATTAAATGAGTAAGTCATGCAGAAGGATAGTTGAGTTTTCAAAGCACCACCTCTCCATCTAATGTCATTTACTACTTTCTATAATACCTGGTGTTCAATAGCCATTTAAAAACTTGATAGCTATTTTATATATAAAGACTTCACCTTTTTTGGAATGTTAATGCTTCAATGTATCACTTTAGGGGATAGAACAGAGTTTGGGCAATTTGGTTTTATGTTAAATATTTCCGTTTGTAAAGCAGCAGACATTAAAGAAAACATTTCCTTACAATCTGAATTTCTGGGAGATTATAAGGAAGGTTGATAGAAACATCCTTCTTCTACCCAGATGAACATGAGTCTGGTGAGGCTGAAGCTAACATTGCTTTATTTTTTAATAAATAATTTTTTTGAATTGTCTGACTACCCATTTTCATGCAGAAATCACCTATTATATATATTTTGATAAGGAAACTGCTACCATGTGGCAAATAAAATGCATGGATTTATTTTCTTTTGCTAATTAGCTTGAAGGAAGTGATCAAGTCGTCATCATCTTTTAAGTTCCTCCTCTATTTGGAAGCAAGGATGAAAAAGGTTTATTTTCCAGTCCCTACTGGAAACCTATAGTTTTTACTTTATTTGTCATAATGCTTTACTGAATGTTGAATGTCCTAATTGCCATCTTCTTTCTTTGCAGGATGTTTCGCTCAGATCGAATGTGGAGCTGCCATTGGAAATGGAAGCCCAGTCCTCTCCTGTTCTTATTTGCTTTATATATCATGTGTGTTCCTCACTCAGGTAAGACTCTTCCTCTTTCACACCTGGAATTTAATCATGATGACATTGTCTGCAGTGTAAGCATGCTACTTATTTATGTTGCCTTACTTTTACTTACTGCCTTTTTTTTTTTTCCTGTTTCTATCCTTATAGGGCAGTTTTTTTCTGTTTATGATTTGTCTGTTCTCTTTGAATTTTGTGTGAATACTGTTTCTTTGATCATTGTTTTATTTTCTAATGAGTTTATTTCTTTAATCTTTGTTGTCTTTTATTTATTTACGTAGCCCATATTGAGTGATGAGATAACTACATAAATCGCATTTAAAAAGTGGTAGCTGTTTCTTCTACTGTTGAATAAATATACAGTACTTCTCTTTTCAAGTTTTCATGTAGTTATTTATGGAAAGTACAGACTTTGCTAGTTTCATTCATCCTCATTTTATTAGCATGTTGCAATATGAATTAGGAATTGAAAATTCAGTTTTTAGACTATGCAGTTTAATTTACTTGATATGAAAGTTAATTTTAATTACAGCATTTTTGGAATTAAAGTATTTTTTCTAGTTACATTTTTTTGAACTTTGAAATAAGATCTTGGTGGCTGTTGAAAAAACTAAATTTTCTGTAAACAGCAAATTATATGAATAAGCCAATTAGAGGCTGAGGAATGTGAATGATATCTAAAAGTAAACTGTTTCTTCATTTTCTGGTTTTGTCACTGAACTGAGCAAATTTATTTAAGTCCGTTCTATTTTATTCTTTGTTTTCTCCTGGTGTATGTATTAGGCTTATTATGTTTTCCTTTAGAATAAAGCTAAAATGTCAATTAAGAAAATCATAATTCTTGAAGTCTTATGTATTTATTACTTGGAATTTAATCAAGATTTATTAATTTCATATTTATAATATATATTATCATAAAGAATACATTTTAAACATCGTGGAAATAGATTATCTGCTAAAATTGCTTATTCACGCATCAAGAAATTAAACTTGTATTGAGATGTGAAAACTTTTTTTTCCAAGCCTCCAAGTGTTTTAAGAGTTTCAGTTATTTACTTGCAAAATCCCTGGCACTTATTTAATGGCTTCAAAACAGAACAGATCTTTCAGTGAATTTTGTGTGTGTGTTTGTTAGAATTTTATTGTAAAGCCATTTTCCTTATTACTGTCATTATTAGAGGAAACACACTTGTAAACAGATTGGAAAATTAAAGATAGGTTTTATGATGTACAGTGTTGAACTACTTTCAAAAGTGATTCTCTAAGAATCAATTACATGATATGAGATAAATTATGAGATTAACATTATTAGTTGAAGTCTGTTTACTTTCATTTTTGTTAGGTCATGTATTTATATATTTTTAAGGCTTCTTGAGACCACGGCACCTCCAATTTGGACTTTTAGATGTCAACATTTTAATGAATATATGCACATTCTTGAATTTTAATCATTTGAATAAATGAAGCACATGTTTTTAGGCTAAAGAAAAGGAATCAACTTGTCTGGGACCAGGCTGAGGGAAGAGAATCACCTGGGGTACAAAATTTAAGGAGGCACTCATTCTCAAGGCCACCAGAATCAAAGTACTTACACTTGTTAAGTTACTCTCTCACACAAGATTTTCTTATTTTTTGTTATTTCCTGCATTATTAAACTTTTTGTGTATCAGATAAGGTCTTGTGACAGATAGTTTTCTGTTTCACTTTTGAGGCCAGAACATTTTGTATTAATACCTATATCACTCTAATAATGACTCATTTAAAATGCCACCACCTCACAGGTAAATATCTGAATTCACAAACACTCTTTAGAGGGTCTTATAGGTATTTTAATATAAAATTTTTGCCTTATAAGATGACTCAGCATGGGGTTCCTTATAATGAACTCCCAAGCCATTTAAAATAATGCATATTACAACTTTGGATATATATGATATTTAAAATCTTTTTTTGCATAAATCAAAGTGTAATACTGCTATGTTTTTGAAGACTAGTGCTTAACTGATGTTATATCCCTGTTTACACTTTTGTTGACTAATTTTTGCTTCTCTAGGTAACACCTAGATGATCTCAAGTGGCTTTAAATGGTATCTTGATGCCAGTGTCCACTAAATCTGTATTGTCCATCCTGGCTCCTAGAGCCATCTCTTGAGTTGCTGATCCTCATCTACCCTTGGATTTATAATAGGCCTTAAACTTTAAATGTGCAAACAGGACTCCTAGTTCCTATCTCCTATCCTCAAATCTACTTCTCTTTTAACCTTTAAAATTCCTCCTTCTATCCTCCTGTTCTCTCCTACTCTCACTATTTTGTAGACACATTGGCCTTTCTATTCCTTGTCTATGCCTTCCTAGTCTCCTCTTCTCCCTTACCTGGTTCTTTTTGACACTCAGATCTCAGTTTAATTATTACCACCTCATGTAATCCTTCCCTATCCCTCAATTCAAAGGAGCGCCACTGGATCATATCATATTCTTAGTGATAATCTGCATAGATTTTGGTTTTTGTCTTGTTTGTTAATGTTTTGTTAATTTGACTGTGATAGCTAGGTTAGGAGATTGGCAGATCTCTTTTGGTTGTTACGATTGACACTTAATTCAGATGATTAAAATTAGAATCTTATGGTTTGATTCCAATAACATCCATAGTTTAATTCTTATAATAGAATTGCAGTATTAAGTTTGCTAGTAGGTAAGTTAACATTTATATTTCATGGGACACTTAAAAAAGAAATATGTGAGTTTTGTGACCTTCTGGATTTTCAAAAGTAGTGTGGAAAAATAGCTCACTGTGTCTTGACAAGTGATGATTATAACCTTTAATAAGAACTACAATAAAATAACAATTTAGAATATTTACACTTGTACCATAGAAGTATGCCTTAAAACAATAAAAATGCGATTTATTTTTACCCACTATCTTGAAACCATTTAGAAAAGTTGACAACATCCAATACAATCAAAATTGTTAGGAAAAGAGTGTGCACTGACACTGTTGACTCTTTTGGGAGAGTAATTAGGTAACACATAAAAAAATCAAGAATGTGTACATTGGTGTATCACTCTCACATGTAGGCATATACCCTATAAAATAAAAAAACATAAATATGTAGAGAAATCTGTATCACTGTGTTAACTAGCATTGCAATAGCAAACTGGAAGAGACGTTGTTCACTGAAAGGGGGATGGTTATGTGCATTATTTTACATTCCTTCTGTGGAATACTGTGCAGTGCCTCAAAACAATGTGGTCAAACTGCCTATTTGCTTGGGAAGCTATTCATGATAATAATGTTAAATTAAAAAGCAAATTATAATCAGGCACTGTGGCTCACACCTGTAATCCCAGCACTTATATAAGACTTTGTAAACATGTTAACAAAACATGGAATGATACTCATCAGGCTTCTAAAATGGGTTGTCTCAGAGGCACAGTTTGGAGAAACAGGAGGGATGACGATGGAACTTCATACACCTCTGAATTTTTTTGCCTTCTTACAACGATCAGGTATTACTTTACTAATCTGAAAAAAAGCTGATGAATTTCTTTTTTTAAAAAAAGCCACATAAAAATGACCAGAGAGGCATAGAAGTGTATGAATATTTAAATTTTGTTAGTTACTTAACTGTTACTCTGGCTCTTTCTTCACTTAATAGGAATCTCTAAAAGGAGTTTCAGATAATAACTTCTTTTTTGTGGCCTAACACTCCATGACTCTGAAGATGAATGATGATATCTCAAGCAGACAGAGGGTTATGGATTCAAGTAGAGTGGGAAACAGCCAAGAGCCAATACATTTCTAAGCAACCAGGAGCTTGTTTCCACACAGATCGTCTTAGTCATGAGCAGTGCAGGAGGAGCCTCCCTTCTCTCCTGAAAATCAGTGATATCAGCAGATCGTTTCAAAGCACAGTGTTACTCTGATATCTATGAGACATCAACAGCTACCAGGGGAAATGTTTCTGAAAGTAAAATCTGGCCTGAATTGTGTACTTTCTAGCCCAGGGCACAGCATAGTTCTGGAAGGCAGGTGATTGTGTAAAAAGAATCTTGTGCTTTTTTGTTTGTTTATGTGTTAATTTTTCTTATCATAAAATGAACAGTTATTTAGTAGTATGTGTTAATTTTTCTTATGATCATAACATCAACAATTATTATTTAGTATCAATTACATTGCAATCTATATTTAAGAATTAAATCAAAGTTTGGTCAGAGGACTTTCAAATGTCTAAAAAAATCCTTTTATGAATGTCCCCTTTTTAAAAAAAAATTCAGTATTGTGTATTGAAAATTACTAAGTGTGTCTTAAAGGTCAAAAATAAGGCTCTAATTGTACAGACCATTTTGCATATAATGATAAATGTGTGTATGTGTGTTTCACTCAGAATCAAAGTGCTCCAAATTACTGTCTGAAGCTTTCAGCTAAAAGGCTGTTTTTCTGTTTCAGACCTCAGATTAGCGTCAGTGTGAGTGAATAAAGTCTAGAAAGTTTTATACAGATATTTCCTTGAGGCAACTTTCTAGATAATTTTCTTCATACACCTTTGGATGGCCTGAATTCGATGTTGTTCAATATGAAATCATACATTGAGGGGTCATAAAGCCAATTACATAAACGTAGAAGGGGAATGACCTGCCTTGTCACCACAGTGACAATCTCAAGTGACCCGCAGTGTGATGGGACCACTAATGAAACTGACACCACTTAAATGATATTAGGAAGAGGGAGATGTCAGGTGTCCTACTTTTTATTGGTGAGATCACGCTTGTCTCCAGGCATGACTGTCATAATGTGGAGAGGGTTGGTAAACAGAGAATATTTAGACGAGGCACACCAGCATACTGATGAGTCTCAAGCTATCTGAGGAATTTTTGGAGCAGTCCCTGTCAATACTGGGTGAGTGAAACCTCTTTAGAGGTGGGCTGCGACTGTGAACTCCCTTTGTGTCAGCTACAACGTTCTTGCTTTCGTGTATCAATTTGTTTGTTTTTTAAGTACAAATTTTGTTGCATTGTTGCATTAAAAATGGATGTAGAGAAATGGCACATTTACTTTAAAGTAATAAAGTCAGTAGGAATAAGATACTGGCCTTTAGATATCTGGAGAGTGGTCATCTGGAAGTGATAACAGACTTCTTCTAAGTATCTCAAAGAGCAGAACTAGGACAAGTGTGTTAATGCTGTAAGAACCAAATGACTCTCTTAGTAATTAATTGTCCAAAGATAAACCTAGCTGTCCTTCAAATTCCCCTATCACTAGTAATCGGGACATGAAGGAATCTCAGTATTGAGGAATTTGTACCAGAAACCTCGAAGACCTCCTTAGCCTACAGTCCAATCATGGAGTGTGTGTGTGTGTGTGTGTGTGTGTGTGTGTGTTATACAGTCTATTTTGTTTTGTGCACATAGTTTTAATTGTTTTACCTGTAAAGTTTCTTCTGTGTACTTCCAATTTTAGCGGGTACTTTTAATAATGAACTAGACCTAGAGGTTGGGCGGGTAACTTTCTTGGACAAGATAAACCTGGGGAGCTGTAGAGTTTAATGGGGACATACCAACTCTGAGACTTTCGCAGACACAAAATTGTCTAACACTTTTAAATTCTTTTTAATTCTTTAAGGAGTTTTCTTTTTATTTTCAGCAAGTAGAATATGTGCTCTTTGGCACTGTTCTTACTATTCTTTCTTCTTTGGCATTGTTTGTACTTGCAATATCATAGTATTCAGTAAGTAAAGAAGATGGAAAAAAAAAACAGAATGGAGAACCAAAGACAAACCCCAATATATTCCAGATGTAATGAGCAAATATACTTTATAGGGTGGGGTAGTATGGGGAGGAAGGTTTTGAGGTTAGATGAGAAAAGTGTATTAATCCCACAATGAGGATCAAGTCACATAAACATCCTTTCCCCTCCATTGAACTAACATGATTATACACCTGAAAAGAAAGCAAGGTTCCTTTGGGAGGCCGAGGCGGCGGGCAGATCATGAGGCCAGAAGTTTGAGACCAGCCTGGCCAACATGGTGAAACCCCGACTCTACTAAAAATCCAAAAATTAGCCTGGTGTGGTGGTGCGCGCCTGTAATCCCAGCTACTCGGGAGGCTGAGGCAGGAGAATCACTTGAATCTGGGAGGTGGAGGTTGCAGTGAGCCGAGATCGTGCTGTTGCACTCTAGCCTGGGCAACTACATCTCAAATAAATAAATAAATAAATAAATAAATAAATAAATAAATAAATAAATAAAGCAAGGTTCTTTGGCAGCACATGGATGGTAGCTGTCACCAGTTCAGGTTAACCTTAACCATCTCCTGTGAAAAAACTCTCAGAGAGGAATAAAGTATCCCAGTGGGGAATATGTGGCCACCATATTTCTATGGTTAAGACTAATTATCTTGATTTCTTAAAATCATTAAAAATATTTGTAATCGTTTGAATGAGATTTTTCTCAGGAAAATGGTTTGAATTATTAGGTCTTTCATGTCAACATATCTTGGTTTTTAGTCATTCCTAAACTAACTTCATCTTAAACTTGTGGTTTAGAAATGATATGCTTTATAAAAAAATTACATAATTTTCTGCAATAAATTATTATAAGTCAAAAAAGATCCCTTCCTCTACTACATTCTCCTCCAAGTTTGGTGCTGCTGGTTTAGATAAAAGAGAAAAAGTGTTTGTACTAGAGCTCAGAAGATGGATTGTGTCAACCATTTAAAAATCAGGATCTTTTTTCTAATAATGACAGAATTACACTAGTCACTCTTATTGGTTTGGGCAAAACTACAAGAATGAGAAAATGCTCATAATTTTTGCAAACAGAAGGATCTTTTTAGAAGATTCCTTACCTGGCCAAAACTTGATTAAAGAGAATTATTGAAGTAAAATATAGATCTGGAGGAAAAAAATACTCTGGCAATATTAATCACTGTTTTTATACACACAGTTCCTTTCTTCTGTCCTTCATTTATTTGTTTTATGCCTTAAATATGTCCAGAAATATGACATTATGTACAATTGATACTGGCCCCTATGAGTATAAAGAATAGTTTAGCTGTATCACTGGCCTTATTGAATAGAGTTTTAAGGCAGAGTTTCTGATCACAGTGATTTCAGTGGCTGCAGTAGCAGTGCTATGAGGAGGAAAAGCTAGACTTTTAGAGATAATTTACCTTAGTGTTTTTTTTTAATTTTAGAGAAAATGAGCTCCAAGTATACACTGAGGTTGTGGAAATGTAGTCTGTCACCTTTTCCAGAATTCTCCTCATCAGATTGTGTACACCAGTTGTCTCCTGGTTGGCTCATCAGAGGTCAATATTAGTGTTTTATTTGAACTGCTAATCTCATCTCTCTTTAGAATGGTAACCTGAAAATCTATTACTTGTAGGCAGCTCAAGACCACAAACATTTTTGTTTCAATACTGCTGATAACCTAATGTTTCACCAAACAATAGGGTTTGTGGTTTTTCTCTCAGAGCTTTTGCTAAGTTGATACAGGACATTTTCCTTCCAGCTTGGTAAGCATCCTTGATGCTTTACTTGGCGTTTGGTTAGGACTCTTATTACTTCTCATCATCTGACTGGCTTCCATGTCCCACACACATGAGTTAGAGATGTCTGCTTTTTTTATTGACCTTTCAGAAGAAAGTTCTCTTTGAATTTTAAGCCTTTTCTGATATTTAAGGTAGTGTCCATTTGCAAACATGATACTACTAATTGTGACACCATGGAAGACAGAATCAGTAAATGTGTAGCAAATGAATTGAATTGCTTTCCAAGCTGTCTTGACAGAACTTGGATTTTCCTTAGCAGGGTGTGTCTAGCTTATCAAAGAGTTAGGTATCTTTAATCAGAGTCCCCTCATTTCCCCACCATTATTAAAATATGTTTAACATTTGTGAGAGCATTATAGTACTTAAATAAGTTACAGAGAACATAGAGTTAATGTTGCTGTTCTTAGACTCATTTAAACGCTAAAGGCTATGTCATTGTAATATTATAAATGAGCGGTGTGTGTGTATTTGGGTGTATATTATATATATAGGACTTTGAAATGAGCATCTTACTGCTCATTCAGTAAATATATATATATTTATATTATATATTAATATATATTTATATAATATATATTTATATTATATATATTTATATCATATATATTTATATATAATATATATATTATATATATTTATATATATTAATTTATATTATATATATTTATATATAATATATATTTATATTATATTTTTATATATTATATATATTTATATTATATATTTATATATATTATATATATTTATATTATATATTTATATATTATATATATTTATATTATATATTTATATATTATATATATTTATATTACATATTTATATATTATATATAATATTTATGTTATATATATTATATATAATATATATTTATGTTATATATATTTATATTATATATATTTATATATTATATATTTATATTATATATATTTATATATATTATATATTATATATATTATATATTTATATAATATATATTATATATTATATATATTATATATTTATATATTATATATTATATATTTATATTATATATATTTATATATTATATATATTTATATTATATATATTTATATATTATATATATTTATTATATATATTTATATTATATATATTTATATATTATATATATTTATATTATATATTTATATATTATATATATTTATATTATATATTTATATATTATATAATATTTATATATATTTATATATTTATATATTATATGTAATTTAAATATATATATAATATATTTATATATTATATATTTATATATCAGGCTCATTTCAAAGTCCTAATTTTGCAAAGCTAAATCATTGCCTTTAATGTTAAGGAATTTTAGTGTTATTGGGGAGACTAACGTGAGAAAAAATAATAGGATGCAGTGTGATGTGCGATTTAGTAGAATTATAGACATGATGTCAAGAGATAACAGAAGAGATCTCAGAAAAATTCTCATGGATAGATAATGTTAAAACTGTGTCTTCTGATGACAACAGAAAGGGAGAATATGGAGAATGGATCTAGAAATGGAGAAGGGGGATCTGGGCAGAGAAGGGAGCAGGGACAAGGACAAATGCACAGATGCATTATAAATGGCTTTGTAGAAGCATGCATATTTCTCATTACTAGAATAAAGGGTCTCTGCAGAAGAAGGTAGGGAATGAGGCTAGATGGGGAAGTGGGAGACCAGACTGGAGGATGTTAAGTGAGGGCCGATGCTGACAAAGCTGAATGAGGACTTCCAGCCCAGCAGGGGAGATAGATATGTCCCCACTAGCTACAGTTCTGTAAGTAAGATTTGTGCAATTGCAGATGAAGATGAATGCTGAAGGGCACAGAGGTTGAGAGCTTCCCTAGGGTGGTAGGGCACTCAATGAAAAAATTGTTTTTTGTTTGTTGAATCTGCAGTTTTATGATTTTTCTCTGTCATACTGTTGTGCCTTAGAAATGGCAGCCTTAGTTTCCTCATTGGTGAACAGCCCTGACACACATATTGAAAACCTGGAGATAGTAATAGCACTTCAGGTGCCCTGGATGCCTTCTGCTTCTTGCTCAAACGCATATTTAGTTGTGACTGAGGGTTGGTGAATCTAGATCAGAAATACCTTCTTTGTCTTTATAACTATCGCCTTTGAGGCTTTCATCTCCACTGGGTATATTGTAAGAGCTCCTAAGTAAAATCCCTGGGTCCAAAGTAAATCGGACAAAAATCTCCTTTTTTATAGGAAGTCTGGCTTAAGGGTGAAATTGTGTGACAGAATGAGATGACTAATGATTTAAAATTTAGTCTATTGACATTCAAATTTTGAGAGCACATCTTTTTTACATGAAGTTTTTCATATTCTTCAAATTGTTCCTTTAGGTTCTTCTGACTTCTGAGCAACTAATATGACTTTTTTTGTTTCTCATTTAAATCAGATTTACCACCTGGTTTGCCTAGTTCATTTCCCATTCCTGTTTATTCCTTTTGAATACATTTCAATTTTCCCATTATAACTTAAATTTTTCCATAAGACAGTTATTAGAATATTTACTTTAAAGCAGTTGTTTCAAGTGAAACAGAGAGAAAGACATCTTTATTCTCTGTCCACTATGTGTGCCTGACATTACTTTACCACAGCCTTTATCTTTATCATAATTATGTTTGAAAGCATCTTGAATTGGGAACTTTGGGCTAATTTAAGTTTAAAACTCCCATCTGTGGGAACTAGAGATTTTGTATAAAATATAAACATTTAGTGCTGTAAGTAACAACTTACGTTTTTGGTCAGAAAAAGATGTAGTTCATTGGGCTTTGTTAAAATAGGTTAAAAGTATATGTTAGCTTTTAGGGCAGAATACATAAACCAGTTTGTTCACGTGGAGGTAAAAAAAATTAGATTTGAAATCTAATAATAAAAATGAACATATGTAGTTTTGTTTTCCCCATATTTAAAGGAGAGCTTTTCATATTTTAAAAGTAAGACTACAGTGTTACTTTTTAAGACTCTATGCCTTAGAAGCATTAGTAGTACTTTACACATGGTACCTAAAAAGTATTTTAATTTTTAGTAATCTTAGAAATAAAAGCAGAAAATATATTGTGGGCTATTTCAGGCTAAAAATAAAGTATTATTTGAGATAAAAATGTGCCTTTGAGAAAATACATTAAAAACTTAAATCTATGTTGGATTTGATTTAAACTTGAACAGCACACACCAAGCATTAAAGCACTTTTGGATGCAACTAAACTAATAATGGGAGTGAAAATAATTGCTTTTGATATCAATAGCACTGCTAACTTGACTCTGAGTAACTTAGTAGCATGAATTAAAATGCTGACTCTGAAATGAAATTTTGCAACAATGTTCCTTTACAGTCAGAGATACCTTTTCCATATGTACTGAGGCTTTGTTCCTTGTGAGCTGTAGTAGGAAGATACAGTTAGTACACATAGTGAAAACTGCGTGCCTGAACTTTTAGCTTGTGTTTCTATTAATAGCAAAATCAGGCAGAGGATGGTTAGCAGACGTTAAATTGGATGGTTGATTTCCATTTTTCTGGTTTCATAGCCCAGATATAACTTGATCAAAAATTAGCTTCGGTACTTGTATATTCATTGCATAAGTGTGGTACAGCTTTATTTGAAATACACCATTAAGTTGAAAAAGGATCCTGTGAATTAATTTCTTATGTTGTAGTCATCCCTTTCTGTAAATATATATTAGAGCAATAAGACATTTTCAAAGGCTGATAAATTCTATATCTATCATACTTTTTAAACCCTTTGACCAGTAGGTGCATATGTGTAACAACACATATAGATTCTCATCACAAAAATAGTTATAATAATTAAATATTAAAGACAAATATCCACCAAGAAAGAATTTGATAATTATGGAATATTTACATTATGAAAGGTATACATAACCATAACTTAATTTTTGAAATGTTTAGTGAAATGGGATAAAGATAAAAATGTAATTGAGAGAAGCAGGGCATAAAACTGAGTAGTGTTTTTTAAACAATAGTCTGAATTAAATTAAAAAAATGGCAAGATAGCAATCTGCATGCTTTTAAGATTCACATATTTCCTTTTTCATTACATCCTTATGTTTCCAAAAATAAGCATGCATACACACACACACACACACACACACACGTGTATATACTATGATTTAATAATTATATTATTGGGTATTTATCCAAAAGAAATGAAAATATCCACAAAAAGACTTATATAAGAATTTTACACCACCATTATTTATAATAGCCACAAAGTGGAAAAGAAAAATCCAAATGTCTATCAACATGTAAATACATAAACAGATTTTGGTATATTCATAATATAGAATATTACTCAGCAAAAAAGGAATGAACTACCTATGTATGCAAAAATAAGAATAGGGTTCTCTAAAACATGTTGAACAAAGAGAGGGACATAGAGTACGTACTCTATGATTTTGTTTATATGGAATTACGGAATAGGCACAGCTAAGCTATAATGATAAAAACCAGAACACTGGTGGCCTCTAGGGAGCAACGGACTGGAAGGAGATATGGTAAGATTCTCTGTGTTGATGGAAATGTTTCAAATTTTGATTTGAATATAATTACATAGAGGTATACATTTATCAAAACTCATTGAACAGCTTAGTTAAATCTGTGCATTTTTTTCTATGTAAATTATACCTCTATTAGAACAGTCTCATCCAGTTAAAATATACAAGTAATAGTTTTAGGACACAATTAACATAATTTCACTGCTCCCAAAACTATCAGGATTTTACTATCTATATCGAGAATTACGTGCTAGCTTTCTAAAACACAACTTCTTTATTTGTTAGAGTATTTTGGCTGGAAAATATTTCTTCCCAGCAGGAAAAGAATATTCAATTTTACTGTATTTGTATTAGTTATGTTTATTCAGTATTCAGGGATATTTTCAGTAGTTAAGAATTTTGGGGGCCTGGGCACAGTGACTCATGTCAGTAATCCCAAAACTTTGAAAGGCTGAGGTGAGAGAATCAGTGGAGCCCAGTAGTCCTAGACCAGTCCAGGCAACATAGCGAGACCTCGTCTCCACAAATAATAAAAATATTAGCCACGCATGGTAGCACATGCCTGTGGTCCCAGTTTCTTGAGAGTCTGAGGTGGGAGAATTCCTTGAGCTGGGACAGTTGAGGCTGTGGTGAGCCATGATTGCACTACTGCACTCCAGCCTGGGTGACAGAATGAGACCCCATCTCAAAATAAAAAAAAAATTATTTGGGTCGGAGGAAGAGAACCCATTTCTGCAAAGATATAAACTTCGCTTAGGTCAAGTGTAAGATGCCACCTCACCTTTCTTTAGCCTCTACATACATTCAAAAGTTTGGGTTATTCTACCTTTGCCTGAAGGCTCTTTTCCTTGAGAGCTTCTTTCCCCCATTTAATTAAAAACTAATGCAAAAACCAACATATCCTTTTTCATAATATATTGGATTTTGCTTTTTAACTAGGACCTTGTGCAAGACTTACTGATATTTTTGGCTTGTCACCATAATAAAAAGTAGAGATAAAACATGGGTGACTCAGGAAAGCTCACTTCATTTTTTATTGTATGCTTACTTGTCTGTTTACTTGTTTTAATGTAACAGAGTGGTTTATCATCTATTTACTATAAAGTGATTTGTCCTCATTTCACAAATGCCTGCTCTTGGTGAAAAACTCCACAAATCTTTATAAATTTCATTTCCCAGCAAATATAAAGCATGAACCAGAAAGTACATTTCAATCAAACACTTGAAAACACTGACCTAGAGGAGCTCAGCACCTGGTGAATGGCCTCTGAGAGTGTTATTTGTTCTGCCCTGGTTACTGACTTGAGAGGTTACATGAGTGAGTAGTGAGTTGAAAGCATCAGTCAAGACAGTCTTGTTTCTGAAGAAGCACCTGCTATATCTGTACCCCTGTATAAATGTCACTTATTTTTTTTTTTTTTGCCTATGAAGACTGTAATGAGAATGGGGCTATTGATTGAAGCAAACTAATAGGACCCATAATCATCAGCTGTTAATATTAAGGTCCCAGATGGCTTGCGGGTTATACAAAAACATCTCATGAAAGTGAGAATGTATCCTTATTGGATGGATAATTTGAAGAAGTACGATATATAATTGAGTAAATCCAAAGGGTGAAAAGTATGATTTTGAATTCCAGTACGCATTAAAAAAAGGTGAGGCTCAATCTTTACATCTTAAAATCTGATCTCATTCCTTAGTTTTATACATTTAGATTAAAGCTGATTTAGCGGATATTTTGCTATACAGGACCTGTGTTAACAGTTACACAGCCAAGTGCCACAAAACAACATTTAGGTCATTGACAGTCCACATATATGACAGTGGTCTCATAAGATTAGTCATGCATTGCTTAACGACAAAGGTATGTTCTAAGAAATGCATCGTTAGGTGATTTCGTCACTGTGCAAACATCATAGAGTGTATTTACACAAACCTAAATGGTATAGCCTCCTACGCAGATGGTATAGCCTATTACTTCTAGGCTATAAACCTGTTTAACAGGTACTGAATACTGTAGGGAATTGTAACATAATGGTAAGTATTTGCGTATCTGAATGTGTCTGGGAAAGGTACAATAAAAATGCAGGATTATAATATTATGGGCCCACTATCATATATTTGGTCTGTCGTTGACTGAAACGTTGTTATGGGGTGCATGGCTGTATAATGGAGCTGCCCTATACAGGTGTACCATATTTTATCTTTTATACCACTGTATTTTTATTGCTGGCTGATTATGAGAGCTTCTCATAGACCTCTAGCAATCTAAGCTCTTCTTCAACCTAAGCTGCTTTTTCCTGTCTTCAGTGTGTTAATACCATTACTTCTCTTCCCTCCAGACTTCTTTGAGATCTAATTCATTGCTAAATATGAGAGCATTTCTTGTCTGACTGTATTTTTTGAATGTCCTTTATTCTAATGCAGACCTTATTGCCTGTTGCCTCAGCTTCTGTAAAACAGAAAAATGGATTTTGTTGCCTTCTGTCTTCCTCTGCAATCTAGCAGTAAAGCACTTTCCTATAAACATTTCTTTAAGTGTAATTTGCATAGGAAATTACACTTAAAGCTCTTAGGAGAGCTTTCAATTGCTGATGTCAGCATGGCCTTTATTGATTGGCATTGAAGTTCCCTCACTATGTATCCTCAACCAGTATTTTCTAAGCTATTTCCACTACTTCCTTACACATAATCTAAGAAATAAACAAGCTGAAAACATTTTTTCCTCTGGCATTCCACAAACTTCCCTACCTCCACACCATTTATTCAACCTAAAACTCCATTCTCCGTCATTGCTGCCTAATAAAGTGCTTTGCCATCTCATGATCTGTCTCAAATGCCTCTTCATGTAGGCAGCATTTAAAATAAGGATAGAAAGATAGGTAGTTTTTTCGTCTTAATTATCAGGTATGTGTGTACCCAGGTGACCACCTGTTGGATAGTATTTTAATGGTGGAAATGGAGCAGCAAAGTATTTTCTGAATCTCCAGTTTTCCTCCATCTGTCATTTGGAATTCTGTAACAATTCATACTTATTCTATGTCTTGTTGCCATATTGTGTTTTATGATTATTAATATGTTTCTATTTTTCCCTTATTGTTAGTGCCTACAGGTAGGGAGTATATCTTCTTTATTTTTGGATTCTGCCCAAAACTAAGAAAGTATAGGTACTGCAACGGGAATGAAGTAAAGCCCATTATTAGAAGGGAGACATTTATAATTAAGGCAACGTATCCACTCTTCAGTTTGATGTGAAGGGCAGAGAAACTATGTTGTAAACAAATAGAATGAGGCACAACCATGCATTTTAGTTACATTGGGAGCATATTTACTTGGATTATTTAGAATGCTACAAATCCTCGTAGCTCATTCTGCATTTCAGTCATTTTGTCTCTTGCTGTATACCTAAAAAGTACATAGGATTTAAGAAAACCTTCCCAAGCAGTTGGTAACATAAGAACTTTGGACTTACAGACAATATGTCTAAAAGGCCATGAAGTTTACATCTTCCTGTCTTTTCTTGACCCAACAATCCCTGTGGTAGGTTTGTGCTCCAGCATAGCCCTCCACTGTAATCACCTTCCTCCGGGTTCCCATAGGAGAGAAGTGCTAGAGCTTCCACCAAGCTCCACCTTCCTATTCTTTACATCTCCCACGAGGCTTGTAGCTTAGCAGAATCTTGGGCTGAGGCTCCACGGTATTAACTGGATTTAGGATTAATTTTGTTTTAGCTATATTATGAGTTGGCCTGGGATTTTAACTGAATTTTATAATGTTATTTCCATGGGAAAAAGAATTCTAAAATCCAAACAACCAATTTGGAGCTTATTTTTTGCAATATAATGAATTGTATGTTTTGGATTTTTGACATTTTAAAGACCAAATATTTCTACATTTATTGTATCTGTGCCCTGTTCTTTAAAATCAAAATACCTGTAACCATAGCTGTATTCAATGAATTATTTAGAAACATGATATAGTTTCAAACTTTTACTAATTTATCTGATATGCTTCCATTTAAATGAATATTTGTAGATTTTTTTAAAAAAGGAGTTATCTTAGAATTAGTGGATTTATTATACTAAAATTAAATGTAGGTGTTTGATTTTTAAAAATAGTCTCTGCTGTAATCATCCAGGAAGATAATGTACTTTTGATTAATTACTAAGAGGATTACCTAAGAATATAATTCAGTAGCAAATGCTTCACACATGAAGATATTCATTTAAAACTATGTAAGGTAGAAAAAAAACCCACCTAAAATCTCAGTAATACAGAATAATTTTATGAATTATGGCAAAATGACTATAATTATAATGTAGAAATACAGGTAGGTTTAGTATAATAAAATATTAATACTAAATACTATGTTTGCAAAATATGCATGCCTGTAAAAAACTAGTAGATAGTATGCAAATATTAACATAGTGATGAGAGAGTTAATAATAGTTTTATTTTTTTCCAAATATGTCTTCAAAATAATTCTACTTGACTTTAAACACGTTGTTTCTGGAACAATTCATGTACACGGATTTAAAGTGGGATACATCAAAACAAATTCAAAACTTTATTGTTTCTCTGCATGTCCTCCCAGCAAAAAAAAAAAAAGATTTTTCTTAATAAGTGATTTCTAGTTGTGTTTCCCTTTCCTTTCTGCAAAATTGTGAATTTTCAAAACTCCCATACAAAAAGAAATGGTAATGAAAAATTAACTAGAATTTTAGAAAGATAATTGGCATATCTTGCTGGACCTAATTATTTACAATATACAATAGTGATCGTGAGTTTTCAGACTCTTGGCTTTTTTTTTTTTGGTTTCTTTGGTCTTGAATATGGTTCAAGATGAGTGTCACACTGAATACCAACTCCTTGTACAGAACAGAGTTTTGTTCTTATGTACCCCTTGACTGTTCATTGTTCTTTTAAATTAATGGTGTGAGAACAAACTCATTCTATGAGACTGAGATCATCTGTTATCAAAACTCCGTTATTAGGTGGAGACAGATAAATCATGGCTGAAGTGATCACAGAAGCATCTGTGGAAAGAGTCATGCAGTCATGTTAAGTGAGGGTTAAGGGTGTGTGTATGTGTGTGGAGGGGCATGAGTGATTAGCTGGCTCTGAACCCTTTTTGTAGACTTGTGGGATTTATATTTGCATACATTTGCTTTTTATTTGAAAATCTTTTTACTTTAAGAATCCTTTTAAGATTAATTGACACAGATCATTCTTTCAGAAACTGATGGCATCCAGAAAACGTTTAGTACATGATTTAATGATTTAGTACCAAATCATGGGTATTGTGAAAGTACCCAAGATAATTTCTCATCTTGGTCTGATTATGAAAGACTAGTATTCCATCTTGCTCCAGTACTTTGTTTGGGTGTGTATGCTTTATTAATTAAGTTGTTTTTAGATGTAATGCAGTTGTCAGTGGGGTAATATGACTTTTCTAAAAATGTTTTAATTTTTAAAGCCTCATAAAATAAAGAATGAGGCAAATGAACCATAGATTTAACTTAATGATAGGCAAAAAGATAAAAAGAGGAATTCATTAAAAAAAAAAAGTCTTTGGGGACTAGGAGGAACTGGAAGTACCATAACAGCAACTTTCTGTGTAAACTGGAAAATCTTCTCATTCAAACTTAACACATGGAGTTCACCGTCTATATTAGGAAATGTTTTGGAACACAGTGTGAAAATCAGCTGTAGCAAGAAACAGATTTTAATTAATACAGACATAGAGTAAACCTCTGAGGCTGAACATCGTTATTCAATTCAGTTGGAAGATAAGCTACTAGATATTTATAGGAAATGTGTATTATCATTTCCCTCATTGTGTAGCACCAGAACTCTTCTACCTGCACCTGATGGCTTCTTACCTGTCATCATTCCACTTCCCTTTCTCTGCAAGAGTATTATGTAACCAATCTTTATTCATCCTATTTGGGAAGTCAGCTATTTCTATAAAGGGTAAGCTCTTTATCAGTTTTTTCACTGAATTCCCTTCCATTTACTCCTCCACTTTTTTACAAATCTTTTGAGTTGAAATATGCCTCCATGACTCATTGTAATGATCAGTAATCATAAACTAGTGTTAACATTTAATTTTTTTGAAAGAAAACAAGAATCCTACATTTTGAGATTAAATCAAATTTGATCAATATCTCAATAATGTTACTTTATTTTGCATATTGTTTCTTGGTGTGTAATTTTTTTTTCAGTTACTTCATCAGATTCTTACAATTTCTCCCTCCTTCCCAAAAGGCAAAAGAATTATTTTTCCTACGTTACAGATAAGGAGACCAAAGTTAGGAATACTTAAGTGCCAGCCCTATGGGAAAACAGAAACAAAACAGAACGCAGTTCTTCAGACTCTTAGTCCTTAGTCATTGTTTTTTCCATTATCTTGGAGGTAAACCTCCAAAGGGCCCACCAATATCAAGCAAAGGCTATGGAGGTTTACACCTCCTTACATGCTTATCCTTTTGTTTTGTTTTGTTTTTTTGAGACAAGGTCTTGCTGTGTTGTCCAGGCTGAAGTGCAGTGGCATGATTTCAGCTCACTGCAACCTCTGCCTCCTGGACTCAAGCCCTCCTCCCACCTCAGCCTCCTGAGTAGCTGGGACTATAGGCACACATCTCCATGCCTGGCTAATTTTTGTGTATTTTGTAGAGATGGTGTTTCACCATGTTGCCCAGCTGGTCTCGATCTTATGAGCTCAAGTGATCTTCCCACCTTGGCCTCCCAAAGTTCTGGAATTACAGGTGTGAGCCACTGGGCTGACCTGCTTATCCTTTTCTGATTCCATTTCTTTCATCTTGATAGCCAGGAGTCAGGTTGTGTTTTTTAAATCTAATTATAGTTCAGTAATTGTACTCAACAAAATTTCTTCTATTATGTTTCAATTATAAGTATTGCCAGAGAGTTTTATACCAGTGGTTTTTCAAGTGAAGTCTGGTCTTGGAACCAACAGTAGAGTATCACCAGGGAATGCCATAGAAATGCAAATCCTTGGGCGTCATTACAGACCTACTGAGTCAGAAAGTCTGGGGTAGCGCTCATTGACTTGTGTTTGCCCAAGCTTTCCAGGTGATTTCGATGTTAGCTAAAATTGGACTGTTTTAAACTCTTAATCGATGAAATTGACATTGAGGTAAATTGTAGTTTAATTTTTGTCCTGAGCTACCTAAAAAGTCTGTCCAGCATTTATAATATTTTTCTTACTTATATCCACATCCCCACATTGGCTCCCTGAGATGGTAGTAGAGTATAATGGTTCAGTGTGTGGGCTCTGAAGATGAACTGTAAGTTGGAATACTGGTGTTATTACTTACACTTCATATGGGCCCTGGAAAAGTTACTTCTCTGTGAAATGCAGTCATGGTACTTCCTGCCTTCTGAGGTCTTTGTGATAATTAAATAAGTAAAATGTTAGCTATAGTTGTTATTATTTAGCACAGTTATTTGCACAATGAATCATGAAGTATTGTTTTGGAAAGTAATATTTTAAGTTTCAACCAAGGACTTTAAAAATGAACTTTTGGGGAGACAACCAATTTGGGAGAGTTTCTGGGGTAATATATAATCTTCATGGCTCATTAGCCATATTTTTTCCTTTCTGAGTGTTGTTTGCAATTTCATTTTAATAATTTATTAGTAACTAAAAGTAGCTATAAAGAAGACATTTATGCCAAAATATTTGAAGGTTATTTTCTTCATTTTTCTCTAATATTTTCACTTTTGAAAGGGAAGAAAATAATTGTATAAGCATCAGCCATCTTCTGCAGCCTTTTGCATCTATTTTGTTACCTTACGAGATCATCACAGTCCTTACTAAAACAAAAATTGTCACAACGTGAGTGAATTTAATATAAACTAGCATTTCCCCCTTCCCTTAGTGAATAATCATTGTTTGTAGAAAAAGCTCCCATCATTGAGTCATGTTTGTGATCAACACAAAGGGTAAATGAAAGGACCTTAGAGTGGTGAATAGGTATTCCTGCCTTGAGGGTTTCTTTTTCATTTAAACATTGGTGTACAAATACTTCAGTAGCTAATGCATTCTTGGTTACTCCTTAAGATATCTTATTCTTCTCTAAGTTTTTCTAATTGCAGTGCAATGACAACAGTCACATATCTGCCACTTATAGGAAGGGAGTAGAAAAGGAGGAGGCTGGGAAGACAGCTGTGTAAAGGTGAGATACGTGAGCACTGATGAACTTCACTCTCCACTGCAGCCCATATATAGCCTGCAGTTGTGTGCTTCTTTATTTTAGTCTCTACTAGGCTCTGGCAAGGAAAACAACATATTCTGCTGGAAGAAATTTTTCATTTGCCACTGCAATTTTTTTTTTTTGCCACTGCAATTTTTTTTAAAAGGGAGAGGTTAAGAATTAGGTGGTATTTGGTTTTCTGTTCGTGTGTTAGTTTACTAAGGATAATGGCCTCCAGCTCCATCCATGTCCCTCCAAAGGACATGATCTCGTTCTTTTTAATGGCTGCATTGGATCAGGAAAAATAACTAATGGGCTTAATACCTGGCTGATGAAATAATCTGTACAGCAAACCCCCGTGACCCAAATTTACCTGTGTAACAAACCTGCACATGTACTCCTGAACTTACAAGTTAAAAAAAAATGAAATAAAATGTGGAAAAAAAATTCGGTGGTGAAAACATTTTTTTCTTGATGTTATTCTCAGCCAAACAAGCTCATGCAAGCCGGAAAGATGTGGGAGTAAATATGGCAATGCCATTCATTAATCATGAAAACCATATTAAGGAAAGGGCTTCCCCTAACCCTCAATGTAATATACTAGGTCACCAGATCCATTTTTAGATTCAGAGATTTCTGTTCTCTGTTCAGAATCAAGAAACAGATGATGTATTACAGTTTTGCCTTTCCCTTCAGGAAGAGGAATAAAATATGCTTGAGAAGAAGATGGATTTGATTTTCTATAACCTTATAGTATGGAATGCATTTAGTGGGCTGAAAGTTGCAAATATTGTATATGCCTTTTCCCCTGATTGTCATTAATTTGGGGTTTTGAGGAGGAGGAATTTACAACTTACTCTTTCCATTTTCAAAACCAGAGTATAAAAACATGCTCTTTCGACCTTGAAAAATTGATTTTCAATTTATTATACATCAGAGGAACTATAGCCAATATTTTTAGAGTATATAATTCTTTCCCATGTAAACAAATTCAGAATTGTTTCTTTAAAAAAAAAGCTTTTTAAGCTTCATTTATATAACTGGACTTGAGGAACAGTTTTTCTATGGGAACTCAGAAGCAAAACTTGCCTTTGCCTGAAGTCACCGACTGGGGCCCAGGGAAGCCAAAGCTCCTTTGGAGTTGAGGTCAGACATGGCTGTATGTGACATGGACATTCTATGGAATACAGCAGGGTAGAAAAGAGTTAAAAAAAAAAAAAACTATCAAACTAGTGTTTTTCAGTTGTCCTGGACTTTTTAGTGTTTCCCCACTAAGGTCTAACCTTTGCCATCTGTATGCTTTTAGATCTGAGAAGATATGCTGCCTCTTTTTTTTCACTGCCCCTCCCCTCTGAATCTTATGGCTCCTTTAAAGTGTATAGTTCAAAGAAAAGCCACAGTGAAAAGAGCTGTGTCTTTTTAGGCCTAGTGAGACATATCCTGCAGCCCATGGGCTTTGTGTGAGGCTTTCTGTGATCTCATCTTGCAGAGTCAGAAATGAAAAGAGATTCTTCTGTTCTGTGTCTGTCGGTATAATCATCATGCTGTATGACGAAAATGCAGTGGGAACCCAGCAATGACATGACCCTCTGAAAAGGGTACTTTAAAAAACTTTTTAGAAATATTGTTAACTTGATCTCATTTTGCTTTCCTTGATGAAAATAGTCCTGAAATGCAGTGTTATTTACAGAATGTAGATCTAGATTGTTACTTTTTTAAAAGCAAAAATATTGATTACTGTTGGCAGTGTTAATGGAATAGAATAATGAAAACTATTGCCTTCTCTGTTTTTTTTGTAAACGCTCTTTTTTTGTTTAGTGTATTTGTGACTAAGTAGGAAAATACGTGTCACTGCTTGCTAGCACCCCCTCACTCCCCTCATTAACTAATCATTTTCATTCACAGCTTGTGGAATTTGGCATGTTTTCATGTTAACTTTTTTGTCTAGTCATTAGGCCATCTTTTAGTGAGATGCAAATAAATGTTATCTCAGAAAAGTTAACTGTATTTTTATTAATTCGGTACCATATTGGTATTTTGCAGTAATAACAGCTTTATAATGGGACAATTAAATACAGATCATTAGGTTTTTAGAGTAATATGCTGTTAAATCTAAAATACATATCATTGATACTTCAGAAAAAGAGAAACCATATATAAATATAGGAATGGCTCACAATTCTTCTTAAAGTAGATGGAATGGGATTTAAGATCACAATATAGGTGGCCGCCCCTTTTCGATCACTGTAAAATAACTATACATATGTAGTATATTATTGGTTCTTTTAGTTGTGAAAGATTCGAATACTGAATGTTTGCAGCAGAGAGGCTGACTTACCACATAGTGATGAGTAGGTAGAAAGTCCTAGCATATTAGTGATACCTCTTCTAATTTAATTCACAGAGAAACTTAAGCATATTTAGGTATTAGGTGTCTTTACATAGACATTGAAAGTTTTTTATTTTTAATTATTAAAGTAAATTTTGTAAATTTCTGGCTTGAGACCTCAGTTGGCTCTCTGTTCTCCACTAAATTCGAATTTTTTAACTAGCATGTTTTTTGCTTTTTTTTTTTTTGTGAAGGAAGTCTGGGTTAAGCAGAGTTGACGTTCTGCTGGCTTAGATAATGAGCCACCTCATTCCAAGGCAGTTTCTCTAGGAAATGATTTCCCTTTCTTATAAATCTTGCCATGGGGCTTGGATGTCATGTGGACATAAAACATTATTACTTACCACGCCAAAAATGATAGCTTTTGCAAGAGAGACACAATATAGTAGATTGTGTTTATCTTTTAGACATCTATTGTTATCTTTGGGATTTTAAGTTAGTGAAAATACCCTTCGGCCTTCATCCTCCCAAGCAACAAGTAAAGGACCATAATATGGGCTGAAGGATCGTGGCAGTAAGAACAAGCCAGGAGGAGTTCTTGAATCTTCCAGGTAAGGGCTTCTGTCAGACGCCTGGAAAGTTAAGCACATGGAAGTGCTAGTGTGCAGTTTAGTTATCATCCTAGCCTAAGTACACTAGGAAATATACTGAGCGTAAAAATAGCTTGGCAGTTACTGACTGAGAATTATTTGAACTGTTGCAAAAGCTAGAGTGGAGATGGTCACAGGTTTCCATTATTGAAATGGTGATTGAAATGGTGATAAGTGTGGAAAAGTATAATCCTGTCATGTGCCTTACATTTCAGAGCAAAGAGAATATATGATGCAAGTCTTGATTGAGACAGTATTAAATTATTTTCTTGCTTGAATTTGTCAGTCAGTGACTCAGTTTGATTTGTCATTCAAACTCCTCTAGGGGACAGAATGGGAGACCCAGATGGTTAGAAAAAGAGCACTGTCTGTATGATGACTCCTTTGTTTTAACTCATCACCAAGCATATTTGTTGGTTTTTCAGGGTTATATCCCCTCTGACCCATTGTACTATTTCCCTAAGAGTTTACATATAACATTAGGATCACAAGGTATGGCAGACCTGGACTATCAGCTTGTTTTTCTTATTGATATTAATGTGTGGTGTAGTGAAGACTGAATGTTGCAGTCAGGCAGAATGGAGATGTAATCTCACTTTCATCACTTAAAAAAGTTTTTTTTAGTAGATATAAGGTCTCACTGTGTTGCCCACGCTAGGCTTCAACTACTGGGCTCAAGCAATCCTCCTGCCTTGGCCACCAAAAATGCTGGGATTACAGGCATGAGTCATCATGCCCGGCCACCTTCATCACTTTTGAGCTTCAAGGTCTGAGAATCTGGAAATATTACTTAGGGTTCTTATCTTTTCAAGATGAGATCAATAATACCTACTTCACACTCTGGTGAGGCTGAAACAATACAATAGATATCCATGTCCCTGGTACATTGTAATTTATTATTATTGAGAGATGAGGAAATTGAATCACAGAGAAGTTAATGGATTTGTCCATCATCACATTAGCACTAAGTGGCAGGGAAGGACTTTAATTCCGGCCTTCTGTCTCTAATCCTATGGCTTGTCCACACTGTCATTGCTCTTAATTCAAATATATTTTGGTGAATAAAATCTTTTACCAGGGATGGTATGTGGTGTAAATTACCACTGATAAATGATATCAGATTTTTGTCTGAAGGAAGAAAGTCGGTTTTCCAACAAATGAATGGATATGGCATCTGTTTTATGATAGTTTCAGGATGTTTCCAAGGTTTACCCCAAGATATGAATGTTCAACTTGAAATTCTAGAAATATGATCATTAATGGAAATACAAAGTTCTTAGACAAAAGATGGAAGAAATAATTCAGGAAGGAAGCTAAGAAGAATAACATTTCACATAAAAAGCAGGGAATCAAAAACAGTGTTTGGCTAAAGGAAAAAGGTGGTAAAGACAAGAGAAGGAAAAACAAAACTACTCCACATTGCCAGATATATTACACTTGTTAACACTAGGGAATCCAGGCTATCTATACCATCCTATGCCCCCTAAAACCATGAAGTGAATTTGCAAACATTAACAGATTATAGAAGTGCTGTTACCTAACTCTCCACACGTAGCAGAAGCCCAAGTGCCTGTAGAGTTAGAGCTGGGAGTTATGAGGAAAAGCTACAGGAAGTATGTCTTGGCCCAGAATAAGGAAGAACTTTCTGACAATAAGATGTGCCAACAGTGGAATGGCTTTTTCCCCAAAGTAATGAGCTTCCTGTCACTGGAGAGTCAGGTAGCTGCTAGAAGATTGGCAGGGTTGCAATCAAGGGTCTCTAGCATGAGGTCAGAGTTTGAATCGGGTGAACCTGAAGGTCCCTTACCAAGATTTTGTGATTCTATGACTGTTTTGGTTACACCTTTTTTCTCTTTCATACTCAGTTTTACTGTGTTTCATAAGTATCTTTTAATAAACAGAGGGCAGTACTTAGGCTTATGAAATAAGATGAACTGTGGCAATCCTTTTAAAACAGTAATCAAATGAAATTCAAAATAATATGTTAGAGGGAAATAAACAAAATATAAGATTTTTTGAAAGCCATATTGTTTAAAACCTGTGGGAGTGATTATAAATCTTAATAGAATGAATAAAGGTGATTGGCACTGGACAAAAGCATGTCTAGAAAGAGTTTATTGTTGCATTTAGCAGCATTCTGACAGGAAAGGGCTTACACAGAGTGCAGTAGTAAGAAAGCAAAAGACGTGTTTAAAGAGCTACAGGCAAATATTCTTGTTTATTACAGGTGATCGGAGGATAGTATTGAGAACCAAGAGATCAGAAATAGTGTTAAGTCATGGGGAACCTTGAATTTCAGGTTTAGATGTTTGGTTTTTGGTGGACACCTGATTTCTTTTGATGGTTTTGTTGTTTTTGAAATAGAGATGGACATGATGTGAACTTTTTATTACACAATTATTGATCTTGGTAGTGGTGGGGAAGGAGTTTTTAAAAAGGAGGATTGGAAGGGAAGTAGAAAAAGTTAGGTGAGAAAATCGAAGGCCAGAATATAAATAGAGAATGAAAATGGAGAACAGGGGAGCACAAGAAAGCCTTTTACAGTTAGAAGTAGTGAGGATTCAGTTCCTGGGAGGACAGAGCTGCCTTTCATTGCAATGGAAATACGTGGAGAGAAAAGCTTTGGAGGGCATCAGTGGGAAAGGAGGTTGTCTTGTCCACTGGTGTCCCACACTGCAGAAGTGGTGCATGGAACAGAGGTCAGGAGTTGAGATCCCGATTTGGAAGTTATTTACACAGAGGATGAATCTGCAATCATGAAGTCTGATGAAATTCCAATAGGAAAACCATAGGGGGTGGGGTGGGAGAGAAAAGAGATCTCTGAGCTGAACTATAGACAGCAGCAAAATTTAGGGAAAAAGGAGAAAAAAGTAATCAGAGAAGAAGGTGTTATAGACTACTTAATGATGTAAGAAGAAAAACCAAGAGAATATTTCTTGGAATCTGAGAAAAGAAAATTTCAAGAGAATGTAATCAGGGATCCTTTGGGAGCCCCTGTAGTAAGAAGTAAGAAAAAAATGTGAGATGGAAGTTTCCATGGGGGATGTGAACCATCCCTTCAAGAGGTTTGGAACTGGGGTGGCCATATAATTTTGTAAATGTGAAAGAACAAACAGTAAAATTACATTAGTCAAAGTTTTGCTTGTTACTCAAAGCAACTTTTTATGATCTCTTTTTTCCCCTTCTGCATGATAGCAGTGCCTCTCTGTGTGCAGGTCTATGTGCAGGTCTTCCATGCAGCAGGCAGCTCAGACTTCTCTCAAGGATAAAGGCTTTATGTGGGATAAATTTGTAATTTTGATTCAAACTCCAGTGGAAGACAGTGATTGTTGCTATTTTTCTTCCTTAGGGAGAAGTAGACAATCAGGGCATGCTAACATGGAACTTTCAGTTCTCTCTGAAATACTGTTATGTGTGCAGTAACCTTTTTCTAAGATTGATTTTTGTTTAGTAATTCAGAAAGGGCAAATTCCCTGGTCACAATTAGTTTCATCATACATACAGATAACACCATAATTTTGGAGTACTTAAAGGTTTGCTTGTTTGTGGTTTGCTCTCTGGGGTTGTGTCTGGGGTTGAAAATAAATAACCACAGCCCTTGGTTCAAATAGCTTATCTGTTACATGGTAGCAGCTACAAAACATGCTACTGATAATCAAATATAGCAATTCTACTAAAATAAATGTAACATCCACCATATGTATATTGAGGCATGTTCTAAGGAACTGTGTACTATGTTAGCATTATATGTATTTATATGTAGACACATACATAGATATATTTGTACATAGATAACACACACATGCATATTTATTACCTTCTTTTATGACACCCTCCTTAGAGGGGTGGTATTATTGTCACTATGCAGATGAGCAAACTGAGTTTGTGAGAGATCTTATAAGTACTCGATCTCAGATGGATATAAGAACTGAAGTGAGAAATGGCCCTGGGGCAATCTGTTTTCGAACCTGATATTCTTTTTCTCTGCATCATGCTGTACTACCTAGGATATGGAGGTGTTGTTACTGCCAAAGGACTTTGATATTGAGGTGTGCAAGTGAGAGAGCTAAAGTGTGGATGGTTTTGCCTCAGCTGGGCAGACTGGCACCAGGTCTGCGTCTACCAGGGCAGTGTCCCTTCCACCACTAGGTGCTTCAACAGGGGCAGTTTTTTCTCTTTTGGAATAAATTTCACAGGTACTCCATCTAATTTTTACCTTTAAAACTTCTTGCCATTAGCATCCTTTAAAATAATATGCTGGTATTTTATTATACTGTTATGTGTCTTCAAGCATTTCATGTAATCTGGTATTCTTTGTAAGTTTAGAACTGTGGATTACCAGATAAAGCCTGCCATTAAGGGTGAACAAAGAGTTTCCACCTATTGGAAGCAGTCAAATAGCATCACAGTTTAAGGATAATTTTGTACTGTCTTTTGGAAGTTGTAATGGAAACAAAATAGAATGTGGTTCAGTTTTAATCATATATGAACTGTTTTAATGAGTGCTGCACTGGGACTCAAGCTATGAAACCAAAACAAACCAGAAAAATGGCAATGGCACGCATGTTTGGGGGAACTTTATCTTTTTCCAGTAGTTCCTCCTTGTGAGGAGAGCTCAAGGCTTGCTTTACTCTCGGAGGGACTCAAGTGATTGGTTATTTGTGGAAAGCAAAATTGGGAATTCTCAACCTGATTCTCCCCTCTTTTGTGGGGCAGCTGCCTACCCAAGGGAGGAGGCATTATGCATTCTAGTGCATTTCTACAGGTTTGTTCCCCAAAGTGGGTTCATGGGTCTGTAAATGTTGGTTGCAGTCAAGTTATGTCAGTAAGCCTGGTTCTCAGGTTCAGTTGCTAAGTCCAGCTCTATTTGGAATAACAATAATATTTTAACCTTTATATTTACTTTTAGATTTTATTTCTCAGTCTATACTGATCTTGATAGGGAAGAGTGGGCTAACACAGGGGACTCATAGATATATATGAAATAGATATTATCAGTGAATAATTATATCTGATCATTTATATACATCTGACACTGAATTTATATATACTTTTGTTGAAAATAAACAAATGTTCTGACACTAAATCCTTTTTATGCCTTGTATCTTTGTTTTTTTTTTTTTTTTTTTTTGAGACGGAGTCTCGCTCTGTCACCCAGGCTGGAGTGCAGTGGCGCGATCTTGGCTCACTGCAAGCTCTGCCTCCCGGGTTCACGCCATTCTCCTGCCTCAGCCTCCCGAGTAGCTGCGACTACAGGCGCCTGCCACTACGCCCGGCTAACTTTTTGTATTTTTAGTAGAGATGGGGTTTCACCGTGGTCTCGATCTCCTGACCTCGTGATCCGTCCGCCTCGGCCTCCCAAAGTGCTGGGATTACAGGCATGAGCCACCGCGCCCGGCCTATGCCTTGTATCTTTGATAGTGTATTGAAATTAAGGAGACTAAATCTTTGAATTTAATGATATTACAGTTGTTTCTTAAACTATGTTTCGAATATCTAATTTTCTTTGGCTGTAGTTCAATGATTTCTTTTTTATTGAAGGCTCTAAATAAGAGTTTTATTATGTTAAATATTGTATATTTAATTATATTTATTACATATAATTTATTCTTTAAATTTGAGCAATATAGATCATATATTTTGTGCTTAAATAATAGTAGTTAATCGATATATTATTAAATTCGTTTTAGCTATAGAACTCTTAATATGTCTAAATTTATTTTCTTTGATATCATTTTAATACTCAGCACAAATTGTACTGAGGTAATTGCTATTGCATAAATAGTTGTAGTTAACATCATTTGATTTATAATTTTATAATCCTGTAATCTAAAAGAAGTATAATTCTTAATTTCATCTGATATGTAACTGAAACATTTTAATTAAAAATAGTAATGCCTATATGTCTTCTAGTCATTCATTTACCACCATCAAGCCCCTCATCTGCCCCACAAACATACTTGGAAACAACCAAAATGTAAATTGACTTTTCTTTCAATAGCTAACTCATTATTCCAAAAAATTATCAAATTTCCTTACCTACACAAACACACTCCACATTTTATTGGATGTGATTATGCTGTATTAATTCTCTAAATTAATGTAAGAATTCTTCAATCTTTATACTCTTAAAACTTCACATCCAGGATAGTTATTAATTTTTAACCTGTCTCTCACAGTAGTTGTACAAATCTCAGGTGTTAACTTAAATATTTATATACATTAATAGTCATCTTTATGTTTTTGAGTCAGGGATCCTACAGAGAATCTGATGTTAGCTATGCACAAGAATTCATAATCACTTATCACGGGTCAATAAACTGCTTAGAGCAGTTGCAAGAACAAGCCAGGTGGAGAATCCCTTCTCTACTGTCAAATATCCACTGGGGCGTAACAAAAATATGAATGCTTCCAGAAAAGCTGGAGACCAGCAAATAGTAGAAATTGGCATGAAGCACTGAAATTAAAGATTTGATTTAGGAACTATCAAACATGCTTCCATCAGGGCTAATATCAGAGCTTTCTGGAAACCACACTAAAATTTGAACCCTCCTTCCCCTCCCAGATGTCAAGAATGAGTACTGATGCAAACTTTGGCCATTTCTTTTTCATTACTTCTGCTTTGCTTGAGTATCTGGATTTGACATTGTATGTTGTTACTAATATTGTCTTATTTTAAAAAGCATGATCCTTTTGTGGTGTCAAAGCTAGGTTCATGCAGTGCTCTGTTACACTTGGCAATGATGAGCAGGCCTTATTTAAGACTAGCCATGCTCGTAGGATGTTTTGACCTCAAGAATTATTATATGCTTTACTAGAAGCACAGAATACAAAGGACTCTGAAATGACCTTCTTAGCCTTTTAATTGCAACTCTTTTTACTTAATGGCAGATAATTGGTTTTGGATTGCCTTACATCATGGAAACTTCAAAAACCAGATGATTTTTTTTCTTTTATTCTACTGTTTTGCTCTTTAACATAATAGGATAAGTATTTTTTTCTGTGTTCCATTATCATACATGTGTATTGCAGGTGTAGTTGGCATTGGAAATTTTGGCGGCTGATAAACTGGCAAAAAAGCTTTTGAATATTAGATGCAGAAATTAGATAGGGCTAAGCTACCCCATTTAATAAAGTTAACTTCTCTTTTGTCATGTTACTGACAAATGTTGCATATGAACAATAGCTTATATGCACAGTAGAAACCAGGCTCTTTCTCTTGAGAGTAATTCTACATCTGTGGAAAGGGGAACATTAGAAGTGGGAGTTACTTTAACAAGTGTTGCTATGCCGACTTACCAACAACTGCTGCAAGTTATTTTGCAAGAAAGACAAGGTGGAATGCACATGTATTCTCAAGAATAAATGTCCATTTATAGCAATTTTTACATTACCAAATATTTATCAGTTAGCTAATATGTACAAGTCTTGAATAACCTTATTATTCAAGACTTATTATTCAAGGTTATTTGTGGTCATGATTAAACTTATTCAATTCCCAGTCTGTGAATTTAGCTCACTATATAAGGTTGTAATGGTAATAAGGTTACTTGTAAGAATTTAGAAGTGCTCATATGTACACATAGCTATATAAGGTTACAGTGTATGTAATCATAAGTATGCACATATACATTGTGCAAATCCATGTAGCAAAAATTTGGCTGTGCTAAGAAAAAATTCAAAGGAATATATCCTTCAAGAATAAATTGAAGAGATAAAGAGATTTCCATTCTCTGCCTTTTCTGAAGTCCTTTGAATAGTACATTTTTCTGAGAGAGACATTCTTGTCCCCCCACATCATTCCAAGTAGAAGCAGAGAAACCTTTAACTCTTCATCAGTGAAGTTGCTGAGCCTCAATAAGAGGACAGATTTTACAAGCTTAGAACATGTATTTGATGTCTGTGTAGTGTATGTTTCTGACGTTAAGGTGTTTGAGGATACTCTCATAGTTAAATGTGTAGAGTACTGCCCTGTTACATCATTTTCTGTGGTTGTCTTGGACTTCAAATTGCAGGATTTCTTAGGTTGTGGCACTTTTAACTTGCATAGAAAATAATAGTCTCAAAATGCAGGGGTAGGAATTGGTTCAGGAAGCCATGTGGGAAGATGTCTTAATTTTTTTTAATTAAAAGGATTGTCATGTAAGAGTAAGCATCTTGTTAATGGATGTTATGAATGAAAGTGATCTTCAAAATGGAAAATTACATAGCCTAGAGTTGACTTCTGAATTTCAGAGTAATGAATGATGTCTCTAGGGTGTGATGGGGAGCAGTAAATGAAGTCGTTAAGAGAAGAGGTTCTGGAGCTGTACTCCTTGAGTTTGAATCCTGTTCTACCACCTCCAAGCCTTGTGACTTTTGGCAGTTACTTAATTCTTTTTAAGCCTTGGCTTTATTAACTGTTCACTTGGGTTATTAGTAACTTCTGCCTCACTGGGATTCCTAGCATATTGTAAGAATATATATTATATATATACTATATATTATATTATATAATATATTATATAATATAATTATATAATATATATAATTATATATATAGTATATATAGTATATATAATATTATGTAGTATATATACTATATAATATTATATAGTATATATACTACATAATATTATATAGTATATATAGTATATAATATATAGTATATATACTATATAATATTATGTAGTATATATAATATTATATATTATATATACTATATAATATGTAGTATATATAATATATAATATATATAATATATACTATATAGTATATATAATATTACATATATATAAATGGAGACCTCATTGGAGAGCAAGATTCTAATGATAGTTGTGCCACTGAGTAACTATGCAGACTTGGACAAGTTGCACCCCATTTTTACCTCTCCTTCTAAATTGTAAAATTAGACAGTCACTATATGCTGTCTCATTCTGTACCAATTAAAAATTCCATAATTCTATGAGTATTTTACCAATGAATACCAAATTTTTAAAAAAACTTGGATCATTCTGAAACTTGAGTAATTGAAATGCCTCCCAAACTGTTTTATTTTCTGAATGTAAAAAGCAGACCCTTGAGTCAGTCTCATGCCTAGAAGGCTTGCCACTTAGGGTTAGCCTAGAAAACAGTTTTTTGGTGAAGTTTACCTCTTAAAATGCCCATCGTTTCAGCATTAGCAACTGAACTGGCTAGAAGAGCCTGCTGCTGCAAGGATCTGTGTGCATAGAGGGAATAAAATGGAGTGGACAGCAAGCAAGGGAGCGGGATTATTGGAGAGATACAGCAAATGGAAAGAGGCAAGTGTAACTGAATGGAAAAAAAAATTCTCCAGAGAGAGTGGAGAAAATTGTTGAAAGGAAAACATAGGAAACTTTATCTCAGGGATTTATTCCAAGAATTAAATTCCAGAGAAGATGCATTTCCACAATGCTTTCTCAGTCCATACTTAGGCTGTGCTGCAGTGATGATGATTATTCAAAATAAGAAAATTGTAATATCCTGAAGAATCAAACAAAAGTTAAATGATTTTTATTGTTCCATGGAATACAGTATATTCTTTGAAAATGAATTTTAGGAGATAAGATTCCTGCCATTAACTTAAAGATTATGAAAACCCTAATTTCCTGAGCATTCTTATTGATACTTTACCGTCTAAATAAGGCGTTAGAAGTTTTCATAGTTAACTGGTTGTTTCAGTTGTATTTTACCCAGATCAAAATTTGTAAGCCACGAGGCTGACAGTAGCATTCCAATGCTCTCTTGTGAGCTTTTTAAAACTTTGCTAACCTTATAAGATATTTAAAAAATTACCAAAAGTACGTAACAAAGCCAATCACACAGTTGAAAAATGACAGAAATCCATTTCATTTGTAATCATCTGGCATAAATCATTACTTCTGTAGGTAGATATGTATTTAGCTACTTAAAGGAGGAAAACTGATGGAAAATATTTTATTTTTTTATTTTAAAATATATTTTAGTAAGTAAAATGCTAAGAATATAAATGAAATTTTGACCTCTGATTTACTCATGTTATTATTACCTTTGTGTATATTTCAACATGACTTGCAGATATACATGAATGGATTCTTAATATAAAACTGGGTAAAAGTTTTATAAAACTTTTATATATGGTAAAAATTTTTTATAAAAGTTTTATAAAACTACTTATATAGGGTATGTAAATATAAGCTTATAAAAATGTATTATCTGCATTCTCTGCAAAATCAGATATGTGCTTTTGACAAATATATAAAATACATTTCCTGCTTTTCCTGTTTTTTTGTTTAATAATTTTCATGTTACCTAAGTGCCTATGCATTTTTCATATTCATGACAAACTTAAATGGTATTTACTTGGTTAGGACAGAGAGAGTACTTGGAAATAGGAAAATAACCTATCTAAAAAATTCAATAACCAAAGATGACAAAGCATTGGTAAGCAAATAAATAGTAAATTCTACTTTTTACAATAACATGCAGAAAAAAATTACATATATTTTTAATAATAATGAGTAGGGATATCAATATCTTTCACTAAAGACCTTTACTTACTCTTTTAAAAAAACATGTATTTTTCCTCATGATCTTATTTAGTGAAATTGTTCTAAGAAACATAAAAAGATAAACAGTATTTAGAGATACATCTTTTATTAAATCTACATTCAGGTTTTTCTTGAGATAAAATATAGTTTTTACAATTATACATTTTAAATTACATATTTTAACATTAGAACAATATATAGGTAATAGTAATAATTACCATTGCAAAAAAGAGCAAGAGTCAAATTGAAAAATAGATTTAATTTCCAAGAATAGTAACATTAAATCATCCATAATTTTAGATTAACCAAATCCAAATCAAAAGCCAATTGTGCAGTTCAATCACTTATTTCAACATGGTACAAAAAAGTCAAGTGTGTGAATTATCTGGCAGAAGAAAAAAATTCAAAAGTGGGCATTCCTCAATTTGTATTCTCCTGGATTGAAACATTAAGACTTAGAAAACTCCGTAGTATCTAATTTGGTATATTTCATTAGTGCTTGAAGTTCGCAACACTGAATTCCTGTTTCCTAAGCTTATCTAAATGCTAAATGAAATGTATGAAATATCTTTCTGTTGAACAACAGTTACAGTTCCTACTGGATTTTCTTTTGGTTGGAAGACTGAAAGAGTGCTCAGAGAGAAGTCAGAGAGATCCAGTTCACATGCTAATACATGATTTATTATTCTTGATTTATTATTCTGTGAAATGTGAAAAAAAATCCTTCCCTAGATGGTGTCACTGATTGTTTTGTTTCCAAAGTATTAGTGATAAGAAAAATATTATGTGAGCTCAAAATTGTAAAACAAATACATACTTGAGAAAACAATGTCTAACAATGTGATGTTCAATATAAACAAGCTTTTCTTTATGCTATAATTTTGCAGTGAAAAGATTTTTGAAATGCTTTATTAATACAATCTGAGTATTTGACATGAGTTGTAGCACATCACACAGAACTGTTCTAGATCATGTCTACTTTGTTGTAAATGTTCATAAGAAAATATCTAGCCTTAAAGATTGTACAACTTGGCATTTCCTTACAAACACATTTTAAAGAAAACAGTGTGGATGAACATTTAAAGGCTTCTGATTTCTAGGATTTAAGGGAGGGAAATTTCTAAGATCAGGCAATATCATTTTTATAATTATCTGATTAAATGATGTTTTTTCTTAAGAAATCTGATATCAGGTGATACAATAATATGGACTTCTTCCTCCAAAAATTTTTCATAAAATAGCTGGCTTCCTTAAAACTGTAAGGAAAAAGCTTCTGCTTCTATTCTATTTGAGGTAATAATTGGTAGGTAAGAGTTTATGGAAAGGATTTGCAGAAGAGATACACAGACACAGCTTTTAACATTTCTAATATACTGATATTCAGTATGAGTCTACAGTTGTGGCCATCAAGTTGTTTTGTGATAAAGTAGATGACTACAGGGATATTTGAAAAATCTCCTCAGATGTTGGGAATATTAGGAAATAAACTGAGTCTACTGCCACTTCAAATACAGAGTACTTCCAAATACTGAGGCTACAACATAGGATGAGAGGAATGGGACATAAGGAGAATTAGGATTCCAACCAGCCCAATAAAGGTCAGAATTGTGGGTCATTCAATAATTGGACTGTAAAATATTGTTGCCTGTGAAAGTCAAAAGAGATGTGAGGAACATTTATTTTGTATTTTCAAGTTTTACATGACTAAAACATTTTCTACAGAGTGGTAAAAGAGTAAAGAAATATGTGCTACAGATTCACTGATGAATTAATAACGTTTTTCGATACAAACATGTAATTGTCTCTAATCTTTCTTTAGTTTTCAATTAGGAAATAGCCTAGGGGAAAAGTATAAGTAACTTGAAAACATATCGTAATATCTTTGGCAGTCATAGTCAAGGCTGTTCTGCTTATACTTGTTGGCTGATCACTATAAACATTGTCTACATGATGAAAATACTAACCCAAAGTTTGTAAATATAAAATTAAACACTATATTAAACCTCTTAGTTTTTTTGTTTAGAAGTTCTTTTCACATCATGATCAACTGTGTTTGAATTCAAAATAGTCTTTCTGGTTTACATGTCAGTGAAATACATGAATTTTTAGTGGGTGTTTCTGACATGCAAAAGGGAAAGGAACAGAATATCATAAATATTAGGTTCCTTCTCCCCCTAACAGCATGTAGTGAATATACCCTGCAAGATGTTTTTATGATTCATGTAATTTTGTGATCAAATAATTCAGTCAACTAAAAATATATTTTTCCAGTGACAGCATGGCTATTTGTCTGAGGCAAAAGTATAACCAGTTGAAAAGGAAAGTTTTGTTTCCTTTATTACATGGTTAAATTTGACTATTTCAGTAGTCAAACTTTTAACCACTAGCTAGACTTTAATTTGTGGCAAAATTGGTTTCTAGTAATCCATTAAATTAGTTTGTTGTTATACTTTAGATTTGTGTTAACACAAAGAATGTAAAGTTATTTTAAGGAAAAAACATTAGTAGATGACTTCGATTTGCGAGTTTGCATTTTTAAGGGTTGTTTGAGGTCCCTTCCTTATGTTCACTTTAGTAATCTCACTTTAGTTCCTGTGAAGGGAAATCCCTACTGTGTCTTTAGGGATGGGTTAGGATAGTGGGCTGCCTTTAGGAAGGCTAATAAAACCTTCCTGAGACACCTTACTAAAGGTATTCCTCACCTCATGAATTGGTCTAAGCATCAGTCTTGGAGGCTCAGAAGCTTGACTTTGAACCCACTGTAAGAGTAGATCCATCTCTTAAAAATAGATTCGTCCATAATGGTCGAACTAATTTACACTCCCACCAACAATGTAAAAGCATTCCTATTTCTCCACATCCTCTCCAGCATATGTTGTTTCCTAACTTTTTAATGATTGCCATTCTAACTTGCGTGAGATGTTATCTCACTGTAGTTTTGATCTGCATTCTCTAATGACCAGTCATGATGAGCTTTCTTTCATATGTTTTTTGGCAACATAAGTGTCTTCTTTTGAGAAGTATCTGTTCATATCCTTTGCCCACTTTTTGATGGAGTTGTTTGTTTTTTTCTTGTAAATTTTTCTGGGTATATACCCAAAGGATTATAAATCATTCTACTCTAAAGACACATGCACATGTATGTTTATTGCAGTACTATTCACAATAGCAAAGACTTGGAACCAACCCAAATGCCCATCAATGATAGAATGGATAAAGGAAACATGGCACATATACACCATGGAATACTATGCAGTCATAAAAAAGAACGAGTTCATGTCCTTTGCAGGGACATGAATGAAGCTGGAAACCAGCATTCTCAGGAAACTAACACAGGAACAGAAAACCAAACACCACATGCTCTCACTCGTAAGTGGGACTTGAGCAATGAGAACACATGGACATAGGGAGGGGAACATCACACACTGGGGCCTGTTGGGGGGTGGGGGGCTAGGGGAGGGATACTATTAGGAGAAATACCTAATGTAGATGATGGGTTGATGGGTGCGGCAAACAACCATGGCACATACATACCTATGTAACAAACCTGTACCTTCTGCACATGTATCCCAGAACTTTATATGTTTTTTTAAAAAGCCATTTTTTAGTCAAGTAAAAAAAAGATTCATCTAAATTAATATAACATATTTGTTTATTTGTTTATATATGTATGGATGTATATATGAATTCTTAGGGCTAGAGACAGGCACTATAATAGGCTTTGAAGATACAGTAGTAAATAAGTCATTGTCACTGTCCAAGAGGGAACAGATATGTTGAACAAGTGAAAGTTTGCTTATAGTCAGAGCTGATATTCAGTTGTTTTTAGTTGTCTGCCATCCACGTCAGTATCCATTCTGATTGATCAGAGCCCTAAATATTACCATAGTTTTTATATCACTGTATTGGGACTATCTCTCTACTTGGGAAACCAAATTTTAATGTCAATTTGTTGATATATAATGAGAAATATTTCAGAGGAACCGGAAGAGTAGATAGTTCACCTATGTAGAAAACCAAACAATGATCTGAGTGTGAATTAGAAGACTGAGATGAATCCAGTGTTTAATCTCATCAAACCAAATGAGGTTTATGTATCCATCTGATGAGAGTCTTGATCTTCTCAGTGGCACAAGGATTCTGAGTCATTTGCTTGGATTTTTGTAGTTGGCCCAGTACAGTACTTGGGTGGATATTACTATTGAGCTCTTCTTAGACTTTTCTTTTACTATACTTGGTGTATGTCTCTACATTCAGTCTGGTAACAGTCAAGTCTTATTCTTCTCAGATTCTGTTTGTCTAAGATGACTACGTCTTTTTGTCTCAGTGCAAAAGAGTTAACATTTAACACTTTGAAGAACAATCTGATTTCTAAGTTCTTAAGAAATAATTCATCATAGCTTCCAAGGACTAACAAGAGTTTCTATTTGAATAAAGTAGCTAAATATTCTTTTGATTTCTATGTTGGTTATTTTTTATATTCTGGACCAAACTACCATGTTTTTTCTGGCCAACAGATTTAAAATCTAAACATAAAGGTTTATTTTTCATAAATATGTTTTGAATTTGACCTTCACAGGGAACATTTTAAGTATCATAATCAATGAGGTTTCAGGTACCTCTTTACAGAGAGCTACTGTGATTATGTTTTTGTGGTTGGATTTTTCTGAACCCATTAGCTGCATGGTAATGGGGTGGTGGAATTAAGGTTTTGAGAATCATCATACCGCCCGCTTACCAGAAGTCAATAAAAAACAAACATGAATGATAGGTTTATGTTCTAGGACAGTATATTTCTAAAATGGTATTTGTTAATCCCTCCAGAGAATACATCAAAGGGAATATGAAACTCCAACTTTGATCAACTGAGCCTTCTTAAAATTAGACTCAGCATCAAATGTTAAAAGATCAGATGGAAGAGGCAAAATTTAGATATAAGCATGAGATAGGTCATTTATCCAGAGGGAATAATGTGTATATTTATATTGGTAAAAAAAAGGAAAACAAAAATTTTGTTTTCTAATTCCCTACATTATTAAAAAGTATCCCTCCTCTGTTCATTCCTGACATCATTTGGAAATATCTGCTGCTTCAGTGTGAATACAGAGTGGACTTCAGTAACCAACTTCTTCCATGTGCTTCAAAAACATTCATGGATCATGAGCAAAGCAATATTTGAATGTGAGGGGTGGTTTTTTTTTTTTAGATATTTAGACTTCATAGAAAAGAAGGAACTGGTTTACTGAAATTTATGTTAAATCTTAATGGGAATGTAGGAAATTTCATTTATCAGCAATCTACCTTGATTGGTATTCTACAATGAATTAATGAATTTCTATTTGTTTAGGCTTATCTGGAAAGTTCTGCATTCCAAATATGTTAAGAAAACATGGTGATCTTTAAATTAGTCATCTTTGGTTTTTTGAATTGATTGGGATTTGACAAAAATGTAATTATTAATTTCTTTCAATACAAACTTTTTTTTCTTGATCTTATGGGAATACTAGCACAGTTGGGCCTAAAGAGGGTTCTAAAATGAGGGAAGCTAAACTTTGTTTCAAAGTTACAATGCCATCACATTTTAAAGCATTAATGCTGAGATATTAAGTAAGTGATCCAATCTAGTTAGGTGGTGAGTGGAACCAGAGCTTACATCTTTTTCTCACTTCAATACTGTTTTCACTGTATCACTGCAGTTTGAATAGACATTTCTTTATGAGCTTCCTCAGTGCCTCTTGTTTCAATCAAACATAAGACAATGAAATAACCAGATGTTGCAGATAAAGTTCCTGAAACACCAGACTCTGAGATAGAGATTAGAATGCAGGGGGTTGGTCAGGGACTAATCTTGGAGCAACACCTCTGTGGAAAGTGAAGGAAGAATGGGGCAGAGGAAGAAGTTGGCCTGTGGCACAGTCCCAACAGCGGCCTCAGCAGATACTGCAGGCCCCCATGTAGCTGGAATGCCCCACATAGTTGCTTAGACTGGCACAAGGGGACTGGACCTTATCCCCCACTTTGAGCAATCACTGGATGGAAGCTACCTGGGAAGGAGTCATAACTAGGTGAGGTGTCTCTCTTCAGTCCTCCCGTAGTCTGAGGGAAACTCAACAGGGTACTGTCACTGGCTGTTAGTCTCACCAGCTGAGAGAATGAGTACAGTGTCGAAGAGGGACCTGGCCAGTGCTCCACAGCATCTACTACACCATTATTGAATGACTACATGATGTTGGCTATTGCATAAGTCACTCTATGTAGGGTTTCACTAATCCATAGAGTAAACACACACAAAAAAAGGTGCTGATGTCTTCCCTTTTCTAGGAATAAATCATGATTTAGAGAGGTTGAATAACTTGCCCAAGGTTACATAAAAATGGCAAGTCTGTCTGGCTAAAAAGCTCATTTTTTTTCATAAAGCTGCTCTTTAGGTAGCATAAATGGTGGAGGGTGGATTTTCTAAACTCTGTGGTTCCTCAAAATCCTTTGATTGTGGAGAAAATTTAAATATTGTATTCATAAATACTGTTACCACAAGTACTACCAGCACTCGGGATATATTTACCATTGAATGATGATTAAACCAAGTTAGTTAGGATCCCTGACTTTGAAAAGCTTACAGACTTGATTGCATAAGCAAGGTAATTTTTAAAAATGATACACAGAAATCTGAGTTTTTTTCATCGATAATGTAACACCACCCACTTTGTAAAGTGGTTATAAGAATTTATATGTGGAATGATAATAGCACAAAGTTTGAGACATCTTAGGCACTTGAAAATTTACTTTCTGTGTTTATATTCAGTACAAGCATAGAGATATTAGAGAATATTTGCATTTATCATAGTTGGGAAAAAATAATTTTCATTTTGATTTTAATTAGCGGTGTCCTCTTGGGCAAGTCAGTTGGTATCTCTGGCCCTTGGCTTTTACATTTCAAAAATGAAGTGCACAAGGTGGATGAATTATAAGGTTTATACCAGCAGTAATATTCTACTAAATGCTGTTGACAATAGAGATCCAGGTGGTTCAAGATGAAACAACTCATAAACTCAGCAACTGGTACATGATGCACCTGTGTGAGGAAGTTTATAGTACTCTGCTATGGCTTCTTGTCTTTCCTAAAGAAATCCATTTCCTCTTTAATATTTATAATGTGTGCCTTATGCAAAGTATGTGCTGAATAAATATAAAGTGACTAGAGTGAGACAGAGATATTATATGAAATCAGATATAATCTCATCCTCAAGTGGAATTCAGTTTAACTTTTATCATGATCAGTGGGAGGAGGGAGCAAGCAAATTGATCAGTTCTTCTACCATAGGAAAATTCTTGATTATTAAAAAACAATTATCTCTTATGGTCATACTGACCAAAAGCAATTTATATATTCAAAGCTGTTCCGATCAAACTACCAACATCATTTTTTCACAAAATTAGAAAAAACTATTCTAAAATCCATACAGAACCAAATAAGAGTCTGAATCACTAAAGCAATCCTAAGCAAAAAGAGCAAAGTAGGCTGGGCACGGTGGCTCACACCTGTAATCCCAGCACTTTGGGAGGCCAAGGCGGGTGGATCACGAGGTCAGGAGATTGAGACCATCCTGGCTAACACGGTGAAACCCCGTCTCTACTAAAAAAGAAAATACAAAAAATTAGCCGGGCATGGTGGCGGGCACCTGTAGTCCCAGCTACTTCGGAGGCTGAGGCAGGAGAACTCAGGAGGCGGAGCTTGCAGTGAGCCGAGATTGCGCCACTGCACTCCAGCCTGGGCAACAGAGTGAGACTTTGTTTCAAAAAACAAAACAAAACAAAACAAACAAACAAAAGAACAAAGTGGGGGCATCACACTACCAGACTTCAAACTATACTACAAGGCTACAGTAACCAAAACAGCATGGTACTGCACTAAAACAGACACACAGACTAATAGAACAGGACAGAGAACCCTGAAATAAAGCCGCACACCTACAACCACCTGATCTTCAACAAAGGTAACAATAACAAGCAATGGAGAAAGGACTCCCCATTCAATAAATGGTGCTGGGATAACTGGCTGGCCATATGCAGAAGATTGAAACTGAAACTCTTCCTTACACTACACACAAAAATCAATATAAGATAGATCAAAGATTAAATATAAAACCCAAAATTATAAAAACCCTGGAAGACAACCTAGGAAATTCCATTCTGGTCATTGGCCTTTGCAGAGACTTTATGACCAAATCCCAAAAACAACTGTAGTGAAAACAAAAATTCACAAATGGGACCTGATTAATAAGCTTCTGCACAGCAAATGAAACTATTAGCAGAAGAAACAGACAGCCTACAGAAGGGAGAAAATATCCACTATGCATCCAACAAAGGTCAAATATCCAGGATCTATAAGGAACTTGAACGGATTGGCAAGCAAAAAACAACCCCGTTATTACTCATCACTAATCATTAGAGAAATGCAAATCAAAACTACAGTGAAATACCATCTCACACCAGTCATAATGGCCATTATTAAAAAGTTAAAAAACAACAGATGCTAGTGAGTTTGCAGAGAAAGGTGAACACTTATACACTGCTGTCAGAAATGTAAATTAGGTTAGCCACTGTGGAAAACAGTGTGGAGATTTTTTTAGCGAACTTAAAACAGAACTACCATTGGACCCACCAGTCTCACTATTGGGTATATACCCAAAGGAAAATAAATCATTCTACCAAAAAGACACCTGCACATGTATGTTCATTGCAGCACTATTCACAATAGCAGAGACATGGAGTCAACCACGATGCCCATCAATGGTGGATTAGATAAAGAAAATGTGGTCCATGTACACCATGGAATACTATGCAGCTATAAAGAGAATGAAATCATTTCCTGTGCAGCAACATGGATGTAGCTGGAGGCCATTATCCTAAGTGAACTAATGTAGGTACAGCAAACCAAAAATAGCACATGTTCTCACTTATAAGTGGGAGCTTGAATTGAATACACATGGACATAAAGACAGGAACAGCAGACACTAGGAACTGCTTGAGTGGGGAGGATGGAAAGAGGGTGTGGGTCCAGAGGCTGCCTCTTGGGTACTATGCTCCGTATTTTGGTGACGATTTGTACCCCAAGCCTCAGCAGCACACAATTTTTCACTGTAACAAACCACCTGTACCCTCTGAACCTAAAATAAAAGTAGAAAAAATTATCTTGTAATATTAACATATATATTTGTATAAGTACATATGTTGGATATTGTATGTATTTTGAAATATACATGTCAAGTAGACATGCTGCCTGACCACAGGGAAATTGTGTGAACATATATATGCATCCCAAAAGCATATACATTATGTATATGCATGTAATAGTTCTCCCCTTTTTTTTGCTTTTTAAAAAACTTGTCTCTTCTTATGAATTTGTAGTACTTAAGAAAAAATATCTGACAAGGAAAGCAAGCAAATAAAATTAGATGAAGTGTGCCAAGGAAAGCAATCCTAAATTTCAGAGGGCATGCCACAAGGTATTCAGATCTCCTCCCTCTCCTTTCTCTCTCTCCACCAAAAACAAACCCAAGCCTTTCCCTATGTGAGATGAAGGAAATCTATAACTTTGTGTATTGGCATTACACAGTGTCACAGTATGAACTCAAGGTAAGTGGGTCATCTTGGAGATATACACTTGCTGTTTTTTCTTTTCCCTCTACTTCCGTTTTTATTGGATAATCCCCAAAGAATCAAAGAGGAAACAGATAGCTAAAGGCTCCCACCCAAGCTATGGGCTCCCACCCAAGCTAAAGGCTCCCACCCAACCTATTTATTTTATTTAAAATAAATTTTATTTTACTTCTTTGCATTCTTTATCACCAATTGCTACAGGAGGTCTAGAGGAAAAGGTGACAGTTTAATCTCCCATGATGTTATTCTAATTATGTTTAACAAGATGCCAATCATCTTGCAATGGTTTAATCATGATTTATATCAAACATTCTTAGTGTAGGATGTCTCCCTCCCAGCCTTTCCCTGAAATCTTGCATCAAATCAGTTGAGACTTGACATTATCTTTTCTTTTTTAAAAAGTTTCTTTTTTTAAAAAAATTCAACAAAGACAGCAAAGGGATTACTATATTAATATTACTTGGATGTTGTATCAAGTAGGTTAGAATTTGATGTACTTTTTAAATTAAAATTTCATTAACATTAAAATTTGCCTTGATTAATGGTTTTGTTTAAAAAGTTGATCTAACTTAATGAGATTTCATGTTTCTTTTTTATATTTCTGAAAAGAGTATGCCCCAAGAGGAGGATTTACACATCTTCTTACATAGCTTTTACATCACTAAAAGCTGTATAAAAACATCAAACTTTGAATTGAAAGGCTGTACCTAAAAATGACGTCATGAAGCAAATGGGTAGAACTGGATAGGATATAGTGCTGTCTTTGTCTTTTGCTTCAGCAGCCCAAATCTAATTGTTGAATAATGTGCTTTAGAGGACAGTAGCCTCTTTCAAACCGAAACATTACAGAAAGTTCCACCCAGGCAATGTGCTATTTCTAGTCAAGTATATGGAGACTTTACATGCAGAGAGCAGCTGTAAAGATGTTGGGATAGGAGCAACTTAGAAACCAGTTCAAATAGAAACTTAGACTTGTGTCCAAAATAGCTTTATATGAATTATAGATGTTTAATGTTCAGCCCTCCTGTAAGCAGATATTTAAAAATAATAAATAATTTTTAGATTTTGCTCTTCTCATTTTCTCCTATTAAAAAAAACCTTGGTGAAACCCCATCTCTACTAAAAATACAAAATTAGCTGGGCGTGGTGGCACGCGCCTGTAATCCCGGCTACTCAGGAGGCTGAGGCAAGAGAATCACTTGAACGAACTTGGGAGGCGGAGGTTGCAGTGAACTGAGATCGTGCCATTGCGCTCTAGCTTGGGTGACAGAGCGAGTCTCTATCTCAAAAACAAACAAACAAACAAACAAAAAAACTTTTGAGTTTTAATGGCCAAATATAATCCTCAGTTTGTCAGTTACACATTATTAAGTCTTCTATGAAATCATTTCATACATTCTCTTTTGTGTTTTGGCCAGGAGTTTAGCCTGAATTTCAAATTCAGTGTGATACCTACATTTCTTATTGATTATTTGTATAAGACAAATAGTAATCAAGGAAGTTCATCTGCATTGTTTGCTTTTGAATTATGACTTAGTTTTATAGAAAAGAAATCTGTAAAACATTGTAAAATGAGATCCCTAAAAGGGACGTATTACAGAAAAAATGTTTTTGACAATTTAAAAGCTATTCCTTTCAGACAAAATTGCATATATGTAAACTATTAACATTAATTCCCAAGCAAATCAAGTTTTATTAAAAATTTTTTTGGCTCAGTTTGCATAATGGAACTAACAGTTCATCTACTTAGAAGCTGTACAACATTGGCTGGATGGCCCTTCAGTAAAATGCCTGATGCCTTGTTCATCCTAAAAACTGAAAGTCTGGTGATTATGTTATAGGGAGAAGACAATCATTTTGATTTCTTTGAATAGAGATTCAACTCGGATTATCTTAGCGAATAACTTATAGAGTGATCTATTATCCAAACATCTCCTATTTACTTTAATTCACTATTAACCAAAAACCTGGGGTTTCTCATCTTTTCCTGGTTGAGATTTGATGGCAAAATGGCACATAGTCTTCCCATTAGATACTCTTCTCTGGAGGAGCAATATATTTGTATCTAAAACTTTGTATTTATATTGAAATTCTAAATTGGCATTTTTTTTTGAAATTTCCCTTTCAATTTTTCCGTAAGATGGACCTCTCTATATAATTTCAGTAATCACTGGGGCTCAGTCTTCCCAGCTATCAGTGTTATTTTCATGGAGAGTGGGGAGACTATACTGTGTTATAGTTTAGGGTTATAATAATAATATACCTATTATTATTTCAAAATGACTTTCCATAGAACATCCCTACTTGATATTCTAAATGGGATCATGGAAGGAATCTAAGTATTAAAATAATATTTCTCTTTCTCTCAAATACCACTACAAAGCTAAATGGTAATCAAGAGCATAGAAGCAATTTTGCAGAGATTTTGAATGATCATTCAACTGCACCTCGATAGTGAGTGGAACAGACAAATGCAGCTGAGCACACCTCTGCTCTCCAGCGACAGGGAGTGAGGTTTGCCACCATTCAAACCTCTGGGGGCACTGACAAGCTTCTATTTTTAGGTCTGTGCCTCCTATTGGAAACATGCTGCACTGTGTGCCCTGTAGACCACCCAGCCCACCCACTTTTTGTGGTTTGGCCTTCTGTAAGGCTTGCCTGCAGGTGTGCCCTTACTCACCCACCGAGAACAAGCTACTCTGCCATTTTTCTGAAGTTTAAAAATATGACTGGCTAAAAGAAGACAGTAAGCAAGTCGATTTTTATACTGTCCTGGAAAGTTATAATTATAAAGTTTGGTGAACTTCGTGAACTTTTTCAAGCATGTTTTTGCCGCAGACTTGTGATTGATGTGGAGGCCCCCTGGGGCATAGGTAAAGCAGTTGAAAGATAGGAAGTTGAGTGAGCTGTCTCTTGTACATAACCTGCCAGAGGCTCTATGAGGTTAATGCATACATTGCCTCACCCCCAGCCCAGTGCAATTTGAAATTAGATAAACATTTTGGCAATGATGTGGCAAACCGAAATTCAACCTTGCTTTTCAATAGTTCTATTAACTTTATAAAAGTAATAAGCTATTTTTTGTAAACTAAGCTGTTAGGCATCAAGAGCACGCTAAAGCAGCTGTATTAAGTAGAAAGGAGGTGATTTTTTTCCTGATGTAACCACACTCTAAATCTTCACAATCTGTCAAAGCTTGCTCTATAATTCTAAGCCAGCAATATTCAAAATAGCACAATAAGTACTGTTAGCAAGATGTGGAAATTTTCTTGAGCAGTAGGAATGTACCCCAGAAGTCAGGATGTTTGCCGACCATTAGCTCTACTTGCATGCAACCTGTATTGGCTGTCCCTTAGGGACTCAGACTTATGGCTCCAAAGTGGACAAATGAACACAAAGTCTCATGAACACTCAAAAAGAGCTTCTTGCTTCATAACCCTGTGAACTATACAGGGCACTCCTTTCCTTAGTGAAGCATCATATGTCTTCATAACTTCCTTGGAAACTTTTTTGTAGTAAAGGGAAAAATTGAGGCTCTATTATGTGTCATAACCTGAATCTGCCACCCATAGTAGAGCTTTAGAGCCAAAAGGGATTTTTTTTTTCTTCAGATGTGGAAATCAGAACCTCGGGGGCTAGTGACTACCTCAAGGTCACATGGTTTGCTAATGGAGGAGCCAAGACCAGAAGCCACTGTGATCTCACTTCGAACATAGCCAAATAACCACATAAGCACGAATTACTTCAAAAGGAAGGTGATTTAGTCTGTCTTATCTGGCACAAAGTAATCACTTACTAGATGTTAGTTGTTGTTAGAGTTATTTTTATTATTTTTATTTCCCTCCCTCTCCAGATGTTATTGTGTTTCACAACAATATGTTTTAAGGGTTTATATGGCTTGTATTCAAATTTTAAAGAAAAGATCTTGTGTAAGTTTAGGTCTGGGGAAGATCTCGAGAGAGCTTCTAGTTTAGTTTCATAATAATATTGTCCTTCCCACAGTGATTTTTTCCACAATAATAAAATATCTTTTTTTAGCTAGATCTTGTGATTTTAGCTAGAAGATAGTTTGAATAGAAGAAAACTTTTTAAAGTTCATTTTCAGAGTTTGCTGAAAAAATTAAGATCATCTGTTTCTCTTCCCCTCTCTCTCTCATTCATACATACATACTCCCCTGATACATTATACCTGAGATCTATATGAAAAGCTAACATTTTATAAATACTTTGAAAACTAATTCCAGTGATGAGTTAATTTAAAGCATTAGATGGATAGCATATTTAAACAAGCTGTTCATGTAAAAATGGAAATTTTTCTTAAAAAAACATTATTTAAAAAAATCTGTATTATGGAATTTTTACATCAGCTCTTATTACTAAGATGTTTACATAAAAAGTGTTCCATAAAGGGGAAAAATTATGCTGGTTGCACCTATAATTTGCTTTGCTCCAAACCTTGGCTATTTAAACTGCTTCCATTTATGTGCACAAACCTGAATGAGTTTTTTTTATGCCCTCAAATTAAAGGCCCGTTTGGAAAACTTGAGCTAACAAGCACACTTATCCTGCCACTACCATCTTTTTCCCAATATATTCTCCCAACTTATTGGGAAGGTAAGTTTGTAAACCCAAAATTTGCTCTAGCTACTAATTTCAGGTCCTTCACCTGCACCACATAACATGGAATAAATAGGAAGCAATAACCCTCTGGTGACCATATGTAAAGACATCTAAAAGAAAACTGGACATGAAAGGAAGTAGGGGCTCAGTAAGTTAGATTAATTAATGAACAAACTAAAATATGGCTAACATGCTTTGCTATTTAATAACAACCACAGTCACAACAACACTGAAAACTAATATTATTTAAGCATCTTACTGTGAGTCATGTATGGTCCCAGTACTTTATATAGATATCTCATTGGCTACTTTCATGTGCTCAAGAAGTTAGTTATGTGCTGTTTAGCCAGTAATGACATCATTGCCTTCATGGGTATTAGAACTATAATTAGCTTTTATGAAGCTAAGACATTCTCTACTTATGTTGGTAGTGTTTAGCAGTATTTTTCTGGTTAATGCCAACATAAACCTGTTCCACCCTGCAATGCTGCCTAGGTAATCCATATGGAAAGATTTTCTGTGACATTCTCATATGAGATGAACATAAGGTGAGTGTGTGTCTTTTAAGTTTCCTGAGTCTTTCTTTAGGTATAATAAAAGCAGATAAGATCAAAATGAGACAAATTTTTGATGAACATAAGAGTAGTCACTTTGCTGCTTTTCTGTCTTATCATCAGCAGTTAGGCTCACTTCAGTGAATTCAGTCCTTGTAGAATAAGTCTGCCTTGCCACTGTGACTGCTAAGTTATTTCCACAAACTGTCAGTGCAGCTTGCTAGCTTTTGTCTTTCTTCTCGTCATTTGTCAGGTCCTTAGAATTGGGCTACAGTGATTTTTACAAGGATCTTTGTTCACTGGTAGTTTTGTATTGTTTATATAAAAAGGAGCAAGGCTTTAAAAAGTATCTGTGGCTGGGCCCGGTGGCTCACACCTGTAATCCCAGCACTTTGGGAGGCCGAGGAGGGCGGATCATGAGGTCAGGAGTTTGAGACCAGCCTGACCAACATGGTGAAATCCCGTCTCCACTAAAAATACAAAAATTAGCTGGGCATGGTGGCACATGCCTGTAGTCCTAACTACTCGGGAGGCTGAGGCAGGAGAATCCTTTGAACCCAGAAGGCAGAGGTTGCAGCAGTGAGCCGAGATCATGCAAGCCTGGGCGACGGAGTGAGACTCTGTCTCAAAAAAAGTATCTGTGCTGGCCTGGTGCAGTGGCTCATGCCTGCATGCCTGTAATCCCAGCACTTTGGGAGGCTGAGGTGGGAGGATCACTTGAGTCCAGGAGTTTGAGAGCACCCTGGGCAACATTATGAGATCCCCTCTACAATTAAAAAAAAAAAAAATATCTGGGCATGGTGGTGCATACATGTGGTCTCAGCTACTCAGGAGACTGAGGTGGGAGGACTGCTTGAGCCCAGGAGGTTGAGGCTTCAGTGAGCCATGATTGTACCAGTGCACTCCAGCCTGGGAGACAGAGCAAGACCCTATAAAAAAAAAAAAAAAAAAAAAAAGTGCTAAACAAAAATCCAGTTATTTTACCTTCCCCAAACTAAAACCTTTTTAGTTTCCCTACTGCTGTTGGTATACTTTCATTTTCTCTAGCATGGCTTGCAAAATCCTGCAAAATCTTATCTCTGCCTACTTTGTCATCTTTATCTCTTATTTCTCCCCACTTTACACACGATGCTCCAGCTGAACTAAATCTTAAGTTACTTGAACAGTCTATGCTGTCTTGTACCTGCTGACCTCACTGCCCAGGACACTCTTTTCTGTTTTGTCTCTGCCTTCCTCCTTTACTTGGCTCACTCCCAAACTGCATATTTACATCTCAGTTTCTTGATTTGGTTAGAAATGGTACTGTTTCTATGAAGTCTAAACCCAGGCTATAGTATAGCACTGTTCTATCAGAGCAATTATCACATTGTATGATCACAATCTACTTATTTATCTGCATTTCCAATAATCCATAGTCAGAGATTATATCTTGTACATGACTGTATTCCCAGAACCTGGCACAGTGTCAGGCAGATAAATGTTTAGTAAGTATTTATTAAGTGCGGGGATGTGGGGAGATGAGAAGAGACAGGAAGTGTGAACAGAGCTAATAAGGAGTGCTGTATATGTCAGTCAAGGGACTTGTCTTGTTGGATCCCAGAGAAGATTTGGAGGTAGAGAAAACTTACCTTCATACTAGGATATTGATAGATCTTTCTGGTAGTGATGTGGAAGATGAGTTAGTTGCAGGTGACAAGAATATTGACAAGGAGACCAAACTTTTATCCAAGAGAGAAAGGATGAGAACCTTAAACTACAGGACCTTAAACTGTGGGAATGAGATGAGGAGCAGATTTAACAACTATGAATAAAACAAATGTCATAGCCCTTGGCAAATTATTTGAGATGGTGTGGGAGAAAGAAGAGAGAAGGGATGTTCAGAGTCCTAATTTGGGTGATGTTCATGCTGCTAACAATTATAAGGAGGATAAAAACAAATTATTTGAGGAATGATGTTTGGACTGATGGCTCTATGGGATATCCAAGTGAAGATATTGAGTAGGTATTTGCAAAGCTAGGATATGGTGCTCAGTAGCACATGTATGTGATGAACATTTAGGTATAATGAAGGCTTTTGTTCAGATGAGATTAGCCAGCGAGAATGAGTATATATAAAGAAGAGCTGAACATAGAGGAGAGCTCTATTAGAGTACTGGCTTGAGGCACACTTGGTTGCAACCAACAGAAATCGACTAAAACCAAGTAAAGTAGTAGAGCAGCAGGTATAATAAGAATTATTGTCATATAATTCTAGGACAGGCCACAAGGAACAGCTCCTACCCTTCATTACTGGATGTGGAATGGCTGGAATTAAAGCACCTCTGTTTCTCAAAAGTCTGGTTTTCTCTCATCTTTGTGCTCTACATTTTCTTTTCTTTTCTTTTATTTATTTATTTAATTTTTATTGAGACACAGTTTCGCTCTGTCACCCAGGCTGGAGTGTAGTGGTGTGATCTCAGCTTACTGAAACTCCACCTCCTGGGTTCAAGTGATTCTCCTGCCTCAGCCTCCTGAGTAGCTGGGATTACAGGCATGTGCCACCAGTCCTGGCTAATTTTTGTATTTTTAGTAGAGATGGGGTTTCACCATGTTGGCCAGGCTGGTCTTGAATTCCTGACCTCGTGATTCACCTCAGCCTCCGAAAGTGTTGGGATTACAGGCATGAGCCACTGCGCCCAGCCTCTACATTTGCTCTCTAGCCCCTTAGCTTCCTGTATTTCCAAGTGGCCAAGGCAGCTGCTGCCTTTGAATTTCTATAATGTCATCATTCTTCTTTTTGTCATTCTCTGGTTGTGTGTGTCTCTAACTTGAAATTCTTAGAGAAAGATAGCATTTGGTTGATTGGCAAAGCCTGTGGTTTGGTTCCCTTCAGGTCAGGCGTTTACTCCTTGGACCAAGTAGTATAAAGATGACAGCAAGAGGTGTGAGAGGAGACAGATCCTCTTGGGAGAAGTTGTACCTAAGAAGATTGAGTAGCTTTTGTAGTAAACTGTTATTTAAAGCAGTACTTCTCAGAGTTTAACTTGCTTATTAATCATCCAAGAATTTCGTTTAAATGCAAATTTTGTTTAGTAGGTCTGGGTTATTCTGTGCGTCAACAAGCTCTCGGATGATGCCCATGCTGCTTGTCTGAGATCCTCCGGCCAAACAGAAAGGATTGTAAAGGCAAGGGTAGCAGAGGTGGTGCTTGGAGAGGGCTGAGAGGGCAGGAAGGAAATGAGGAGAATGGAGAATTTGTGGGTAAGAGACTGTCCAGAAGCAGCGTGTGCTCAGAGGCATCCAGTGCTGGAGAGGATGAGTGAAATAAAAATGGAAGCCACTTTAGTATAAACACTGTGTGAAATTTTGTAAGTTCTTATCAACTGAGTTCAGAGGCCTATGGATTCATGAGCAAGAAGGTCCGCAGCTGGATTAATCCAGAGTTGGGGGTTTGCAGGAAGAGAATAAGGAACTTGAATGAATATGTTAACCAGGAGGTAGATTTGGTGATAGACCATGCAGTTTATGTTGTTTCAAATTATTCATTGCCTTTAGATTGTTTTTTTTTTTTTAAAGCTGGAAAAGCCTCAACCATTGCTTAAGAGAGAATAGTTTCCCACGAAAATATGTGTGGGTGTGTGTACATATGCATACCCATGTGCTTGTGTGTCTAAGCCTCTTGCAAGTGATGTATATCTACATAACAGGCTGACTCTGGAATGATTTACAACAGTTCATTTGTTTGGATCTTCAGAAAGTATTATCTTTTGCAGTCAGGCATGGAATGTTCTCTTGCCAACATGATTATGGAAAGACAGAACTCAAAGTTTAAACATTAACAGTATTACAGAAGAAAGAGATGTGTTTGAGGGTGTGGTGCATGTGGGTATCTTTGGAAATTCAAAAAATTGTCAGTCTTAATGGTGCCTCATCAAGGAAACTTCAGTTCAACATCTTGTTCATTTTCTAGCAATGTCAAGCTTAATTGAACTGATTCAAGTAAGCGGTACCCTTTTGAACTCATGCTTAAGTCGTTGAAGTAGCTCCTTATTCAGGGTGTTTCCAAAGAACGTTTTGGGGTTGACCCATTACAGAGGGAAATGAAACAATTATCCGGTTTACTCAGGAAACCATTGTTTTAGGAGGAGTGTGTGAATGAACTGGTATTCTGGCATGTCTGTCAGAAGTTCTGGTAGGGGATTGGAATGACCAATGTAACCGTGCTTTAAGAAAGACCCTCCTCAAGTGTAGAAATGCTATTTTTGAGTGCAGAGCTTGAGGAGGAGCGGTGAGGGTGGTGGGGATGCTTGCCAAGTCTGTCACATTAACAGAATCACAGATGTCACAGCCAGATTGCCTTGGATTCTATGCCATCTTGAAAAATCTGGATAGTGGTCTGAAATCACTTAAAATAACTTACTTTGATGAAGTCGTCCATTTCTGCATATTATCAATCATTTGATAAATGCCAGCATCTAAAATGTTATTGATATTTTACATTTCAATGATGTTACATCTGACAGCAATTTACTTAGATCTGGAGAAATGGTATGTGGCTATCCTGGCTCTTTACTGACTTAGGTATTAGAACTGATTCTAGAATTCATAGTTGCTGGCCCTTAGGTTTAATTTTTAGAAGCCACCAAGACTACTAAATATTTTAAATGTTTTTAAGCAACAAATGAGCTTTTCATGTGTTAGAACTTAATATATCCTCATGGATAATTCAAATAATGACTGAATAAATGCAGACCAAGCAGGCAACTTAAGCTAAATTTTCTGGAGATAATTTTCACTGACCAGGTTTTTCTACAAGCTCATTAGCTGCAATTTTATATATGTTCAAATAGAGATCAAGATTTACTTAAATGAATTCATTTTGTTCACCATTTAACACAGTCTAGAAGAAGCAATTATTCAATATCATCCACAAATCTGTGTTGAAAGAAGCTAAAATTGATCTCCATTTTGATTTATCTCTTGGGATCTAAAATTCTTGTTTTAAAGAGATTTTAAAGAATAGGCATTTGGATTTTATAAAGAAGTACTTGTGGCAAAGGTAGAGTAAGAATCCAAATCTGAGATTAAAAAAAAAACCTCACAAGTTAATGATTATTAAATCTATATCAAAATGTTATTTATCAATTGAATTAGGCTTTGGCGTGACTGGAAGACTTTTCATTATAGATTAGAGTTTCATTGAAAAATAAACTTGTAAAAATACGCACAAGTAAATTACTGCTAAATATTTGTAAGCATAGGCAAGAACTGAGGGTGGAATTTGGTTTGTTGTTTGTTTGGATTACTTGAAAACCTTGCTTTTATAATTATATGTAAGAATATGTTACCATATCTGTCTTTGAGAACATATTGAGCCAGATGCTTTGAGTTGAGTAGCTTTTAGAATATGTGTTAATCCTGATTTTACCAATACCTCATTCAGTGGCTACTTCAGTAACCATCTAATTAGGTAGCCCTGACTCTTAAGAGAGATCAAAGTAATTACTTACTAGGCTAGCTCATAGTATAGGAATCAATTAGCAGTGATATTTGACTACTCCAAATTGGAAAATTCAAAGCACTATATTTCATACTTCCTAATACTCTTTATTAAAATGTTTCCAAATGAGTTTCTTAAAATAGGTTTATTTTAGGGCTATGAAACTCTTTTTAAGAAATTGTCCGTTTAAAAAACGTCTCTTAAAGAAGCACTTGAGCTCACCGTTTTGTTCTGTATTTTTTGTTTAATTGTGGCAACTTTTTTTTTTTTTTCCTTAGAAGGATACTAGGCTTACATTCAGAAGGGCTGGTTTGAATTTTGGTGCTACTATCAATTAGATGTGTGACTTTGTGTGAGTTATCCAATCTATATTAGCCTCATTTGTTTCCTCTAAAGATAGAGGTGGTAATAATTCTCAGGGTTATTATAATGTTAAATGAGATATATGTGAAAGCTTGTTATTGTGAATTGCTCTATAAGTATAATGAAGAGGATGATACTGTGTCTAGCTTAACTGACATTTCATCTATTTAAGATAATTATTATTTAGTAGCACTATCTCTAAATGCTGTCTAGCCACTGAAGGTAAGAATAATATGGAAGAATGTATCAAATGTTCTTCTGAATTCATGTTATGAGTGTCATCTTTATCTTTTTTCTATCCCTCTGAGTGCCTAAGGAAAAAAGAAATTCTACTAAAGTGGTGTGCTATTTTACCTCTCTTAAAATTTTAAGGCACTAATTTTGTGTTATAGTAATTATTAATAATAGCCAACACTTAACTAGTGCTAACTATGTCCCAGGTACAACTTCCAGGACTTTCCAATATTAATCCATGTTATCCTCCCAATAACTCTGGGAAGTGGTTGCTGTTATTATCACCAGTGTAAAGGTGGAGAAACTGAGGCACAGATAAATTAACTTGTTAAAGATTACACAGTCAGTGTTATCAGTCAAATTTAACTTTCTTATACCCGTGGGTAGGCGTGGTGGCTCAGGCCAGTAATTTCAGTACTTCTGGAGCCAAGGTGGGAGGATTGCTTGAGCCCAGTAGTTTGAGGCTGCAGCGAGGGCCACTACACTCCAGCCTGGGTGACAGAGAGATACCCTGTCTCTAAAAAATAATAATGATAATAAATTTTCTTAAACCCTTTCTTCAGGTCTTAGGGAAGAATTTGGCAAAGATAATATATAGGATAAAGGAAGTCATGCACATAACTTGGGTCTTGGATATAAAGGATGGCATCTCTTCTTGGAAAAATGATGCTGCCTGTCTGCATGTTGCGATGACAGAGGTTGTTGCTTACTTTCCTTTATATTTTTATTTTTAATCTCCAGTGCCTATAACTGGATAAATTATTGTTAATTTCCTAGGATTACTTCTGTCTCCTGAGCCCAAGGCAAAGTAACACAAAGCTGAACTTGTCAGAAAGTCCTAATCATTTCAGTCCTGTGCTGTGAGTGATATAATTGGAAGAAACAGCCCAACACCCCACCCAAAGAGATGTTCCAGAGCACATGTACTCTATCTTCTTTTCAGAATTAGAATTTGTTTGACTTGGTTATACTGCATGGAGTCTTTCTTTAATTTAGGCATGGTTCCCTTCATTTAAGCTACTCATTTGTTCATAAATTTAGCAAATTTTATTGAAGATCTCCTATGTGCCAGAGGTACTGTGCAGTGCTGGAGAGTAGAATGGCAAATATGACAGTCACACACCCTCTGCTTGTTGAGTTCACAAAGTAGTGGAAGAAGATTTACAATAAGAAAATCATCTCACAAATGGAAGTAACACAAGTCCTCTGAATAGTGCTACAAAGCAGAGGAACATGGTGCTCCAGGGATGGATAAGAGAAAGCATTTGGCAGACACTTGATGATCATCATTTATTTTCCATTGTCTGTCTTCGGTCTTGTACAAGATGTCAGAGACTTAGGGAGGAAGAGCAGGAGGAGGGCAAGTTAAAAAGAATGGATGGAGACAGAGTTGGCAAAGTGAAACATTGAGTAATACAAGGTGGCCAAAGAGAAGAGAAAAACCTCACTTGAGCTGTATAAAACATCGAATTAGTCCTTGAATAAATCACCATATCATAGAAGAATAGTAGTATTTGTAGTAACTACCATTTTTCAAGAAATGTTATTGTATATGCATTCTAGTCAACTCAGTAAAAGAGGGAGGGATATAATAAATTTAGTTATTTTCATTAATATTTTTTAAGTATTTTATTGTTTGAAAGTTTATGTGTCCATTTAATGGCAATTTATCCAGTATTTTGAATAAATGAGATTACTGCCTTCATTTATATAAATATGTAAAAGCAATGTGAATATTAGTTGCAAAAGCATCTCTGGACAGGAAGATAGTAGACCTTGGTTTCTGATTCCAACTGGTGGATAAATAATAATTGAGAAGAACCTAACTGTTCTCATTAGTGAAAATGGGATAATAGCATTTCCCCTGTCTACCTCAGAAGGGTTTTTCTTTACATAATTCATTCAATTAACATTTATTGTGAACCTTATACTGAGAACAAATAGTGATGAGCAAAGGAGACATGATCTTAGATCTCATAGGACTTACATTCCATGGGAAAAACCAATGTTCATTTACAATGGGTCTTAATTTTTCCATTCCTGTGATCTGCGGTGCTATACTCTAGCATGCTCATGGCATGCTCCTTCACATCATTCAGTTGGATCTCTCCTCAAATGTCACCTCTTTGGAGAACCAGCATCGCTAACATTGATTTCAGTCTCTCTTTATCCTTTGCTTTACTTTTCTTCCCCACCTTTATCTGTCATTATACTTGTGGTTACCTTTAGGTCCAACACTGAAGTATAAGAATTCTTTATCCAGCCAGGCGTGGTGGTGCACACCTGTAATCCTAGCTACTCGGGAGGCTGAGGCACTAGAATTGCTTGAACCTGGGAGGCAGAGGTTGCAGTGAGCCAGAATTATGCCACTTCCCTCCAGCCTGGGCAACAGAGCGAGACTGTCTCAAAAAAAAAAAAAAAAGATTCCTTTATAGAGAGATTTTGTCTTTGCTGCTCATTGATATTGATATATATTATTTAGAATAGTGCTTGGCACATAATAGACTCACAATAAATATTTACTAAATGAATGAGTAAATGAGATGAGCCCACAAGCATATAATTACCAACTGTGACAAACAAATGGGATAAGTGAATGTATTTTCGAAACTATAAATAATCCATGTTTGCAAGGTGATGCTATTTATTTGAATTTCAGAAAAAAAATACAGTCTGCCAGAAGATAGCTCATTATTTTTTTGTATTGATAGCTTTCTATTAAATTATTTATTTTCTAAGAGTTTCTCTTCCTTTATATCTATGATTTGTAACATTGAGCACTATCTTTATGGTTCTATAACCCCCGCCACCCCAGTTCAGTTACCCTCTAGAGTAGAGATTCTTAACCTGGGTCAGTGAACCTTTGTGAAATTCGCTGTTGCCTCCTGAGGCCTCATTGTACTCCTTGAAATTGTGTGTAACGTGTGTGGCCCCTGCTCATTTTACTGGAGAGAGTTTGTATAACAGATTCTCAGACTGTATAACCTCCCAAATTTAAGAATCATTGCATTAAAATTTTTTGTTTCTCTTTTACTTTTTGTTGCTCTATTGATAATTCTTTTTCTCCTCAAGAGGGTTTCATTTTCCATTTATTTTTTATGATTGTATGTTGGTATTTTTAAATATTTACTGCTTGATTGTCGCCAGTGTGTGGTATTCTCGGTTTATTGCATGCATCTGAACCCAGCCCTTCTCTCTGTCTCTCTTTTGTCTGGCCAGCAGTGTGGGGATGTGCCAACTGCCGAGTGGTTTTGTCCAACCCTTCTGGGACCTTTACTTCTCCATGCTACCCTAACGACTACCCAAACAGCCAGGCTTGCATGTGGACGCTCCGAGCCCCCACCGGTTATATCATTCAGATAACATTTAACGACTTTGACATTGAAGAAGCTCCCAATTGCATTTATGACTCATTATCCCTTGATAATGGAGAGAGCCAGACTAAATTTTGTGGAGCAACTGCCAAAGGCCTATCATTTAACTCAAGTGCGAATGAGATGCATGTGTCCTTTTCAAGTGACTTTAGCATCCAGAAGAAAGGTTTCAATGCCAGCTACATCAGAGGTATGTAAACCAAAGGCAACGCCAACCTTCTGCTTTTATTTAACATGTTCTGCAGTAAACACAAGGACCAGAAGACAGAGTTATGCTCTTTTATGTGAATGTGAATGATTAGGATTGGGATATAAGGGCAAGAATCTGTTAATATTCTCTGAGCATTCTTGTTAGCAAAATATAATTACCAGATCCAAAATGTGGTTACAGTAGAGTTGAATTCTTTTATATTGTTTATATGTGGAACATTTAAAGGCTGCTTGGAAGACACTGTAGATATTCCACGGCTAATAATTAAAATCTATAATTCTAACATCTCTCCACTGAAAATTTAAAACATCCCTATTTAGACATCATTTTATTTTGGGTTTTATGATGTTGTCCTTTTAAGGAACTATGGTAGGGAACAAATACAGAAAATGAACAGTAAATTTTTAACAAGCTATTAACAGTTTAAGCTAATAAATAACACAGCTTGAGGAAAGCCCTCTGAAAATGGCTAACTGAATGAAATAAGGCATATTTTTATTAAATATGTTTTCTATATTCTGGCACAACATAACATTTAAATAATCTTTCTCTCTAAAACCTGTGTTTCCCTAAAGAAACTCAAGCTTCAACATGGTGAGACTTAGTTATACTGTTTTTTTTTTCTTCTGTGCCTTCTAAGTAAAAACAAACAGAAAGGTACAACTATAAAAATGACTATTATGATTTAGTTATACTTTTTTTTCTTCTGAACTTTCTAAGTAAAAACAGAAAGACACGACTATGAAAATGACTGACCCTCACTATTATAAATTGTGTTTTTTGATTGTGGAGTTATTGATTTGTGTTTACCATGGTTAAAACACACATGCTTAAATTTTTCAAAATATTTTAAATTTTTCAAAATAATGTTTTAAAAATGATAAAATATAGGACATTGGAAAACAAAAAAAGCAAATTAGAATTACCTATACAAATGCCACCCAGCCATAACCACTAATAAAATGTTGATGGAGATATTTATTTCTAGGCTTTTAATTTTAACAATGCATGTAGAATACTGGTTCATATTGTGTCTCTTTGCATAAGTGAACCTATAAACTGCCTTATATTTAAAACGTAAACTAAAGTCCATGATTCCTTTAAATTCTATCATAGATTTTTACTAGAATAGTTATACTAAAACGATGTTTTATTATAGAACTATTCTTGATGTACTGAATATTAAAATATATTCAAACTGTTTTTCATATGAAACCAGTATTAAAAAGTATTTTTGAGGAGAAATACTTCTTTCTCAAATTAGTTTCACAATGGCTATTATATTAGCATAGGGCTAAATCTGTTGTATTATGTAATAATTTTGCATGTATCATGGATTAGGTGAATACATTTTTATTTTGAATTTATTGCACGTCTATTACAATAATAGTACTTGCTATTTATTGCTGTGGTACTGGCACTGCTCTGTGCCTTGGACATATTAACTTATTTAATTCTTATTGACCATATATACAATAGGTGCCATTGTTGCCCATTTTACAGATAAGACAAAGGTAGAGAGAGATGAAGTAACATACCCAGGGTCACATGGCCACTACCCAGAAGAGCTGGAGTAGGAAACTCCATGGTCTGCCCTTTACTACTCAAAAACTGGCTTATATGCCTGGATACCTTAAATCTCCACTTTGTTTGACTTTTCACTAGACTCCCTCTCCTTAATAGAATTATTTTTGCATTTGTTCCTAAAACAGCCTGATGATGGTGGAAAAAATAGGAGGATATAGAGTAACTGAAAGGGAGATGGCAGTACAGGAATGTTTGGAAAGAGTGAAAAGTAATCATTAATGAAAATAAGAACTATTATTTATGTTTAGAAATCATTTGAAAAGTAGTATTTTTGAAAATCTTAATGTATAAACAAAGCCTTCCTGAAACCAGTTATTTCCTTAATTAGGTAGTTGGGGTTTTTAAATTGTTAATTTCTTAGTTTCAGGATTAAAAAATACTTATCAACTTTGCTGGCTGTAACTCAAAAGTTTAGGTGTGAGATCCAATCATGACTAGAGATGAAATGAGTAGAATTTCTTATTATTACTGATATCAGACGATTGGTAATGGGCTGGTGACAGAGGATAGATGAGTAAGAGGGGAGGGATGGGGCAAATGGTAGGTAAAAAGTTAACTAGTAGAAAGCGATGGAGGGCTTGATGTTTTGCATCACATTAGTCTGTGTTCTGAAGTTAACAGGTTTATCTTTCTTGTTATGTTTTGTCCTAGTTGCCGTGTCCTTAAGGAATCAAAAGGTCATTTTACCCCAGACATCAGATGCTTACCAGGTATCTGTTGCAAAAAGCATCTCTATTCCAGAGCTCAGTGCTTTCACACTCTGCTTTGAAGCAACCAAAGTTGGCCATGAAGACAGTGATTGGACAGCTTTCTCCTACTCAAATGCATCCTTCACACAATTGCTCAGTTTTGGAAAGGCCAAGAGTGGCTACTTTCTATCCATTTCTGATTCAAAATGTTTGTTGAATAATGCATTACCTGTCAAAGAAAAAGAAGACATTTTTGCAGAAAGCTTTGAACAGCTCTGCCTTGTTTGGAATAATTCTTTGGGCTCTATTGGTGTAAATTTCAAAAGAAACTATGAAACAGTTCCATGTGATTCTACCATTAGTAAAGTTATTCCTGGGAATGGGAAATTGTTGTTGGGCTCCAATCAAAATGAAATTGTCTCTCTAAAAGGGGACATTTATAACTTTCGACTTTGGAATTTTACCATGAATGCCAAAATCCTCTCCAACCTCAGCTGTAATGTGAAAGGGAATGTAGTCGACTGGCAAAATGACTTCTGGAATATCCCAAACCTAGCTCTGAAAGCTGAAAGCAACCTAAGCTGTGGTGAGTTTGTAGCGTATTCCTTTTTTTTTTTTTTTTTAGCATTATTCTATGAATATGATTGTCAACAAAGAATTATACATACACACAAATGTACCTGTATGTATATTCACACATATAGACATATATATATATGTTGTCATTAAAAAGCTCTTTTAATTTTTAAAATGTCGTCTGCTCAGCTCTTATAGCACACATTTGATTATAAGCCATGCATGCTCCATCAAGACATTTGGTTTTACCATTCTTAAGTTTTCCCTATGTCATAAAATATCACAGAGTTTATCACGAATATAACAATAGTTATAATTGTGGAATCTCAAATACAAATGTTAACACTAGGCTTGAAACAAAAGAAATTAATAAGTAAGTTATTGGTATTTTTTTTTTGAGACAGAGTCTCACTGTGTTGCCCAGGCTGGAGTGCAGTGGGGTGATCTTGGCTCACTGCAAACTCTACCTCCTGGGTTTAAGAAATTCTCATGCCTCAGCCTCCCAAGTATCTGGGACCACAGGCGTGCACCACCACACCCAGCTAATTTTTGTATTTTTTTAAAATAGAGATGGGGTTTCATCATGTTGGCTAGGCTGGTCTCAAACTCCTGACCTCAAGTGGTCCACCTATCTCAGCCTCCCAAAGTGCTGGGATTACAGGTGTGAGCCACCCTGCCTGGCCAGTTACTGTTTTTTTTTGTTTTTTTTTTTTTTTTTGAGACAGAGTCTCGCTATGCTGCCCAGGCTGGAGTGCAGTGTCATGAGATCTCAGCTCACTGCAAGCTCTGCCTCCCAGATTCACGCCATTCTCCTGCCTCAGCCTATCGAGTAGCTGGGACTACAGGTGCCCACCACCATGCCCGGCTAATTTTTTGTGTTTTTAGTAGAGATGGGGTTTCACTGTGTTAGCCAGGATGGTCTCAATCTCCTGACCTCGTGATCGGCCCACCTTGGCCTCCCAAAATGTTAGGATTACAGGCATGAGCCACCGTGCCCGGCCCAGTTACTGTTTTTAATCACAAAGGTGATACAGTAATAAACTGATCTATATCATCCTGGAATTAAATTTCAATTGGATGACTTAAATAAACAACCAGCACCTAAGAGAATAGTATTTACTCAGCCAGTTTAAATATCAAAACTGTCCATTTTATAGAAAATCTTAATCAGGAATTATCCATTTTTTTCTTTGAACATTTTTCTCCATTTTTTTTAAAATGAGGATTTATAGTTTGTTTCAAATACTGTGCTGTCTCTGGTTCTTCTTTGTGAGACTGTAAATGTGCTATTATTGGAAGTAGCTAAATGCAGAATATTTTGAGAAATAATTCTGTGTGATAAAAATTGTATTAAAATAGATCTCCACCTAATATTCTCCATTTACACAAGTTAATTCTGGAAGCCTTTATTTTATTATAGGACTGATTCAAACACAAAAAGTAGAAGTTTCATTATCAACTTTAAATGTCATATGACTAAATCTAAGGCAGTGATAATATATACATTTTAGTCACAGACATAACTCTCAATTAAAAAGGAGAAGAAGGAGCCTAGTATTCAAAAGTAATTTGTATATGATATTGGAGGGAAGTTTACTGGGAATTTATTCCCACGCTTTGAGCAAAGTAGCACCCTTATGATGACTCAAGGCCACCTCCCAATTTCTCAGACCCATGCCTGCCCTTCTGGCCTGAGAACTCCTGTTACCCACCTGTTCGTGTGGTCCATGGCACTCCTACAGGTGGTGGAAAGGCTGTGAAGTGATGTCATTTGAAAGATATTTCCTTGCAGGATGTTGGAAAGTAGATAAACCACAACCCTGTTCCACAAGGGAACTGCAGAGCTTTATAAGAGCTGGTGATGTTCCCTAAGATCTTCTCTCAGTGTTAGGATAGCTAGAAAGGACCTTCAGGGACTCCTTGAGAAGTCTTTTATCAGAGAAGAAATTGAGAAAGTCAGGTGTGTATGTTTGGTGTGGGACAGTGAAGAATAAGGAGAGGGAATGGTGCACTTCCTGCATTCTGGGTGACTGTCTTTAATTCAGGGGTCTCTTTTCACCATAGACTGGGACATTATTAAGAAGTCATAGTATAGACCATTCTAATATTTGCCTTTTTATGGGACAATGTTTTGAAGATGTCAGCAACCAAAACAAATATGGCTATGTTAATAATTGCTAATACTTATATTTAAATTGAACACACATTTTGTACTAAATGTCATTTTAAGCACTTAACACATATTGGTTGATTACCTACACCATAGATCCCATGTTACGGGTTCTATAATTGATCCTATTTTGCAAATAAGGAACCTGAGGCACGTGGAGATTAACTAACTTATCCAGTGTCTCTTAATTAGTAAGTAGCCAAGCCAGGATTGGAGCTTGGAAAGTTTGGTATTAGAGCTGTGCTCTTCTAACCAGTATAAATTAGACTGTCATTCATCATAAACAGGATTAGATATTAGATTTAGTACCAGGATAGGCTAAAGCTCATTCTTGCTCAGGGGAGAAGTATGAAGGTCCAAGAGCCATCTCTCTGGCCAGCAGTGCATTCTGTGAGAAAACACTAGGTTTGCAGTGTGTTAACATATTTGTTTCAAACAAATAATATTTGTTTCCCACAATACTTCCTGGATACCTAACTATGAAAAAGTATGATTCAGTTTTACAGGGATTCCTAAGCTTCTCTAAGAATTTCTCTAGACCAGAGGTTGGCAAATTAGGAGGGCCTGTAACAGGCCATGCATTTTTGTTTACTTGTTTGTTTAGAGACGGGGTTTCACTCTGTCCCCCAGGGTGGACTGTAGTGGTGCCATCAGAGATCGCTATAACCTTGAACTTCTGGGCTCAAGTGATCCTCCTACTTCAGCTCTCCTGAGTAGGTAGGACATCAGGTGTGCACCACCATGCCCAGCTAATTTTTTAAAACATTTATTGTAGAGATGAGGTCTCACTGTGTTGTCAAGGCTGGTCTTGAACTCCTGGCCCCATGTGATCCTCCCTCCTCAGCCTCCCAAAGTGGTGGGATTACAGGCATGAGGGATTGTGCCCAGCACACATGTTTTTTTAATACTTGTTTTTCTTTTTCTTTTCTTTTTTTTTTTTTTTTTTTTTTTTAAGTTGGGGTCTTACTGTGTTGCCCAGACTGGCCTCAAACTCCTGGGCTAAAGCAATCTTCTAATCTCAGCCTTCTGAGTAGCTGGGACTAAGCTCCCTTGTTCTTATAAATAAAGTTTAATTGGAACACAGCCATGCCCATTAGTTTATATATTGTCTTTGTCTGCCTCTGTGCTACAATGGCTGTGTTAATTGATTGTGATCAATACAGTATAGCCTGCCATCCTAAAATGTTTACAGTCTAGCCCTTTAGGAGAACATTTGCCACCCCCTGAAACTAGTCTAAAGAACTGAGAGTCCGCTTTGCTGAACCACATACTTTGGACAGCACTAGAAAAGACCTGCTAGATCTCCTCAGCCAGGGAAAACAAACCAATCACCCACAGGCTAGTTTAGCCCTACGACATGGGTGGTGGTAGTAGCATTTATTTGTTCCTGTTCATTTACATTTGTTTCACACAGTGCTTTTAATTGATGAATTATTTCCAATATTAAACAATTAGATTTCACATAAAAATGAAGTTTTGGATTTTTCTGGTAAACAGAATACACTAGGCTACTATATCTGCATGGCCAACACAGCTGGAGCTAAATGGTGGCTGCTGCTTTCAAAGGAGCTTCCCAGTTTACTTTAGCCCTTAGCAACCCCTTATTCTTCCCACTCCAGCCCCCTTTTTGTCTTTAGATGGCCATCTGGCCCTGATGGGCTTTTAAATGGGAATGCTGATTTATGCCACTCCCTTTATACGGGCCAGGAAACTGAAGCTTAGACAAAAAAAAGTGGCAGAGGCAGTTGGTGGGCTCCAACACGTGTCTCCTGTCTCCTTGTCTAGTATTTATGTCTGGGAATACTCATTTAAAAAATTATTTTAAATTATTTTAATTGATTGATAAGAACTATATGTGTTTATGGTATACAACATGTTTTAATATAGGTATACATTGTGGAATGGCTAATATGAGCTAATTAACTTTCATTGTTATCTCATATACTTATCATTTTATTTGTAGACAGAACATTTAAAATCTCTCAGCAATTTTCAAGTATACAATCATTGTTATTAACAATAATCATCATGTTGTACAATAGATTTCTTGAATGTATTTCTCCAGTCTAACTGAAATTTTCCATCCTTTGACCCATACATTCTCAACTCCTGTGCCCCATCCACCCCTGTGCCCCTGGAAACCACTCTTCTATTCTTTGCTTTTATGAGTTCAACCTTTTTAGGTTCCACATTTAAGTAAGATCATGCAGTTCTCATAATTTCTTAAACTCTGTCCCTGAGACTCCTTTCCCAAGCCTTAAGATTATCGGAGTGCATCAAATACATACTCATGTATCTTAGTCATCTATAAGTTTTCAAAGTAATTTTGTCAAAAGGGTACCGTGAACTTAACGGAGTCAATATATTTGAGTCTTTCTAACTTTTATAGTGATCTTCTTGCCATTCCAAGTTGACGTTAAACACTCACATTCCAGACATTCAGATGTCCTGGACTGTGTTTCAGGAGAAATGATGGGAGAGGGAATTTCCTGCTGCTTAATCATCAGCTTTGGGAGTTGAAGAGTCCAAGTCACTCATTAACTGACAGGAAATACCTGTAAACAGAGATTATATCAAGGCTTGTTAGCTAAGCAAATCTTTGATAAGTGTACCCTGTTAACATTTTAACCTTTCATTTTTTTTCCAGGAAATGAAAGCATCTTGCTGTTTATGGTTATAATTTCCAACAAACTAATCAGTACAGTAACCAATGGGAGAATAGAAATTTATTTCTAGCATTCCACTGAATGGACAATGTCTGCTAAATATGAGCTTTTATTTCAGGATTAATTTGTGATGGAAAAATAAATAGATTTTGCAAAGGTATATTGCTAAATAAATTTTAGTACGAAAGTAACATAGTAGAATTGAACTGACTCAATTCAACATTAAAATATCCTGTCATTTTTTTCACATATTAAACATCCTAGCCTTAATAAAATTGATATATTATTAATAAATACTCTAACGATTTTAGTATATGACTTTGTTTTCCTATACTTTTCTAAAAAATATTTGGGAATTTTACCTTAATTAGGAAATTTTCAGCAGATTTTTAAAAACATGGTTAAACCTGTCAATACTTTTAAAAACGAAATGTTTATTTAGCAGTAAATCTGCTTCATTTTATAGCATCTTCATTTTTCTCATAACAATTTTATTAAATACATTCAGTTTTATGACCCTCATGGATAGATAAATTTTTAGTGGACTCTTTAATTATAGGTGCAAGTATTTATTTGCCTGTGTAATGATTCAAGTTTAGATACTGGCTGATGTCCGTCAATTTTCACAAAGAACAGACAGTGCCTTCTCTACTAGTTTTATTTATTTTACTGATTACTACTCTTTCCTGAGGGAGTGGTACAGTATAACGCAATGAATAGTCTAAGTTCAAACAAATTACATTTATTTTAACAAGCATTTATTAGGCACTTCCATTGGTTAGCTACTGTGGTTGTAGAGATAAGACACACTTCATAAATACTTTATTGTTATTCTTTTCTGAAATTTCTGGATTTGTATTTTTGTTTCCCTCTCTAGGATTTTTTACAGAGTTTGCTAAGGTTTCATCAACTCTTGGATTTTTACCGTTTCATAATCATTACAGTTCTGTTCTTCATAGCTATAAAACTTCAATTCATTATTGGCTCCTCCCTTGCACTTCTAACAAATGATTGAATGTAATATTTTTAGATTACTAAATCATTTTTAAATAATAAAATTAAGATAAATCATTTTATCTTTGCAAAGGACTTTATACTCTGAGGATGCCCAAACTCTTTATGAACATAGATGACTAAATTTCACTTTAAATATATTTATTTATGAAAAGTTGAAAAATTCATCTTAGTAGCAACTGCAAAGAAAAAAATGAAAGGAATTACTGTTTTTATTTTTCTGTTATTGCAACTTATTGTGAGGATTTGCTCTTCAGTTATTTGGAGTATCATTAAGTAGGTATGAGAGGAGCAGTGGGCTACACATCAGTCTTTTTTACCACAACTTGTGTAAATATTAACATATAGTGACTCCTTTCAGTAGCATAATTTGGAAAGTACAACAGATAGAGAAGGATTAACAGCTTTAGAGCTTTTCCTCAACTGCCTGTTTCCAGTGATTACATTTTTTTCAAGAAAACTTGGCTCTAAATGTTGCTGTTAATGTTGTAGAACTTTGCTTCTTAGTTCAGCTAGAACCCGGGTTCTTGTCACACAACTAGGAAAATTTAGGCACACGGACACATCGAGTGGTCAGTAGAGCAGGACTTTATTGGGCAAAAAGGAAAAACAAAACAAAAAACAACAACAAAAAGCTCAGCAAAGTGAGACGGAGGCCTGCCAACAGGCCCTCCACCTCACTGATTGATTCCCAGGTCCCCACAGGAGCTGGAGAGAGCAGCCTCCTCCCCTGCATAAGGCATGAATTCCCCGTGGCTCCACCCACCTCCCACAAGTCGGGCTCCAGTCCTCTATGGGCAGGCTCAGGCAAGGCCTGGGCAGGTTTCCTCATCTGCACGAAAGCATCTGATGTAAACACTTGTGGGGCGGGTGGGAGATTCTCCGGGCGCCCCTTTTTATCTGCCTAGACATTTGGCTGTCTCATTAATATTAAGTAAACACCTGAAAACACCTTTCTGGTAGCCTCGAAAATCAGTGAACACATACACATCATATTCTAAAACCAATTTGTTGATGATAAAACATATCATTATCCAGGAGAGTGGATTGTTTGTTCTTTCTTAACAACCTCCTGATGTGTAAATCCATCAGCCAAAGAAAACTGATTGTGATATTGACTTTTTATGCAGATATGCTGAAAATGGAACTGGGTAGAAATAAAGTTTGTATATACTTTTGATAGTTCATGTATTTGTTTATTTTGGTGTGTTTGTAATGCAAGTTTTCATTTATCAATTAAATTTCCTTTTAATTAAATTAGTCACTTGTATTTATACCATTTTTACTTAAAAATATTCCAGTGTGATTTTTATTGTTATATTGGATCATATTAAAATAGTGTTTATTGAGTGTTTAAAGCAATGTCAATTTGCTAAACTAGAAGTTCCCCAGAAGGAACAGCTAACTAAAATACTGAGAAGTAATTGTTGCAGTTTCCCATAAAAGAATGCTACATATTGAAATTTATACTTGTTACTGTGCAATGAAACTGATGAAATGTTCAAGAAAATTGTTAAATATCTTGCTCTAAATCATAGCTCTTCTGATTTTCTTTTCTTATTTTTACCTCTAAGCTCTTTAACATACTGGGAATGTAGTTTGCCTAAAAACTGCTTTCCCACAACACTGAGCCCTTATCTCCCTTTGTCTTCCAGAGATATTGTATCAGTGCCAGAAGTGGCCTAAGAAGCCCTTGACTGCCAACATTGTGTGTAATATGAGAACCACAGGAACTCCCTCCAGGGTCTCCTCTATTGCATGCTACAGAGGCTGAGATTTCATTAGTCTCTGAACTTTAAAGGCTTTTTAGTTTGCGGAAGTCCCTTACAAAATATAAGTACCTACAAAAGGGAGGTCCTACAAAAAATGGGCATACAGTAAATGTGATGCAAGGGAATAATGGGCAAAAAGCATTCAAGACAAAATTCCACCTCAGTCCTGCCTTAACTTCTGCCTCTTCAAATGTTCTTTTTTCATTGTGCATTTGCTTAAGTTTTCAATCTTTAAAACTCCCCCTTCCTCTCTCTGCTTCCTTTCACAGCCAAGCTTCCTCTTCTTGCATTCACTCGTCAGACCTTGGCAGTCTAGATTTCATCATTCCCACACAACTCAAACTATTTTCTATAGAGTTACTACCAAAATCCCAATGCAAAGTTAAAGGTCTTCTCATTCTTTATAATTCTTGGCCTTTCTGGTATTCTTGATATTGTCACACCCTGCATTAAACTTTCTTCTCTTAAATTATGTAAAACCACCTCTGTAAAAGCTGTTTTTACCTTTTTAAGTCTATAGCTCTTTTTCTTATATCTGATGCTTAAATATAGAAATATCTGTGGTTCCATCCTGTTTCCTTCTCAAATCTACAATCTATCTCCAGTGATCCCAAACACTCTATAGCTTCTGATGAGTATTTCCTGGCTACACCTCTTACAAAAACACTTTTGCGTCTAGGTGTCACACAGGCACCTCAGTTTCCGTTACTGGACTTAGTGTTTACCCTACCCCACCTAAGTCTGCTCTTCTTCTGTTATTTCCTATCTCCTTTTATTAGATCGATATGTACCAGTTTTTGAAGTTGGAAATTAGCAAAACGTCCTCTATTCTTCCTTTTTTCCTCTGTCTTTAATTAGTTGCTAAATGTTATGCATTCTATCTTTAAATTTCTTGTATCTGTATCTATCTCTTTCTGTCAATCCTTATTACTTATGATATCAAGGCTGAATTATTAGTAGTAGTCCTGCTTCTGTTTCCCTTCTTTTGGTTGTAGAACCTAAATGATTGTTTTCAAATGAAATATAGTTTACTTGCCTACCTCCTCATTTTCCCTCACTGCCTTTAAGAAAGAGTTCACAGGCCGGGCACGGTGGCTCACGCCTGTAATCCCAGCGCTTTGGGAGGCCGAGGCGGGCGGATCACGAGGTCAGGAGATTGAGACCATCCTGGCTAACATGGTGAAACCCTGTCTCTACTAAAAATACAAAAAATTAGCCTGGCGTGGTGACGGGCGCCTGTAGTCCCAGCTACTCGGGAGGCTGAGGCAGGAGAATGGCGGGAACCCGGGAGGCAGAGTTTGCAGTGAGCCAAGATCATGCCACTGCACCCCAGCCTGGGCAACAGAGCGAGACTCCATCTCAAAAAAAGAAAAAGAGTTCACAATGTTAGTTCACCTGGTGAACCCAAAATATCTGAGACAGGTTTCAATTAGTTTAGAAAGTTTATTTTTCCGAAGTTAAGGACACACCCGTGACACAGCCTCAGGGGGTCCTGATGACATGTGCCCAAGATGGTCAGGGTACAGCTTGCTTTTATATGTTTTAGGGACACAATACATCAACCAATACATGTAAGATTTACATTGGTTCAATCTGGAGAAGGGTGGGACAACTCAAAGTAGTGGGGAGAGGGCTTCCAGGTCATAGGTAGATTTAAAATTTTTCTGATTGACAATTGATTGAAAGAGTTATTATCAGTAGAAAGGAATGTCTGGGTTAAATAAAGGGTTGTGGATACCAAGATTTTTTCATGCAGATGAAGCCTCCAGGTAACAGGCTTCACAGAGGATAGATTGTAAATGTTTCTTATCAGACTTAGGGTCTATGTTGATGTTAATGCTGGAGGGGTGTAATGAGGCATGTCCAACCCTCTCTTCCATCATGGCCTCAACTCGATTTTCAGGTTAACTCTGGAGGGACCTCGGCCAAGAGGAGGAGTCCATTCAGATGGTTGTGGGGGGCCCTAGAAGTTCATTTTTGGTTTACAATCTTGAGTGCCCACCACTCAAGGTTCTAGTGTGTGGGATTAACCACTGGAAGAAAGACAGAGGGTTCTAGTGCTCATGGTGTTGCTATTTTCCAAAGCCTTACAGCAGCTATCCATTGTTTGTGTATCTGATCATCCTTATCAGTTTTTACTTTACTTTAGCAAAGCCCAGTGACTTGAGTGCACAGACCGTCTCAGTGCCTCCTTGGTACTTGTTTTAGAAATTCTGTCTGCCAGTAAAATACCCATCTCTACTTTCTTACCCCTGGCTCTCTCACAGCCTCCTGTGCCTCATGGGCCTTCTTCTTTGAAATGGATTTTCTGTTCGCTTTTCTTACCAAGCTGCTGTCACATCCTCCTTTGGGCCACTGCCACCTTCGGAGCACTTCCCTAATAGCACTTAGAACTGTGACGCCATCTCCCTTTCATGCCTCCCTGAGAGCAGCGACTTAGCTTAAAGCATCATTCTGGCCTCTGTACCTCACATAATGTAGGCAATAGGTAAATGTTTGTTGAGTGAATGTGTAAAGGTCTGTGACAAGAGCTTCTTGCCAGTCAGTGTCATGTCATAGCCTGCCTGTAATATCAGGCCTTTCTGAAGTATCATGATTCTTTCCTTGGGTCAAGTGCCCTGAGGTATCAAGGATGAAGAAACCATGCCTCTGGAGATACTGTTAAACTGTTAGGTTATTTTCTGCTTATGCATACCGTTTACCTAGTTATGTATCTTTTGTTAGCTCATGTGCGAGCTGTGCCTACACATTCCCACAGGAAAGTTTTGAAATATTTATTAGAATAAAACCACTATTATATAAATGTCCCTTAAAATATCGTGCATATTATATATGTGTGTATATATATGTGTATACACACATATACATATATATTTGTATTTGTGTGTGTTTATGATACAATATGCTTTGTTATAAGCTTAGCCAATTTTTCTCAGACTCAAGCTGTTGGAAAAAGTCTGTTAATTGTCAGAGGGAGATTTAGTGCAACAATGAAAATCTACTTCTACTAAAAAATTAGCTCAAAACTTGTTTCCTGCTGAGGATGAGTTAGTAAAAGCTTGAAATAAAAAGACACAGAGACTGAATTGAAGTCACAGAAACATATTTCTGGAATTACAAATAGCATATGCTAGGATGTATGAACCAAAACTGCGTTTTATGGGTAATTCATATTAACTTCACTTTTGAAACTTATTCTTGATGTTTGTATTATTTTATTTGTATGAATTCCCACCCAAACTCTTAAAATTTATTATACAAAAAGCCCTGAACTTTTTGCACAAACTTTAAGGGGCAGTGGCACTGCTTTTCTTTTCATGTGTGATGACTCACAAGTTGAGTTAAAGATTTTGAGGACAATATCAATACTTTGGTTTTACATTTGAGAAAATTAAGGCACAGTGGCCTTAAGAGACTTTCTTGATATCAAAGAATTACTGGTGGACTCTTCTAGGGCTGCTTCTATTACATCAACCGTATGATTTTTCTGGATAATATCACTAAATCATAAATCAAACTTACATATTCTTTTTGTGTTGATCAAGGTTCCTACCTGATCCCGCTCCCAGCAGCAGAACTGGCCAGCTGTGCAGACCTGGGGACCCTCTGTCAAGGTAGGGAGCCCACACCGTGCTCTGGAATCTCTTTGCTTTCTACTTGCAATTTTGGGTAATGTGGTTGTCATTGTTTTGATTTGTATCTGAATTTTCACTTGGAAAGCCAGAAAACAGCAAAACAGAAGAATTTCTGCATGTGTTTTAGTTGTGTGGGTGCACAGTACGTACGGCATGGAGAAAGAATGCATTCACACCATGGGTAACCACAATTCCACAAAGCTCTGAGTTTTAAAAATGTGAATTTATATCCTATTAAATATGGATTGGTTTCATTTTTCCCCCATGTCTTCTCAAGAATATATTGGACTTGCAAAAAGTCCAGTATAAATACAGTGGTACAATACTTTGAAGAAGTATTCATGTCTATAAAATAAAGAGGGAAATTAATTTGACTATTCAGTTAACTTTAAGATAAGGCCATGAGGCAATTTATGATGACAAGATAACTTAAATTTTAAGATTAAAATGGTTATAGTGAACTAATGTTAATGTAACTGTGTTAATTATTACGATGCTTACTATATCGTGGTCAGTATTTCAGTTACATGTTATGTACTAAATAGCTGCATGCTAAATAATACATAATTAAAGTTATACAAGTTTTAAAATAATAATATAAATATTTTGCTTTATTTTATCATTGCTCTTCCTAATTATCCATGACCCTTTTCATCTATTTATTCTATTAAATACTTCTATAGTGAAGTAGCATGTTCTGTGTACCACATTAAGAATCACAGCCATGCCTTTTGTAAAAGCTGGATCTCTTATTAAGAAGATCATAGCACAAAAGTGACAGGGCTTAGAAGTGAGATTGAAGAAATAAAAACCTAAGCTCTCTTCTGTGGTTCCAGTGTGAGAGTAGGGCAGGCAGGAGGTGGGGTGGGGTAACTCATTATTATCTTTTTTTCCTTTTGGAGACATTATTTCTTTGATATTATTATTAATCAATACCCTATGAAAATTAAGTCATCAAGTAGTTTTTTTTTCCATGATCTCCATGTGGTTTTCAAATTGTTATATGAAATAAAAAAATCTGTAATTCTGTTTAGTTCAAGATCTGAAGTTTAAAAAAAGTTATTTTTATTTTTAAAATTCTTCTCACCTGGGATATCTGACATAATACTTTGAAAATGTCTCCCTTATAAAGCTTGCCCTGTGAAATACTTTTTATCCATCAATGTTTAGTAAACTTTTTGGAATCTTTAAATGATTAACTTAGTCTATGCATTTCATTTGTCTTTTTCTTTACATTCATCTTAAGAAGAAGTACATTTTTCTTCTGAGATTTTATTTCTCTAGTCTCAGTGTATTAGGCAAACTTAGTTTAGATAACTTTCAAGCTGCAGATCTGTACAGGCTGCTTTCTATAACTTTTTCTTTTGACAGACTCAGGAAACCAAGTTCTAGAAGGGTTTAGTGTTTTACTGTGTGATTGCCAGCTTGTTAATGGAGATCTAGGTCTAGAATCTAGAATCAAAATGTCCTTTCTCTCATCACTATGTGCTTGCTCCAGACCCTTGTGTATTATAGCATCAAAGGCCATGTGTACTGATTCTTAATGTGCCATAGAAAGCATTGCTTCATCTTATACATTACAACCTTGGAGTCTTTTGTATTTCAAAGTGGTTTCCATTCTTCCCCTATATATTTTAATGCATTAATTATAGATTGCTTATCCAAATTAACTGTCATGTGCTCTTTGCAAAATTACATCTTTCTCATCTTTATTACCAGCTACTGTAAACTCTCCTAGTACTACACCACCCACTGTCACCACTAACATGCCTGTTACTAACAGAATCGATAAACAAAGGAATGGTAAGAAATCATTACCTTTTATATTTTTAGTATGTCTAACATAAAAAATTGTATTCTAAGGATGGAAATATGTATTATTCCAACAAAGTGTCTGTTACTGGAGTCAATTGGTACATTTGTAGGTTTACAAGATTAGTAAAATTAATAAAGATCACTTAACTCTGTTGAGTTCCTCATTCTTATGACGAGTGGAATGAGTACATCTCCAGTACTCCTCTTTTGCGCTTTTAGCCAAAATTTTTTTCAAAGGAAGTTTTAGGGGAAAGGCATTTAATTAGAAGGCATTAATGTGCATCATAATAGAGATCAGAGAAAAACGTATTTCCATGGTATTTTGTCAGATTATTTGCTGCAGGAAACAAGTTTTAAAGGATTTTATAAATTTCAAAAAATTAAGTAATTTTAATAATTTAATTTCTCACTTAAGTGAACTTTATGGTCATATATTTGTGACATTTACATCAATGTCCATAGTAATACTTTGCTTTCTGTTTTTATTTGCCGAAGAATAATAGAATATGATTATATATCAACTAAAACAAATCAAATTTTGAATGACAACTTCAAATACTTCTTGCTTTTTTCTCCAAATATACTTTTCTATTATTTATAATTTGCAAATACAGCAGTGTACGGTAAGAAATAAACAGAGGAAAAGTCAGGTGAGTGGAATTCTTTAACCTGTTCCTAGATGAACGACATACATGGCCTTTCAGTAATTCACAGTGAGCAATTTCAGTTTCTTCTAATAAAAGAGAAATTCCAATCAGGTGACCACACCATTGCTTTGAATACAGTAATATTCTCAAATATGAAGCATTAGAAACAAAGGAATTTTCTAAACTCCAGTCATTTAGCTTATGAGGCCAAGACATCTGTAATATATCACCAGGGACCCAAAACCCTGAGAAAAGAAACCCACATAGTTCATTTTTTCTTGGCTTCAGAGGTTACATCAATTTCCTCTGTAGGACATTTAAATTGGAACTATGGAATATTTTACATGAAACATAGATATAAATTTCAGTAGGGTTATAAAGACATCGATTCAGATAGTGTTTATGGTTATTCTGATAGTTACACCAAGGAGATTTATGATGGAGCAAAAATTCCAGCAACCCCCAAGAAAGCAACAGCAGCTGAAATTTCCAGTGCATATTTCACATGGACTCTAGCCAGTAGATGGGAATATTATAATTCTAACTAAGTATTTCACTCTTTGTATGAACATACAAAGAGCCTCTGTGGTATTCTCCCTCCAGGATTGACACATCCTCTACTGTCCAAGAACATTTATACGGTGCTTCAGAGTCCTTGACTTGGTGGAGTGGAGCTGTATTCACTCAATCATGTCATTTCTGACATTCTTGAAGAAAGCCTTGTTTAGGCCATCTCTCTCTGCGTCATAACCTTCATTGGAGTTTTAACAAAGCAAGCAAATGTTAGAATCAGTTAAAATGGTCTGTCTTGACCACATTAATGAAAAAAATCTAATTCAGATAATTCTTAATCAAAATGTCATCAGCGTTTAAAAATATTCAGGTCATTATATGACAGAAATATTCTCAAAATTGTGTTCTCAAATTTGTGTACCATCTTAACAATTGTTATTTTTACCATGTCTCTGAACCACCTATACTATTTACTATGTTTTTTTTCCTAAATTGACTCACTTTTTAATGTAAACATTTGTGTTTACTTGGGAAAATCTATTTCACAATTGTAAAGTGAAACCAGTCCTACTTGTTATAACACAGTTGTAAAAAGTGAATATAAATATAATGTAAACAATGTTTTAAAATTCTCCCTGTATCCTATTGCCTTCTCACATCTTAGCGCCTGAAGCCTTTATTATCTTTTTAAAAAGGAAGACTAACAAAGTATTAGAGACAGACTATATTAAGTTTTTTTTCTTTGATGTAATCAAATTTGAAATAATTGAAAAGAGAATTACTTTTTCACCTTATGAATACATGCTATTTAATGTCATGTCCTGGATTATCATCATTGATATAACATTAATAATTTCTTATTCTTTGGGAAACAGAGAGTAAAGATTCTCAGGCTTACATTCTGATATATTAGAGAATACTATTTTATTTACTGTAAGAAAGATTGGCACAACTGTCAAATCTATTATCTAATTTGTCCATTCCTTTTAACTCTTGGCTATCAGAATTTTACTGAATTAATCAATAACAATATTGCATTGTGGGGAGAGGAGAGGGGTTGAGTTTGCTTGATAATCAGATATATTTATCATAGTATATCAATAGAATTTGTTTTCCTGGCTTTTGTGAAATGTCCCTGTTTTTCTGTGTGAAGTTATTTTTGTTGTTTGCAATAGGACTTTTATCTGATACCTCAAATTACACTAAGTCCTCATTAATGTCATTGATAGGTTCTTGGAAATTCTGACTTTGAGTAAAATAACATGTAATGAAACCAATCTTACCATAGGCTGATTGATATAAACAAGAGTTAAGTTCCTACGGCATATTTCTGGTCACAGAAACATCACCAAACTTCCAAATAAAGGCCGAAACACTTCTAATATTAAACATTGCAGTTAATATGAGCTGTACATACATTTAAGAAACATTAGTGAAAACAAGTAAGATAATTGATTGCCCAATTTTGGGTGAGCCAGTGAGTGACTGCAGTCTTAGTGGCGGTGGTGGGTTAAATCAAGAAACAAATTTTTGCACAATGAAAATTGTGAGGAGCACCTCCTGCCACCAAGCAGTTCCAAAACAATCACCAATATGGGGGTTTGCCGAGTGCTTTCATACTGTATCACTTATTGTCGTGCATTTATATGATTATCTTATACTTTATGAATTTTTGTTTTACAGTAATTTGTAGCCATTCATTCATTGACTTTCCAACCTGCTTATTCCATCCAGTTCAGGGTAGCGGGTGGCTGGAGCCATCTGGGCAGCTCGGGGCAGCAGGCAGAAACTAGCCCTGGCCAGGACTCCATCCCATGGCAGGGCACACTCACACACACCCACACCCACTCACACTGGGACCATGTAGACAGGCCAGTGAATCCAAGGTACACAGCTTTGGGATGTGGGAAGACACTGGAGGACCTGGAGAAACCCCATGAAGACAAGGGGAGAACATGCAGACCCTACGCAGACAGGGGACCTGGCCAGGCATTGAGTCGTCTCCTCATCAACTTTGTAATGAAGCTCTGTTGAATGAAATGATGTTACTCAAGGACCTGCTGTGTACACTAAGAAAGTCTTTAAAGCTACTTTTCACAAACAGATATTTCAGGATATGGGTAATCTGGGGATTCCCACAAATAATGATCTTTTTTATGTTTTCCATTACATTCCCAAGAAAAGCTCTTGGACTAATTATTATTCCATTCCAAATCATATCTTCTCTGCTCAAACATCACTAGCTACTGAATAGTAAGCTTTTGTGAGGTTGTCACAAGCAACCCAAGTAAGGAATTAACTCCATTAGTCTCTATTATTGTTCTAAAAACCTAGTTTACAAGTAAGTACAGATTGTAACACTGCTTCCAGTTTCTCACATACGTTTAGCTGCTTAAATAACAAATTCCTTCTAAGATCATTTGAATGGATCCATTACTCTAGCTTTTTATGCCATATGTCTTAAAGAAATTGTGTATGTAGGAGCTGCAGGATGCCAGTCATATTGTAAATGCCACTGTCGTAATAGAATTGCCTCATCACTAGTTCAAAGAAATAACCAGGTGTCTAGATTAGCATTTGGTTTATATTTTAACGTCTATTTTTTCAAATAGGCCTATCATTTCAAACCTGTATTTTACGTCCTTGAAATAGCATAGATAGAGCAGTGTCATTTCTGTATTCTCCAAGAAACTCTGAAAAAAGTGTAAGAAGATAAAAAAGGGAAAGATTAATTGGAGAGAGACCTACAAAAAATAATGTTGTTTTGATACATTGGTAATGGCAGACAGTGATTTCTGCTTGAAGTTCTACATGCTGAAAGAAGTATCTAAATGGAAAATGGATATATTCTTAAATCATTTTTCCCCAATTAATGTCTATAATAAATTCTTTGGGCCTAGATGTCATTATTAGGATAGTACATACATATTTTGAAGTCTCTGGAACACATGAAGATTTGTGAATAGCTTTTAAAACACCGTGAGTGTTGTTAACATTTGTAAGAGAGGACAACTTTACTGCTATGGTAACATGGAAAATCCTGCATAAGTGTGTCTTAATTATGCATTTCCTCCAATGGCAATGTTGAAGCCAATTATTTTGCTGTAGTCCAAAACCCTGCTCATCAGCCCTTCAGTGGGCATATTTTTTTATGTTGCTTTGACAGTTCACTCTTGGACTTTTCTCATGGTTACTTGTTGACTGCACTATTCCAAAATTTTAAATAAGTATAACAAGTGGACTGGGGCAGGAAACAATGTTTAAAGAAAACATCTTAAATATTTGGATGCTTTCTTAAAAATTCAGAAATGTCAATGATTTTTAGAATTTTGCAATATTTTCCTTAGAGGGAACAAATACTACTGTTATAACAAAAGCATGCTTTAGGTTTCCATCTAGTGGTGGCTTTTCAGATACTCTGCTAGCATTGATAATACAGATGCTCCTCCACTTACGGTAGGGTTTGCATTCCTATAAACCCACTATTAAGTTGAAAATACTGGAAAATATCAAAAGTCAAAAATACATTTAATACACCCAACTTGCTGAACATCATAGCTTGCTGAACCCACCTTAAACACGTTCAGAACACTTACCTTAGCCTACAGCTGGGCAAAATCATCTAACACAGAGTCTATTTTATAATAAAGTGTTGAATATCTCATGTACTTTATTGAATGCTGAACTTAAAGTGAAAAGTGAAATGGTCATATGGGTACTAGAAGTACAGTTTCCACCGAATGCCTGTTGTTTTCCCACCATCGTAAAGTTGAATGATCTTGAACTGTAAGTAGGGAAGCTTCTGTATAGTCACAGAATATTATCAGGATCCTGAAATAACTCTTTGACCCTTGCAATTCTGAATTTCCTCCCAATCATTCAGAACATCTGTGATTTTATTTGATGAGATCCACAGTGTAAAAGTTATCTTTATATGAATTATTTGTTTTATATGTTCCTCCAAATATTTTTCATTCAGAACATTTTTTAAAGGAATATAAAAGTCAAGATCATTAAAATACCCGAAGAATTTTAGAAGTTGAAATAGTCTGCATAAATTAAACTCACCTGTGCTTGGACTTGTGCCAGTTTTATATATTTATATTACTACATCCAGGGGCAGCAATTTATATTGTTTAGCACAAGACTCTGATTCTTACTGGAAAGACATTCCTTTGGTAGTGGGACTGGAATTTGCATTTTGGTGGATTTGGAAATTCCCAGAGGCAAACTTTTACATTTTTTTTTCTACTGCCTCCCCACAATTTTTACTGTTTTCTTCAACATTGCTATAATTATGTATTTCTATATTTTGTGTGCCTATTTTACTTAAGACTTACCTAAACATAAGCATGAAGAAAGATGATCAACAAAGGAGACTCAAAAAATTTTCTTCTCTCTGTATCTTACCATAATTTAAAAGGGTATTTTTCTTACTAGCTACTTTGACTAAAGCACCCATTTACAGCTATTTAGCAAACCCTTGCTGGTGAGTTTGATTTTTCATTTTAAAAAATCAGTTTACTTTAAAGATTCCCCCCACCCAAAGAGCAGAATCTTCTTTACAATAAGGTTTTCTTTTTATTTTCTTTTTCAAGTGATTTAGTCCAATGAAAATTCTACCTGCAAATATTGTTTCTTTTTTTCCCTCTATTTTGGTATAAATGAGCATATTTAAGAAATTTTGATGAAAAGTCTGGTGAAATGCAGCCTAGTAGTTTAATAGAAGTATTTTATTAAGCAGGGGAAAGAGAGGAAAAGGAGAGGAATTAGGGTAGTAAGTATGTGTATGCCTGTTCTGCTTTTTCAAGTTAATTCCTCCATATGATCTCATTCAAGTTTTCACATCCCAAACTCTTTATCATTCTTTATAATGCACAGAAAGCATAATGCCTGTTATAAGAAGTCAAATTGTACATGAAAACAGTTAACACATTACAGACAGTAGATATAAGAAATCTATAGAATTAAAAATATGAAGAAACATATGCAAGTAATAAGAGTAAGCTAATTGATAACTATTTCTAAGAAGTTGGAAGGTCAATAAGCTTAACATCAAAATATTTCAGAACTTTTTTTGCCTATGTAGAAGGTGTTTCTTTTAACTTATATTGTAAATTATGTGATTATGAATAAAACTATATGATTATGTAAGACTTACATGATCATAACTTTAAATTGTTTGATAATTATATAACTATAAACATATAATTAATGGACTAATCCTATTTCCAATGGGCAGATGGAATTATCTATAGAATATCCGTAGTGATTCAGAACATCCTTCGTCACCCTGAGGTAAAAGTACAGAGCAAGGTGGCAGAATGGGTAAGTGAGCTTGTAACTTTTCTTTTTTAAAAAAATTCTTTAACTTCTGGGAATCTGGAAAAGACTAGTTAACTGAATCCACAGATCATACTGAAACACAGATGGTATTCATTAGAAATATATGAGTAGATATGTAAGTGAGGTGTTGTCCTTATGCATAGGAAGAGAAGTACATTTGAATAAAGGATAAGAACTGAGCCTAATAGACTATCAATGTCTTAAATAAGAAAAGTATCGCACAAATGGAAATAGATTTTGGTGGCAACAGGTATCTGTATTTCATATTAGATCCATGTATTTTCTGCTATATTTTTAAATAGATTATTTTAAAAATTGTTTGAATGTTTGATCAAAACCAGCAAGTATGAAAAGACGCATTATGAAAGTCTTCCACCCATCCTTGCTGCTCATCTGCATGGAACCAACCCAATAACCAACAGCAAATAGGAAATCACTATTAGTTTTCTCCGCTTTTTTCCAGATTTCTTTGTGCACATGAAAGAAAATTAAACTATAGATTCTTATTTTCCTTCTTTTTTACACGAAAAGTAGTATACTTTACATACCGTTCTATACCGTACTTATTTTTATTGTTGCCAGATTTGCAACATTAGAGAACTACATGTTTTTTTTGTTTTGAAAAAACAATGCATAATATTTCATTATGTGGCTGTTCAGTCATTTATTTAGCAGATCTTCTGTTGATGGACAGTTAGGCTGTAATTTATTTAACCAGTATCCTATTGGTAAACATTTTGTAGTTTTCAATTTAAAAAATTTAACATTTTATTTTCTTCTTTTTCTTACAAATACAACACATGGATTTTTTCATTTTCTTCTTCACAATAACAATCTCAATTTTATTTTCCATAGGTTTCTATTTTTTCTATTATTTCATTTCCTACCTACAGCATACTGTGAGACTTTGTACTTCTTTTTATATATAATGCTGTTACAGTTCAAACAATTTTTTTAATTGAGTCACTATACATTCTGAAATAAGAAAAATGGGTTTTCATATATATTTGGTGTTTGATAAACGTGTCTTTGGTAGCAAAAGAAAGTTTACGCATTGAGAGGAAGTGGTAGCTACACACACACACACACACACACACACACACACACACACACACACAGAGACATCTATATATATTTGAAAAATAACTGATAGAAAACAGTCTTCATTTTAAAGGCAGTACTCTTTAAAAAAAAGTTGACCATAGGTAACAATAGTAGGTAATTAACTCTGTTACAAAGTTGGTGAGAAAGGTGAAATCCTCTACTGAAATAAAAGAAAAATACTACGTTTGATTTTTGGGAATGCCACATTGAGATTAGTAACTCATTCAAATACTAGGAGATGTTTAACCTCTCAATGGAGAGAGCAGGCTGCAGAAAGAGTATATTCTTTCTGTGTATCCCATTTTCTTTCCAGAGTTGTTCTTTTTGTTTAAAGTTAGAGTGATTTCAGAAGATAAAATTCTTTATTTTCATTCTCAAATAAGCTACTGTTAGCTTATTTGTGCAAATAATGGGTAATGTTATTAATCTAAATTTAGCATTCACTAGAAAGTTTGTGCTAGATAAGGTATAAGCTTACATTTATATTTACTTCATGCATGGTTTTCAACATAGCTTTATTCTCATCTGCAGCTAAACTTTACTAGACATTTTTGTTTAAAATGCAAGATACCAAAGCAGATACTTGATAACAGAGAAAATATAAATAGTGTACCTGTTTCAAATTATTACTATTTACAATTTTAAAATAATTTAACATTTTTTTTGCCAGGATTCCCTAAAACTTACATTCAGTTTTAGAAATGCTTAAAAGAGAGGCTAAATGTGTGTATGAAACAAGGCCTAAATCACTATTCGGAGATGATATGTAAATAGGAGTCTCTCATGTCAGTGAGGGAATCTCGTTTTGCAGTTGTATGGGAAACTGCATCATAGAAGCTTCTTTATATTGGAGGAATCCATTGCTTCATTAAAAACTCTTATGCTGAGACCATAAAGACTGCTAAATAACCACATAATAAATACATAGTTCCAATAGTATTGAACTTATTTTATTTTTTTAATTTATATTGTTAATTTATAATTTTTCTTATTACTAATATTGTGAGATGGTAATTACTAGAAAAATGTTTAGTGTATCTTAGTGTTGTTAAATGAAGAATAGAGAAGATATTTATTGCAAATCTTCTTTAATATGAGGGCTAGAGAGGAAATGATAGTTTTCCAAACAGACAGACTTGGGTTCCAATCTGGCATCTGCTACTGCTTACTTGGGTGATCTTGGGCAAACCATTTCTTATCTGTGAAAGCTCAGTTTCTTTATATATAAGACTATGGGGTGTGTGGGGATAATACCTATTTCATTGGTTGTTGTGAGGATTGAAAGGAATAACATTTATCAAATTCTTGGTATACAGTGATCCATTAACTGTTACAATGATCCATTAACTGTTCACTCCTCCAACTCTTCAGGATTTTCCCAGGGTCTTATCTCAGTAACAACTTATGTTTTAGGTAGAAACTTGAATTAGATATTTTTTAAAGGTATTAGCAAAACTCAGCCTTTTCCATTGTGTTTTCCAGCTCAATTCAACCTTCCAAAATTGGAACTACACGGTTTATGTCGTTAATATCAGGTAAGACAGAATAAATTATTTGATAAATTAAAAGTAGTGTCTAATTTAATGCTACTATTTGTCTCTCTGATTGTACCAAAATATACATACAAATACACACACATAGCTACTATATACATAATCTTTCTAAAACAACTGTGTATTAGTTCATTGCACAAAAAACCTCCATGCTGCAGCGATGGTTTTAAACTGTTTTGATCATGCATTACAGTTAATTTGTATTTGTTTTAAATCATGTTATAATGTGTCAAAAATTAAAATCGGATAATTAAATATAAATAGAAGTTGTTAGTTTCTTCTCACACCCTGGTGGATCACCTAGAGCACCCCCTGGTTGTGTGTACCCATTTCAAGACCACTTTTTTTTCCAGATCTAATTTCGTACATCGACAGTCTGTCTGATTGCAACCTAACTTTTCGAAATTATCCTTCACTGTATTTATATTTAAATCCTCCACTATCTTCAGCAATTTGTATTGTCCATATATCCTCCTGTGTACCTTGTTTTCATAGTTCTATACCTGAACTAGTTTTCTAAAGTGTATGTCATGACCCCTAAACATATATTCTGTGAAGATAAGAGATTTAATAACACAGAACAGGTGTCAAATTGTCATATAAGTTCAGGAAGTACGTTATTGTACAAACTGAAGCAGATTTTTTTATCAGAACGTCTCAGTTTCTTTAGTGTAATAATATGAATTGTGAATCTTCAAAACAGAGCAAAAGCACACAGTTGCCTAGCTTTCTGAAAGAAGCTAGAACCTCAGGACACACATTTGAAAATATTGGCTTAGAATTCCCATTCTGTCTCTTTATTTCAGGTCCCCAAATTTTATTGTTGATGATGTAGTTGGTGAGGTGGATTAATGAATATATGTATTTGTGTTTTTAGTTTTCACCTGAGTGCTGGAGAGGACAAGATTAAAGTCAAGAGAAGCCTTGAGGATGAGCCAAGGTAACAGGACAAAGTATTGTAAAGAGTATAACATTCTTTCTCTTGCTCACTACTTTATCTGGTAGAGAAATGAAAACAATTAGATAGGAAAGAAAAACTTAATCACATAGCACAGTTATTTCTTTAGCACTGCTGTACACTACTTTTTTCTTGTAGTTAAAACTGTAATGTAACAGACTGGGTAGTAATGTATATCCAATGAAAAATAATTGAGAAATAGGGCATTTAAAATGGATGGATTATTATTTTTAGTATTTCCAGTTTATTTATCATAACCCATTGCCTCTTACTTGAAATTGCAAAGGTACCTTCAAAGAAAATAGCTTTAAATAAAGTGTTTATATATGATAACATCTAATAATATGGATAATAGATGCCTAAATGTTTTCAGCATTTAAAGCTATTAGTTAATTTTCTGAAGTCTCCCTTTTAATATTTATATCAGGATCATGCCTTAATCATGCAGGTAATTTAATGGATATGTCCAGCATATATGACCAGTTGGCATGTAAGGACCAAATGTTCAGAGTACTGTAAAACAAACAAAAAAACCCTAAATTTCCAAATGGAATAAATTTAGTTGTATTTAGGTTATTCAGGTCATGTATTGCATCTCTGTAGATTTTTTTTTTTTTTTTTTTGAGACAGAGTCTCACTTTGTCACCCGGGCTGGAGTGCAGTGGTGTGACCATCACTCACTGCAGCCTTGAACTCCTAGGCTCAAATGATCCTCCTGCCTTAGCCTCCTGAGTAGCTGGGGCTACACACATGTGCTAGCATACCTGGCTAATTTTTAAAATACTATTTTTGTAGAGACTGGGTCTTGCTATGTTGCTCAGGCTCATCTCAAACTCCTGGCCTCAAGTAAACCTCCTGTCTCAGCCCCCCCCAGAGTGCTGGGATTACATGTACAGGCGTGAGATGTCATATCTGGCCTCCATACAATTTTTTAAAAATTTGTTGTGAAGCAAAAGTTTCTATAAGTCTTGCTGGATCTCAATAGACTGAATTAAATCTTATGGATATACAGCCCTGATGACGGAGCTTGCTTCTTTTCAGGTGATATCTTCTTACTATGAAAAGATAAAATTTCATATGAGAATTGACCAGAGAGCTTTTTTTTTCTTTTCAACACTAGAAAAACAAATGTTTTGAAAGTTATATTGAAAGATGTCATTTTTGTATACATAGTAAATGGACTGGATTGAGCCATGTGATTAGGGAAACTTGTTTTTATTTTCTGGTATTATAATTTTTTCTTTATGATATGAAAACACAGTAGTATATTTCAGTACTGTATTCTTGAAGGTGACAGAACTCTTCTCCACTATTTAACCAAATAATTTTTTTCAATCCTTTCTGTTAGGTCATATTGCATCTTCAGTAATGGATCCAGCAGCAATCAGGATCCCTTTGCTGGACACTTTGTGTAGCAACTGGGACAGCCCTGGGTTTGGTAGATATAGCCAATGGTATACCTTCTTCAGGCAGTCAGCGTCCGCTTTTTAGTGTACTTACTGTGGTTCTTCTACTACCTGGTGATACTAAAATCAGCCATCGTTAGTACATGTCAGCACCTCAGAAACTCTTCTTGAAGGACATTTAAATTCATGGGATTTCAGTTTCCTGGTCTTCAAAGCAATGAGTAATTTTACAGAAAATTATAGGGAGAATGAACTGAGACAGTGTATATAGCAAAATCCACATATTTAGGGGCTTTTTGGTATGAACTCTTGCCATTATTTAATATTTATGTTTATAGCCTTTCTTGTCTCTTTTTTCTATTCTCTATGGCTCTTACCCTCATTGGTGAGGCTTTATAGTCTCAGTTTTTGTCAAAACCACAGTCTACTACTTTTACATACATTGTTTTTTAAAAAAACTTTTCCTTTCAATTTGATTGTATCACTTAACACAGACCATAGCTTCAGATAATGCTGTCATACTCTATTGCCTAGACAGACAGGAAACCAAAGCCACAGAGAGGTTTTTTTCAAATAAAGAATGGCTGATGGTAACAACAGATAGAATGTAACTTTGTAGAACCATAAAATAGTTTCAGTTTTCAGGATGAGAGAGGAAAACACACAGATAAGACCTGTGAAAATGTATGGCTATTCCTGACTTGTTGGGTTTGGGTATTCAATATCACCCACAATACTTTGGGCTAATTATGTTCTCAGTATTCAAGACAAGTAAAAGGTCACATTCCCAGCTGTAAGTTCTCACCAACTGGAGTGGCGAAGCTTGTCTTTAAACAATGACTTAATCCAGGGATACTTTTTCATGGGCCATTTTAAAAATTGTTAAGCTATCATAGTCACATCTATGTTCACAGCTATCATTATATTCATTATGTTTGCCTCATCCTGAAATATGGCTTGTATGCGAATGGTAAGCAGTAGATCATTTTAGAGAGAGCTTTTCAGAGTTAATTATGAGAAGAGTAGAGCACCTATTCCTTGAAATTAGCACAGATATTTAGGAAAGAAAACTTGAGCTATTCTTTAATTTCACCTAGCCTTGAATAGCAAATATTTCACATATTCCTTCTTATTTTTTAACACCACAAATAAATTACTACTATAATACTTATTAATATTCATAGTTTCATAAATAAAATGTCACTGCCTCTCCACTAGACATTCCATAACTAGTTTAAAAACAATACTACCACTTTGTCTTTGGCGTGAAGACAGTAACTGATCTCAATAATATAACGTCTTATCTTATTCATTTCTCCTCTGAATATGAAGAAGAAACAATTTTTTTGTGAATCCAGAGCTTTCACATATAAGCAAAAGAAATTCTCCTCTACCTGACAAAATAATGTTACTTACTTTTACCTCAGTGTTAAATTAATAGTTTTGATTTCTGCTTTTGACTATAGCTGTGATTGTAGTGGAACAGAAAATTATATTACTTTAAATTGTAGAACCAAAAGTTTTTAACAGGGCTTTGGGGATACATTTCTTTGCTTCCCATAGAGGTATTTCCTTTTTAAAGACCTTCAAAGTCAACCATTCTATAACCTTCTTAAGTAATATGCTGACCAATCACAGAGTCGATTTTAAGTATTTATTTTGTGAAACTTTTTACCATAAAAAGTATTTGCAAATGCCTCATGGAGATAGAAAATCATTTGTTGCTATTCTGAAGAAATTATATCACATTCATGAATAGTAACACTTTTATAGTGTTAGTAAATATAAATAGTTAATTTCTAATAGTTAGAAATGGTAATTTCAAAAGATAAATGGTCAGTTGAAATCATAGTTTTATTAAAAAAAATTAATTTGGGGCCACAAAGAAAAAATGTAGAATTAACCACAGGAATGCTGTTTTCTTGTGTTTATGCTTTAAATGACTATATAATGTATTACTATAAATATTAAATATTAAAATATTTCTGAAAAGAAATGGAGTTATTTGACAGAATTATACAAGCAATAGCCTATAGAATCTATTAATATTGGAATATTTTTAACATTATAATTTACACAGCAGCAGAGAAAGTCTGTGAGCACCTTGGCTAATCTCTTCAGTCTCAACAGGTGATGGTCATCCCTCTACATCCAAATACTCTGTTTCTCCTACCAAATGACAAGCAACCAATGAACAACAACAACAGTTCTATCCGAAATGTTTCCCTAGGTTGGTGCTTTGGGCCCTTCTAGTTTACAATGCTACCAACAATACTAATTTGGAAGGAAAAATCATTCAGCAGAAGCTCCTAAAAAATAATGAGTCCTTGGATGAAGGCTTGAGGCTACATACAGTGAATGTGAGACAACTGGGTAAGTGACTAATTTTTTTATAATATGCATTTTATACAACTGTATATTCAGGTTTACTTGAAACAACAGCAGAAATTTTCTTTATGCGCTATTTGTTTATGTAAGTTTTTTTTCTGATGGTGAAGTTCAGTAACAAATGAATGACATAGCAGAAAAAAAAAATCAGCTCAGTGTCTGTGAATCCAAGGGAATGAAGGAGGTAGATGAAAGTTTATATTTTACTTTAGGAACATATTTTGAAAATACTAACAATATGAACAAAATGCCAGAATAATCTTGATCATCACTGTTGTCAACTTTAGGGAAAAAAAAGAGTGTGTAGATGTGAATGTGGGAACTCTAATGAGATAAATCTTATAGAAGGAGATTTCCTGTTTTAAAACATCTCCTGCTGGGCATGGTGGCTCATGCCTATAATCCCAGCACTTTGGGAGGCCAAGGTGGAGAATAACTTGAGCCCAGGAATTCGAGACTAGCCTGGGCTACACAGGGAGACTGTCTCTACGAAAGATTAAGAAATTAGTTGGGTGTTGTGCTGTGCACCTGTAATCTCAGTTACTAGGCGGGGCTGAGGCAGGAGGATTACCTGAGCTTGGGAGGTCAAGGCTGCAGTGAGCCATGTTCATGCCACTGCACTCCAGCCTGGGCAGCAGAATGAGACCCTGTCTCAAAAAAACAAACAGAAAACGTCTCCTTCTCTCATGTTCCCTGTCTCTATTAGTGATACCACTGTCTTCACAGGACTAGGTCATGAATGTAGGGATTCTGTTGGACCTAAAATCAAGTTTCTCCTGGAGATCGTTCACATCCTAAGCTCTAGCCACACATATGGCACGGCTTGTACTTCCACAAAGAGGCTGTGCTGCTTCCTTTAGATACCCTTTCTATATCTTTGCACACTGTTCTTCTCCACTCCCACCGGCAACCTCATTATCACCTATGTATTTTTAAAGACAGCTCCTAAGTCAGCTCTTCTTTGGAACCTTTTCTGAAATAAAGTATAGACATCACTGCCTTTGAGCCTCTACTTCATGCTGTCCAGATGCCTAGAGCATCATATGCATCAGAAGACCATAGTACTTAGAAGACTAGATATATTTATGTTCACATATATATATATGTATATATTCTGTAAACAATAATCTCTGACTTAAGATCATATTTTCTTTTTTCTTTAACTCTTACTTCCCACATATTTCCAGAACCCAGCACATTCCCTGGAACTGGAACACTTGTTGAATAGACAAATGAATGAGTCTGCATGAGAATATTTTAGGAAATCAAATGTTCACAAATATGGATAACAAAAAGCAATTGTTTTAATGTTATTCTATGATTGCAATTATACTGTGATTAGGTACATTAGTAGAGATCAAAAGAAAAGAAAACTTTGACCCTTCGCCTTCTCTACACTCAGGAGGTTGAATTGAGGGAGGCAAGTGTTCCTCAGCCTTGAAGAGGGCGATTGCGACCAAGGCCATAATCACAGTCTAGTAAAGAGGCAGGCATCTCCACTTCTGTGAGGAGCCACCCATCTCTATTGGGTGGATGTACACCGTTACAAAGAACTCATAGAGATGGATGAATGCAAATAATAATACTAATCATGGTAATAAACCATTTCTGAGTCTCTATGGGAAAATACTTCTTAACAAATGGGGCTTTTTGGAGGGAGGGAGAATGCAAGCTGCTACCCTTTCACGTATAGGAGTCTTCACAAAGAAGGAGTCTGACAAATGGTAGTTTATCTATGACTGGAGAACCCTAGGAGGACCAGCACTGGCTCTGTCCTCATAGGCTGTGAAAGCCCAGCACCACTCTGTCCATATATTTAGACATTTAATTTATACCATTTAATTTAAATTATCCGTTTTATTGTTTTTCTGCAAATGAATCTGTGGATAAGCGCTTCTACCAATGGAAAAATAAAAGGCTAAAACCTAACAGTTTTAAAGTTCACAGTATACATGGGAAAGTTATTTGAATTTTCAGTTGGTGATGACAGTACTTGTTCCCAGAAAACTGATATAACTCACTAATGCTCAGTACTGAAATACAAGAGTTTATTGTTGTTGTTGACGTATTGCTGTTACTTTGATATCCTTTAAAATGTAGAATCTGAATCATTGATGTCATGAGGCTTACTTAGAGAGTCGTCAAACAAAAAGTCAGATGATGTGAGGATAAAGAAGTCTGAGAGTTTGTTGGTTTGCAGGTGACTTCCTGTGTCCCCCTTAGTTAGCTTCCAGGCAGGAGAGGCTATCAGAGCAGCTGGAACATTTTCTATAAAATAGCCACACAACTCAAAGAAGACACTATTGAGGCATCATTTCTAGGCTTTCCCCTTTGAAAAAAATCAAATTACATTTTGAATTTTTCAGGATTGTTTTCCTTCTCTGTAGGGTTTATTTCTTTGAATAAAACTAGTATCTGCTAATGATTAGAATGATAATGTATGTTTCATGTTTATACTTACATAACTGTGTTTTTTACTTAAGGTTTTGTCCAATGTAATGATTTTTGGATTTGAAGTGTATTAAATGTTAATGTTTTTTCTAACTTCTAATTTTTTTTTTTACAAATTCTGAAGATAAACACTAATATTTTGGTATTACATTAAAGAAATACCTAATTACCAGCATTGTCATTTTGCTTTCATCCTGCATCTCTAATCTCTAACTTTAAAAAATAGGTGAATATTTCTCATGCTGGTTCTTATGTTCATATAGGTCATTGTCTTGCCATGGAGGAACCCAAAGGCTACTACTGGCCATCTATCCAACCTTCTGAATACGTTCTTCCTTGTCCAGACAAGCCTGGCTTTTCTGCTTCTCGGATATGGTAATATTTTCACTGACTCTTGCCAGCAAAGCTACATGTTATCAGCCTTCCCAGGGTTATACGTGCAGCACGGTAGTTCTTAGGCATTATATTGATTGCAAAGAAGGGCAGGAATCTCTGTGTATGCCTGTATCATTCACTCCTGGGGAATAAAGATAACATAAGTGGATGACTCAGAAAGGCAGTGTTTTCCTCCCAGCCACATGCTAATCAAGCCCTTTCACAGAAAAACTGAAGAGTTTAGAAGCCAGTGGGTAGCACCAGAGCAAAGTACCTTGTATGTGGATGAACCTAGCCTACCCTTGGAACATGCGTCTGGAATTCCGAAACTTTTTAACTATTTTGACTGATTATTGCTGGAATGGGGAGAGGAGGCAAAGAGGAAATGAAGACAAGATCCAGATTGGGATAGTCTGCTGATGGAAACTGTCAGGGTGTAGATTTTCTCTAAATGTTTAACAGAAACCTCAGAGACTAGATAATTGCAGGGATTCATGGAATAGCAAGTCAAATCCATTTCTCTACCCACCTCACTCCCAATTAGAGTTTTCCTGGGGGAAATTCAGAAATGGAAACTGCCTAAGCATAAATACTTTGCATACTATAAATATTGCTGGGTTTGACACTTTGTAGGGAGCAAAGAAGGGGACTGTAGAGATGTATGGACTTGAGTTTGAAATGTGGCTCCATCTCTTCCTGGCTGTGAGAACTTGGAAAATTCGTTGATTTACCAAATTCCATTTAATCTTCTATAAGATGTGAATTATAATCTGCTTTGCAGAGTTATGTGAACTCAAAATCAGATTTTACCTGTAAAGTTCTTAAAGCAGTACTTGGCCAATGTATCCTAGGTTAGGATACTGCTGGTATTTTGTTTCCAAGATGCATGCTACTGATTTTTTTCCCATAAGAATTTTTAGCATGAAATTTATTTCAGTGCATTACAGTTTTATTTTCAAAGGAAACTTAACCTAGAAATCAAGGCAAATCCCAAAAGTTATTAACTAATCTTTTCAGTTCTAATATCATTTATAGGAAAACAGGAAAAGAAAACTTGTAGAAGGAAATAGTGCAAATGGAGAAACAAACTGGGGTGAGAGAGGAGAGAATAAGGAAGGGTGAGAAGAATGAGGTGGAGAAATGGAGAGAATTTGGGAACATTGTATAGATAGGGTGATAAACAGAAATAGGCTAGAGAGATAGAACGTAGACATATAAACAGGTACAGAGATAAACAGAGAATTAAAATGGAAAGAGTGAGAAGCTCAGTATCTTAAAGGGAAGCTTGTCCATTGATCATATTGTAATAAATGTATATATCATGTAAAAATCCCTTTAAGCAGTACAAAATAATACCAGTTATATCAAATATTTAAAATATCTATTTTGTTTCATAGTTTTTACAATGCTACCAACCCATTGGTAACCTACTGGGGACCTGTTGATATCTCCAACTGTTTAAGTAAGTGAGCAGTTTTCCTTTATTTCTCAAGGACAAAATGACATGACTTCATGCTTCATGATTTTCATTGTCTTCGAGAATATTCTTCTGCTCTGTGATACTGTTTTCATATTAAAAGGCAAATGATTGTTTCACTTAAGACAGAAAATACTTTTTACTCTCATTTTAACTTTCTGTTCTGTAGGGGATTAAAAATAGTAAGGAAAATCTAGAGAAGACAAAACTAATATATAAATTGATATTTGTATCAATGTTTTGTAGTTTGCATTAATTTTAAATAGCAAATATACACTAATTCAGGGATTCTGGGAATGTTTCTCTTAGAACTTTGTGTGTTCATTCATCCCTCCAAGTTATTTGTATCTTACTAAAGAGAGAAGTTAGTCTCTGCATAGAAAGAAATATTATTGCCTTGTGAATATGGGGATGAGGTATACACAGGAAAATCTCACTTTCTTGCTTCAACTGTAAAGTGAAATATTACACTCTACTTTGGATTCCTGGAAATGCTCTAAATATTCAGGTAAAACTTAGTGTTGTTTTCTTCTGCCTTTGTTTTAGAAGAAGCAAATGAAGTTGCTAACCAGATTTTAAATTTAACTGCTGATGGGCAGAACTTAACCTCAGCCAATATTACCAACATTGTGGAACAGGTCAAAAGAATTGTGAATAAAGAAGAAAACATTGATATAACACTTGGCTCAACTCTAATGAATATATTTTCTAATATCTTAAGCAGTTCAGACAGTGACTTGCTTGAGTCATCTTCTGAGTAAGTATTTTTTTTTTCCTGGAGAGTAAATTTTATTGGATAATGATGTTACATGATTTCTCACCTATCTGAATACTTTGTGCCCAGATTTCAGAATTCAAATCTCTGCAAGATGTATTGATAGTCGTTAATAGTGAAGCAAGGTCATTCACAACATGAACTTAAAAGTTCTGTGTGTTTTTTTTTTTGAGAAATACAATTTACAATATACATAGCCCTAGAAAGCATAAGCAGTCTTTCATTTTTTATTTGAAAATTCTAAATTTAGTTTAAAAATTATAAAATTCTAAATTTAGTCGACCAGTAGAGTTATGCATAACTGATCATTATAAGTCCACTATACTGTGAACTATGCCACTGACAGCCACAGCCACATGATTGTTGGACTTCTGAAATGAACATGCTGGGGCAGATGAAAATGTACCTGTATTTATATGATTCAATTTGTATTTAATTGCTTCATTTAATGTATTAATATTAAAATATTTAATGTTTTTCTATTTCCTTCTCTTCTACATTTCTCTGAAGAAAATTTTATATTTGTTAAAAATGTATTTTCTAACAATCTACATAATAACAATATAAACATTTTTATGGCATCTTGCAGTTCACAGAACACTTTTATCGCATTATTTCCTTTGATTCTTGATAAGCCGTAAGGTAGGGAGGATGCTTTTTCATGTTGGAAAAGAGAGGCTAAAATAAATGAAAAACAGTATTTGTTCAGGATGATTTAATTGTTAATTTTCTTTAAAGCAGATATTTCTCTTGAGGATTTATCCATCCCTGTGATTCCATATTTTAACAGATATCACTGTGGATTGGGGTAATTTTATGGGTGTTCATGTTAAGATCAGAAAATCTAAACACAATTTTATTTTGTTTGTATTTTGCCATGCAGCAAAACATGTATGTTTAAGAATCTAAAATATCATATTACTTAATAGTGGCATTTTTTGTCGTTACTTTAGAGCTTTAAAAACAATTGATGAATTGGCCTTCAAGATAGACCTAAATAGCACATCACATGTGAATATTACAACTCGGAACTTGGCTCTCAGCGTATCATCCCTGTTACCAGGGACAAATGCAATTTCAAATTTTAGCATTGGTCTTCCAAGCAATAATGAATCGTATTTCCAGGTAATGAGCCAGTGGTTTCTTTCATTTTAATTAATTAGTTAGACATATAAAAACTTGCTGATCACTTAGCAGTTGCTGCTTCCAAGAGGTCTTGGTCCATGAAGTGGCAAGGTCTGAATGTTGGCTAAGTTTAACTAGAGCAGTAGCCATAAAGTATTGTGGGAGCTCAGAGTGGGTATGCTTTCATAATCTGGGTGACAGGGGTGGTCAGCTTACCTTCTACAAGAGGGGTTACTGGAGCTAAGCATGAGTAGGGGCCACCATACTTGGGGTGAGCATCAGTTCAGTTAGAGGAAAGAGCTTTAAGGGCCCCAAGGTGAAAAGAAGCATGGTGCATTCTCTTTGCCAGTGGTTCTCAAACTGAACATTAGAATCTTCTGGAGGAGGCTGGGCGCGGTCTCTCAAGCCTGTAATCCCAGCACTTTGGGAGGCCGAGGTGGGTGGATCACTTGAGGTCAGGAGTTTGAGACCAGGCTGGCCAACATGGTAAACCCTGTTTCTACTAAAAATACAAAAAAAAGTTAGCCAGGCATGGTGGTGCAGGCCTGTAATCCCAGCTATTCAGGAGGCTGAGGCACGAGAATCACTTGAACCTGGGAGGCTGAGGTTGCAGTGAGCCGGAATCATGCCACTTCCCTCCAGCCTGGGCGACAGAGCAAGACTCTGTCTCAATAGAAAAAAGAAAAAAATAATCTTCTGGAGGACTAGAGGACTTGTTAAAACAGATTTCTGGGACCTACTCCAGGAGTTTCTGATTTAGTAGGTCCTGGGTAGGCCCACCAAATTTGCACTTTTAGCAAGTTCCTTAGACATTGCTGGTCTAAGGATCATACTTTGAGAACCCGTGATGTAGAAGTCTGGGATAGCAGGTGACAGTACGGCTGGACACATAAGCTGGGGCTGGATTAATGGAGAACCTTTTCAACATGTTCAAGCGACACATAAGCAAAGAGTTTTCAAGTTCCTACTACATGCCAGGCACTATTAGCCACCAGAGCAAACAAAATGAATGAAGCATTGTCCTTGACCTGGGAGAGTATAGTATGTGAAGCACAATATATCTTTTAACTGTGGAGATAGAACAAACTGAAAATATAAAAAGCCTGAAATCAGGATACAGGCAAGACCTTTTTTCTCCATTAGACTAGGGGCTCTTTTGGGTAATTCTTTTTCACATTTTAAGAGTAAAACTCAGTCAACCTCCGTCTCATTCCAAGACAATTTGCAGGAAAGCATTCTTTGTCCTTGAGCTATGGTTTCAGGAAAAATGCTATCTGAGAGTGTTCATAAAATTTTAATGCAGTCTGAAATCAACAAGTTAACTTCAGTCTCTTTCTCTTTCTCTCTCCCTTGCCCCTTTCTCCCATAGTTATTATCTTTCACTACGTGTTTTGAGAAAACCTCAAAATCTGCTGCTGGTAAATCTAATTCTTATACTTGAAAATGTTGACTGATTTATAGATTTCTTCCTATGTCTTAATTAAAATCAATGCATTTTCTCCTTTGGCACACATGTAAAACCCAAATGAGATCTACAGCTCTGTCTGTAGGGGTTTATCCAGGAGTTGCAGTGACTACTGTAGATACAAAGGGAAGTCCTGGTACTGGCTAATTTGAACTTGCAATTGTTCACTCGCCTAACTATACATGTGGAATAAAGTTATTACCATTCAATTATGATTACTTGACCAATATATCTGTGTGTGTGTGACAGATGGATTTTGAGAGTGGACAAGTGGATCCACTGGCATCTGTAATTTTGCCTCCAAACTTACTTGAGAATTTAAGTCCAGAAGATTCTGTATTAGTTAGAAGAGCACAGTTTACTTTCTTCAACAAAACTGGACTTTTCCAGGTAAGCACATTCATTAAATTATTGTTTTTCAACTGCAAATGAAGTTTCTTTGAGCAAAGAAAACAAAACTTTAGATTCTGTTGAAATATATCAGAAGGTTTAGAAAAATTTACTGTGTTTTCAAAACTGAAAATTTTTAATATAATTGTTTAAATATTTTATTTCAGATAATATGCTAATTAACAAGTTGTATGTACTTCAATTTTTAAAATAATTCAAGTATTAGGCTAAGGCTTGCATTAAACAATTAGAAATTGAATTAGTGAAGAAATGACCGTTTATTATTACTTTTATTAAATATTTTATGCTCTCCAATCATTTAGGCCTTTACAGTTAAAGAAATTGCACACCAAAGGAAAGGGTTTTTTTTTTTTCTTTAATTTAGCAGTAAGTACTGTTTACATAATGAGCAGCATTCTTGGCTTTAATCAGTTTTCCCATTAGTATTTCAAGTGACCTTTGGTCTTTACACATCCGCAGAGTAAGATGGAATTGTGCTAAGCACATATTATCATTTTTATTGGCATCATTTCTAGATTCTAGAAGGCCCACTGCCAGCAAACACTGGTGACCTCTGTTTGCCTTTACAAGTACAACCTGATCGAGAGCAGGTTCGCTGGGCCCTTTTTAAAAAATAAAACTTATCTATTAAATTCAAGATATCATTGCATATTGAACAATGTGACTTATATAAAATAGCAAGTCTCAAGGTCAGAGAATTGTTTCTAATAGATCTGCCTTTATATGTCATGTGTAGAGGAGCAGCCAAGTAGAGATATAGTCAAGGAAAAATAATACCATGGAATCCTTGACAGTAGTTAATTCCAAAATTTAAAAATTTTATCAACAAATGTTTTAGGAACCAGCTCTATACAAATTTGGTGATTTATATGAATGCAATTTATATATTTTGTATAAAACGTGTAATTTATCCTGAAAGATTTAATAGCTATAAACATGTACAACTGCAGTTTTAAAAATTATGGTAACTTGAAGTGTATGACAATGTTACCTTAAAACCAATATAAAAATGCAGCAAAACATGTATGTATGTAGGTGCCACAAAATGTGAATGGTACAGAAATGGAGTCCAGTGCAGGGAGAAGGTTTAGCCCTGCACTCTTAGATTTGCAAGCATCTGTCATTGTTTTGAGTCTTCTCCATATCATTGTTTCCTTCTCCTTTGGTATTTCTCTACCAAAGTTGTTATTAGGAAGCATATCTGGCCAGGCGCAGTGCCTCGTGCCTGTAATCCTAGCACTTTGGGAGGCTGAGGAGGGAGGATTGCTTGAGACCAAGAGTTCAAGGCCAATCAAGCCAACATAGTGAGACCCGTCTCTTTAAAAAAAAAAAAAAAAAAAAGGAAGCATATGTTCAGTTTCTAAAGTTAATTTACAGGAGAATGAAAAAACTTTAAAGGTTCTGTGGTGCTCCCCTATCATAGAGGGCAAGGTACGATGGTGATGGTGTTTTTTTTTGTGTTTTACTGAAAGGCTGGGTATCACCAGCTAATAGCTGAGTTTAATAATGACCACCACACAAAATTAACAAAAAGCTATATTCTGGATGCTGAATTTTATTTGGAATTTATCCTGTGATTATTCCAAAACAACTGATTTGTAAGCTATGATATAAAGAGAAATTCAGGAGATTTGACAAGAAATACAAGGGAAAGAAAAAAATAGAGATGAACTTGCAGAATAGAATGCTTATTGGTCCAAACCATTTTATGGGACAGATTTGATTTCCTGACAGCCTTATTGCTTAAGTGAAATCTGCAGATGCTGGCAAGTATACAGTCAGAGAAGAAGGTAGAAGTCCTGGATGGGACTTGAATCCAGTATTACTTTTAGGTATAAGTTAGTAAACATGTCAGGCTGTTGGCATGGATGTGAAAGATGTCTTGCTTTTTATTTTTCACACCATATTTTCTTCATACTTCTCTGAAAGAAAACAACATCTATCTTCTAAAGTAGGGAAATGATCTAATTGTTTCACAGCTTTTTATGAGTTTATATTATTTATGAGTCTGCATTGTTTCAGTTGTTAACTGGCTGACATCAGTCACCACAATCAAGAATGTAGTTTTATGAACTCAGTCTTACAATATTGGCTCCCAACATTCCCTCAATGTATTTATTATAATAAGGGAAATAGCAAACCTCCTTCAGGAAAGCCAGCAACTTGATGTGATAAACAGGATGTTCTAGAACTGAAGATCTTAAGTGTAAAAATTGCTGACAGTTTGCTTATTTTGGAGCACCAAAGTAAAATAAAAGTGTACTTCTGACTGATACACGCGATTTTTTTTTCTTTAAAAGGATGTAGGACCCCAAAGAAAAACTTTAGTGAGTTATGTGATGGCGTGCAGTATTGGAAACATTACTATCCAGAATCTGAAGGATCCTGTTCAAATAAAAATCAAACATACAAGAACTCAGGTAAGAAAACGCTCCCAATAGCATTTGGACAGAAGTGGACTATTTAATATACTAGTGGGGCCTTTTTTTCTACATGTTAAAAAGTAACTGACCCTTTTTTTGTGGAGTAGGGCCCAGTTTTCTATAAAGAGAGAACAACTGATCAGGTAGTGCTTTAAAGTCACAGTAAATTGAAGCAGCTGGAGAGGTTAGTCTTATCTAGGACTCAATAATCAGAAAGAGAAGGGAAGTGAAGAGAAGGGCTTCTATTTTTCAGATATAACATATATTGCTTCAGATAAATTAGATGCAGATGTAGTTGCACAATTCTGCCAATAGAGGTTTTGGTTGTTTCTTTGTATTTCTGTGTATATTTGCAAAGATAACTGCAACTGGGAAAGCCAACAAAGAAACAGGGGAGGGTGGACTTATTTTTTGAGAGGTTAGCAGTGGTTAGTCTTTGCAAATGTTGCTTTTCTTGTTGCTTCATTACCCTTGTCATCTGTTTGTTTGATAAAATTAGATGGAAGTTCTCATTGTCCCAGATGGCCCAAGAACAGGTTTTTCTCACTTTTCCAAAGGGCCCTCATCATGATTCTGCCATTTATTAGATAGGCAGGAAGACAGGCTGGAAATGAGTGTGCTGAGGATTGAAAGCCAAGTCACCTAAGATCTAGCCTCCTTTGCCACGAACCGTCTTAGACTTCCGTGTTCAACACTTTGGCTTCCTTTGTTTCAGCCCCTTCATTCATAAAGGACGATTTTTAAAAATTGTAGAACATACATAATATAAATGTATCATCTTAATCATTTTTAAGTGTACAGTTCAATAGCATTAAGTGTGTTCACATTGTTATGCAGCCATCACCACTATCCATCTCCCCAGTTGAAACTCTCCTCCCATTAAATACCCATTCCCTGTTCTCTCCTTTCAATAGCACCTGGCAACCACCATCCTACTTTCTGTCTCTTAATTTCACTACTCTAAGTACCTCATATAAGTGGAAACATACAGTGTTTGTCCTTTGTGACTGGCTTATTTCATAGCACAGTGTCTTCAAGGTTTATCCATGTTGTAGCATCTGTCAGAACTGACTTCCTTTTTAAGGCTGAAGAGTATTTCATTGTATGTATATACTAGATTTTGTTTGTCTATTCCTCATTGATAGACGCTTGGGTTGCTTCTACTTTTTGGCTCTTGTGAATAATGCTACTGTGAGCATGAGTCTACAGATATCTTGTCGAGTCCTTGTTTTCAATTTGTCTATGTAAATACCCAGACATAAAGGAGAATTTTGAAGATGATGTGAAATTGTAGTGTCAAGAGCTTTTCTAAATGCTAAGAATGAGAGTAGAATCAATATACTTAATGATGGGACATTTGTAGTAACCTACAGATAAATGAGTAGGTAGTATGATTCCTTATGAGGTTAGAGTTGATTTTCGCTTGAAGTCTCTATGGGAGAGAAGAAGATCCCCCTAAATTGCCTACATTTTCAGGTTGAATTGGCATGTTAATACTAATCTATTTCTTTGTGAAACCCTTCGTGTTTTTATTCTTTTGCCATATTTAAATCATGGCATTTTAAACACAATTTCACATGTTTATTCTTATGTTAATATAGGAAGTGCATCATCCCATCTGTGCCTTCTGGGATCTGAACAAAAACAGTAAGTTTTAAAATATTGGTTGTCTTAATATAGATAACAACTGAATTTTAAACATTGTTAGACACCCCCATTTCCTTTAATTCCACCCCAAACCAGAGTGAGTCACAATGTAAGTGTAAATGGCAAATGAGCTGCAAAGTTAGTTTAGGTAGCTTGGGAAGTCAGTTCTAATTTCTGTAACTTTTTAGTCATTGCAAGAAGAAATAGGCAGACTTCACTGTGTTTTCTTTCATTTTTCAGTTGAACAACCTCTTTGACATCAGTTATTTATAAAATACAGCATACAATTTTATTGCTACTTTTGATGAAAGTAGACTTGCACTTAATCTCATTCTTCTAAGACACAGTTGAGGGGATTATTTGATATGTGTAAGGCAGACAATTTAAAATCCAGCTTCCAGACCTCCAGTTATGAGGGAGGTGAGAAGCTGACTGAAGGAATGTAAATATAGAAATTGATATAATGGACATATATTACTTGAAAGAGATGAAGAGCCTGCAGAATTAGATTTGACAATCAAGAAAGGAAGGCAAAATTAAGGGATGAATCAATCAGTAGGCATAAGGTGTAAATCTCTTTGAAAGGAAGTACAAATAAAGAAGCTTCTTCTGTTTGTCCCCTTGTGAGGATTATTGTGGCCAGATTCATTCTGATATAAAGGCAGGGTACTTTGCTGATGAAAACAGCCTGAAAAGGGCAAAAACTTCTTTTTTTGATAGTTCTTGTCACAGCAAGACAGGAGTTTTTTGGTGGAGGGGTTTAGTTGCATAATTTTGAGAAGATCTTTACTCATTTACCTAGTTAAAAGTATCACTTTATTATCTTAAAATATTATTTAAATAAATGGATTCAATACATTGACAATATGCATTGCTCATATTCCATTTTATACCATGAAAGTCAAATAAGGTGGTTTCAAGCCATTTACAATCAGTTACTACCATTCATGATTTTTGTATACATAAATGGCACATTCTAAGAAAGCAAACCTTCTTTGTTCTTATGTCTTCATGAAAATGTAGATTAACCCTCAGAAAAAATTGTTGGTTCATTAGTGTGTAGTGTATTTGAAAATGAGTCTTCTTTTTGTGGAAGTTCATTTTAAAATATGTTAAAAATTAAACTTGAATCAAACATTTGTGGAACTCTCAAGTTTGAACCTACTGATTAGATCACCTCTAACTGCCCACCCAGAGCTAACATTTGATTATTCTAGGAATCCAAATTATTCTAAGCATTGAAAACTTTCATAATGGTATCCATTTTACAGATAAACTCTGTATGGCAGAAGAGACTGAGGCAAATTTCTCTATAGAAGGTCTCATCCATTATAGAGAAGAAACTGACCTGCTGTTTTCACACTGTTTGTTGATTCCTTCAACAGAAAGTTTTGGAGGATGGAACACGTCAGGATGTGTTGCACACAGAGATTCAGATGCAAGTGAGACAGTCTGCCTGTGTAACCACTTCACACACTTTGGAGTTCTGATGGTAAGGGGGGAATTTCTAAGCTCATTTTGACATGCTGTAACTTTGGATGGCATACTCCTTTTTTGTATGTATTTTTAGATTATGTATTTTGGGAATTATTTCCTGATAGTTTTCATCTGTACCGTGAATCTTAATTCTTAATAAAGAATCTAATTAGCAAAGATCACATATTAAAAATATGTGAAAGTAATTATAGAAAAGAACTTTCTCCCTTTTTTTCCTGTAGCATTAACAGTGATGATAAATAATCCCAGAAACAAGAAAATCCTCATGAAACTTTTTAATTAAGAGAGAAACAGAGTCAAAGAGATGGACGGGGAGACAAGTGGGAGGAGGGAGAGAAAGTTAAAGAAGAAAATGTTGGGTGTTACTAACATGGAAGGGAATTGTGAATAGTGTAATCAAAAAAATTTTTCTTATGTTGTCACTCATTCAATATATTTGAACGTTGCTTTGTACCTGGTACTGCACCGAGTGATCTCCCTCCTAGAGATTGCAGTTTGTTAGGACAGACTAGTGACTAGGGTTAGAATGGAGACTTCAGAGCTGCAAGAGAGATAATGGTTATGATGTTTCTGTCACTCTTAGGCCTCTATATCATTCTTTCCTTCCTTCTTCCATGCCCCTGTTTTATCTTATTAGCCAGCTTGCCAAACAGTTTTAAACAAAATTAGATTGCGTCAATGTGTTTTTCTTATCCCACCAAATTTTAAGACGCACCACGCATCCAGCGACTTCTTTGAACTCATCCATAGATTTATACCTTTCCCTTTTATCCAGTTTACCTGTGATTTTGCAAACACTTTTCTGGTCTCCAGGGTATGCTCTGGGTTGTAGCATAGCCTTTGTTTCTGTTTGGTTTTCATAAAGGGACCAAACCACATTTGTTTTTTAATAGGAGATAGGAGTGATGTGAGCTGAGGCAATAAAGCTTTTCAAATTAGAATCACAGACGTCAGGTTTTGTTTATTCCCGCCTTTAAATCTTGCACCCTTCTTCCTGTGGGGACTGGGAGGAAGCCTTGAGGATCTGTGGGATGTAGTATTTGGCTCACAAATCTACTCAGCCTATGTAAATGGCCATTGTCATATGGCAACCCTGCAAGTTGTAATTTTCCTGACAATCAAGTACATAAATGCTCTGCAGAATAAGAGCAAGTCATTTAAAAAGGTGATAAATCATAGAAGACACCTTTTTAACTATCTAAAATACAAATATTTTCCTTTTGCTGTCAAAGCATGAAAATGAACAATTAACTATTGCATGTTTTCCTTAAGTAATTATAAAAGAAAATTCAGTTTCCTTCCATGTTCTCTTTTTTGCAAAAGTGATAGCAGGCATTCTTTCAAAGAACACTTATTTTTTGTGATTACTCATTCAGGTATGTAAGCTTTAGCTTAATTCATTTAAATATTTCAACTATGTGCATGTTGTAAGTCTGGTATTAAATAAATAGATAACAGTAACAAAATTTACTCTTCAGAGATGATTTATATGAAGCCAGAGTTTGCCTGCCCACGACTTCATATGGCCAGTTCCTTCATATATTGTCTAAATTTTATTATGAGTTTGTAATTACGCATTATTTTTTCTGCTGCTATCTGATTGAATGGTTAATTATATATATATATATGTGAAGATAAGCATCATTCATGTTCTCTTTCCATTTTCTACCTTGTCTGTTTTTGTAATATTAAAAATTGCTGGTAGAAAATCTTTTCAGAACATATCCTTTTTGGTGATGTTCTCTTATCTTTTCAGTTTTTCCAGACCACCAAGACTTTGTTAAGAGTTTTTCTTGACTTAGAAACTCTTTATTCACTTGTATAAGATATTCCCAGAGTCTGCATTGTCCCATGACACATTCACCAGTTCACCATATGAGATGCTAAAACAATGCACCTCATACCTATAATTATATCTTCTGGTCTACAAATATTTCAAGAATTTAATGTCTTCTGCTACATTTCTTTGTACTAAAACTGGCTTTCATGAAGATTAGTACATTTTCATATTGGCTATATCATAAAAGTTTTCATATTTTCATTCTCTAAAAGAACAAAACAACATGAAATTGTGTATAAATCTGTAAACAAATCTGTAAGCAGCCTTATTTAATTTCTATTTGAAATTCTGGATTTAATTGTGATTTGCAAGTCATAGGTTTTTCAAGAATTTGTGACACATCACTTGGCAATCTCTCAAAACCATGATTCATCTCTCTGGGCTGATGAATCATTGGTTGAGTTAGCCTATCTGTGAATCAAGTGGCACCAACTCAAACCCCATCCCATGTACCCTGGGTGCCCCGTGTTCTCCCAGTGTTTTAAGGGATTCCTGGGATAAGAAGATAGGGGGAGCCCCCTCAGACTCTGAGCCTCTGCTTCTGCTGAATTCCATCACTTCGTGCATGGCTTGATGTTGCAGAGATACTGTACCTGTTCTTTACTGCATCAGTGAAACCTGAAACTAACCCACATTTCTTTATCACACACACACACACACACACACACACACACACACACAACTTAAGGCCTGTGTGTGAGTAGCAGATTTTATTGGCATTTTGATGACAGTTAAAGGCAATTTACATATAGAAGGAAAAATCATAAACATTTTCTCCATAATTTAAAACCTAAAAGTTTACGCTAGATATTCAATACATCCCTTCTGTAAGAACACTCCATTTTTTAACATCTACATAAAGGAGGTACTTTTCTCCTCCAACCAGGATTGAGTGAGTGGTCTTACCTCAAGATTTATTCCTATCCCAATCCCCCATTTAAGGCAGAAAAGAAAGATTTTTCTACCAAGTCCAGACCTGTAAGTCTCCCTTAGCACATTGAAATTAATACTTTATATTAATACACTGGAAAGTATTTACTTCTTTCCACTCCACAACAGCCCCAAATAATTTAAATTGTATCCTTTCAGTACTATAGGAATAAAAAAGTCTATGACCCCCAAAAGTCTTAATGGCATCTCAGTTATGAAAATAAAGACAGTCCCACCTCATACATACCAAGCATTGAAATAACCAGGGTTAGGAGCCTCCGCACCACCCTTAGAGCCTGGCAGTCACAGCACCAGCACCAGCCTCTGGCTGAGCTCCTTGCTACCTGGCAAGGAACCTAAAGGCTTGAGGGTTTGGCCATATAGACTACTGTGGTCTCCATTTGAACTGGTGCCCCAAGCCCTGCAACTGTTAGGAATGGGCCTGATGGTTTATTATGCAAGGCAACCGTCTCCTCTCCAATTTCTGTTGAGAGTCCTGGTGGTTTTGATCTTCAGGTTATACCGGTTTGCAGAAAGCTTGGGAAAGAAGGTAATGATGAAAAACAATGTGTAACGACTTCCAGAAGTAATGCTGCATTTTTTTCTTTTATTTATTGATCGAAAATAATATAATAAATGGAAATTTTAATATTGATTTACACTGTTGGTTTTAGCCCCTGAGAGTAAGCTGCTCTAATGTTAACAGTGAACTTTCTAGTGAAACAGAGAACCATTCTCATGAGAAGAGAGTTTCTTACAGCTGCTCGCCATGTTTTATGTAGGACCTTCCAAGAAGTGCCTCACAGTTAGATGCAAGAAACACTAAAGTCCTCACTTTCATCAGCTATATTGGGTGTGGAATATCTGCTATTTTTTCAGCAGCAACTCTCCTGACATATGTTGCTTTTGAGTAAGTATATTTTTAATCTGCCAAACCCATTGCTAACTGTTCCAAATGTGAATAAGAAAATTGCCTCGGCTTTGAAAAACATTTATACACTGTAGGGTGGTTGAACGTTAATGTTCATGTTTCTGATAAAATATATTATGTAACATGAATTTTCCAGCTATAGAATTTTAATTTATAATTGCTGTATTTCTATTTATAAAATGCATTCAAATCTGTTAGAAATGATTAACATTTAAGTAAGTAAAAATTATATAAGGTGCTTTCTGTATTGTAAAACATGAAAATGTTTGTTTTATAATCTTATAAAATTAGTCCTGAAACAATTTTTTTAAGATCCTTTTAACTCATTAAAAATCAAAAAGGTTCAAATAATTTAGGGAAATTATTTTTTAAGAAAAATGTCATTCTTACAACTCTAGAATTTTTCCTGGGTTAAAAAAAAATTCAGTTGAAGCCCAACTGGGAATTGTATAAACAATTGGAAATAATTTTGAAGTAAACTAATATTTTTAAAGTCTTTATAACTTGCCAAATACTCATAAATATCCTTAGCCCCTCCTTTTAGCAGAACCACATCAGAAAGGTGGTGCTACTTATCTCATTGCAGGGTTGTATAAGATACGAATTTATACAGGCCTGTGCTTAAAAGATTGATATACAGTATTAGTTCTCTCATAGATTCCTTTTTTCATTTTTTAGGAAATTGCGAAGGGATTATCCCTCCAAAATCTTGATGAACCTGAGCACAGCCCTGCTGTTCCTGAATCTCCTCTTCCTCCTAGATGGCTGGATCACCTCCTTCAATGTGGATGGACTTTGCATTGCTGTTGCAGTCCTGTTGCATTTCTTCCTTCTGGCAACCTTTACCTGGATGGGGCTAGAAGCAATTCACATGTACATTGCTCTAGTTAAAGTATTTAACACTTACATTCGCCGATACATTCTAAAATTCTGCATCATTGGCTGGGGTAAGCCTCTTAAAATTTTTTTGGTTTTGTTTTTCCCTCATGAAAATTGCCAGATTCTCATAGGAAAAAATCTTATTTAAAAAAAAATAGTACCATTAAGAGGAACCTCAAAATTGTGAATGGCATGGATTAGATATACATAGCCTAAGGAAGGGACATCTTCACAACTTTATTTTTTAAAACTCATCAACAGCACTCACTATATACACGAGTAAAGGAAAAGCCCTCACTCCCTGAGTCACCACAAACTTATTTCCTGAGCCCAGAGCCAGCCCACCCAAGTCTGAAGAAGCAGCTGGCAGGCAGTGATGTCTTTTCCATGATGCTTTAAAATACAAAGGCCAGCTCAGACGGCTAGTTACACTCATCCCCAGACACATGCCTATGTCTTGGAAACCAGAGAAAGAATGTTATTCTTGCGTGTGCAACCAGAATACTTATAGGATTATTGCCTTGAACTTTTTGTAATAACATGAGTCCTCAGTCAGACATAGGTGGTTGTATTAACCTGTTTGAGATCTTCTATTGTGCTCCCTTATTTTTGCAGGCTTCATATTGAGCCAGGCATTTTAGAGCTTTCTCACAGATCTGTTTCAGATGGAAATATAAGTGAGAGATATTTTCAAGACCTTCAAAACCACCTCAGGAGGCAATAAGCACACTCTTCAGAGACCTGGGATGCCTGCCATAGCATTTCCCCACTGAAATATACATGGAAATACTTTATTCAATCTCTGGGGAGAGAAGGCTACAAAGACTTTATAGCCCCCTTGCTTTTCCTCCACTTTTTCTAAAGAGTTTTCTTTATATAGAAGGAGGCAAAATAGGCTGTAATGACCTTGTCTGCCTAAACTCTGCCAGTCTAACAAGGCTTAATTAATGAAACCACATTCACTAGTGCTAGATTTGATACAAATCAGGTTTAGTTTTCCAGTGAGTCCCACTAAGCAAACAGAATTTTATTTAAATATCTGTCATTTAAGAGTAGGTTTGGATTGTTGCCAGTTAGAGTTGGACATTGAACCCCAAGGAGGGGATTTTGTTGTTAACCAAGTTGCCATTTCTAAGAAGTTTGAATCTGGGATATGGAATGTTGGCTTGCTTGCATTTCTCTTCTTTTCATTTCTTTTCTTTACATTTCATTAGCAGTCTTATGAAGCAGTTTCAGATGCTTCAAAAGAGTTTGTGTCATGGTGTTTTTGTAACAGGTTTGCCTGCCTTAGTGGTGTCAGTTGTTCTAGCGAGCAGAAACAACAATGAAGTCTATGGAAAAGAAAGTTATGGGAAAGAAAAAGGTGATGAATTGTAAGTAATAAAAACTTTTTGTGATGAGTAGATATCCTTTGTTTCCTGAAGTTTAGCATTAATTTCCATGCCAATAACAAGGCTTTCATTTTAAAAGGTTGATGTTTATTCACATGACTGCCAAAATCTCTGCTACACCACAGATTAATTCAGTTGAATGCCCTGAAATGTTTGAGACACTTTTTCATATTAACATTGTACTCTGTCATATGGAGGAATTGAGAAAATGCCTAAGACAGTTTTTTAGCCTCAGAAGACCCATTCTATTTCAGAAGATTTCATAACACTCTCACCTCCTCAAACCCACCCACGTCTTCAAGAGAGTTAAATAGCAGTATCAGACAGAGAGTGAATGATTCATTGCCAATGGGAGTGTTAGGTAGAAATTTAGAGAATGGAGAAATCAGCATGTTCTTAAACAATTTCAAAAGTTCTCTTCAGATTGTGAGATCATTGAGATTAAGGGTTTTATATTGTTCAGTTTGGGCAGTTACCGATCTCCTATTTTATTAGTCCACCATGGGTACTCAATAAATATATGTTGATTGAAAAAATTACTGAATGAATAAAGAGCCTATTTCTGAAATGGGACCCATCATGCCACATATCTATGCATATCTCATGGATGGATAACATTTACATCGGCTGGGCGCAGTGGCTTACACCTATAATCCCAGCACTTTAGGAGGCCGAGCTGGGTATATCACCTGAGGTCAGAAGTTTGAGATCAGCCTGGCCAACATGGCGAAACCCCATCTCTATTAAAAATACAAAAATTAGCTGGGCATGGTGGTGCATAGCTATAATCCCAGCTACTACTCGGGAGGCTGAGGCAGGAGAATCATTTGAATCTGGGAGGCGGAAGTTGCAGTGAGCCAAGATTGCACCATGAACTCCAGCCTGGGCAACAGAGTGAGACTCCATCTAAAAAAAAAAAAAAAAAAAAAAACCCACTTACATCCAATCACTTATCCAATCTCTGTCCCATTTCTTCACAGTCTTGCCATCTCTTATATTTGTAAAGTGGCACTCAAAAGACCCCACAAGAACTAGGGAAAAATAATGGGGCTAGGTGAGGAATTCCAGAATTTTAGAAGAACTTCTGTGTGTAAAAGAAACGTTAGCTCTAGGGACAAGCAACATTATTCCAGGGACATTTATAACAACATACATTAAAAGTAGAAATTAATAAATAATTTCTAAATAAGAGAATTTTAGAAGTATGTTCATCAACTCATACAGAACTTTAAAGTACCATTTAGTAAACTGCTATACCATTAGGACATTTCATTTATTGATAATTTACTGTATGCCAGAATCATGTTAGTTTCTAGAATTCAAAGATGTGCAGGACAGCTTTTGCCTTTGTGGAGGTTATGTTCCAACATGGAAGATATGGCCCAGAATAATAACCATTTGTGCTAGAATTTCAAGATGAATTTAGTTGCTTTAAATCATTTATTCAATTTTTGAGGTGTCTTAAGAATTCCTATAGCGTCGATTAGGCACTAGGACATCTACAAATTATATTATTTGACAACTTTGCATATAGTACAGTTTTAAAATTTCTTTAATCTACTATCCAATATATATATTATAAGTATCAAGTATCTTCTTCTCCATGTCACTGGGATATTTTGTAATCATTGTAAGCTACGTAATTGTGCATGACAACCATCTGTATATTAATCTCAATTATAAGGTCTTGCCTCATCTACAGCAATGATATTAGTAGTAATTATTTTGCCACAGTAACAAACTCACAACTAGTTGTGACTTAAGTGAGTAGGAGTTTACTCTTTGCACATGACAAGAAACATGGTAGTGGCAATCACTGGCATGGATTTTGTGGCTAAAAATGTCAGGGCCAACAACTCTGCAGCAGGCTTGACCTCTCTGTCATTGGACAGAAGATGCTGGCTGCGGCTCCATAGCTCACTTGCACGTTTGAAGCAGGAAGAAGGAATAAGGACCTTGCCAGTTGAGTCTACCACTAATAGCTCTTCCAAAAATCCTTTGGCAGACTTCTACTTCCATATCACTTTATAAAACGATGTCATACAGCCACTCCTTAAATACAAAGGAGACCAAAAATTAGTTTTTAAATTTCCCATTCTCAGTGTACAGGCACCCAAAAGAAAAGGAGGTTAGACATGGCTTGGAACAAGTCAGCCAAGAGTGTTTTCATATCAACTCAGAAATCAGGAAGCAACCTTGTCTTCTTTGTAATATTGGCTTACCTAGATATTAAGACAATGGCCATCCAAAAACAAATGAACAAAAGACCTATGAAGAGATTGAAGAAGAAACTGAGGTCCAAGGAAGTAAAGTGGCTTTCTAAAGACATTTGAGAGGAAAATCTGCAGTAGCCCAAACTAAGCTGAGAAAAGTCTTAGGTAAACAGGACATGGTAATAAATCTTTTTTTCTTTCTCATTTCTTCTTTTTTAAGCTGTTGGATTCAAGATCCAGTCATATTTTATGTGACCTGTGCTGGGTATTTTGGAGTCATGTTTTTTCTGAACATTGCCATGTTCATTGTGGTAATGGTGCAGATCTGTGGGAGGAATGGCAAGAGAAGCAACCGGACCCTGAGAGAAGAAGTGTTAAGGAACCTGCGCAGTGTGGTTAGCTTGACCTTTCTGTTGGGCATGACATGGGGTTTTGCATTCTTTGCCTGGGGACCCTTAAATATCCCCTTCATGTACCTCTTCTCCATCTTCAATTCATTACAAGGTAAGATAAATTGTACATGAATAGTCTCTGCTTTCTAATTTTGTCATATTTGCAAGCAGCTTCACTTTTGGACAGATGCCATGTTAAGTTTCTGTGTCACTATTTCAAGTGCTGAATATAGTTCCATGTGCAGTGTGGTCACTTGTTAAAAGGGTCTTGAATAGATAAATGAGGTAGAATGTTAGTTTTGCCTTTTTATCAGTGGTATATGCCAAGCACCTAGAACACTGTACCTGGCAGATAGTAGGTACTCCATAAATGCATATTATTTCATGAATGAATATGGAGCAAGGGAAGTATCTAGCTGAGAACCAAACGGGGAGTTTAAAGGGATGCACAGACAAGTTACCTTCTTCACAGTTTTGCTGAATGTTGGTCCTCTTCATACATCCTGTCCCCTGAAGATTTACCGTTGATGGCCAGAAGAATTTTTAGAGTCTATGTAAGAACAGTAGCAGTTCACCTTGATTTTTTGGGTCCTTTGATTTCAGAATAAATACCAACACTCTAGTTCAGGAACTTTTATCTTTTTATGAGAAATGTTGAACATTTCACAGTTAGTTCAACAATTCAACAAACATTTGTCAATGGTCTGCTTTGCATAAAAATACCAGGCTTCCTTCAAAGAGCTTGCAGTCATACCTCTTATTCCATAATACATACCATAGTATACTCTATAATAAATTTAACTTTTAAGCTTAAGGGAATATAAATTGTCTTTTTAGATCATTAAATGGAATTCTTTAAGATTTTGAATATACCCTGTACTGTTGATGAAACTCCTTAGTGTGCAGAAGCACCATGAGGCCAACACTCTAAAAGAAATTAGAATGCTTGGAATGTTTCTGAGTAGAGCAGTGCAAATGGCTTAACTGAAGCTATTGGTCTTGCAGTTGTAGATGTCTGGGGAAGAAATTGCTGAATATATCTGAGCTGGGGTGGAAAGCAGATTTGTATTACTCACCAAATGAGGTGCCAAGGTGGGTACTCCCTGCAAGTGTGTTTTAAGAAAGTCTGTAGTTATCTGCAGGGGAGAGTTGGTTACTGCTTATCTCCCATGCTCTTCCACTAGCTTGTGAAGTGCAAAATAATTGTCACATGGTAGGTGCTTAATGATTGGTAAATTAATGGATTGCTAGATGGAGAAAGAGGCTTTGGGGATGGCCTATTCCAATCTGAGATGCCTCTGGCATAAATATGTATTAACTAGTTCAGCAAATTTTATTCAGGTTCATTGTCTTATAACAAAGGAAGTATGTAGGCTCATTATCTTTAGTCCATAGAATAAGCCTCAAGTGCAACTCCAAAAATTGGAAAATGAGTATGTAGCATATAAATACATCTTTATTGGGATCTAGCTTTATAAAGTGAGTATTCCTCTATTTAATCTCTTCTATAATATACAACATAAAAGTGCTTAAATAAATATTGACAAAAGTATCCATTAACATTAGAAATTCCATGGTTTCATATTTCAGGATTGTATATAAAAGGCACATTGATCTGCCAGCCCAGCCTTGGTTTTGCTTTTAGAATTTCCTGGCAGTTTCAGTAACCTTCAACAGCTACAGTTGTCTGTTCAGCTCTGTTTCCATTAATGAGAATTGGGATGTTTTATTTTTCCCAGCATGGGTCCCCTGTCAGGAGGGAAAAATGTTGTAAACCATCATCAACTCAGTGTTCTTCATAAATCACTGACTTTTAAGACTAATTTTAAATCATATAAATTCAGAACAGATTTCAGCACATTTAATTATATTAAAACACCTCCCAGAAAGAAAATTTAAATTAAAAGGCAGTGATACAGAGCACATGAGTCTACCAACAATTGCTTGCTGCCCAGGCTTGTGCCAAAACTTCTTAGGATGCTATGGAAATTTACTTAATGGTTTTTATTGTTGAGTCATTTTCAGAACCTTCCAAGAGAGGCTTTGTTGTTAGCAGTATATGCTTTGTTAAAAGAAGCATGTAGAATTTAGACAGCTTAAAGAAATGATTCAGTGAATGCAAAATGAACTCAGGTAGTAAGGAGGCAAACTACATTATATCTAATTTTTTCTCTTTTTTTTTTTATTATACTTTAAGTTTTAGGGTACATGTGCACATTGTGCAGGTTAGTTACATATGTATACATATGCCATGCTGGTGTGCTGCACCCACAAACTCGTCATCTAGCATTAGGTATATCTCCCAATGCTATCCCTCCCTGCTCCCCCCACCCCACCACAGTCCCCAGAGTGTGATATTCCCCTTCCTGTGTCCATGTGATCTCATTGTTCAATTCCCACCTATGAGTGACAATATGTGGTGTTTGGTTTTTTGCTCTTGCGATAGTTTACTGAGAATGATGATTTCCAATTTCATCCATGTCCCTACAAAGGACACGAACTCATCATTTTTTATGGCTGCATAGTACTCCATGGTGTATATGTGCCACATTTTCTTAATCCAGTCTATCATTGTTGGACATTTGGGTTGGTTCCAAGTCTTTGCTATTGTGAATAATGCCACAATAAACATACGTGTGCATGTGTCTTTATAGCAGCATGATTTATAGTCCTTTGGGTATATACCCAGTAATGGGATGGCTGGGTCAAATGGTATTTCTAGTTCTAGATCCCTGAGGAATCGCCACACTGACTTCCACAGTGGTTGAACTAGTTTACAGTCCCACCAACAGTGTAAAAGTGTTCCTATTTCTCCACATCCTCTCCAGCACCTGTTGTTTCCTGACTTTTTAATGATTGCCATTCTAACTGGTGTGAGATGGTATCTCATTGTGGTTTTGATTTGCATTTCTCTGATGGCCAGTGATGATGAGCATTTTTTCATGTGTTCTTTGGCTGCATAAATGTCTTCTTTTGAGAAGTGTCTGTTCATGTCCTTCGCCCAGTTTTTGATGGGGTTGTTTGTTTTTTTCTTGTAAATGTGTTTGAGTTCATTGTAGATTCTGGATATTAGCCCTTTGTCAGATGAGTAGGTTGCGAAAATTTTCTCCCATTTTGTAGGTTGCCTGTTCACTCTGATGGTAGTTTCTTTTGCTGTGCAGAAGCTCTTTAGTTTAATTAGATCCCATTTGTCAATTTTGGCTTTTGTTGCCATTGCTTTTGGTGTTTTGGACATGAAGTCCTTGCCCATGCCTATGTCCTGAATGGTAATGCCTAGGTTTTCTTCTAGGGTTTTTATGGTTTTAGGTCTAACGTTTAAATCTTTAATCCATCTTGAATTGATTTTTGTATAAGGTGTAAGGAAGGGATCCAGTTTCAGCTTTCTACATATGGCTAGCCAATTTTCCCAGCACCATTTATTAATTAAATAGGGAATCCTTTCCCCATTGCTTGTTTTTCTCAGGTTTGTCAAAGATCAGATAGTTGTAGATATGTGGCGTTATTTCTGAGGGCTCTGTTCTGTTCCATTGATCTAGATCTCTGTTTTGGTACCAGTACCATGCTGTTTTGGTTACTGTAGCCTTGTAGTATAGTTTGAAGTCAGGTAGTGTGATGCCTCCAGCTTTGTTCTTTTGGCTTAGGATTGACTTGGCGATGCGGGCTCTTTTTTGGTTCCATATGAACTTTAAAGTAGTTTTTTCCAATTCTGTGAAGAAAGTCATTGGTAGCTTGATGGGGATGGCATTGAATCTGTAAATTACCTTGGGCAGTATGGCCATTTTCACGATATTGATTCTTCCTACCCATGAGCATGGAATGTTCTTCCATTTGTTTGTATCCTCTTTGATTTCATTGAGCAGTGGTTTGTAGTTCTCCTTGAAGAGGTCCTTCACATCCCTTGTAAGTTGGATTCCTAGGTATTTTATTCTCTTTGAAGCAATTGTGAATGGGAGTTCACTCATGATTTGGCTCTCTGTTTGTCTGTTGTTGGTGTATAAGAATGCTTGTGATTTTTGTACATTGATTTTGTATCCTGAGACTTTGCTGAAGTTGCTTATCAGCTTAAGGAGATTTTGGGCTGAGACAATGGGGTTTTCTAGATATACAATCATGTCATCTGCAAACAGGGACAATTTGACTTCCTCTTTTCCTAATTGAATACCCTTTATTTCCTTCTCCTGCCTAATTTCCCTGGCCAGAACTTCCAACACTATGTTGAATAGGAGTGGTGAGAGAGGGCATCCCTGTCTTGTGCCAGTTTTCAAAGGGAATGCTTCCAGTTTTTGCCCATTCAGTATGATATTGGCTGTGGGTTTGTCATAGATAGCTCTTATTATTTTGAAATACGTCCCATCAATACCTAATTTATTGAGAGTTTTTAGCATGAAGGGTTGTTGAATTTTTTCAAAGGCTTTTTCTGCATCTATTGAGATAATCATGTGGTTTTTGTCTTTGGCTCTGTTTATATGCTGGATTACATTTATTGATTTGCGTATATTGAACCAGCCTTGCATCCCAGGGATGAAGCCCACTTGATCATGGTGGATAAGCTTTTTGATGTGCTGCTGGATTCGGTTTGCCGGTATTTTATTGAGGATTTTTGCATCAATGTTCATCAAGGATATTGGTCTAAAATTCTCTTTTTTGGTTGTGTCTCTGCCCGGCTTTGGTATCAGAATGATGCTGGCCTCATAAAATGAGTTAGGGAGGATTCCCTCTTTTTCTATTGATTGGAATAATTTTTTCTCTTTTTTATATTTGTCATTCCAGCAAAAATCATGATGTGGTCCCTCTGCCTCATGGAATTTATATTCTAGTAGGGGAGACAGGTTAATTAAATATATTGCTCTATAGAAATTACCTTGTGACGTTGAGAATGTGTTACAAAAAAACATGATATCTAAGCTGAAATCAGGAGGATCGATAGGAATTAACTAGATGAAAGATGGGAGTAAGAGTAGGAAGAATAATATTTGAGATAGTGGGCATTTCATGTGCAAAAAATTTGCTATAGTTGATGATTACAGTGTATATTCAAGGTATTAAAAGAAAACTCATATATCCTGAGAACAACAAAAGTGCAGGATAGTGACAAAGCAGAGAGGCACAACAGAGAGGCAAGGACTAGACCAGAAGGCTCTGTATTTCAATCTTTATAAACACAATAGGAAGTCTTTGAAAGGTGGAGTGACATGATTGGATGTGCACTTTGTAAAGATAAAGCTGTACCTAATGTGGTGAATGGATTAGAGCTGCCCAGTAGGGTCTGTAGGGCGAGCAGGTAGGAGGAGACTCTCAGTGTTTGGGGAAAAGTTGGTCCAGTATTTTAGACTGTGGTGGGGATGAGAGAGCTAGAGAGATGTGCACAGAACCAAGGGAAATTTAGGAAGCATGCTGCTACAAAATACTCATCATTGATTTGCTCATTAAACTCTTACTTTTCTAGAATGATTCGAGTAAGAAGTCTTCTTGTTAATACAATATTATAGTTAATGGATGCCTATCATTACAATATTTAACAATGGCTAAAGCTTTAGAATGCAGAGCAACATCCTGAAAGCTAAAACTGTGCTAAACATATTTTAGTCCCTTTTAGATTTAGCTTGCAGGGAGGCACCTTAAAGTCAGCAGGGTCACCATGTAATGTTATGGAGGCGGGATGTGTGGGAGCATGTGTTTGAGCTGGGTCTGCTGTGGCATCAGGGCATGTATTAGTTCATTTTCACACTGCTGATAAACATATACCAGAGACTGGGCAATTTACAAAACAAAGAGCTTTAATTGGACTTACAGTTCCACGTGACTGGGGAAGCCTCACAATCATGGCGGGAAGCAAGGAGGAGCAAATCAAATCTTATGTAGGTGGCGGTAGGCAAAGAGAGAGTTTGTGCAGAAAAACTCCCATTTTTAAACGCATTAGATCTTGTGAGATTCATTTACTATCACGATAACAGCCCAGGAAAGACTTGCCCCCATAATTCAATCACCTTCCACTGGGTTCCTCCCATGATGTGTGGGAATTGTGGGAGTTACAATTCAAGATGAGACTTGGGTGGGAACACAGCCAAACCATATTATTCAACCCCTGGCCCCTCCCAGATCTCATGTCCTCACATTTCAAAACCAATTATGCCTTCCCAACAGTCCCCCAAAGTCTTAACTCATTTCAGCATTAACTCAAAAGTCCACAGTCCTACGTCTCATCTGAGACAAGGCAAGTCCCTTCCACCTGTGAGCCTGTAAAATCAAAAGCAAGTTAATTACTTCCTAGATACAATGGGGGTACAGGCATTGAGTAAATACTGCTGTTGCAATGGGAGAAATTGGCCAAAATAAAGGGGCTACAGGCCCAGTGCAAGTCCAGAATCCAGCAGGGCAGTCAAATCTTAAGATTCCAAAATCATCTCCTTCGACTCCATATCTCACATCTGGGTCACACTGATGCAAGAGGTGGGTTCCCATGGTCTTGGGCAGCTCCATCCTTGTGGCTTTGCAGGGTATAGCCTCCCTCACAGCTGCTTTCACAGGCTGACATTGAGTGTCTGTGACTTTTCCAGGCACACAGTGCAAGCTGTTGGTGGATCTACCATTCTGGGATCTGGAAGATGGTGGCCCTCTTCTCACAGCTCCACTAGATGGCACCCCAGTAGGGACTCTGTGTGGGGCCCAGACCACACATTTCCCTCTGTACTGCCCTAGCGGAGGTTCTCCATGAGGGCCTCACCCCTGCAGCAAACTTTTGTCTGGGCATCCAAGCATTTCATCTTCTGAAATCTAGGCGGAGGTTCCCAAACCTCAATTCTTGACTTCTGTGCACCCACAGGCTCAACACCATATGGAAGCTGCCAAGGCTTTGGGCTTCCACCCTCTGAAGCAACAGCCTGAGCTGTACCTTGGACTCTTAGTGGCAGCTGGATCAGCTGGGACACAGGTCACCAAGTCCCTAGACTGTACAAAGCATGGGGACTCTGAGCCTGACCCATGAAACCACTTTTTCCTCCTAGGCCTCCAGGTCTGTGATGGGAAGGGCTACTGCAAAGATCTCTGACATGACCTGGAGACATTTTCACCATTGTCTTGATGTTTAACATTTGGCTACTCATTATGTATGCAAATTTCTGCAGCTGGCTTAAATTTCACCTCAGAAAATGGCATTATCTTTTATATACCATTGTCAGGCTGCAAATTTTCCAAACTTTAATGCTCTGTTTCCCTTTTGAAACTGAATGATTTTAACAGCACTCAGGTCATCTGTTGAATGTTTTGTTGCTTAGAAATTTCTTCTACCAGATACCCTAAATCATCCCTCTCAAGTTCAAAGTTCCGCAAATCTCTAGGGTGGGATCAAAATGCCGCCAGACTCTTTGCTAAAACACAAGAGTCACCTTTGCCCCAGTTCTCAACAAGTTCCTCATCTCCATGAGACCACCTCAGCCTTGACCTTATTGTCCATATCACTATCAACGTTTTTATCAAAGCCATTAAGTAAGTCTCTAGGAAGTTTCAAACTTTCCTACATTTTCCTGTCTTCTTCTGAGCCCTCCAAACTGTTCCAACCTCTGTCTGTTACCCAGTTCCCAAGTTGCTTCCACATATTTGGGTATCTTTTCAGCAGCACCATACTTCTGGTACCAATTTACTGTATTAGTCTGTTTTCACACTACGGATAAACACATACCCAAAACTGGGCCGTTTATAAAAGAAAGAGGTTTAATTGCACTTACAGTTCCATGTGACTGGGGAAGCCTCACAATCAGGGCGGAGGGCAAGAAGGAGGAAATGACATCTTATGTGGATGGCAGCAGGCAAAGAGAGAGCTTGTAAAGAAAAACTCCCATTTTTAAAATCATCAGGTCTTGTGAGACTCATTCACTATCACGAGAACAGCCCAGGAAAAACCTGCACCCATAATTCAATCACCTCCTACCAGGTTCCTCTCACGGTGTGTGAGAATTGTGGGAGTTACAATTCAAGATGAGATTTGGGTGGGGACACAGCCAAACCATATCAGGACATATACATCCAAGGAATGACTTTTGATAGATTTCTTGTCACATTTGTTTATTTCTTCAAAACTTTGGCTCAAGCATGTTAAAAACTCCATTTAATCTTTCAGGATTTTTGGAAATGTATGAAGGGGTATGTGTTTATAAACACATATACATGTGTAATTATATGGGTACTCACATAAATTTGAAGAGTCTATCTATAAAATTTTATATATGCTTTATTTTTATTTTTTATTTGTATGTTTTATATTTTTATTTCTAGCATGTATTTTTATTTTTATGTACACTTATAACTGTATAATTTAATTGCCAAAAATTATGTTAAATGGGTATCAGAAAATTGTTACTATCTGTTTGATTATAAAAATTTTACCTACTTAAATAAGCAAATGACATCATGAATTGAATCAAGGCTGAAACCAAATTTATTATTTTCTAATTATCCACAGGATAATGCTTTGGTCTTTTAATTTTACTAACAGTATTAGTTTTCACACTGCTATATAGAACTTCCTTGAGACTGGGTAATTTATAAAGGGAAGAGGTTTAATTGACTCACAGTTCCATATGGCTGGGGAGGCCTCGGGAAACTTACAATCATGGCAGCATGGGGAGCAGGCACATCTTACATGGTGGCAGGCAAGAGAGAGCATGTGAAGGAGGAACTGCCAAACATTTATAAAAGCATTAAATCTCATGAGAACTCACTCACTATCACAAGAACAGCATGGGGGAACCATCCCCATGATCCAGTCACCTCCCATCAGTTCCCTCCGTTGACATTTGGGGATTATGGGGATTACAATTCAAGATGAGATTTGGGTGGGGACACAAAGCCAAACCATATCACCTACTTAATTTAAGTTACAGAGTAAACATTTTGTTGATTTTTTTCCTGCAAAAATTAAAAGATAAGTGTACCTTCTCTTAACATAGTTGAATTACATGTCTATCTGCTTTTGCTATTTTTGCTGTTTTCCAGGATAAAACAGGCATATCACTGTATTGAAATTTTAAATTTTTTCTGAAGAATACAAGCAGAAAATTTTGTGGTATACAAATTGCTATGCAGCAGAGAATATTCTACTTCCATTCAAAAAAGAGCTGTTACTAACTATACATTAAATGAGTAGAGGATAGTTTAATCTCTTACCCTTATTCAGTGTTAAGTAATTTAGAGAAATGCGTATTATTATTATAGTATTGGTAAACTAAGAAAATTAAGTCAAAGTATGAGGTGAAATATGCCAAATATCAATGAAGTGTCCCTTGCCACTGGAGGCTGAGGTTAGGAGCCTCATGAAAGTTGAGCTGTTACATAATTACATGTATAATACACATATTGAATTGGTGCCAAGGTAAAGAGATGACCCACCAATTCAGTCCCTCACAAGTGAAACATCAGCTTGGCTGAGACATTACAGCTGCAAGGAAATAAATTACTCACTCTTTGGCAGGGCATTTTGTGCCACAGAGAAATAATTTTCTAAAGGGCACCTTGGTAGTATGAAAGGAGGATTTAAGAAGTTTCCAGAGAGAGCCATAAACCCTTGAAGATCCCCAGCCCCATAGCCAGCTGACTGTGTCTGTGTGACAACTGAAAACAGGAGCTGTTTAAAGATTTGGACACAGGCTACTAAGGATGCTCAGAGGTCATCTAGACTAATTTGGTCAAAAATCAGTGGTACCTAGAGTGTGTGGCCACTTCTTCTCAAATATCTGCTGTAACTAGTTCTTGACCAGTTTTTCCCACCAAAACTCCAGAACTGATCAGGTGTAGTGGCTCACGCCTATAATACCAGTGCTTTGGGAGGCCAAGGCAGGAGGGTTTCTTGAGACCAGGAGTTCAAGACCATCATGGGCAACATGGTGATACCCCATCTTTACAAAAATAAAAATAGAAAAATTAGGTGTAGTGGTGTGGCTGTATTCCTAGTTACTCAGGAGGCTGAGGCAAAACGATTGCTTGAGCCCAGAAGTTCAAGGTTACAGTGATTTATAATCATGTTACTGCACTCCAGCCTGGGTGAGAGAGTGAGACCTTGTCTCAGGGGAAAAAAAAGAAAAACAAAAACAAAAAACCTGCCAGAGTATGTTATGCTCATGACCTGATTAAAACACCAGTCATTACTACCCACTCTAATGCCATCTCACATCCCTGAAGTTATCTATATCTGCAAGTCTTCCCTTTAATTGTATTTCTGGATATTTATTATCCGAGGGAAGAAAAAGTCAACTTAGAATATTTATCCAGTTTATTGATGATAATTCTGCTGAAAGTGTCAGTGGCCTTTAGTTGTTGAAGAACTCTAAGAGATGAGGACCCAAGGTTGTCTGTTTCCCCCCACTCTACCTAGATGCTTCAAAGGGACTTTTTAGAGCACCAAGTAAATGACAATATGCATTGCCTCGAATTTTACTGTATAGTAGTATCCAAGGAAACTCTTTCTAGAAATTCTTTAACTTTTGATAACCAGAAAGATATGAGAACATCCCTTTGGCTACTGATTTTACATTTGCCCCCAGAAAGCCATGGATCATAGCCTGAAACAAGCAAAAGGAATGAGTTCTATGTGGGAGCCAAATTTCTAGCCTAAATATCTAAGTGTATCTTTTTCCCCCGAATAGTTAAATAGCTCTAACAAGACCAAGGTTAAACACAACCCCATATAGTCTACAGTAAATATAATGCCAATACTTAGAAATAGGTGTATTATTATTTTTCAAACATGCTACTTGATTGTGTTCTCTGGTAGATGAAAGGATTAGATATCAAAAGTTAAATTCACTACTTGAGATTTTTCAGAATGTTTCTCACTCCAAGTTTTGAAAACCTTCTTGGCTGCTTATTCACCATCTTCCTTCACTATATTTGCTGAGCCAGCCTTGGCCCGTAGGAGTCTTTCTCTAGGAGTATTAGACAAGTTGGCATTTGATAAATTTTCTGTCCTAACAACCCCCGTAGGCCCACTTTCAGCACTTGTGTGTTACTTGCAACACCCTTTCTCCATTACAATTAAAATGTTATTTATTTTAAATGAGGAAATTGCAAATTTTACTGAGAATTAAAACATTTTCAATTCACAATTACAGTTTTTTTTTTTTAAAGCTAAGCATATATCTCTGATTAGTGAAAGATGGAAGTGAAATGAAGGCAGGACTAAGGATGGGATGAAAGTTTTGGGAGCTGATTAGGAATCTGCTCATTTAACAAGCATGAAGGTTTTTTTCCTTATTGTTCTAGCATGGAATGGATTCTTAAAGAATCAAGGCAGTTATCAAGCTGAAGAAACTTAATTCTAAGGAATTTTGGCTTGGATTCTCCAGAGTGGTAGTTTTCCAGGCTAAAATGCACCAAAAAAGGTCTATCATGAGCTCCCTTTTGTGATACATGAAGGTTTCTTGAAACTGGCACTAGCTTTTCAGGATGATGTAAAAGCTTTAACTCTGCATTCAGTCTTTTGGGCCATTTTATTTCTACCTTTTATGGGCAATGTTAAATAAAGCTTCAAGTACTATGAAGAATAAAACCTGATTGTCCTGGTCCCAGTCACATCTTAATGCTCTTTCCAGAAAGCTAGAACAGCATATTCTTCCTAGGTGGTATGAAGATTAGCAAAGGGAAAAAAATGATAGAAAGAGGCCAGGTGCGGTGGCTCACGCATGTAATCCCAGCACTTTGGGAGGCTGAGGTGAGCAGATCACGAGCTCAGGAGTTTGAGACCAGCCTGGCAAATATGGTGAAGCCCCGCCTCTATTAAAAATACAAAAATTAGCCAGGGGTGGTGGCATGCGCCTGTAATCCCAGCTACTCAGCAGATTGAGGCAGGAGAATTGCTTGAACCCAGGGGGCAGAGGTTGCAGTGAGCCAAGATCGCACCATTGCACTCCAGCCTGGGCGACAGAGCCAGATTCCATCTCGAAACAAAAGAAAGAAGCAGAAATTGGAATGAGAAATCAAACAGATTTTCTTGGTTGTCAACACAGAACTCTATTAAAGTTTGTGATTTTAGTCCTGCTTCTGACACCGAGATCTATAAGTAGATGGAGGAAAAACAAAAACAAAAACAAAAAACCCTCAACCTCAGAATTTAAGAGGTAATAGCCATGTTTTCTCACAGTAGCCTCCAGGTGCCCTTGGCTCTCTGGCTTCATTTCTACTGCTCCTTCCTGAAGTGTTCAGAATTTCTTTCCATATTGCTTGTGTGCACTGTTACAGATCCAGATGCCTGCCACACTGCCCACTACTGAACTGTGAAAGGGCTATTTTGTCCTGGAGGAATTTTGGTATAATATTTATTGCCAGACTAACTTAAATTCATGGGAAAAGGGCTAGTGACTACAAATAGTAAAATAACCTGTTATGAGAATCCTATTCTTATTTAAAATAGAAATGAATCTCAAGATTATAGGATTCACCATATATATATTATAAATACAATACCTTAAAATTTAAAATATATTCATTCCTAAGAATTCTAATTTGTTACGCTTATTATGTAATTTTGTTCCATAGCGTCACAATTCATAGTGGAAGGTAGAACATTTAAATGACTTCTCCTCTCCAGTGTTTCCAAAAATTATTGAGTGCCTGTATATTTACAGACCACAATGGTTACTTAAAAATAGGCAATGTCATTTAATGTTATATAATTATGATATAGGGCAGCACTATACAATCTAAAAAATTGTTTTATTAAGTCAGTCTTATCTTTAACTTTATCCTCTCTGGCTGTGCTTAGCATTTGATTCTCAGAATAATTCACATTTTACTACCCCAACAAGGCTAAGAAACTGAATCTGTGACCTCGTTCTTTTCTGATGTCCTCAAAACACCAGACACAACCTCTGAATGTTTTTTCCAGGATATATAGCATACAGAAAGACTACTAAGGTTACAAAAGAATAATAGAGTATTAAGGGAAGCAACATTCAGCAATTTTTCTTTCTACCCAGAACTAAAAATCATTTGCTAAATGTGAGGCCCTCTAACGAATAATACCTGGGTTAATGCTTAGGAACAAAAGACCTTCGTTGAAGTTTATATTCCCCTCCAGCTCTAAAATGTGACTCTGTTAAACAATTGTTTAAGAATACACAGTTACTTATATTTCTAGCTGTGTGACAAAAATACCTCCAAGAACAAATTCTGGAAATTCTGACCCCGTTAAGGGAACATAGAGTAAGCTGAGACAATGTGGACTTCCTTCTCTGGAGCTGCAGCCTCCGTCATCTGTAGCCTCTATTTACCTTACCTCAGGCTTCCTTCAGTCCACTCTACTCTGTAACTGCCACCCTCTCTTCAAAACTTAAAAGAATCTAGTAACCAATTCGAATTATTTATACACTTTTGCTTATTCAAAGTGCTGGTGGTACAAAGTGTATTTGCTTATTGAAAGGATTGACTGTATTGGCAACCTGATTAGGGAATGTGGTAGGTATGGAAAGGCTTTAAAAAGCAATGAGATTTAGTCATGTAGAGTGTGAGGATGAAATCCTAACCGAATGATATCTATTCCGTACTTCCTGGGAAGGAGGATCAGCCTGCAAAGCCTGCTCTGAGGGATTCTGAGTATAGAAGAAAATCTTTCCTTACTCTGAGATTTGTAATGCCCTGACACAGGCCAGGACAGTGTGCAGCCAGTGCCCTCTCCAACTCTTCCTCCCCAACCTGGAGCACAGGGACCTTCACGAGGTGCTTGTTTGCTTTCTAAATAATTGAAATTGATTGATATTTATTAATGCTTTTCTTTTGTTAAATTAGAACTTCCCAGCCAGTCACGATGGCTCATGCCTGTAATCCCAGTGCTTTGGGAGGCTGAGGCAGGAGAATCGTTTGAGGCCAGGAGTTCTAGACCAGCTTGGGCAACATAGTGAGACCCCCACTTCTACAAAACATTAGTTAGATGTGGTGGCACATGCCTATTGTCCAGGCAACATAAGAAGCTGAGGCAGGAGGATTGCTTGAGCCCAGGAGTTCAAGGCTACAGTGAGCTACAGTTGCACCACTGTACTTCATCCAGCCTGGGCAACAGAGCAAGAATCTGTCTCTTAAAAAAGAAAAAACTTCTCTACCCTATCTGATATAACATTTCAAAGAAATAGATCATTAGGATTTATTTCCTTTACAAATTACTTCATTACCAATAAAGTATTAGTAATAAATTATATAATAAATAAAATCATATTTTATTTATATAAATATATAACCATATATTAATATCAAATAACATAATAGTAATAATAAATATAATGCACTATTACTTAGGTCATTGCATGCCTTATTCATACCTCTCAGAGATCAACATATTTAAATTTCCCAGAATTTTTTTTTCTTTTTTGAGACGGAGTCTCGCACTGTCACCCAGGATGGAGTGGAATGGCACGATCTCGGCTCACTGCAACCTCCGCCTCCCGAGTTCAAGCAATTCTCCTGCTGCAGCCTCCTGAGTAGCTAGGATTACAGGTGCCAACCACCACATCCGGCTAATTTTTTGTGTTTTTAGTAGAGATGGGGTTTCACTATGTTGGCCAGGCTGGTCAGCTCCTGACCTCATGATCCACCTGCCTTGGCCTCCCAAAGTGTTGGGATTGCAGGTGTAAGCCACCGCGTCCGGCCCTGAAGAACTTTTTATGGGCTGGTCATCTACTTGAAATCAATGACCAAATATAGTCAGTACTTTCATAGTGGCATTTTTCTGCAAGTCAAAATATGTAATGATTCTTCAGTAATTTAAATAGGAATTTATAGACAGCACCTATTAAGTATCAGGGCTTGTGCTCAGTTGCTAATCACCAAACAACAAGCTAAACCTAGAGGAGAATCAGCCTAGTCATTTTACTGTGATCAGGACCCATCATGTAGAAATTAAGCTCCTTTTCTATAATAACATTTGCTAATAATGTAATTTATTCTGAAAACTAAGGGCCGCTTTGAATCTTCGTATTAAAAAATAAAACATGTAAGCATAACCTTAGACTTATTTTGCAAATTTATGCAAACAGTACTCTAAAGAGAGTACTGTTAAGACTTTTTCCCACTTTTTCCATTGTACAAGCTGCAATGTAGTTTTCTTGATGAATACTCCATATTCAAAAGGAACATATAAGTTTTAATGATCCCTTAAAAGGACTGTCATAAGTTTTACATTTATGCCATTCCATACTAGACCCTTTGTTCCATGAATACAAGGATTGCCTACCTGGTTCACCATTGAATCTCCAACTCCTAAAACACAGTGCCTCCTGCTTAGCAGCGCTTAATAAATTGTCACTGAATCAATTACCCTTCCTGGAAACTTCCCTCACTTCCCTACTGAACTTAAGGTTCAGTTCAAGCGCTAGATCCCCTAAAAAGCCCTCCCTTATGTAGATATACTGCTTAATGTTTTACTGGGACACAACCTCAGCAACTTATTTGCATGCTTTTCAGAAACTTTTTCCTTAAATATGTTTTCTTTTCATTCCTATTACCTCTTAATTTGACCGCTCAGTCCTATTTTTAACCTCCACGTCTCCAAACACATTTAACACATTAGAGTATACATGTAAGCATTCAATTAACTCATGTAGACTACATGATTGATTGATCTTGGTTACCATTCATTCCATCAATAAACATTCATTAAGTTCCTGCATATTTCTTGAAACAGCCAGCACAGCATTGAATACACAAATATCCCTGTTCTCTTGGAGCTTATTATCTGCTAGTAAGAGACGATCAAGCAAAGGAATAAATGAATAAATGAGGAATACAAGAATGTTAGATACTGAGGAGTGCTGTGAAAAAAAGATGTGAAAGGGAGTGACTAAAGGTTAAAATTAAAAATAAAATAAAATAACGGTTGCTGAGGGCCTCTCTGAGGAGTTAACAGTTGGTCTGAGACCAGAATGACAGGTAGGAACGTGTTATGGAAAGATTTGGGAGAAGAGCGTTCAGCATGGTATTGGGCTGGAATGAGCTGGACACATTGAGAATTAAAGGGATGTGTGTGTGTTTGAGGGTCATGATCGCAAGGACTTCTGTTCAGGACATCTGGGATGTGAGATGCTGCCAAGGGGAGATACAGCCCAGTGAAGATGTCCTTTGAGCAATATGTGTTGGAATCCTGGTGGGGGGTAGGGGAGAGAAAGGGGCAGAACCAAATATAAAAATCAGTATGTGGTGCTTATATTTTAGAAGTGTTGGTACCCAAAGTGGCAATGTAACCATAGAAGAGATGGAAACCCGGGACCAAGTCATGGACATGTAAACCTTTTTAGAGTAAAGCAGAAGAATCTACTAAAGAGACCAAGAAGGAATCCCCAGCAAATTAGGAAGAAAACTGGGAGAAAATGACCTTGAGAATGAAGGGCTGTTTGATTGTGTTGAGTGCTGCCGAGACGTCTAGTAAAGTGGTCATGGGAAACTTAGCAATATTGGAGTTGCCATCATTCTTACAAGAGTGGTCATAGTAGGGTCATGGATGTGGATAGCAATCTGCTTGGACTGGGTGGAGAAGATAAGGTGTGAGAAAAAGGGGAGGCAGCAAAAGTTAACCATTTCAAGAAGTTTTATTGGGAAAAGGAATAAAGAGATTGAAGCTGGAAGAAAATTGGAGGTTAAGGGAGGAATTTTTTGTTTGTTCTTAAAAAAAGTGTTTTAACAGTATGCTTGTAAGTTAATGGACATAACCAAGTATAGAGGAATCAAGAGAAAGATCGATGATGCCTCAAGGAGAGGTTTAAAATGCGGAAGCAAATGCCCTGAAAAGTTAAAAGGGATTGGCTTCTAAGATACAAATGACACAGATTTTGATAAGCACAAGGAGTGACTATAAATATGAAGACTGTTTCTCATTATGGAAATATTTCTGTGTTAAAATCTTGAAAAGCTAAAGTAGGCCAGGTGGAGCCGCATGATTTTGCTGATTTGGTGCCACGTTTCACCTGCAAAAAGACCACTTTTCTATGGCCCAAGCTAATATACTATGAATATAACTATAATATACATATGTAAAATAGCTCAGAATACACAAATTGAAACAGATGATGAGCTTATGTGTGTTTTCCATTTTCTCTTTTGTTAAAATATGTATGGAAAGTTTTAACATAATTTTAGGACAAATATATGGGAAATACTAAATACTTCTAGAATTGAATGTTGCTTATTTCAGCTTGGCTTTTAGGTTAAGTCATAATGAATGCTGAACAGAACAGGCAAAGACAGAATCAGATCCCTGTGGTTATTCTAGTTTTATCAGAGCCTTTGTGTTCTCTTCTAAAGGATTAAAGTGTCTGCTACATACTGCAAGATTCATTTCCTTAAGATCTTTGTTTCTTAGTGCCTTTGATGTAAAAAATTTAAAATTAAAATGAATCCATGTATTTTATAAGATTTCTCTTTAAAGATGTGTCAGTTGGCTTAAATATTTATATTTTCTTTTGTCACAGGCTTATTTATATTCATCTTCCACTGTGCTATGAAGGAGAATGTTCAGAAACAGTGGCGGCAGCATCTCTGCTGTGGTAGATTTCGGTTAGCAGATAACTCAGGTAAAGAGTTGTTGATTAAATTTTACATCTACAAGTAGATGGGAAAGTTTGTCATTCAGTCTTTCATTGTCAGAGCAACCCAGTCCCAGTGGTAGCAAGCTATTGAAGTGGAGCATGTGAAGATGCGTAGTTGGAATCATAGAATATCAGGGCTGGAAGAGATCAGAGAACTTTGAGCCCAACCCTTCTATTCTGCAGAGGAGAAGCATGAATTCCATACAAGTTAAATGAGTTGCCTGAGGTTTGATGTCTAATTTAATAACCCGTATACCCAGAGGTTCCACTATACCAGACTCACCTTTCCACATTTTCTAGATCCGCAATTACATTATTAAGCAAAGAGATTTTTCTCAGTATTAAAAAAAAAAAAAAAACTGAAAAAACCTACTTTGTCTTTTTTCTTTTCTTTATCTTTCTTTGTTTTTCTTTTTACTGTCAGTGGTTACTTCTCATCTTTGGGATATTGAAAGTGAGATTTTAAATAGTACGTATACAAGGTCAAAGTAAGAAATTATCAATATCCTCTTATTGTTTACATGTCAGTCTCTTCTCTGAGCCATTGCCAGCATATCAGAAAATCAGATGCTCCAGATAAATAATGCAGTGATGATTTTTTCAGAGCAGTTCATATTCCCGGTAAAGCAGATTGATAGGGTGATGTCATTTTTTTTTTCAGATTGGAGTAAGACAGCTACCAATATCATCAAGAAAAGTTCTGATAATCTAGGAAAATCTTTGTCTTCAAGCTCCATTGGTTCCAACTCAACCTATCTTACATCCAAATCTAAATCCAGCTCTACCACCTATTTCAAAAGGAATAGCCACACAGGTGAGTCTAAAGATGTCCTCAAGTTTAGTTCTCATCACATTTTCATTGCAAAAATTGGCATATCATGAAGATTGATAAATCACAGTGCCTAAGAGGGTGCATCTTTTAGATTTATGAAAATAAAAATCCGTTTGAAGACGTTATCCAACACCTTTATGAATATTTTGTCCTTTTAAAAATTTTGTAACCCAAACTCTAGCTATATAACCATAATAATTCACTCTGTATATTATTGTTACTTCATCATTTGATTCAAAAACTTGGTTATCTTTAACAATTATGGTATTTTGTTTAAAAAGTTATATATTTTTAAAATTAAAAATTGAATTACAGATTATTTCAGCATAGTATGATAATTACTGGACAAGTTGTCTTGGGAACAGGAAGAAACAATATCTAGGATGTACATTTTATTTAAGACTTAATTCCTTAACCATTGCAAATGTTATTGATGACTGCCCTTTAAATCACTGATTATATATGAAAGAACATAATATTTAGAAAGTGACACAGGGCTATAAGAAACACTGTCTTTCATAATATCCTGTTTTTTCATGATATTTACAATTGCTGCACATTCTGACACTGAACATGTATGTGAAAAATCCTGACGACACCATGGAAATAAAGAATATTTTAAGCCAGGTGCTATGACACATGCCTGGAGTCCCAGCTGCTCTGGAGGCTGAGATGGTGGGATTGCTTGTGCCCTGGAGTTCAGGCTGCAGTGAGAAATGATTGAGCAACTGTACCACAGCCTGGGCAACATAGCAAGACCCCATCTCAAAAAAATAGTAATATTTTGCAGCACTTGATAGTGAATGATGTGAAAATGTGTAACTTTTTCATGTTTTCAAAGGGAAATAATAGAATTGCTACTTTTAAATTAAACCCCTGGCAGACAGCTGTCAACATTTAAAACAGAGCACTTTCCTAATTAAAGATAATTCTAAAAGGATAATGGAAATAACTTTTAAATTTTTAATTTGTTTAGCTATTAAACATGAGCAGAGGTGAATGGCACAAAGAAGATTAATACTTGGCTTTTTGCAAATAGGGAGTAAGGTGTGTGATGTGTCTGTAATTATTCATATTGCAAATACTTGAATTACAGATAACCCTGGTGTACATTTGAATCCATATACATGCCCTGTTTGCACCGTTTTCTATGTCTTGCCACTGGGGTGGCCACTGCCTGGGATTCATGATAGTGCTATGGAAAAAGTTTTGAGTGTTTAGACAGTTCTTTAATTCCAAAATTAATTAAAAATCCAAGAACTTGGAGCAACTTAGAACAGCAGTTCTTAAAGCTTCTTGAAGTCTAGGACATTTTGGGGGGAATTGAATGAAGGCTGTTGATTCTCTTCCAGAAAAAAAAGGTACAGACTTTGAATCATTTTCACAATTTTGCATAAAATTAGAGAAGTCTGTGCACCTCTGCTTAAGAATACCTGTGTAAATAAATTGATAACAGGGGTATAGCCTAAGATAGATTATTCTACTTATTTGGTGGTTCCGTGGCACAAAATATTTTTGCTTATAATGAATTATTTTTTTCACTTTATTTAACCAAACTTAAAATTTGATACTCATTTTGCCTCCCCTTCTAAAATACAAATACTTAATGCCTTATCAGTTATTAATGAATAGGAATTAAACCAAATGAATTGCTTTCCTCTTAAACAGCTGAAAATAGCTGGCCTGAAGAAATGCCACTCTTAAAAGAGGAAAGAAGATAACAAGGCAGTTAATTTGGAACATGAGGCATTTTGGAAATATTAAGGATAGAAAGGGCTATAGGATTCGGGGGAAAACGGACTAGAAGATAAAAGAGGAAATGCAGAGATGGAGGTCCAAAGGCAGACTTTACTATTTTAAAATATTGTCTGTTCTTCATTTTGTTTTATTTCATCTATTATTTTATTTTATTTATTTATTTATTTTGACACAGGGTCTCGCTCTGTTTACCAGGCTGGAGTGCAAGGGCACACTCACGGTAGAGGCTTACTGCAGCCTCTACCTCCTGGGTTCAAGCAATCCTCCTACCTCAGCCTCCCGAGTAGCTGGGACTACAGGTGTGCACCACCACACTTGTCTAATTTTTGTATTTTTGTAGAGATGAGGTCTCATCATCTTACCCAGGCTAGTCTCAAACTCCTGGGCTCAAGGAATTTTCCTGCCTCAGCCTCCCAGAGTCCTGGGATTACAGACGTGAGCCACCACACTTAGCCTTTTGTTTTGTTTTTTAAAGAATGCATTAATGTTCTTGTTTCCCTTAACAAAAAACCCTTGGGGCTAAATGGGTTCTTGTCAACTAGGATGAGAATATAGTTAGTTATATGGCATTACTTCAATGTTATAATAAATCCTGGTTTACAGTCAACTGACTTCACATAGGCTTTGGCTACCCAGACAGTTCTCAGTGGAACAGTTAGCATCCTGGGATCACTCAAGGTATGCAAAACGTCACTGCATATCATCATGGATATCTAGCTGGTTCATTTCTTGGAATTGATCTAGATATTCATATGTTTATGGTATAGATAATGTCTCCTATGAGCATTCCTTCAACAAAAGTGGATCACTCAGGTAAACTTTCGTTACTTTTTTGAATGCATGAATTTTTTGCAAGGTAATAAGAGAATATGTGCATGGATTAAGCTAAGATTCTTGCTGCATCGGCAAAATGGCTTGTTCTTTTCAGCTAGCACAATGACATTCCTGCATTGAGCTGGAATTTCTGAAGTTTTGAATGATAGTGTGTGCTGTGCTGGCTCTTCTCTGCATGGGGTATCTGCAAGCGGCTCCTTCTAGGAAATGTACCATGGTCTGGAGTGAGTGGAGCACATATTATGTAAAATAATGACAGAAAGCAGTACTTGAGAAAAGATTTGTTGTAGAAGGACATGAAATGCTTTATTTTTCCACTGCTCATGTGGATTTCTGGGTATGTCATGGTACATTCATAGAAGTCATGTAAGTGAAATTGTGAATTCCAAGCCTGCTTTGTGAGAATTGTTATCTGCTTGAAATTTCAGCATAGGTCAAATAATAGTTCATATCCCTAGCCCCTGGTTTTCAGACTTGCAACTATAATCAAAGTCTTTATTACCCATAATGTAATATCTAACCAGAAGACTGGGAATAGCATATATAAAAATACAGCCCTCATTCAGAATTTTGCTTTGTTAAACTGCAAAGACCCACTAAATTGGATCACATTGTTGAAATGAAGCTTTTCAAAATCTCTAAAAGTACATGCCACTGGAAGTTACAAAGGAAACAGAGTGACTATATCCTTGATATCTCTCTGAGGATATGTGGTTTTCTAAAAACACCAAGCACTAATTATTCATTATTAATATATAAGTCAATAGAAAAATCCCCACCAGAAAACCAATGGCTAGTGAATATATGAACTGAAAGGAAGCTCAGAATCAATCAGCTTGCTGAGAGCCTAATGGGGAGGGGCCTTTTGTCATGACTCCTTGAGCCTTTTCCTTGCCGACATTGGAAAATGCTTCAGTTGTTCCACCATGCTTCAGTTTGCTCGTTCTCTCCATGAACCATCTATTCTTCTCTCTAGCATCCTTTAGTGTGGGTTGAGTATCCCATTTCCCTTTTTAGCCCTCATTGTATTTAGTGTCGGCTTCAACACAAGATAATAGTTGAGCAATTTGAATAGTTTCCAAAGACAACAGATATCATGATGATGATGGCTTTTACCAATTATTGATGGATTTTAAATGTTTTGTCACATACTGAGTCCAGCATACTCAAAATGTAAAAAGCATTGGAGTGAAGATTCCAATTTTAGAGCCATGATTTCTAAAAATTTTTCAGGATAGAGTTTTTGCCTCTTCCACAATGTATGGAGAAGGTACATAGGAAACTGAATACTTTATAAAAGTTCATATCTTCTTTATCAGTGTAAAATTTCTATAATTTGGTTAATTTGAGGGTAGAATTTTTTCCTAAAGTGTATTTGGAGAGGGAAGTGCTTAAAAGATATTTGTAGGATACATGAAGACAACCATACGTCTTTATAGATAATAGAGCATAAGTGGGTTTCAGAACACTATCTGAGCCAATTTTAGAAAGCTTTTGTGTATAGGGAAATAACATTTAAATATATGATACTGAAAATTTTAGAAAAAATTATTTAGCAGTCCTTTATTACTATCAGTTGCTATAATATTAGTGCTGTTAGCAATAACATCATTCAGAAACTACAAGATAATTAATATAAATAAATCATTTTCTATTAAAATATTTCTGGTAATAACTTTGATTGCTACAATTAAAAAAATAATTCACAAGAAGTACCCTTTTTGCTATTTTCCAGTTGTTTATCCAGCTAAAAACCTTGGGAAAATACGTTCAAAGTAGCATTTCATATTTATTTTCATTTGCTTGTATTCTCCAAAATCCTTTAAATTTAATTTTATAAAATTTTTTGTTATGAAAAGTGTCAAACCTATATAAAAAATAGAGAGGATACTATTATAAAGCCCCTTGTAACCATCAATTTATAGCCAGTTATACACCCCTACCCATTTTTCCCTTCCTATATTATTTGAAAACATATCTTAGATATAATTTCTTCCACAAATATTTCAGCACATTCTAATTCCTTATAATTTTGTACATCTTTCAAGCCATAGTGCATGTTTTTTTGAAGTGGTTTTCCAATTATTTTTTCATTGGCTCTGCTACATTCAAGAATATTTCGTATGGTAAGCCACAGTACAAATTACTAGAAGGGAAGTTGACACTCAGTGACTATCAGGAGTATACTTAGAAGAAGAAAAACATGGAAGTTTAGTGTTGCCTATTACCTAATATAAGAAAGAATCGGAGCTTTATTTTCTTTTGTTCTTCTTTAATGTGCAAAACGGAGTATACAATATGGTGGCCTGTAGGCATGCCACCAGCTCATCTTGAACCTAATTTCTTGTATCATTTCTTGCAGACAGTGCTTCCATGGACAAGTCCTTGTCAAAACTGGCCCATGCTGATGGAGATCAAACATCAATCATCCCTGTCCATCAGGTCATTGATAAGGTCAAGGGTTATTGCAATGCTCATTCAGACAACTTCTATAAAAATATTATCATGTCAGACACCTTCAGCCACAGCACAAAGTTTTAATGTCTTTAAGAAAAAGAAATCAATCTGCAGAAATGTGAAGATTTGCAAGCAGTGTAAACTGCAACTAGTGATGTAAATGTGCTATTACCTAGGTAACTGCATATATATAAGGAATGTATTTTGTTAAGAAGGCTTTTGTGAAATTCAGAATTTTTCTTTTTAATATATTTCTTCCATGGAAGAGTTGTCATCACTAAAACTTCAGTACTGAGAGTAACATGACTCAGTAGCCACAGAAGCTATGATTTGTAAAATATATAATTGAATCAGAGTAATCATAATGCAGGGGAGACATTCAAATTAGAGACAAGGGAGAAGCAATGCTGAGGAAGACCCTAGATAGAGCTCATTTTACTCCACCTAATCGTTATATCTGGATATACCCATTTTCTGCATCTTCTTTCTCAACAATAAAAAATGTAACTATTTTGAATGCCCACAAATCCCATTCCAGTGTTACTTTCTGTGAATGCAGTACCATATTCTCATTTTCAATGACATTTCAACCACAGGCAGAAAAGACTGTTTACTCCTTGACCCAAAGATTAAAAAGGATTTTTTATTATTTTAAATATTACACCTTCAGAACCATAACATGCTTAAGAAAACTTTCCCAAAATGTTGACCTAGTTAAATGAGGCTATATAAATTTCTAATATTTTACTTATTCTATTCAAGGCATAGGGCCAAAGCATTAAGTATAATTTAATCCCATACATTCGAGTTAAGTTTAGTGTTGATGTTCCATCATTCTGGACCTCCCAGGAGTTGTTTAAGAATGAATCTCTTACACCTCTACTTTTGCCCCTCTACTGTATATTAAGCCCATAGGCTTGTGGGAGGAAGGAGAATTTCCATTAGGCAAGCTGTATGCAGTGGAATTTTCCTTTTAGGAGACACACAATTAAGACTCTCTGGTTCTGTCCTTGCTTTGGAGACTTTAAGACATTTCCTAAAGCACAAATAAAAGCCTCGTATTTCCCCATTGAGAGTTTTGTTCCAAGGAATATGAAGTGAGACATATGGGTGAGTCATAATAATCAAAATAATTTATGAAGAGCTGGGTCTGCAATAGCTAGTCTAAAAACTACTTGTGTGTCAGTCCTCTGGTTATAGTATATAAGAGCCTGAGGAGGTCTGGCAAGATAGATGGTGTATTATTTATGGATCAGGCTGCTGCATACAAACCTTGCATACTATTATGCAGCTTACCTAACTCTCAGACTATTCTGAGTAATGCTTGCTTGCTAATGAATGTATAGGAGACCACATTGTAATTGTTCTTAGATGATGGAGTCCATGCAGTTTCTTAGAAATCGGTCTCAGTGCATGCTGTGCTTTTTCACATTTGCTCTGGGTTATCTGGGAAGTATCAGGTTCTGGGAGGCAACAGCATTAAGTGATAAGAAAAGGAGACATTCTGGCAAAGCCAATCTGCTTAAAGGCAAAGTCCAGAACCTGGAACCTAGAGGCCTTTCTCTCTGCACGAAAAACAGGTAGTTTGCAGTCTGAGATATGGGAGAGCTTTTAGGCTACACAGCAACCCAAGGGACCTCTCACCTTTTGCTGAGCTTCAATCAGGAAGCTATTTGCCTGGCTCCAGCAGATGATGAGATAATGAGGTAGTGGGTTTTTTATTACTGTTCCATTTTGCAACATCCTGCAACACCATCCTGGGAGACAAGAGCATTACCCAGCTTGGCTTTCACGGGGGAGGGTTGTATTCAGTAAAAAAGAATAGTAAATATAAGGTCACTGAGATTCTAAGTAAGATAGTAAATCTAAGGTCACTGAGCCAAATCCTTTTCAATAGGCATATATTAACAGGCTGCTTATTTTGGCGGAGGTTACATATGGATGAAAATGAATCTTAGTCACTGAATATTCATATACATTTCCCCCAAAACCTTAGACATTCATAGTAGATTTTAATTAGTTAGCTTTCTAACTAGTCAGATTTCTGCCCAAAGTGCTTAGTCAATAGTAATTAAGATATAGCTTCAAAAATGGCTTTGCTTTTGATTTCTACTCATATTCGTATGGCTCCAGAAAAATATTTTTTTCATATTTGACAATGTCAGCTCCACTTTAGAAATTTTCAATAACCAGATGAGAAAAAAATTAAGAAATTGCTCAAGGGAAACATTTGTAAATGGATTTGAAAGATTGAGCCAAATTCTGTTGTCAGTTCTAAGCATGCAGTTCTCACCTCCATTTAGTCCCCCATCAGAACAGAGGTCAGGAATTTAGCTGGGGAGCCTAAATTTAGTTCAGCTTACCTTTGAGAATAGCATCAATTCAGACTCTCTTTTCATTATGTTTTCTTTTCTTTTTCCCTCTTTTTAAACTACATTGTGTTAGAGTCATAGTCTAGGATCCTGAGAGATTTTCCATTCTTGTCACCATTCACTTGCATTGTAAAGATTTTCTTTGTCTGTTGTTGGCATAGATTCTTTTGTACATATTTATTTATTTGTGTTTATATATGTCAATTGGTTTCCTTTCTTAGCTTGATATTGCCTAGCTTTGTTGTTTTAATTAACTTTCTATTAGAGAGACTGTATATATTTTTTCTAAATACTTTGTGAAATCATTTTTGGTAGCAATATCTTTGAATATGATGAATAAAAGTGACTGTGAGTGCAAATAGAATTAGCAGTAAGAAGCTACTCTAGCTAATTTGCCATTTTACTTAAATGGAAAATGTTTTTCAAATAAATACTTATGTTGTTCATGTTCCAAGTTATTCAATTCCTTTATGAGTGAATGTTTTTACTTTTGACTCCTAAATAGGAAAAGATTATTTGACAGCTGGAAAATAACCTGCCACCAATTAAGCGAGTGACATAGGGCTACTTTGCCAAAACACTCAGAATGAGTATGTTACACAGATCCAGTTCACTAAGGATTAATGCATTTTGAAGTTCTTAGAATTTGTTGGGATGACTGATGCAAAGCCAAGTTCTACAGCAGATTAAAAATAATACAGGTTTCTTTCGGGGAATGTCTTCAGTATCCTCAAAAGGGAACTGATTCAGTAACCTGTAGAAGATAGGACCTAGGATATTTTTCTCACATTTATAGTTGCTATTTTCATTGTGAGAGGCTTAGCAAATGATACATTTTAGCGAACTTCACTTACTTGATGAGAACAGAACCTCCCCACTTCCTTTTACTGTAGATATTTAGGATAACTTTTTTTCTGCAGTGAGCCAAAGCCCAATTTTGCTTACTGCCCTACTCAGCAAAGTGTATGCCCAGTGCAAAGTTGTGAGGTGTTTTGACGGTCACTGCTAAACCAGGTCTTCCAAGCCAATGTTCACAACTCCTGGCCAAGCCATGTTAAGAAAATAGACAAGCAGCTGCTTAAGGCTCATCTACAGTCATTTACATGCAGGTTACTTCGGAAAGCTGGAGGGGTAGAATTGGGGAACAAATGAAAAACACGTATTTGATTTGCAGGCTGACCTGTGTTGGTAATATTTTTGAAATCTGGAGGAATTGGTCTGTATAAATTCAGTGTTTTGGAAGCACTTCTCTGTTTCCAGTTGAATAACATTCCATTTCTCTCATATAAAAACATTAAATAGCTCTCTCCCTCCTCCCCACCAAAATCCTTCTCCCCTTTCTTCTGTTCTGTCTCCCTTTTTCCTTCCCTCCTTCCATCTTTATTTCAAGGAAGAATAATTAGTGTTAACAGTTCTTTTTTTGCTTCCCTAGAGAGAAATAAGAATAAACGTGAAATTTTCAAGTGTTTGCATTTATATTCTATATAGCCTGTTCCGCAAAAGAAAAAAAGTAAAAAAAGAAAAAAGGATGCTTTGTTACCATAGGCAGCTCCAACCTAAATTGAGTAATCTGAACTATATAGGAAAAAAAAAAACAAAAAAACAAAAACAAACCATGGACAGGCACAGTGGCTAACGACTGTAATCCCAGCACTTTCGCCAAGGCAGGCAGAGGTCAGGAGTTCGAGACCAGCCTGGGCAACATGGTGAAACCCCATCTCTACTAAAAACTCAAACACTAGCCAGGCACGTTGGTGCATGCCTGTAGTCCTAGCTACTCGGGAGGCTGAGACAGTCAGATTGTTTGAACTTGGGAGGCGGAGTTTGCAGTGAAAGCTAAGATCGGGCCACTGCACTCCAACCTGGGTGACAGAGCAAGACTCCATCTCAAAAAAAACAAAAATTTATAAATATGTTTGGATGCCAGATGTTTATTTCCTATATCATGGAATTTTCAGCACAGTTCTATGACATGTTGTTAGTTCACTCTTCCATTTGGGGAAACAGATGATTAAAAACAGTAAGTAACCTGCCTGTGGCCACAGAGACGGTAAGAGCGGGACTCAAATCTAAGTCCGTCTGACTCTGTTCATTCTTCTACATCAGCTTCCCTAGCCACCTCCTTCAAAGAACCTACAGCCTGGTGAAGGAAGAGAATCCAAGGCCAGGATAAATGCCCTGATATCCATTTGTCAGAAGCTTCTGGAGCTTCAGGCAAAACCTCTGGGCTAGCAAACCAGTAGCGATGATTTGGTCTTTCAAGTTCTGGTAGATTCTGATTGGCCTCTCCTGAAGGTAAGGAAAGATTCTAGACAAGGAGATTGGAAAGTCCAAAGAAATGGGTGGAAAAGAGTTGAGGCTGACTTGATTGCAGGGTGTCGAAAGGGGTTGCAGAGGGATGACAGCCATTGTGTGAATAACCCAAGTGGCTGGCTAGAGAAGTTTTAGCTTAGCAGCAGGCACAAGAGAGGCATAAAGGCTTCTAGGCAATGAAGGAACCCAATCCTAGTTGGGCTTTAGGGCCATGACTGTGCTGGGATCATCAGAATGAAGAGGGGCTGAACTTGGAGAGAACAGTGAGGAGCCCTTTGGAAGAGTCAGCAGAGCAGCAAGGCAAATTGAGGAGTGGTGTCTGGGGGTCACAGGTCTCAGAAGTGGCAACGCCGTCAGAAGGCTTTCAAAGTAGCAGCCATCCCATGCATTGGTACAGCTACCTTGCCATATTCAGAACAGCAGGGAACACCTTGGTTGTATCCAGTTGGCACGGAGTTAGAAGGGCCTTGAAAGAAGCAAGCCTTCAAGAGACAAGCTGCTTATGTCAAAAATGTGGGAAGGTAGAGAAGAGAAGGTAAGCTGTTTAAAAGAGTATTAACTTAAAGGAAAGTGTCTTATGAAGTTTAATTTGTTCACTTGTTTTATGGAATACAATATTCGAAGGCAAAATGAAAGGCATCAGAAGAGAGTGAATGGTTGGTACAGCAGGCTCCTAGAGGTGAGAGGAGAATGGATGAGAAACAGAAGAGGCCTATCTTCTTCTGAGATCAAAAAACAGGCTATTAGATAAGACAAAGGTGCAGGTATTGGAGAAAGCTTGTTGAGTTTCCTAATTTTTGTTCAGTAAAATAATTAGAGGCTCATTTCACCTGCTGGGTATTGCAAGATAGAAGGTATTAGGATGGGGACCTGAGTAAAAGTTAAAGGATTTGGAACAACCTCCCAGGGAATGCAAATCCCTGGCAAAATTACATTAAATAAATAAATAATGTTTGCCCTTAGGGTGGCTTTTAAAAGGATAGTAGCCAAATCATTTTATTAAAATATTTTTATTTGCTGTGTTTTGAAAAACCAATTTGTTTCAAGGTCATAACTAAACACTTAATATTCTAAAGTCTCAAACCTTATTGGTCAAGGATGTATTTTAATCACTTGTAAATAAATGGACAATGAATAATTTCAGATACACTGTAAATCTTTTGAATCTTTTAACTTACATATTCTGTTTGACTTGACTTTTTTTCATTCTGAATCACTGAAAATGATTTTTATAAATTCAGATGTCAATTAGAATAAAATATTTGATATTCTCTTTTTTTTTGCTTTTGTTTTGTTTTTGTTTTTTGAGACACAGTCTCACTCTGTCACCCAGGTTAGAGTCAGGTGGCACAATACAGCTCACTGTAGCCTTGACCTCCCAAACCTCATGTAATCCTCCCGCCTCAGCCTGCTGAGTACCTGGGACTACAGGCATGTGGCACCTGTAGTGGAATATTTTGTGTAGAGAGGTCTACAGTGTTGCCTAGGTTGGTCTTGAACTCCTGGGTACAGGCATTCCTCCCACCTCAGCCCCCCAAAGTTCCGGGATTACAGGTGTGAGCCACCTCACTGGGCCTGATATAATCATAAATACATTTTAATATTGATACTTGTAGTATCTGGTTCACACTGCATGTGAAAATAACAAAATCAAGAGTTTAAATACCCTAGGAGCAAAAGAAAGACCTGTAGAACACTGGAACATTTTTCTGTTTCATTGTCCTAAGCCTCAATCTATCATGTATACCAAGTAACTTCCGCCCTTTTTTGGTTCTCAGGGGTTGCAAAATAAAGCACAGAACCTTCCTAGGAAGAGTTCACTGGCCAAGAGAGATGATAGTTCTTACACATTCAAAACTATTTAAACTCAAAGAATAATTGGTTTATTTATAAAGATCTAAAATGTAATCAGTGATACCCAACTAGAGCAAATACATTCTCTGCCATAGCACTTAACTGCATTAAATATTGCCTTAAATTTGACACCTTATATATATTGTGTGTGTGTTTTTAAATTTCATGTGCATGTGACTTTTCTACTGAATAATATTATTAAACTTCTGTGCATTGGGTTATGTTTATAGTCATCATTTTGATAAGCAGTAGCATACTGCTTAGTCACGTAACAGGTGCTTGGTTAATATTTATTGAATTAAATTGGAATGTGTAGTTGACCTGGTCCACTTGCATTGTATATTTTAGAAAAGTAGATGTTAAAGTACCTTGGATTTTTGTGGTTTGCAAGAACATGGACTAGAAATAAAATGCAAAGAAAAAAAGTATTAGCTTTATGCTCTTCAAGCCCCTTTATCCCAGTTGCTGTATGTTACCCTATATGATACAGGCAAATGGTTAAGAACAAAAAGACAGCAATTTTATAGTCACTGTCAATCTTTTTTAATGGTATTGTGTCCAGAATTTATTCCTTCCGGTGGGTTCTTGGTCTCGCTGACTTCAAGAATGAAGCCGCAGACCCCTACGGTGAGTGTTACAGCTCTTAAAGATGGTGTGTCCAGAGTTTGTTCCTTCAGGTGTTCGGATGTGTCCAGAGTTTCTTCCTTCGGTTTGTGGTCTTGCTGACTTAAGGAGTGAAGCCACAGACTTTCGCAGTGAGTATTACAGCTCTTAAAGGTGGCACATCTGGAGTTGTTTGTTCTTCCCTCCTCCCGGTGGGTTCGTGGTCTCGCTAACTTCAGGAGTGAAGCCACAGACCCTTCCAGTGAGTGTTACAGCTCATAAAGGTAGTGTGGACCCAAAGAGTGAGCAGCAGCAAGATTTATTGTGAACAGCAAAAGAAGAAAGCTTCCACAGCATGGAAGGGGACCTGAGCAGGTTGCCGCTGCTGGCTGGGGTGGCCAGCTTTTATTCCCTTATTTGGCCCCGCCCACATCCTGCTGATTGGTCCATTTTACAGAGTGCTGATTGCTCCATTTTACAGAGTTCTGATTGGTGCGTTTTTACAGAGTGCTGATTGGTGCATTTACAATACTTTCGCTAGACACAGAGTGCTTATTGGTGCATTTACAATCTTTTAGCTAGACACAAAAGTTCTCCAAGTCCCCACCGGACCCAGAAGCTCAGGTGGCTTCACCTCTCAGTATCAGGAAAGGAACTGGCTGGACTCAAGTCTGAGATGAATATGCAGAAAATCCTGCTTTTGAGCAGTTGTCTTGGGAACTGTTTTATGGCTCAAGCTAGCTTTAATATTAGAAATTTAATGTAAGAGCACAGAGGGACCTCATAGAGCCCAGCATCCAGGGGTGCAGCCAGACTTTGGGGGATGTAGGACCAAGGGATGATGGCTTTGGTCATCAAGCAGCCATTTTCTTTGTGTTGCTGTTGTTGCTGCTGTTGTTTTAAAGAATGTTTTAGTGCCATTTTGGTTCACAGCAAAATTGGGGAAAGCAGCACAGAGATTTCCCATATATCCCCTTCCACAACTCATGCATACTTTTCATTATCAACATCCCCCACCAGAGTAGAACATTTGTTACAATTGATGAACCTGCATTGACACTTCATTATGACCCAGAGTCCATAGTTTACATTAGGGTTCACTCTTGGTGCTGTACATTCTATGGGTTTGGGTGAATATATAATGACATGTATCTACCATTAAAGTATCATACAGAAAATTTTCACAGCCCTAAAAACTTCTGTGCTACATATTCATTCCTCCCTCCCCACTACCCCTTCCTCAGCAACTACTGATCTTTTTATTATCTTTATAGTTTTACCTTTTCCAGAATGTCTCATAACTGGATTCATATGGTAGGTAGAATTTTCAGATTGGCTTCTTTCACTTAGTAATATGCATTTACATTTCCACCATGCCTTTTCATAACCTAATAGCTCATTTCTTTTTAGTGCTGAATAATCTGTTGTCTGGATGTACCACAGTTTAGTTTCCACTCACCTACTGAAGGATGTATTGGTTGCTTCCAAGTTTTGGCAATGATGAATAAAGCCATCATAAACATTGATGTGAAGGTGTTTGTATAGATGTAAGTTTTCAGTTCCTTTGGATAAATATCAAAGAGCATGATTGCTGGCTTGTATGATGAGTATGTCTCGTTTGGTAATAAACTGCCAAACTGCCTTCCAAAGTGGTGATGCTATCATTTTCATCTTTGCTCTTTTTTCCATATCTGCAGCAGACTAGCTTCCTTTCTACAGTATCATACGGAGTATTTTTGCTGCCCTAAAAACTCTGTGCTCTGCCTATTCATCACTCTCTCCTCCAGCCCCCAGGCAACCACTGATCTTTAATTTCTGTTTCTTCAGAGTTACATGTTATATGGGGTTTGATATTACCATGGTACGCATTCTGGCCTCAGTCCTAAACATAAACATACAGCTCTGGTTCTCAATACCAAATAACCGTTGTTTCAGTGTCTCTTCATTTAAATTCTTGAGAAAGATCCATGATTAACTCAGCTTTAATCAAGTGTCTACACCTGGTCCAAGGACACTTGGTATGAATATGGCTGCTGAGACTCACCCATTCAAAAGAAGCTGTGGAGAAGGGAAGGGGCAAAGTTGCTAATTCAGACAGGATGTTTATTTAGACTGTGTTCAATTATGATAAATGATGCAAAAAAGTTATTTATTAAAGAGTGTCAGTTAACTCACTGTGTTAGCTTGGGTCACCCAGGAAGTGGATGCCAAGGTGGACTTAGGAATTCCAGCTGTTTATTGGGGATAGTGCCTGTGAAAGATAACAGAAAAGGGAGCAGGAGTAGGCAAGGAAAGCCTATAAAAGGAGAGTAGGAAGGAGGAAGACAAGGTAGAAATAGCCTCAGACTGCAGTATAATTCTGAGGAAGTCCTGGCCAGCCCATCAAGGAGATCCAGCACAAAGATTTCTCATTGAGGAGTCCCATTCTGGTTGGAAATGACCTCCAGTTATTGACTGGAGGCCACGTGGGAATAGGATGTTCCCAGCTCTAAGCCTCCAGCAGACCTCAAAAGCATTGTATCTGGAAGCTGTAGCCTGACTCCACTCATTACAGCAAGTTCTTTGAAAGATCCAAGTGGGATACCCCTGTGGCCATCCCCATATTCAGAAAAATCCAGGATGGCTAGAGCCTGGCTTGAAGGCTGTGTAACCAGGAGCAATGCTAAGATTAACCTACTGGATGGCTTTGATCACCCTGGTGGATTGGCTACCAAGTGCTTCTGGATACAGGCATGGAAAACAGAATTCTAGTGAGTAATATCTTCAGCCAGCGATTTACAAAGAAAATGAGTTTTACAAAGAAAATGGAAGTTTAGAGATTAACTGTGAATTCTAATTATCATATTTTCCTCTATCAATTTTACTATGTAAAATCAAGAGATGGTTTAGAAACTATGCTGAATTGAGCAATTAACATGACCTTGAAGAAGGCATTTAAAAATTATTTTTCATCCTCATTTGATAAATTAATCAGTTTCCTCAAATGGTTGTTAGCTTGTTGAGAGAATAATTGTAATTTGGCTAACAAAAATCCAATATTTGTTAGAACTGCTCTGTGTGAACTTCTGTTAAATCTGTTTTGTGTGTGTGTGTGTGTGTGAGTGTTTTTCCTGTTAATTTGTTGCAATTGAAGAAAAGTCTGAAGTCCCAATCAGCTATTAGCCTGGGTTCTATTACTGTCTAGCAGTTTCTGACATGAGAAAACCATGTTACATCATGCCATAAGTAAGGTTGTTAAGCTGTGATACTGTTAACTAGTAAGGAAAAGAAGAACTAACAGAGACCTCAAAAATAACACCACATATCTACAACCATCTGATCTTCGACAAACCTGACAAAAACAAGCAATAGGGAAAGGACTGCCTATTTAATAAATGGTGCTGGGAAAACTGGCTGGTCATATGCAGAAAACAGAAACTGAACCCCTTCCTTAACGCCTTATACAAAAATTGACTCAAGATGGATTAAAGACTTAAATGTAAAACCCAAACCATAAAAACCCTAGAAGAAGACCCAGGCAATACCATTCAGGACATAGACATGGGCAAAGACTACATGACTAAAACATCTAAAGCAATTGCAACAAAAGCCAAAATTGAGAATTGGGATCTAATCAAACTAAAGAGCTTCTGCACAGCAAAAGAAACTATCATCAGATTGAACAGGCAACCTACAGAATGGGAGAAAATTTTCACAATCTACCCATAGGACAAAGGTCTAATATCCAGAATCTACAAGGAACTTAAACAAATTTACAAGAAAAAAAAATCCCATCAAAAAGTGGATGCAGGATATAAACAAACACTTCTCAAAAGAAGGCTGGCAGCCAAGAAACATGAAAAAAAACCTTGTAATCACTGGCCATTAGAGAAATGCAAATGAAAACCACAGTGAGATACCATCTCACGCCAGTTAGAATGGCAATCATTAAAAAGTCAGGAAACAACAGATGTTGGAGAGGATGTGGAGAAATAGGAATGCTTTTACATTGTTGGTGGGAGTGTAAATTAGTTCAACCATTGTGGAAGACAGTGTGGCGATGCCTCAAAAATCTAGAACCAGAAATACCATTTGACCCAGCAATCCCATTACTGGGTATGTACACCAAGGATTATAAACTATTCTATAAAGACACATGCACAAGTATGTTTATTGCACACTATTTACAATAGCAAAGACTTGGAACCAACCCTAATCCCCGTGAGTTATAGACTAGATAAAGCAAATATGGCACATATACACCATGGAATACTATGCAATCATAAAAATGCATGAGTTCATGTCCTTTGCAGGGACATGGATGAAGCTGGAAGCCATCATTTTCAGCCAACAAACACAGGGACAGAAAACCAAACACTGCATGTTCTCACTCATAAGTGGAAGTTGAACAATGAGAATACATGGACACAGGGAGGGGAACATCACATACCAGGGCCTGTCAGGGGTAGGGGGAAAGGCAAGGCAGAGCATTAGGACAAATATCTAATGCATGTGGGGCTTAAAACTTAGATAATCAGTTGATGGGTGCAGCAAACCACCATGGCACGTTTATACCTATGTAACAAACCTGCACATTCTGCACATGTATCCCAGAACTTAAAATTTTTAAAAAATAACAGGAAGGGCATTAAAGAAAAAAAAAAAGAAAAAGCAGTCGTATAGAATTACTATTGTTAAGGTTTCAAAAGGTAGATTGATCCCATTTTGCTAAAGCCAACAGTTCCTTCACTCTTAAAACTTATATAATGCTGACAAAGGGTCACAGGCCTAATTTTTAGGAAATACTCATTCTGCCAGTAATAGTCTGTGCCATATGACTTTACTATGTCACTTACCAGCTCTAGGCCTTAGTTTACTTCTCTGTAAAATAAAGGAGGCTGATTATTATAGCTAAAATATATTTAAAATAAATAGCTAAAACATATTCAGCACTTGAGTGCTATGATTTCCTTTACTTCTTTAAAAATGCTAGTAATTTCCATATAAACACAAAGTCCAAAGATCTAAAAGCTAAATGTCAACCTAGATGTTGACCTTGTTCAATCTAAATTTTTCAAGGGAATACATGTATCCTATTAGTTTGCTGCAGAAGTATTTGCGGCTTTTGTCATTAAAATACTTATGCACCAACTTAAATATATCTTTTAATTTCCAAAGTAAATTACTTTCCTATACATACAATTTAGTATTTTTGAGACTCTTATTAAGTCTTCTAGGGATAAAACTAGTAGGAAGATTCACTCTCAAATACAAAAGAGAAGATGGCCCAGCAGTAAGGCAATATCATTGTAAAAAGCAGAGATAAAACCCTGTCTTTTAGCAACTTTGTCAAATTAATGATCCCCCCCAACACAGGTACCAAAATCCCATTTCTCTTCCCCAGCTGTGTGTTACCACACGGTGCAAAGTCACTGGGGAAAAGAAGAAAACAGATCAGCAGGAAATATGAAGACAGCAAGCAAAGCAGATTTGACAGTTGCCAAGAAGTGGCCTCAGATGTGCAATCCGGGATCTCTTGCTGGGCAAATGAGAAAAGCAAAACCAAAAGGTTCTGTTCAGTAAACGCACATGGATGTGCCCCACTGCACAGAACCCTGTGTGTACCTTTACTCATGGGTGCCTAGAGCAGGTTTGCATTCAAATTAGAGGAAGCTGTGTGCATATAAACTATGGTGGGGTGTGTGTCGGGGGGCGCAATTCTTAGCCATAGAATCCATTGCCAGAGATCCAAGAAGTGCTTTAAAGAGATTATACTTCATGTGATTGCCTTTCACGGGCCCTGAGAATCTCCTTGTAAGTTACATCAAACACGAGTTTACAGACATCATGACAATGGGAACTCACCGATGGCAATGAAAATATGGGGAGTGGAACAGGAGCAGCAGTGCTTGAATGACAGAAATCAGTACAGCTGCTAGATTAGTAACCACACATTTTTAAAAACTAACATATATTGTGAAAATAAATTGTCACTATCTTGATTAATCCATTTCTGTTTAATAGTTAACATTTTAACTGAAGATAATAAAGACTAATTTCTTCAAAGTTTTTGGTAGATAACTATATATATACCTCACTATCTGACTTTTTAAATAAAATGCTCAGAATTGCAAAGAGGATATTTTCTTTTCAGGAATTATTCCAGACAAGTACTCCAAACATAAAAGTTAGAAAATGTTTTACTAGGCCTTTTCCACAGTAACAGAAAAATCAGTTTATAGTTATGAGTGTTGGGCTTTCTGTTTTCCTTATCCACAAAAGCTATAAGGAATTGCTAACATAGTTGTGGCTTTCATTCTTCCAAATAATTCCCAATTCACTTGGAAATTTCTTTTTATTCCAAAAGATCTTTTTCCTATCATTTGCTTTGCTATTTTATATAGTCAGTGTTTACTCAATAAAAGCATTTGAAGTTTAAAAAAGCATTCTCTCCTCTAATCTTTGAGTTAGATTTTTCCCATATCTCCCTTGGCATGTGTTGGGATGAAAGTGGCCAGGACTCAAACTAGAAAATAGGTACTTGTTTTCACTTTCAATCTGCTTATTCCAGTTCAGAGTCATGGGTGGCCAGAGCTTATCTGGCCTCTCCTTGTCTTCACTTCCTCGTTTACGTTCGCCAATCCAATCAGTATGAGAGTGAACCTCAGCACCCTCTGGGTTCTTCCTGAAATAATTATAATCATGCAAAGCCTTGCTTTCTTCATAGTCACAACAAAATGGCAGGACAAATCCTCTGTTCCCTAATCCTTCCCTCCTTCAAAATTCTTTTTGCACAAACCTCTATCAATCCAGGGTGGGTGTGGGCAGGACCCAGAATTTAATGTTTCTTGAGTGATAATGGTGTTATATTATTTTCTAAAATGCATCGAAATGAGCTGTTAGGTTTCATGAAACATTCCTTCACTTTAAAATTGCTCCATATGTTTAAGCAAATGAAAAGGGTCTCCTAAAACGCCTAGAAGACAAATTTAGTCCCTATTTGTTTCTGACACAGAGATGAAGGCAACTCTAGAGTCCAACTGAGATTATTGCTTTCTTTCTTGAACCCTGAACTTCAACTGCATTCAACCAGGATGCAGTTGGCATCTTCTGGAAAGGATTATTTGTTCACTTCTTAGCAGGCTAGTTTTAATTTCATATGAAGGCAGAAAGACTCTTTTGTTTCCATTGCTGCATTGAATAGGTGTGTGTGTGTGTGTATATGTGTGTGTATACAGCAGGTCTTTGAATAAAGTTGTTTCATTCAAAGTTGTTTAGTTATAACATTGGTGAGAAAAAACATTGATTCCAGGCTGGGGCCCCTGCCTGTGTGGAGTCTTCATGCTCTCCCCATTGTCCATGATGGTTCTCTCTGGCACCTCTGCTTTCCTCCCACATCCCAAAGGTGTGCCTGTGAGGTTCATCTGTGTGAGGTTCACATGGTCCCACTATGAGTGAGTGTGGGAATCGGTGTGGGTGTGAGTGTGCCCTGTCATGGGATGGCATCCTGTACCAGGTGAGTTCCCACCCAGATAGGCTCTAGCTGCCCATGACTCTGAACTGGAATAAGCAGATTGAAAAAATGAATGAATGAATGAATGAATGAATGAAGACAAATGATTGTAAACATCTGTCAAGTCTAGGATAATCATCCAAATGCACAGCAATAAATGATGCAGTACAGTAGCACTCAGTGAGCTGCCATATCTGTGGGATTGTGAACTGTATGAGGGGAGGAGGTGCTCCTTACAATTTTTGCTTTGCAAACCTTTATTTCTTGATTTAACTCACCACCATTACAACTGCCATCACTGATTCACCAAAAATTGAGTAAATAATTATCTTGTGTTCATTAGTCTTTCTTAAATATATGTATAGCTCACACTTAGTTCAATGTTTAATATTAGAAATATTTTGTCTTTATTTAGAAGTTTGGGAATGTTTTGTGACCGTAAATGTTGCCATAGGAACTTAACTCTTGGTTGTATCACTTAGCCTGTGGTAAAATTGGTTTTGTTATATGTCATTTTGCTTAAAGTTGCAGTTTCCAGAAACCTATCCATGATGTTAAGTGAAGATTTACTACATACATATATATATACACACACACACACACACATATATATATCATTACTTGTAAGTATTACATATATATAACATTACATATCTATGATGTTAAGTGAAGACATAGTACACATATAAAACATTACTTGTAAGTATTACATTTATATAACGCTATATATATATATATATATATATATATACATACACACACACACACATGCACACTTACTACTTATATTACCTAACATTATTGTATTAGTCAGGGTTTTCCAGAGAAACAAAACCAGCAGGCTGTGTGTGTGTACACATAGAAAGATTTATTTTAGGGAATTGTCTCATGTGATTGCATAGGCTTGGCAAATCCAAAATGTATGGAGTAGGCCAGCAGGCTGGAGACCCGGGGAGAGTTGCATTTCAATTCCAAAGGCAGTCTGCTGGCAGAATTGCTTATTGCTTGGGGAGGGCAGTCTTTTCTATTTAGGCCATTGGCGATTGGAAGAAGCCCACCCACATTATAGAGGGTAATCTGCTTTACTCAGAGGCCACAGATGTAAATGTTAATCTCATCCAAAAAGCTCCTTCACACAGACATCCAGAATAATGTTTGACTGAATATCTGGCCACTATGGCTCAGCCAAGTTGACATATAACATTCACTATCACAATTATATAACATTAATAGGCACTATGTGCAAGACACTTTTTGCGGGATGGAGTGACATTAACCACTTCATCTATCCCTTCCCATTCTTGGCCCTACATAAAGAGAGAATACTTTGGAAAGCAAATACTTTAGTACCTTCTGTGGTTTAAAAGGAGTAGTGCTGACTCATATCTTTAGAAACTGTCTCTAAAAAGGCTAGAAGTTTGGAGAGTATCTTGTAGCTAGCATAATGGAAACAGAAGGAGATCACATGGCTTTGTCATCAACTCAGCTCCCAGCTTCTCTGGGCTATTTTCTTTCTAGTACCTTTCCATTATTTTAGTTACAAGATACTCTCCAAACTTCTAGGAAAATTATTCCAAAATATCATTAATTTTAAATACATTAATAACATTGATGGTTCTTTCTGTCTCCTAGTGCAATTTCCTTACATCAATGGATGATAGTATGATGTGGAAACAGCAAAGGATTTTCTTTTAAGAAAAATGTCTGGACTGACAACTGTCACTTACTAGGAAGTATCTTAATCTTTCCAAACCTCAGTTTTCTCAACTGTAGAATGGGAATAAAGTTGGTAATGTCCATAGCTACCTCACTTGACTGTAAAGAACAACTGAGATAAATATGTGGCAGTATTTGAAAAATGATAAAGCATCGTGGCCTTGGTTGTTATTCTCACTTTCTATTAAGTTCAGTTATAGAACCTTGGGCCCCACTCAAGGGCCCAGTTTTCTTAGCATGGGTGTGGAAATTGTGACTACTAAAAAACAGGCAACTTTTATGTCTACAGGAGATTACTAACTTATTATATAGGAATTTGACCTTCATCTTGGTAGAGGGGATTTCATCCTGGTGGATCTGCAGCCCTACCTGGAATATGCTGAGCTTCATATTGTCAACTTCAGGCAAATGCTTTTCTCCTCCAGTACAGCCATTCTTCTCTGCATTCATTGGAACACTCAGAACATTATTAGATGTACCTTCTGTCTTATCTGGATGAACTAAAAACAGAAATGGGTAGTTTTATAGTTTTATAATATTTTATAATAATTGTATAATAATAGGCTTTGTTGCTTTTGACAAAAAGAACTATCTGTGATGCAAGCAACAATCTTGTGCCCTTAAAGCCCATGTCCTCAAATACTAAAGTAAACCTAAAATCTTAGCAGTGTTCTTTAGGTGTTGCAAAGTGTTAGTAGGAAAAATCCTAACTGTGCAATGTCTCCAAAGTTTGTGGAGTTTTTTCCTTTAAGGATATTGTTTCTAGCTTAGCTGAAGTTCTCCATCTCTATGGGGATTTCCTTTCACCCACTACTAGTCTTTAAGAACATTTCAATTTTACTGCTATCAACTGCAATTTCGTACTTTGATAAGATTCATTACTGTACCCCATCCTGATCTCTTTTCAAAATATTGATCAACTAGATTACTAAAATAATCAAAATAATAGTGGAAAAGCTTTCTGTTTATCCTTCACATATATTTCTATTAGTTGGTAAAATCACCCACATCCCCACTAAGTCCTGTACCAAGCATAAATACCACATAGTATAACAAGTACTAAGAATTTTTGAAACTTAATGTTACTGTTTTATCAACCTGAATGGAAAACTATTTTGCATTTTTTTCTTTTCTTTTTGTACTTCTGAATTTGTGAAGTCATATCTTCAACAATTCATTCAACCAACTTTTATTGAGAATACCATATTGTATGTGCCTCAAATCATCATACACAGAGCAACTTGATGAGTTTTCCTAAATCTAAGCTCTGGCTGTATCACCCCAAAGCCCCATCATTGCCTATTGAATTAAGTCAGATTCCTTTCCTAGAATTCAAGGGCCTCCATAATGCATCGATACCATGATCCAACTGAGCTGTCTTCCCACATATGTCCTGCCATTTTCTCTGTCTTGGAATGTTCTCTCTCTTGGTATCTTTTTTTTCCAGTGGTGCCCATTTGAAATGCCTCCTTTTCCATGAAGTCTGTCCTGTCACCAAATAAATGTCATTTCTCCATTTATAATAGATCCTTAGCCTGTTTTTATTCCCCCTGTACCATAGTCATCTTTGAGCTTTCCTAGTCTACTCTGTGAAAACTGTAAGCTTCTATAAAGCAGGAGCTCTGTCTCAACCATATCACTCATTCAGGCACATTTCAGAAGCATACAGTATTTCTTAGAGGATGACAGCAGGGAACCCAGAAATATTTTTTAAGTTCTTTTGAGTCCTTGTATTTTCAAGGTTAACACAATTCCATTTTAGTAAAAAGCCTCTGTAATCTCAATATATATGAGTAGATTGTTTTTTCTGGTAGGGATAGAGGGAAATAATGCAATGTCAATGTGGCACTAGGTAACACATTAATTATGAGTGAAGTGATTCTATGATACAAATCCACTGCATGAAAGCAACAGTTGGAGCTGTAAAGAGACAGGTCATTTCTAGGTTGGGGAATGGTCAGGATGGGTGTATTAGTCCATTCTTGTGCTGCTAATAAAGACAGACCTGAGAAATCATGGCAGAAGGGGAAGAAAACATGTCCTTCTTCACATGGCAGTAGGAGAGAGAAGAATGAGAGCCAAGTGAAGGTGGAAGCCCCTTATAAAACCATTAGGTTTCATGATAACTTACTCTCTATCACAAGAATAACATAGGGGAAACTACCCCTATGATTCAATTAACTGCCACTGGGTTCCTCCCACAATACATGGGGATTATGGGAACTACAGTTCAAGATGAGATTCGGGTACAGACACAGCCAAACCATATCATTCCACTTCTGGCCTCTCCCAAATCTCATGTCCTCATATTTCAAAACACAATTATGCCTTTCCAATAGTCCTCCAAAGTCTCAATTCATTCAAGCATTTACCCAGAAGGCCAAGTCCAAGGTCTCATCTGAGACAAAGCAAGTCCCTTCCACCTATGAGCCTGTAAGATCAAAAGCAAGTTAGTTATTTGTTGATACTATGGGGGTAGAGGAATTGGGTAAACACACCCAATGGGAGAAATTGGCCAAAACAAAGGGCCACAGGCCCTATGTGAGGCCAAAATCCAATAGGAGAGTCATTAAACCTTAAAGTTCCAAAATTATCTCCTTTGACTCCATATCTCACATCCAGGGCACACTGATGCAAGAGTTCGGCTCCCACAGCTTTGGAAAGCTCTGCCCCCTGTGGCTTTGCAGGGTATAGCCCTCCTCCTGGCTGCTTTCATGGGCTGGCATTGAGTGTCTACAGCTTTTCTGGGCAAGCGGTGTAAGCTGTCAGTGGATCTACCATACCAGGATCTGGAGGACAGTGGCCCTCTTCTCACAGCTCCACCAGACAGTGCCCCAAAAGGGACACTGTGTGGGGGCTCTGACCCCACATTTCCATTCTGCACTGCCCTAGCAGAGGCTCTCCATGAGGGCTCAGCCCCTGCAGCAAACTCCTGCCTGGACATCCAGGTGTTTCCATACATCCTCTGAAATATAGGTGGAGATTCCCAAACCTCAATTCTTGACTTCTGTGCACCCACAAGCCCAACACAACATCTAAGCCACCAGGGCTTGGGGCTTGAACCCTCTGAAGCAATGGCCTGAGCTGTACATTAGCCCATTTTAGCCACAGCTGGAGCTGAAGCAGCTGGGAAGCAGGGCACCATGTCCCTGAGTGGCATAGAGCAGGGGTACCCCCAGGCCTGGGCCACAAAACCATTTTTTCCTCCTAAGGCTCTAGGCCTGTGATGGGAGGGGCTGGTGTGAAGGTGTGTGACATGCCATGGAGACATTTTCCCCATTGTCTTGGCTATTAACATTTGACTCCTTGTTACCTATGCAAATTTCTGCAGCCAGCTTGAATTTCTTCCCAGAAAATGGGCTTTTCTTTTCTTTTTTTTTTTTGAAATGGAGTCTTGCTCTGTTGCCCAGGCTGGAGTGCAGTGGTGCGATCTCAGCTCACTGCAAGCTCCACCTCACAGGTTACGCCATTCTCCTGCCTCAGCGTCCTGAGTAGGTGGGACTACAGGCACCCACCACCACACCCAGCTAATTTTTTGTATTTTTAGTAGAGACGGGGTTTCACCATGTTAACCAGGATGGTCTCGATCTCCTGACCTTGTGATCTGCCTGCCTTGGCCTCCCAAAGTGCTGGGATTACAGGCGTGAGCCACCGCACCTGGCCTGGACTTTTCTTTTCTATTGCATCATCAGGCCACAAGTTTTCCAAACTTCCATGCTCTGCTTCCTCTTGAATGCTTTGCTGCTTAGAAATTTCTTCCGCCAGATACCCTAAATCATCTCTCTCAAGTTCAAATTTCCACAGATCTCTAGGGCTGGGAAAAATGCAGCCAATCTCTTTGCATAGCAAGAGTGACCTCTACTCCAGTTCCCAAGAAGTTCCTCATCTCCATCTGAGACCATCTCAGCCTGGACTTTATTGTCCATATGACTATCAGCATTTTGGTCAAAGCCATTCAACTAGTCTCTAGGAAGTTCCAAACTTTCTCACATTTTTTCTATCTTCTTCTGAGCCCTCCAAACTGTTCCAGCCTCTGCCTATGACCCAGTTCCAATGTCACTTCCACATTTTCAGTATCTTTATAATAGCACCCCACACCTGGTACCAATTTACTGTATTAGTCTGTTCTCACGCTACTATAAGGATATACCTGAGACTAGGTAATTTATAAAGGAAAGAGGTTTAATTGACTCACAGTTCCACAGGGCTGGAGAGATCTCAGGAAACATAATCATGTGGAAGGGGAGGCAAATACGTCCTTCTTCACGTGGCATCATGAGAGAGAAGAATGAGAGCCGAGTGAAGCAGGGAGCCCCTTATAAAACCATCAGATCTCATGAGAACTCACTATCACAAGAATAGCCTGGGGGAAACTGCCCCCATGATTCAATTGCCTCCCACTGGGTCCCTCTCTCAACACATGGGGATTACGGGATCTACAGTTCAAGATAAGATTTGAGTGGGTCCACGGCCAAGCCATAGCAAAGGTCTTGGGTAGGACTTAATTCACTGAAGTGATCTTAAAATGTTACCTTCAGCTACTAAGTTTGTCAAGCAGAGGGATGTTCACAAGCAAGGACATAAAGAAATTAAACTGCGAGATTGTTGAGGACCTTCAATGAATTTGGGATGGCTGGTTTATGGGGTGCAAGAGAATAACATTTAACTAAATGAAAGAGCCAATTATGGTGCAAGTTCTAAGGCCCTGAGTATCATTACTATTGCTTATCTCTATATCCCAAGCAGCAACAAACACAATGCCTTACACATAGTTTGTGTTCAATTAATGTGTATTACATTTATTCATTAATTTGTATTAGTCTAGGGCTTTTATAATGATAGTTTAGTTTCACCATTTTTTTTGAGTAGTCTTAAAAAAAAGTCTCTCTCTGTACCTTCTTCAACCAATCTACAACTAGGTTTTTTGTAGGAATTTTATTAATAGATACCAAACAATGTAACATCTTTACATGCAGATTCCAAAGATACCCTAGAAGAGCAGAGGGTTGCACTTCCTCTCTCTCACTTTGCATTCCTCCTAAGAAATACTTGCCCCTAACTCAAAGGGCAGAAGGAGTCAGGGCTCTTTCAGCATTAAAATTCTCTATAGTTTTCTGGGAGAGGCACATGTTCTGAGTGTGAGGAGAACTGTTCTGGTTATTGTTTATAAATTGTTTTCATCTTCTATTTCTTATAACAGATTATAAATTTATGTTTTCTGATGCTTCATACTATTATGAGGATTTGGTTGGCAAATTATCTTACAATAACCACCCATATATTCATGCATGGCCCAATTCGCCTTCCTTTGCTTTCATATGTAGAATTTCCTTCATGATGCTTTCTAAAGAGAGGTAAGATCTCCCGCCTATGTAGGTAGGTCGAGCACATTTGCTCCAAATAAATGAAGATATTTCACATTTTCTTTTTCACACTCACCCACAATTCTTCTTCCAGAGGTACTCCACTAAATTGTTTCTTACTTTGGGACAATACTAATATGGTTCCTTGCAATCTTTCTCTTATAATATATGCTAATATAAAAGCAAAGTTAAATATATTCATATATTCAGAGTTGCTTATTCTCCTGATTTCAAATATGTCAGAAAGCTCTTAACACATTTAGTTACTAATCCTCAAAACCAACAAAATAGATATTCAAAGATTGCAGCATGATCTAATGGAGAAAATGTAAAATCAATAAGCCAAAATTTTTATATGATAAATGGATTCATTAAAATCTGGATGTGAAAAAAAAAACCAGTTTTGGTGTCTTCCATTTTTGTGCCAGACCATATTGTCCCTTGAATCATTTTAACAAATGAGAAAGTACAAACACAAGAGTCAAAATATGGTTAGCTTCCATGCACCTTTTAATTCCTATGAAATACAAAGAGCAAACTATTCTTAGATATTACTTGCATTGCTCTCAGTCTGCCTCCGAAAGCTGGGAAAAAAACAATGTCCAGTTAAATCCTACAACCTGAGCTGGTGTTACCTGTTCCTGTTGGAGGCAAATGACAAAACGTATATCTACTGCTTCATTGAATGTGCTGCAGCAGCTGAAGGAAGCCTCACCCCAGTCCTCCCTACCCCGTTCTACTTTTTCCTGGGTCTATGAAGGCAGAGGAAATGTACCCAAGTTTCCGTAATTCTTTGCTGAGTAAAGGCCCTTGTCCAGGCACTTGTGTAATCCTCAAATAAAAGAACGAATCCTTCCAAATATATTCGGAATCAGCAGAGTAAATCAGCAGGGTCCCTAAACAACAGCAACAGTTCAGGTAGAAGAACTTGCAATTTTAAGCAAATAAGTAACTATTTTACAAAAAAAAAAAAAAAAATGCAACTACTGATCAGTGGCAGAACGTAAATGGAAAAAAATGGTCATGAAAGTTATCAATATTGCTTTTTCTTATAAAAAGGATAAATGAAAACATGAAACTAGGCCATATGAAGTTCAGGCCTCTGTCGTCAATCTTCCAATGCCATAGTGGACTTCACTATTTTTACCCTGGATTTCTAAATTAGCTTTCTAACTGATTTATCGCTCTCACTGTCCTCCTTGCAGTCTATCTTCTATAATTCTGGAATGATTTATTTTTCTCAAACATAAACCTGATCAAGTCACACTGCCCTGCTGATCAGTCCGTTCAACTCATTTCTGCCTGTATTTCTATCCTTTCCTGTTGTGTCTTCCATTGTAGGCTTTACTTTCTCCACACTGACATGTACACAGTGCCTAAAATTACTATGATTTTTCACTTACCTGTATGCACTCACTATCTCATATTTCATAGATCCTATAAGATTTGCTATACTTTTCTTAAAAGCATTTCCTGACCAACAGACCAAACAAGGGTAGAAACAACCCCTGCTCAAAAAAGGCAGAATGCATGCTAATCATACCCACTTTAATGTTGCCCTTGATTTTACAGCCTCACATTTGCTTTTGACTGTGCGTTTGCTGAAGACAGGAACTGTGTCTTGTCAATCATGTATCCTCAGTGCCCAGTACAGGGCTTGACACAAAGCAGGCAACAAAAATGTTTTCTTTTATTGTGTTTTTCCATAAATAAATCCTTTAAAGAGTGGAAGAGACAGAAAAGAAAATGAATGGCATACAATATCAATTGCAGTTTTGATGACATCTCTATACCTGTAGTGAATATGATCATGATATTTATGCTGAAGATTTAAATCATAAGAGAAACCTTAAGAAATGAGTGGCAGTGTTGGGAAAAGTGTGATGATAAGGTGGGTGGCAGTCTCAACCTGCACACTGCTAGATATATTCAGAAAGATGAATTCATGCAGGCTGGACAGACATTTCAGATGTCAACCCTTCCAGACCAAAACTGGCAAAAGCAATTGAAACCATAGCAGAGAAATACATCTAAAAGTGAATATGTAAGAGCACTCTACTAGAAAACCATTTTAAAAATAAATAACTCAAAGCTGAGGATTATGGAGACTAAACATATAGTTAAGTTTCTTGGCACAAAACAGTAAGATGACCAGACTACATTTAACTTATAGAGTCTACTTCCTTTAAAATGTCATGAGCAGTCAAAAGAAGAAATAGCCTTTAATTCTTCCTCCAAGAGATATCTTTCTATTTGGCTAAGCAGAATTTGAAAAATTGCCACAAGCAATTCAAATTAAAATTTAAGTAAATGTTGGAAACTGGTCCTGTTTGGACAATTATCCACCATCCAGGATAATTTGTGACAGTTTCCATTATGTTTTCTGTTATGCAGGAAATGAAAGTCCACATGTTTAAGAAAAAAAATACTATTCCACTTGTCTGAAAGCAATCAAGGCACCTTCCTGACCCATATTTACCAACATCTCTTATAAAAGTAATTCTTATCATGAAAAAAACTATTACAATACAAATGTACTAAAGAGAGGTATATAATATATGATACAGTAGTAAGGACTCACTTTATACGACCTTCGAACTCGTATCACCAGTAATGAACATTTCCCATGGAAAGGTAAATCATGTATTTTTGGTCTCCTTTTTTTGTCCTGTTATAGACTGGTTCTAAAAGCCACTGGCTTACACAAAGTTTTGAAAAATGGTGGTGTAAGCAAAGAAAGCATAAAGAAAGCAGTCTGTTATCCCATAATCACAGACTCTCCCACTGGGTAGACAGGACTCTCTAGGACACTGTTTAAAAATTGTGTTCCCAAGACCATCCTGGCTAACACGGTGAAACCCCGTCTCTACTAAATACACAAAAAATTAGCCGGGCGAGGTTGCCTGTAGTCCCAGCTACTCGGGAGGCTGAGGCAGGAGAATGGCGTGAACCCGGGAGGCGGAGCTTGCAGTGAGCCGAGATCGTGCCACTGCACTTCAGCCTGGGCGACAGAGCAAGACTCCGTCTCAAAAAAAAAATAAAATTGTGTTCCATGTGTGGGCTGTAAGGGGGCTGATGATTCCCAAAATCTATTTCCAGTTGTTTTCATATGGTCATTTGTCAGGAGAGGGAGTTTATAAATTTTATCTGACTCTCATAGTATTAGGTGATTTCCTCCCCAAATTAAGAAAGAAGGAACTCATCCCAACACCTCTTTAGCCTTGAGTAATGCACCTTGTAGCTCAATGCCTTGTATTTAGAATGCTGCCCTGGAATACTCCAAGAGAAAATTTGGAGACAATGGATGTTATTTTCCAAAGAACCTTCTGGGTCTCAGGAGACGCAGCTGCTTGTTTTTGTATTTTAATGTTATGTGGTTTGCTACATGCTGCTAGAATGGATGGAGTTGGGGAAGCCTGGTTCACCTGAGCTTGTTTTGAAATGAAGATATGCCTTTTTATCTGCAGGAAGACAGCAGCAGGGTTAGGCTCTGTTAATCAAAACTCCAGTGCTGGCTGACTTCTAAGGAGATCCATTGTCTTAATCCATTCAGGCAACTATAACAAAATACCATGAACAAGGTGGCTTATAAACAGCATTTATTTCTCACAGTTCTGAAGGCTGAAAGTCCAGCATCAAGGCTTGCCAGCAGATTGAGTGTCTAGTGAAACCCCTCTTCCTGGTTCGTAGGTGGTATCTTCTCACTGTAACCTCGCATGGTAAAAGGGGACAGTGAGCTCCCTTGGGGCATATGTTTTAAGGGCACTAATCCTATTCATGAGGGCTCCACCCTCATGACAGAATCACCTCCCCAAAGGCCCCACCTCCTGATATTGTCACCTTGGGAGTTAGGATTTCAATACATGACTTTTGGGGGCACATAAACATTGAGACCATAGCACCCAAGAGAATCCAGGAGAAATATTCCAAGAGAATCCTTCTGAAACCCAGCTCTGATGGAAAACGATCCAGTTAGTGATTGCAGAATCCCAAGAACATGATCAAAACCCTATTATAAAGCCTCAGGAAAGCTGCAATAATAGTGGGAAAACTCCTGTGATGAGGAACTAGCACTCTTCATAACCACACTTCCAATTTTGGATCCATATGCCTGTGCTCTTTATATCAATTTGTTTTTCCTGAATCAGTTGGTATTGACTGTACCCATTTTAGGTGCAATGTTCAATGAGACTTGACGAAAGTGTAAACCCATGTAACTACATCACAATCAAGATACAGAACATTGCCATCATCCTAAAAGGTGATTCATGCTCTTTGCAATCAGTCACTCCCACAACCACAGGGAAACCACATTCCTATCACTATAGATTAGTTTTCTCTAGTCTGAAAGTTTATGCAAATGTAATCATACAGTACTTATTACATATTTACTACATACTTACTTTGCTCAACATGTTTTTGAAAGCCATTCACAGTGTTGCTTGTATTAGGAGCTTCTTGATACACACACACACACACACACACACACACACACACACCTGTTGGGATGTTTATTACAGGTGCGTCCTGTGGAGGCTCTAGAGAACAAACCATTTCCTTGCCTTTTTCAGCTTCTAGAGCCTCAGTCCTTGCATGCCTTGGCTCATGAACCCTTACTTTATCTCCAAAGCCAACAATGTACTGTCTTCAAATCTCTCTCCACCTTGGTCTCATTGCCCTCTCCTATGTGTGGTTGTCTCCCTCTCCCTCCCTCTTCTAAGGACATTTGTGATCATGCTTAGGACCCACAAAGATGAGCCAGAATTAACCTCCCCATCTCAAGATCCTTAATTATATCACATCTGCAAAGTCTATTTTGCCCCATAAGGTAATATTTATAGATTTCAGTGATTAGGACCTGGAAATTTGGGGAAGGCATAATTTAGCCTACTACAATGAGCAAGTCAGAGAGTGAAGAATCCGGTCAACATCCAGGAACCATATCATACCATGGCATGGTTTCTTTAAGAAACCTCCATACTGTTTCCCATGGTGACTGCACCGTTTTATATTCCCACCAACAGTGTGCAAGGGTTTCAATTTCTCTACATCCTTACCAACACTTATTGTCTTTTGGTTTTTAGGTTGTTATAATAGCCATCTTCACAGGTCTGAGCTGATACCTCATTGTAGGGTTGTATTTTGCTTTTATTGCAACTGATTTTTTGTGTGCTAATGACATTCATTCTTATTCCATGTCAACCCAGGAACGAAATTATATTTTACATTAAATATTGATAATCACAATTGAATTTGCCTGGCTCTCAGGTTGCATTTCTTCCAGTCTATTATTCCTGACACCTGCAGTTCTGCATGTGAATTCTAGCAAGCAGTTATCTTGCCTAAGCATTTATTATCTTTTCCTCATTCTATATTTTGTGACAAACTTCAATTCTCCAAGCAGCAGCTATTCCTAAAGGATGTTGGGTAGTTCACAGTGATGTTTCCGGGTTTGAATCTTATCTCTGCTGATCACCTGTTGGGTGAAGTTTAAGTTACTCTACACTTCAGTTTGACATTTCAGTTTGACCACATGTTAGATAAAATAATACAGAGTGGCAAACCAATAAATAGTGACTATATGTGTGTATATTTGTTTTATATAAATATATATATATATTTAATTGCAATAAGAATACTTAACAAGAGATCTACCCTCAACAAATTTTTAGGTATACAATACATAATTGTTGACCACAGGTACTGTGTTGTACAGCAGATCTTTAGAGCTTATGCATCTTGCTGACTGAAGCTTTACTAACTGCCCATTTCCCTCTCCCCATATCTCCCAGAAAACATCATTTGATTCTATGAATTTTACTATTTTAGATAATTCAGATAAGTAGAATCATGCACTATTTGTCTTTCTGTGACTGGCTTATTTCACTTAGCATAATGTCCTCAAGGTTCCTCCATGTTTTCTCATATTGCAGAATTTCCTTTTTTTAAAGGGTGAATAGTATTGCATTGTATGAACATGCATTTTCTTTATACATTCATCTGCCAATGAATATTTACATTGTTTCCACATTTTTGCTATTGTGAATAATGTTGCAATGAATATGGAAGTGGAAACATCTCCTCAAGATCCTGATTTCCATTCTTTTGGATAGAAACCCAGGAGTGGAATTGCTAGATCAAATGGCACTTCTATTTTTAATTCTTTGAGGAACCTCCATAACGTTTCCCATGGTGACTGCACCGTTTTATATTCCCACCAACAGTGTGTGTTTCAATTTCTCCACATCCTTACCAACACTTATTGTCTTTTGGTTTTTAGGTTGTTATAATAGCGATCTTCACAGTTCTGAGCTGATACCTCATTGTAGTTTTGATTAGCATTTCCCTGATGATTAGAGATGGTGAGCATTTTTTTTCCATATAACTGTTGGCTGTATTTATGTCTTTTTTGGCGAAATATCTATTCAAGTTTTTAGCTCAGTTTGAATTGGGTTATTAGTTTTTTCACTCTTGAGTTATAGAAGTTTCTTATATATTTTGGAGATTAAACCCTTATCAGATAAATGGTTTACAAATATTTTATCCCATTTTGTAGGTTGCCTTTTCACTCTGTTGATTGCTTCCTTTGCTGGGTAGGAGCTTTTTAGTTTAATGTAGTTCCACTTGTTAATTTTTGCTTTTGTTGCCTGTGGTTTTGTTGTCATATCCATGAAATCATTGTCAAGATTAAAGTCTTAGCCAGAGCAATTAGGCAAGAAAAAAATAAAAAGGCATCAACATCAGCAACAAAGAAGTAAAAGTGCCCTGGTTTGCAAATGACATGATCTTATATAGAGAAAACCTTGAGGACTCCATAAAAAACTGTCTAATAAATGAATTCAATAAGTTGCAGTATACAAAATCAACATACAAATATCTGACCACGTGCAGTGGCTCATGCCTGTAATCCCAGCACTTTGGGAGGCTGAAGCGGGAGGATCCCTTGAGGCCAGGAGTTCAAGACCAGCCTGGGCCACAAAGCAAAACCCTTTCTCTACAAAATAAACATAAAATATTAGCCAGGCATGGTGACACAGGCCTATAGTCCCAGCTACTCAGGAGGCTGAGGCAAGAGGATTGATGGAGCTTAGGAGTTTGAGGCTGCAGTGAGCTTTGATTGTGCCACTGCACTGAAGCCTTGGCAACAGAGTGAGACCCTGTTTCTAAAAATATAAATAAAAATTAAAAATAAAAAAAAATTAAAAATTATCCTTCCAGTAAGAAATAGCTTATGGTAGAAGAAAAAAAATCAGTTGCTTTTCTGTACATTAACAATGAACCATCTGAAAAGGAAATTACAAAAACAATCCATTTTCATTATCACCAAAAAGAATAAATATCTAGGAATAAACTTAGCTGAGGAGATGAAATGGATGTATACTGAAAACTATAGAACATGAATGAAAGAAGCTAAGACACAAACAAATGGAAAGACAGCCTGCATTAGAAGAGCTACTATTATTGTTAAAATGTCCATACTACCCAAAGCAATCTACCAACTCAGTGTAATCCCTAACAAAATCTAAATGGCATTTTTATAGCAATAGAAAATACAATTTTAAAATTCATGTAGAGCCATAAAAGACCATGAATAGCCAAATCAATCTTGAGAAAGGACAAAACTGGAGGCATCACATTTCCTGATTTCAAAATACAAATCTAGAGTAATCAAAACATTATGGTACTGACATAAAGACGGACATACAGATGAACAAAACAGAATAGAGAACCCAGAAATACACCCACACACCATGGTCAGCTGATCTTCACAAGCATTCCAAGAACATACAACAGGAGAAGGATAGTCTCTTCAACAAATGGAAATTGGAAAACTGGATATCCACATGCAATCAACTGAAATTAAACCCTTATCTTAAACCATACATAAAAATTAACTAAAAATAGATTAAAGGCTTAAAACATAAGACATGAATTTTTAAAACTCCTAGAAGAAAACATAAAGGAAAAGCTTCATGACTTTGTCGTTATATTGACTTAACATATGTAGTCATAACAGTGAAGTTGAATTTTCAGAAACTTCACGCTGAAGCTATCATTGATGTGATTCATTTCAATTTACCCTGGTTTTTTAAGCATCTACTATATGCAATGATCTGGGCACTGCAGGGGATCCACTGCGGAATAGAATCAACCCCACACCTTAATAATGTCATGGTCTAGTGGTGAAAGCAGGTAATGACAATACAAGGTGATTAGAACCATAATATCAAGGAGCTTTGGATATGATATTTGATGGTATTAAGGCATTATTAATTTTGTGATGTGTGATAATAGCATGGTGATTATGTTAAAACAACCCTTATTGATTAAAGACTCAATTCATTTTCTATTGCCACCATAACAAATTACCACAAAACTGACGACTTAGAACAGCACAAATTTATTCTCCTAAAGTTCTGAAAGTCGGAAGTTTGAAAGAAGTCTCATAGGTCTAAAATAAAGACATCCACATGGCTGGTCCTTCTAGAGGCTCCAGGTGTGAATCCATCCTTGGCCACTTCCAGCTCCTGGAAGCTGTGGCCAAGATTCCTTGACTGGTGACCACATCATTCCAGTCTATTTCCATTGCAAGTGTCACATTGCAGGTCTCTGATTTTGGTCTGCCTGCCCCTTCTTCTAAGGATCCTTGCGATTACATGGGTCTCTCCTAAATCACATCTAGGATGATCCCCCATCTTAAAGTCTTTAATCACATCTGCTGATGGGTTATATAAGGTCTCCTCTTCACAGGTACTTTATCTTAGATGGGGGGTGTTGGGAGGACACTTTTTTTTTTTTTTTGAGACGGAGTCTCATTTTGTCGCCAGGCTGGAGTGCAGTGGTGCAATCTCGGCTCACTGCAAACTCTGCCTCCCGGGTTCAAGCGATTCTCCTGTCTCTCAGCCTCCCGAGTAGCTGGGACTACAGGTGTGCGCCACCACGCCCGGCTAATTTTTGTATTTTTAGTAGAGACGGGGTTTCACCACGTTGGCCAGGATGGTCTCGATCTCTTGACCTCGTGATCCTCCCGCCTCGGCCTCCCAAAGTGCTGGGATTACAAGCGTGAGCCACTACGCCCAGCTGGGAGGACACTTTTTGAACAGGAAAGCAGAAATGCTTATCAGATGTAATGGTTTTCGAAGTTATTGCCTTAGAGTTTCTCTAGAACAATCCATATTTTATAGGACACAATTGTAGCCCAGAGGAAAATCTCACTTTGTAGCAACGTATCTTGGCTTCTAAGAAAAAAAAAAAGGCCCACAAGGGTTTATTTTAAAATATGGTGAGGGAAATCTTGCTTTTGAAGAACCAGGCCTATAGCTAGTGGACCTGGCATTTTCCCAGGGTTTCTGGACTCTCACAAGCTCACAGTTCATAAGTTCTCTGAGGAAGGATTTCCACCTCGCCATAGGCCCAGCCGTCTCCCCTTCCCTCTAGCTGAGGACCGGAGTGTCCGCAGGGCGGCGCCCAGCGCCGGGGTTTGGTTCCTTTTACCTCCCGGTGCCTCTGTTCCTTAGCTTCCAGCCTTTCTTCTCCCTGGCTTGCTTGGCTTTCTCAGGTGAGGGTACATATTTCTTTTGTCATTTTGCACAGAAAATGTAAACGTTTCCTACTCTAAAAAGATCACCTTTAAAATTTGCTTATAACAACAATAAGATATTCCCACAATTTTTTTTCTCTAAATGCTATTACTGCAATATAAAAACAAAAAAGGAACAAGTTCCTGAAGGATTTCATTTTCACGGATGCAACTGTAATTATTCATGTGACCAGAAGATGGCAGTACAGCATTAATAACAGTGGCGCATCCCTTAGAACAAAATGGCTTATTCAATTTTTTGGAGCTTGGTAGACCTAGCTACTAAACAAATATTAACGGATCTGCTACTAAGTGCAAGGGTCTTCTGGGTTGCATTAGTTAATAAAAGAGACAAAAGCTGCTCTAATGGAGGGTGCTAAACTAAACTTGCAAGCACAATTAAGAAGAGAGAATTGTCCCAGTCTTGTCTTTTAAAATTTCATCTCACTGCTCCTCATTCATTGAAAGTCACATTTCTGAGAGAAAATATTATAGCAAAAGGAAGGAAGGAAAACAAAATACAACAAAATTCTCTTATAAATGAAGATACTTTAAAAAGGCAAAGTGACTTGCCCAAACACACTGGTAATGATTAGCTCCAAGTCTGTTGACCAATATTTTCTCTATCCGTGGTACCACACTGATTCTCGAAATCACAAATTCAGGGATTAAGAATGCCAGTCCTTGCCCCATCACTGACCCCTTTGTGGGATCTTAAGCAAATTATTTAATTACTTTTATGTAAAAAGTAAGGCATTGGACTAGGTAAGTTCAAGCATTTTTACCAAGGGAATGTTTTTTCCTTTTTTTCTTTTTAAGACTCTTATTCAGAAGTTCAAAACCTAAAATAATAAAGGAAAATGCTAGAGTTGAAAGAGACGTTTTCCTCTTGAGTTTCCTCCTTTCTCCCCTAGAATCTTAGGTTTCCTCAGAGCACAGTTTGTAAACTATCAGACTGGGTGATCTTGTAAACACCTTTCAGCTCTGAATATTCATTATCCCTCAAGTTCATTGAATTAATTGTGAGATAGCAATACCCTCAAAAGTGATTACTGTTTGGTAAAAAACAAAAGCAACAACAACCAAAAAAAAACTAAATCCTGAAGATGATGACAAACTGGAATAGTCAATTGTTAAGAACAAAGAGAAACTGACTTTTAAAGCATTTTCAATATTTTTCAACACGATGCCTCTGAATAATGACATTATCTTCATGCTTTACAGGGCCCTTAAACACACTCAGCCAGGTTTCCGCTGTGAACATCCTCTGGCACATGCTCTCAGAAATGAGAAGGTTGCCTGTGGAGAACGCTGTGGCTCCCCTGCATTTAGGCAACAGACTTTTGGCTGTAGTAAGTGCCAAAAGCCAGAGGTGGTATGGCTTATGCTGCACCATGGTGTATTGGGCCAAAGAGCTCTGGAAAACCGTTCAACCACATGGCCATCAGCAGTGATGGGAAGGGCAACTTAAGGTCAAAGGACTATGGGAGGGTGTCTAAGATGGGCCTTAGAATTAGTCTTCCTGGGTTTGCAACAGAGCTCCAACACTTTTGACAAGTTACTTTGGTTTCTAAATTTTAATTTTGGTTAATAACATTACTTCCTAGGAATGAGAAGACCTCATAGGGCAAATAATAGCAGTGTATGAACACCAAGTAAAAGTTTCTGTTTTCTTTCACAGGATTCCTGCAAATATCTCCAGGCTGGGTTCCTCATCGGTCCTCCACCTTTCAATCCATCCTCCACACAACAGACTGAATGACCTTTAAAAGATATGTCAGATCTCATCGCTGCACTTTTAAACCTTTCAATGACTCTCTCTTGCACTTCCAAGAAAATTCACATTCCTCACACTGACCTACAGCCACTGCATGATCTTCCTTGTCCACTCTCTGACTTTATTTGGCACTCGATGACCATATTCCAGCTGCACTGGCCTTCTGACAGTTCCTGGAATAGCCCAAAACTTTTCCAGTCTTTAGAACTCTTGTGTGTACTTTTTTCCCTTTCCCAGAACACACTGTCATTTCCTAAAGTCTCAGCTAAAATATTTCTCATCAGACAGGTCTTCTCTGACCACCCTGTCTAAAGTATCAACAATAAAGTAAACCTTATTCTTTAGCATAGGGGTTGGAAATGTTTGACCTGTAGGCCAAACTGGCCCACCATGTTGTTTTTATATATAAAGTTTTATTGGAAAACAGCCATGCTTATTCATTTACGTATTAACCATGACTGTTCTGGTGTCACAGTGGCCAAGTTGAATAGTTGCATAGTTGCAAAGCCTTTTATCTGGCCCTTTATAGAAAAAGTTTATCAACCTCTGATCTATCAAGTAAGCATGCACTCCCATTAGCATTTCTTCATTTCTGTTTATTCTCCAGTACCTTCAGGTAGTTGCTTTTTAAATTGTTTAAGTTTTATAGTTGTTTTCTTCAGAGTAAGTCATCCTGTGGAATCTTTTTTCCATTATACCCAGAAGCCAATTCTAGTTATTTTAAAAATTCTGTTCAATAGTTCCAATATCTGAAGCATCTCTAAGTCTTGTTCTATAGTTGATTCATCTATTGAAAGTGGGTCATTTTCTCCTATTTTTAACTTTATATATCTGGTATTTTTTACTGAATGTCTAATATTATGTGTAGAAGAATGATGAAAACTGAGGTAAATAGTATTTACACGTAGTAATAGGTACCAGTTACCATTACTGGTTGTTACTGTGGTAACAATGGTTACCACATTTCTGTCTGCACAAAAGTATGGCGGGCTGTGTCAATGTAGTCAATAGTTATGTGGAGTTTGGTATTTTATGTTGCTTTTGTAACCTGTACAACACAGTCTTCAAAATCCTTGACAGGATATTTCTGTTGCCTTGTGTCTTGTGAGCATCTCGTGCAGGCCTGTGGAAACAAGCCTGCACATAAGTGTGAGCTCACCTTGCATGAGCTTATGGTTATTTTAAGTTGATATGCTAGCTTACACTTGGCTTTTAGTATGTTTTCTAATTTTTAGCTAACTTTCTCTTAGTTTGTTTAATGGCAGCCGCCTTTCTCTCATGTTCTGTCAAAACTGAAATAGTCCTTGGACCCCATCTCTCCTCAAAGATTCTTGTCACCCTTTGGAATCAGTTTGTTTATTTGGCTTACAATCCCAGCTCTCTGATAGGATCAAGAAAAGGTAGAGTTTTATAGATTATCTGCATTTTCTCATAAGTAGAGTGACATTCTTGTGCAGCTTTCTAATCAAAAGCAGAATGCCAGAACCCACATTCTAGAATTTGCCCTCCTTTCAAATGGGCAGAGACGAAAACATAATTTATGCCAGTAAGGTTAAAAAAGCAGCATGGCATTGTAAATTGACAGTTGGTGCTATAGACTGAATGTTCTCCACCCCCACCCCCCTGCCGCCCCAACCAAATTCATATGTTAAGTCTTAATCCTCAGGGTGATGATATTTGGAGGTGGGTCCTTTGGAAGGAGATTAGATCATCAGGGGAGAGCCCTAATGGATGGCATTGGTGCTTTTATGAAAGAGGCCACAGAGGGCTCCCTCCTCCCTCCTGCCATGTGATGACACAGCAAAAAGATGTGACTTATAAAACAGGAAGCCGGCCCTCACCACACACACCAAATCTGCTAATGTCTTGGTCTTGGACTTGCAGCCTCCAGAACTGGGACCATTAAATTTCTGTTGTTTATAAGCCACCCAGTCTATGGTGTTTTTTCATAGCAGCTCAAATGGACTGAGACAATTGGGTAGTAAATTTGTGTAACCAGTCTAAGAAGGATTTTAAAAATATGTAGAAAGGGTCTTACAGTCTGATCGTTTTGACCTAATATTTCTACTTCAAGTGATCTAATCAGAGGTGCTGACAAATATTCTTATAGAAGGATATTCACTACAATATTGTCTATTTATTTTAATTGACAAAAATTGTATATATTATTTATAGCATGTTGTTTTGGAACATGTATACATTGTGAAATGGCTAAATCAAGCTAATTAATATAAACATTATCTCACATAGTTACCTTTTTTGTGGTGAGAATAATTGATATCTATTCTTTTAGCAATTTTTGAGAGTACAATACATTGTTATTAATGATAGCCACCATGTTATACAATAGCTCTCTTTATTTCTCTTGTCTAACTGAAATGTTGTATCTTATGAACAATATCTCCTCACTCTCATCCTTAGCCCCTGGTAACTCTACTTCTATGAGTTCAAGTTTTTTAGATTCTGCGTATAAGTGAGATCATGTAGTATTTGTGTCTCTGGACCTGGCTTATTTCACTTATCTAAAGAGCTCCAGGTTAGGATCTCCAGGTTTATCCATATTGTCTGAAGTGACAGAATGTCCTTATTTTTTTGAGGTTGAATTATATTTCATTGTATATATATACCACATTTTCTTTATCCATTCATTTGTTGACGGGCACTTAGCTTAATTTATTGTGAATAATGCTCCAGTGAATATGGTAGCACACATATCTCTTCCATATATTGATTTCATTTCCTTTGGATGTACCCAGTGGTGGGTTTGCCATATCACATGGTAGCTTGATTTTTAATGTTTTTAGGAACCTCCATACTGTTTCTCGTAATGACCAAGCTAATTTACATGCTGAACAACACACCACACTATTATGAAATAATGGAGACAAACTAGATAACCGACAGTAGAAAAGTATTTTTAATCCATTGAGATCCAACCATATAAAGAAATATTACGCAAATATTAAAATACTTCAATGAAGAATATTTATTGAGACAACGATCATAATATAATGTTAAATATCAAAACCAAAACTATATATATAAATTTTATATATACATATATATACACACACACATTCAGTTTTGTTGGGATTTACTAATAAACTTTGAAATTAAGTTTTTTTGGCGTGTATATATATATTTTTGTGTATGTGTATATACATATATATATATATACACACACACACACAGAAAAACTTTATATATATATATATATATATATATGTATCTCACTGGTGCCTATAAGTTTTTTTGTGGAGAGAGATATATATATATATATCACTGGTGCCTATAAATTTTTTTGTGGTGATATATATATTTTGTTTGTGTGTGTGTGTGTATATATATATACATATACATATTTACAAAGTTTATTAGTTGCAACAGTTAAAATAGTATCTTTACAGTGAAGAAATCTGAAAGACAACACCTTAATCAAGCAATTATAGTTAATATCACCGGTAATGGGATAGAATTCCATTATGTGCCTCCTAACATGATGCACTGAGAAAGATGGAATATTTTGTGATATTCCTGCCAGAAATGCAAAGCTTGAGTCTAATTATGAGGAAATATTAGACTAACCTAAGTCGAAGGACATTTTACAAAATAAATGGTCTGTACTCTTCAAACGTGTCATGGCCAAAAAAGTAAGTCTGAGGAAGTTTCTACATTAAAGGAAACTAAGGAAGCATGACAATTAAATACAAAGTGTAATCCTGGATTGGATTCCAGGCCAGAAACATGAATACATACATATGTACATACCAACATACTCATATACACATACATGCTTATAATTTATTTTTGTTATAAATGGTATTATTGGGACAGTTGGCCATGTTTGAATAAGGCCTATGGATTAGATAATATTTCTGTGCCAGTGTTAATTTGATTTTGATGCCATGTTATGGTTATATAAAATAATGCCCTTGTGTTTAGGAAATTAACTGAAGTAGACTGAAGTATTTATGCATAATTGTTCATAATGTCTGCAATTTACAACTTATTCTCAAATAGTTTTTTAAAAATTGCCTATCTTTGTGATATAATAAGAAATGTATATTTGGTCTTCACCCCAGGTTCCTGGCACAAAACTTCTAACACTCTTGTATCTTCCTGAATAATAGGACTGCTAGGAGCATCATTTGTTGTAATAGTCTTTCTTAGTTCCTCCTTGGTTCCTGACAGAAGAGCTTCTAAGACTTTGGAACCTCTGGAGTGATAAGAGTATCTTTTTTTTTTTCTAGACAGAGTCTCGCTCTGTTGCCCATGCTGGAGTGCAATGGCGCAATGTCGGCTCACTGCAACCTCTGCCTCCCAGGGTCAAGCGATTCTGGTGCTTCAGCCTCCCAAGTAGCTGGTATTACAGGTGCCCACCACTACATCCAGCTACTTTTTTGTATTTTTAGTAGAGACAAGGTTTCGCCATGTTGGCCAGGCTGGTCTGGAACTCTTGACGTCAGGTAATCCTCCTGCCTCAGCCTCCCAAAGTGCTGGGATTACAGGTGTGAGCCACCATGCCTGGCCAAGAGTATCTTTTTGTATGTTGATGAGATGACTGGTGGCCAAAAGCCCCTAGATATCTCCACAATGAAGGCTGTTGCCAGAGGAACCAACCATGTGATTAGAGAATTGAGACTTTCAGCCCCATTCCCACCCACAACCTCTGGGGAGGAGAGGGAGGCTGGAGATTGAGTTCAATCACCAATGGCCAGTGACTTAATTAATCATGCCTGCATGATGGAGTCTGCAGAAAAGTCCTAAATGAAGTGGTTTGGAGAACTTCTGAGACAGTGAATATACAGAGGTGCTAGGAGGGTGGCCCGCCCAGAGAGGGCATGAAAGCTTCATGCTCCTTCCCCCATACCTTGCCCTCCATACCTCTTCATCTGGCTGTTCATTTGTATCCTTTATAATAAACCAATCAAAGTAAATGAAGTGTTTCCCTGGGTTCTGTAAGTCATTGTAGCAAATTATTGAACCTAAGAAGGGGGTCATGGAAACCCCTAGTTTATAACCAGCCAGTCAGAAGTACAGGTGGAAACCCGGGACTTGTGATTGGCATCTAAAGTGGGAGCGGTCTTGTGGGACTGAGCTCTTTAACTTGCAGGATGTTAAACTAACTCCAGGTGGATAGTGTCAGAGTTGAAATGACCTGTGAGTCACTACTCAGCTGGTATCCACAGAGAAGTGAAGAAGTGCCGAGTGTAGAAAATTCACACGTTTGGTGTCAGAGGTGTTGTGCCTATCCAGGAAAACAAGTTTTCCTTGTTAATCTCTATTTTTATCTACCAAGCTATTATCTATACAGAAGAAAGTAAGACAGATTAAATGATAAAACAAATGTGGTAAGATGTTGATAGTTCTGAATTTGGGTTAAAAGTATACAAAAAGACTTTATACTATTTTTGCACTTGTCTACAAGACTAAAATTGTTGTAAAATATCATGCTATAATATGTAGAACATAGGTTTGAGAGTGGCCAATGGAAAATATTACGATTCAGTGCTCACACATCAATATTATTTCATGGCAAATTATATTTACCTTCGCAGGATGAAGCACAGTAAATTCATAGAAAGGCATAATAGTTTTGTACCCCACCCGCATATACATATAGTAAAAAAGAGCTGCAAGTCGTAGGAACATGTTAACCGTGTTTATCTATAAGCTGCATATTTTCCGGTGTTATTCATTTTCTTCTTTAAACTTTTTCATCTTTCCAAGTTTTTATAATGAGAGCTTAATATTCTTATTATTGAATTCCTGGCTTTCTTCTTTTCTACAGTTTCAGAAAAGAAAGAAGCAAAGGGGGAAAAAGAAGAGAGAGAGAGAGAGATGAGCCCTAATAGAGTTCATGGCTGTCTGTGAGCCATTGAATGCACCTGAATGGGGAAGTTCTTGAGGTTGCATAATATCAGCTGATGCTTACAAACTGTTACTTCAAGGTCAATCATGACGTGGCTGTCTCCAAGGGAATACAGCTGTTCAATACTCCAGGCTTGCTAACTTGGGGACCATTGGATCTTGCTTGGTGACTAAACCCTAGTTCTGTTCATACCACCACAAAGACAGAACCTCACCTCCAAAGGCATGAAGTGGTAAGACCAACACACCAAGACAGAATGATGCCACTGCCACCTGGAGCACAATACAGTGAAGCATGTATGCAGAATTAATACTGGCACAATGCTGGACAAGTGACAGACAAATTAGTGCAAGCTTCTGTAATGATTATGCTATTTAATTAGTGGATACCTGACCAGTGTTAAAATCTGGAAGAGTACCAAATACCACAAAGTTTACAATTTCCTTTTCTGGGAACATTTTCTCTATTAAATGGCATCAATGACAAGCTAAAATACAGCCCTTTATCGATCAGCTATTTCACTTCTCTTTTCCTGAAAGGGTTACTCAAAGGCACATAAAGAGGTTTCTTCCTCCATGCCTTGTCTCCAACTCCTGTAGACAGATTTACACCCCACACCTGGTGCTGCTAAGCACATTACAGTGCCTCATGTTCCTATTAACAAAACCGTGTGTGAGGGTGGGAGTAAATTTGGGAGAGGGAATGTCACACAGTTTAATTACTTAGTAGGGGGGAATAACTCAAAGTACAGTACTCTGGTGTAAAGGGATCTTCATGATGCATGGTTGCGAAATGTCTGGACTCATTAAGTGCTGAGCTTTCCAAGGCTTGCCATTGTGTAAGACACCTGTTCTGAATATGTTTATAGAGAGGGTGTGAGGTGGGCATTACATCGTGGGGTCATGCTGCTTTCTGTTTCTACTTCCCTTCAAACTGCATTTTACTCATTCGTTCTTTGGCCATTTGGGGCCATGGCTTCAGGATCAAATACGTTGTAGAGATATAAAGATTATTCTTCCCATGATAGCTCACAGAAAGACAAATAAATCAGCATGTAATACCTCCTTAGGTTGTTAAGCCAAATGCTTTAGGGGAAATAACCATTTTGTCTTGAGTTAAGTAGCCCTATCTACAAGCACTCTGTTTTAAACACCAAATCTACACCAAGCCTGAATGACTTCAGGCTACATGGTGGAGAGGAAGGAACATGTTTTTGCCTCCTGTGCACCTCGCTTCCAATCCCAGCTCTAATACAAGGTCAGTGTTTGATCCTTAGCAAGTTCCCCATCTCTGAGATTCTCACTCTCATTATCTGTGAAATGGGACTAATACCAAATACTTGTTGGACTATTTGTATTAATATTAGAAACAGTGCACATAAAGTATCTTGTACCAACGAAGTGCTTGCAAGAGTAGTTATTATAACTATGATTACATGAAAATGTGGCTTACCCTTGGACAATTCTGAAAAGAAAAATTTAAAAATTCTCCAACTGACTAAAAGAGAAGGAATGTTGAGAGATAAAAATAAGGAAGAAAGAAAGGAAGACAGAAAGAGAAAGAATAACAAAATACGATGAATGAATGAATGAATGAATACATGAAAACAAAAGAAAAAGGAAGGAAGGAAGGAAGGAAAGGAAAGGAAAAGCATTTATGGAATAGCCTATTAAGATTTTGGAGACATAAGTTGTGTTTCCAGTGAAAATTTAGACATAGACCCTTAAGTTATCAATTTCCTTAGCTGCAAATTGAGGGTATTGTCTAAGGGTGAGTTTTGGGAAGCAGCCATTCCTGACTTGGGGAAAAGAGGATGTTGGTTCTATGGGCTAAATGGTCAGCACCCCTCTCCTCTCCCCACTCCCAGTGGAAACTGTGCACATTTCACCTGAAGGCACATATTTCTCAGGTTGACATTTCTGCTACAGTGTATTAGTCAGGGCTCTGCAGAGAAAAAGAACCAATAAGATGACATCTATATAAGATGACATGGTTTGGCTGTGTCCCCACCCAAATCTCATTTTGAAGTGTAGCTCCCATAATTCCTGTGTGTTGCAGGAGGGACCCGGTAGGAGTTAATTGAATCATGGGTTTTTCCGGTGCTGCTCTCATGATAGTGAATAAGTCTCACAAGAGCTGATGGTTTTATGAAGGGCAGTTCCCCTGCACATGCTCTCTTGCCTGCCGCCATGTTAAGATGTGACTTTGCTTCTCCTTTGCCTTCAACCATGATTGTGAGGCCTCCCTAGCTATGTGGAACTGTGAGTTTATTAAACCTCTTTTTCTTTATAAAGTACCCCTCTTGGGTATTTCTTCATAGCAGTATGAAAATGGACTAATACAATAGATATATAGACAGAGATATATTATGATGGAGTGGCTCATACAATTTTGGCAGCTGAGGAGTCCCATGACTTGCCATCTATAAGCTGAAGGCCAAGGAAAGCCAGTGGTGTAGTTCCAGTCCAAACCTCAAAGACTGAGAACCAGAGAAGCCAATAATGCAAATCCTTATCTCAGTCTGAAAGCCCCAAAACCAGAAGTGCTGATCTCCAAAGACAAGAGAAGAAAGTCCCAGCTCAAGCAGAAAGAAGAAATTCACCCTTCCTTTGACTTTTTGTTCTATTCAGATCCTCTACTGACTGGATAATGCCCACCTGAATTGGTAAAGGCAGTCTTTTTTACTCAGTCTGCCAATTCAATTTCTCATCTCTTCTGGAAACCCTTACAAACACACCCAGAAATAATGTTTTACCAGCTATCTGGGCATCTGTTAGCCCAGTCAAGTTGACCTCTAAAATTAACCATCACACGCAGAGAGATTCCAACTGAGAACTTTATATTCCAGAAGCCCTCACCTGCAACCTCCTCATAAGAGGCACCTCATGCATTGAGCCTGATTCAACTCAACATTATCTCTTTGCTTTTAGATGTTTTACAATTTTATTCAAGGCAACTTGTGGTTTGATGCTGTTGGAATTTTGCTCTGGCTGTTGAAACTTGACTCATTTATTTCATCTTCCTTATTGGGAAATGTTTAGATTACTTCATTGCATATTTATTTTTAACTGGGGTCTAGGAAATGGCTATAGGGAGGGAACAATCTTGAGGACACTCTATGCTTCAGGCTAGATACTTCTTCCTTCTAGTCTACCCTGCACAGCCCTCAGAGCTTGAAGAAGCACTGTGACACCTGCCGCTGTTTGCCCTTAGGAAAGATGCCAAGTTTAGAATTGGTTTTCGGGTGGTTTCAGCAAAACAATAGCCCACACTGCCTCCTAAGAAGAATGACTATGCCAACTACAAAGAGCACTGGAGAAAAGGACAATTGTTTTATGTTTCCAGTATTCAAAAACTTAGCAAATGGCTGGGCATGGTGGCTCACACCTGTAATCCCAGCACTTTGAGAGGCCAAGTAGGATGGATCACTTGATGTCAGGAGTCCGAGACCAGCCTGGTCAACATGGTGAAACCCTGTCTCTGCTAAAAATACAAAAATTAGCCAGGCATGGTGTAATCCCAGCTACTCAGGTGGCCGAGGCAGGTGAATCGCTTGAACCTGGGAGACAGAGTATGCAGTGAGCCAAGATCAAGCCACTGCACTCCAAATGGCAGCATAGCAGGAAGGTTTAGAGTATGGATCCTGGGGCCAGGCTGCTATATTTAAATCCCAGCCCTGGCTGGGCATGGTGGCTTATGCTTGTAATCCCAGCACTTTGGGAGGCTGAGACGGATGGATCACAAGGTCAAGAGTTCAAGACCAGCCTGGCCAACACAGTGAGACCCCGTCTGTACTAAAAATACAAAAATTAGCTCGGCATGGTGGCAGGTACCTGTAATCCCAGCTACTCGGGAGGCTGAGGCAGAAGAATTTCTTGAACCTGGGAGGTGGAGGTTTGCAGTGAGCTGAGATCATGCCACTGCACTCTAGCCTGGGCAACACAGCAAGACTCCCTTTCAAAAATAAAATATAAAATAAAATAAAATAAAATAAAATAAAATAGTCCCAGTCCTGCCACTTACCAGTTGTGCAATCTGAGGTATGTATGTGAGATACAAACTTTCTGTACTCAAAAAGGCCTCATCTTTGAAATTATCCTGCCCAATGTGTTGTTAAGAGGATGGATGAGTTGACATTTGTAAAACATTGAGAACAGTATCTAGCATATAAATGTTCTATATTTAAATATTGGGTAGGCAAAAGCCATGGACTGTAATACATATAACCCCATTAGAGGGCGGCTATTTCTCATAAGTTTCCTGTGCCATGGAGGATAATGGAAATAAGTGAGGTTCTTTGTTATTCCTCTTCCTTATCTGTGTGTACACATGTGTGTGCATGTGTGTATTTTTATGTATCCACCATTTTGACAGTTGCTTTACAACTCTTTATTAATCCTCCTATCAACCCTGCATGGCCATATTGTTATCAGTTGACAGAGGAGGTTCACAGAGGTCACTCGGTGGCTCAGGTCACAACACTTTGGACTTAGAGTTGGAATTTACATCCCTATCACCAAGACGCATGCTATCTGCACTTTTCCCAGCCCCCATAGATACACACATACACCTGGACTTGATTCTCAAATTCTGTCTTATAGGAAAGTTTCTGGGAGAGTAACCAGATGATTTTGAACAACAACGTATCCATGACAGAAAACAGGTCAAAAGGCCCGAAGTGGTTTTGTTAGAATGATGGGATTATTAATTTTTTTCCATTTCTCTGTTTTTCAAAATTCTCCTTTATACAATTATATTAACTCTATATAAAACCATGTTTATTTGTTAAATCATCAGTAATTGGCAGAAGTATTTTTATGTTTTATATTTGATCTAAGTCTGTGTACACTGTTTCATGTTTAAGGAAGAGATTCACGTACTTCCCCCAAACATGGAAACTCGAGTCTTGGCTGTGGCTGGAGGTGAAAGCACAGAGGAAACAATACTTACTCTTACTCTTATAGGTGACCCTTTTTTCCCCCCAAATCAAAAACTCTATTCTGTCTTCTCCTGTTCAAGCCTGGGAAACATTGTAGAGAATGTCAAGATCAGGGAAAGGGCTTTAGTTCCCAAACAGATCAAATTTCAGTTCTGAGAGCACACAGAATTAACTAAGGGACTGCCGGGGAGATGCCAGGTGCCTTCCAGAGCAAAATGACCTCTAAGGGGCTCCAAGCCCTAGATTATTCATTGGGTCTAATGATTGACCTCCCCAATCTATGTTCTGAGCATGAATTATGTAGCAGAATGACCCATACTGCTGCCTTTGGTACCTCATATATCTAACATTGATTCTATTCTCTTATAGGGGACACACACTAATCAAAACTTTTTCTCCTTATCCTTCCTGTACTTAGCGATCTTCCACCCAGTGGATTATGGTAGGTGAAACTGACTTCCATTTAGAAAGTGAAGAATTGTGCTTGCACTGCTGGGCCCTTTTACCAATCAGACCCACCTATCCAAGACTCCTGAATTTGGAAACAATGATGCAACAAAGCAGGCAGAATGAGAATTTATCCAATCCTGGAACAGCAGCAACACCATCAGACACTTTCTAGAGTTGGCAAAGGCAGGGGTTCCCAGGTTGTGTGTCTGGTGCCAGTGCTCAGTGGCATCACCAGGTGAGTTCTAGGCCATGATTTTAGACCCTCCAACCTAAAATCCTTGTGTCTCTGCCTATTCTCAAGCCTGAATCTCCATCAACTCCATGAGCTACACCAGTCAGAGTCTTTTCTGGTACTTGCTATGGATCACCTGACCAGTTCATATATCCATCTCCTAGTTTGGCCAGCTTAGCCTCAAATCCCTTCCAGTTATTTCTTTGACCTTTCTTTTACCTTCATTCAATCCATTTCCAATTTCGTTAGTCAAGACATGTTATGACCCTTTACAGTTGAATGATTTTTCCATTAGAAGACTTAGAAGACTGGCTGGGAACCTTATCAATTCTTCCAACATGAGTAGCAGTAACGTATTAGTCAGGGTTCTCTAGAGAGACAGAACTAATAGGATATATTTATGAGTTTATCAAATAGTTTTAACTCACATGTTCATGAGGTCCCACAATAGGCCATCTGCAAGCTGAGGAGCAAGGAAGCCAGTCCAAGTCCCAAGGCTGAAAAACTTGGAGTCCAATGTTCGAGGGCAGGAAGCATCCAGCACAAGGGAAAGATGTGGCCTGGGAGGCTAAGCAAGTCTAGCCTTTTCACGTTTTCTCTTCCTGCTTTATATTCTCTGGCAGCTGATTATGTGGTGCCCACCCAGATTAAGGGTGGGTCTGCCTTCTTCAGCCCACTGACTCAAATACTAAACTCCTTTGGCAACACCCTCATAGACACACCCAGGATCAATACGTTGCATCCTTCAGTCCAATCAAGTTGACACTCAGTATTAACCATCACAAGTAATAATAGCTAACACTTATAGTGAGTGTACCATTTGCTAGGTACTTTCAGTTATTATATCATATATTCTTAAGGAAAAATAAATATGGACTATTTCCTATAACTATACCAATTTTACTGATTAGGAAATGTGCCTGGAAGAATGGCATAGCTGTCCAGTGTGCACAAGCAAGTACGTGGCAGAAATAAAAACCAAATCCAACTCTGTCTGCCTTCAGTGACTGAATGCAAACCACTTCATGCACATCCCTCTCGGGGCCTTGACAAACTGTTGTACTTCAGCCCGAGTAACTGGGTCAGGTTATTAAATCAATCACTAGAGAAACATTTCATCTAAGTTTGAAAAGGCCAATAAGAGAAAGTTACCTGAATCCAAGAGATTGTTAAATCATATTCTACAATAATGAAAATATTGTCTCTTCTCTTGGAGACAGAAGAAAAGCTGGAATAATGAACACACCTTTGTAGTTTCAAAATTCAAGAAATGAGCAATTTAGAGAAAAAAAAAAAGAATCTCTTGCTTAAGGTATCAGGGCCTCTCTCAATATTTCTGTTGGGCAATGTGACTTTGCCAGACCCTGGGGCAGCCTGCTCACACCAATTTCTGTCAATTCAAAATTGAAAGCTATTCTAATCAGTACATTTTTTGAGTGCCTAAAGAAGCATTATAGGTCAGGAAGTTTAATTCAAAAGATGATTGCTCATTTAAATGACCTGAACAGGAAAAAAATATATATTTTCCCCCTTTCCAATGGAACTCTGATAAGACAGACACAGAACTATCAGTGGAGAAATTCTTTCCAAGCAGCAAAGACATCTGTGGACCCTTAGTTACTCCTTCAAAGCATTTAATTCTTAAATATTCAGAGAACTCTGTAGTTGACATGAGAAATCTAGGTGAGGATCCAAGTGGTGCTGTTGGCGTCTCATTCATGAATGTTTGTCACCTAAAGACAACTGTAAAATTTATTTACTCCTTCCTTTTTTCTTTCCTTCCTCCACCCCTCTCCCTTTATAGTATTTCTTTCTTTTCTTTCCTTCCTTTCTTCTTTTCTCTGTCTCCCACCCTTCCTTCCTTCCTTTCTTTCTCTTTCTTTCTTTCCTTTCTCTGTTTCATTTCTTTCTTTCTTTCCTCTCTTTCATTTCTTTCTTCCTTCTCTTTCTTTCTTCTTTTTCTTTCTTTCTCTCAAGACATGTTATTTCTTGACTCTCTTTCTCTCTTTCTTTCATTTCTTTCTTCCTTTCTCTTTCTTTCTTCTTTCTTTTTCTTTCTCTCAAGATGTTATTTCTTGACTCTTTTTTTCTTTCGTTCTCTCTTTCTTTTTTCTTTCCTTTTTTTCTTTCCTTTTCTTTCTCTCCCTCTCTCTTTCATCCCCCTATGTCTTCCCTTCCCCTTCACTTCCCTTCCTTTCCATTTATTTATTTATTTATTTATTTTTGAGATGGAGTCTCACTCTGTCTGGAGTGCACTGGTGCAATCTTGGCTCACTGCAACCTCCACTTCCTGGGTTCAAGTGATTCTCCTGCCTCAGCCCACTCACCTCAGCCTTCCAAAGTGCTGGGATTACAGCCATGAGTCACCATGCCTGGCTCTTTCTTTTCTCTTTAGTGTATCACCATTCCTCTTCTACTCTACCCAATTTGTGGTGATGGTGATAATTTAAAACAATGATGGCATTTTACTCCAGAGCAGCCAAGCCCAAAAAAGCCACAGTAATACTACATGGTCTTTTTTGGCAGGGGAAAATCACACTAAGTCCAACTAGTAACTCACATGCATGGGGTTGGGAGACCTGTGATTTCACCACAAATCCATATAAGGCTTTGGCCAAATTATTTGGTTATGTTGTCTAAATTTTCCCAACCAAAAGCTGGAATAAGTTATAAACTTGTCTATTATATTCACTTTTGCTGTTCTATTAATTGTATTTCATAAGCCTCTTCCTTGAAACATTTAGTATGTCACTTTTGCTACCTTACTATAAAATGAGGATATATCAGCTATGGTAGAGAATGAGTTTTATAACACATTCTGCAAGGAGAACACTACCACTGACTTAAGTTGTAACCATTCTTTACAGAGGAAACTAATCTATATTCCATTAGAAGCCCAGAGGAGGGACTGAAACACATCATCGACCTCCAACCCTCATGTTCTTTGCATTCTACATTTTAAAAATTACTGTAACTAGTTCCATTTTTAATGAGCCACTTTTCTACTGACTGCCCTCCTACTTTCCGCTCAGCCACCGAGTTAGGTACAGTCTCCAGGGCGCTGGTGAAGAGCCCTCACAAGGTGCCTGCACTCCGTTCTGCTCCAAAATTTGCTAGAGCTTCACTGCAAGTAACAAGAAGGGGAGAGATTAGGTGACTCCACTCCCTTGTTAAGTTCACCATTTAATCAGAACTAAACCTTAATTTTTTTTTTTTTTGAGATGGAGTCTGGCCCTGTCACCCAGGCTGGAGTGCAGTGGCACGATCTCAGCTCACTGCAACCTCTGCCTCCCAGATTCAAGCGATTCTCCTGCCCCAGCCTCCTGAGTAGCTAGGATTACAGGCACGCACCACCACACCTGGCTAATTTTTGTATTTTTAGTAGAGACGGGGTTTCACCATGTTGGTCAGGCTGGTCTCAAACTCCTGACCTCATGATCCGCCCGCCTTCACCTACCAAAGTGCTGGGATTACAGGCAACCCTGATTCTTTAAAATGAGCTTTGATCTCTCCTAACCTCTGAGAACAGAAGGCTTCAAAATGGGAAGGGTGTTAAGACCATCAGAAAGCGACGATTTTCCCAGGATATTAATCCTTTCTTAACCCTTATAACTCTAGTGTGGAGCATTAACACAGCTACAACTGAAATGGAATGATACAGGTTGTGCCATTTACAATGTGACAAATTCCTTAATTTCTCTGACCTTCAATTTTCTTATCATTTCTCATAGTATCACTCATACTATGTAAAACACTGCTCAAAGAAATCAGAGATTAAACAGACAAATGGAAAAATATTCCATGCTCATGGATAGGAAGAATCAATATCATTAAAATGGCCATAATGCTCATACTGCTCAGAGCAATTTATAAATTAAATGCTATTCCTATCAAACTACCAGTAATATCCTTCATAGAACCAGAAAAAAAAAAAACTATCTTAGGCTGCGCACAGTGGCTCATGCCTGTAATCCCAGCAGTTTGGGAGGCCAAGATCACTTGGGGTCAGGAGTTCAAGACCAGCCTGGCCAACATGGTGAAACCCTGTCTCTACCAAAAAATACACACACACAAATTAGCCAGGCATGGTGGTGCTCACCTGTAGTCCTAGCTACTCAGGAGGCTGAAGTGGGAGAATCACTTGAACCCGGGAGGCGGAGGTTGCAGTGAGCCAAGATCATGCCACTGCACTCCAACCTGGGCAAAAGAATGAGACTTTATCTCAGATAATAATAATAATAAATAGAATAAAATAAAATGAGAAAGAAAAGAAAAGAAAGAAAAAAAACTATTTAAAACTTCATCTGGAACCAAAAAAAAGCCCAAATAGCCAAGGCAATTCTAAGCAAAAAGGACAAACCTGGAGGCAACATGTTATCTGACTTCAAAGTATTGTACTGCAGGGCTACACTAACCAAGACAGCGTGGTACTGGTACAAAAGCAGACACATAGACCAATAGCACAGAATGGAGTGCTCACAAATAAGGTCGCACACCTACAACCATCTGATCTTCAATAAAGTTGTCAAAAACAAGCAATGGGAAAAGGATTATCTAGTCAATAAAGTGTGCTCGGATAACCGGCTAGCCATATGCAGAAGATTGAAACTGGACTCCTTCCTTATACCATGTACAAAAATCAACTCGAGATGGATTAAAGACTTAAATGTAAAACTCAAAACTATAAAAACCCTGGAAGATAACCTAAGCAATACCGTTCTGAACATAGGAATTCACAAGGATTTTATGATGAAGATACCAAAAGCAATTGCAACAAAAGCAAAAATTGACAAATGGGATTTAATTAAACTAAAGAGCTTCTGCACAGCAAAAGAAACTATCAACAGGATGAACAGACAACCTATAGAATGAGAGAAAATTTTTGCAAACTATGTATCTGACAAATATCTAATATCCAGCATATATAAGGAACTTAAACAAATTTACGAGAATAAAAAACAAATTCTATTAGAAAGCAGACAAAGGACATGAACATCTTTCAGAAGAAGACATACATGTGGCCAAGGCCGAGATGCATATGAAAAAAATATATAAAGCTCAACATCACTGACTATTAGAGAAATACAAATCAAAACCACTATGTAATACCATCTCATACCAGTCAGAATGGCTACTATCAAAAAGTAAAAAACAAACAAACAAACAAAAAACAGATGCTGGCAAGGTTGTGGAGAAAAGGGAATGCTTACATGATGTTGCTGGGAGTGTACGTTAGTTCAACTATTATGGAAAGCAGTATGGTGATTCTACAAAGAGCTGAAAACAGAATGATCATTTCATCCAGCAATCCCATTACTAGGTATATCCCCAAAAGAATATAAATTGGCTGGGCTCAGTGTCTCACGCCTCTCATCCCAGCACATTGGGAGGCCAAGGCGGACGGATTGCTTGAGGTCAGGAGTTTGAGACCAGCATGGCCAACATGCCGAAACCCCATTTCTACTAAAAATGCAAAAAAATTAGCCAGGCCTAGTGGCATGTACCTGTAGTCCCAGCTACTTTGGAGGCTGAGGCATGAGAATCGCCTGAACCTGGAAAGCGAAGGTTTCAGAGAGCTGAGATCATGCCACTGCACTCCAGCCTGGGTGAAAGGACGAGACTGTGTCTCAAAAAAAAAAAAAAAAAAAAATGTTCTATCATAAAGACACATGCATGTGTATGTTCATTCCAGCACTATTCACAGCAGTGAAGACATGGAATCAACCTAAATGCCCATCAGTGATAGACTGGATAAAAAAATGTGGTACATGTACACCATGGAATACTATGCAGCCATAAAAAGAATGAGATCATGTCCTTTGCAGGAACATGAATGGAACTGGAAGCCATTATCCTCAGCAAACTAATGCAGGAACAGAAAATCAAATACCATGTTCTCACTTATAAGTGAGAACTAAATGATGAGAACATATGGACACAAAGAGGGGAACAGCAGACACTGGGGCCTCCCTGAGGGAGGAGGGTGGGAGGAGGGAGAAAAGAGGAAAACGTAACTATTGGGTACTAGGCTTATTACCTGGATGATGAAATAATCTGTACAAAAAGCCCCTGTGACATGAGTTTACCTATACAACAAACCTGCATATGTACCCCTGAACTTAAAAGTTAAAAAGAAGGAAGAAAACAAAAATGGAACATCTAGTGGGACTTACATTCCTGAAAGTTTGAATAAATGTTATCTGAACTTGTCACCCCTTATTCCCAGTTCAGCATAATTAAAAATTTTTTATTTTATATTTTCAAAACTCTAATCTAGGACCTCAAAAAATAGGCACTCACTATGTGTTGCATCTTTCCTTCAAAAATATTTTTGAGAATTGGATCTTTTAAAAATTAATACACCTTTATATTCACTAAAGAATACTTTTATAACAAGCACAAATTACACACACACACACACACACATTTACCATGCACAAAGCTATTATATGTAAAATATGAAAATGTTTACTCACTCTCTGAAATTTTTTTATGGTTTCTCTGGAATAGGGGTAGGTTGGTGGAATGCAACGCAAATGAGGAAAAGAGACAAGGATTTGGACTTCTAATGTTTTTATAGGGCAAATGTAAACACAGGCTGATGTTTTACAGAATAATGCCTTCAGGACAAAATATATCAACAACTGCTCTCTGTCCCCCCCAGTAGAATTAGTATCGTTTGGATCATGAAGGAATAAATATTAATAATATGAGTTTCAATTGACTAATTAATAACATGCACAATACAACCATTTGACAAACATAAATCAAAGAAAGAGCATCTAGCTTTTTGGTAATGGGAGGATACACAATCAAATGCAGTGAGAAATTATTCAGGGAACTGCAGAAAAATCAGGCTGCATTGTTCTTTTCTAAGGAAGCAACATGCAAGATCATGTTATTCACATACAAAAGTACTGGAATGCAACCATCTCCTCTTCTTACTACAAAGTGCAATTCTATTCAATTCTAGAAATACTTATTAAGCACCTACTATGAGTACTTACTATTTGTCATGCACATTGGTTGGCATTTGTGGAAACCAGTACACTTGTATTAGTCTGTTCTCATGCTGCTAATAAAGACATACCCAGGACTGGGTAATTTATAAAGGAAAGAGGTTTAACTGACTCACAGTTCAGCATGGCTGTGGAAGCCTTGGGAAATTTACAATCATGGTGGAAGGGGAAGCAAACATGTCCTTCTTCACATGGTGGCAGCAAGGAGAAGTGCCAAGCAAAACTGGGAAAAGCTCCTTATAAAACCATCAGATCTCATAAGAACTCACTCACTCATGAGAACAGCATGGAAATAACCATCCCTATGATTCAATTACCTCCCACAAGGTCCCTCCCACTACATGTGTGGATTATTGGAACTACAATTCAATAAGAGATTTGTGTGACACAGCCAAACCATATCAACACTAGATTGGTGACAAGCACATGCTTTAGTGTCAGGCAAAGAGTGTTTGAAAACCAATTCCATCACTTACTAGTTTTTTGTTTTTACCATGGGAAAGTTAAACAACATCTCTCTCTCTCGCTCTTGTTCTCTCTCCCTCCCTCCTTCCTCTCTTTTAAACTGAGACATAACTTGCATATAATAAGATGTTTAAGTATTAAACAAGCTAAATGATATTTACATTTTTATATACCAGATCAATGTACAGAACATTTGCATAATGTCAGAAAACATCCTTGTGTTCCTTCCCAATGAAAACTTTCCAGCCCCATTCCCACTGGAAGAAAATACTATTCTGCTTCCTGTCAATATAGGTTAGTTTTGCTTATTGTTGAAATTTGTATAGATAGAATACTATATGTTTGTTGTTGTTGTTGTTGTTGTTGTTGTTGTTTTGACAGGGTCTCACTGTCACCCAGGCCAGAGAGCAGTGGCTCGATCTTGACTCACTGCAACCTCTGCCTCCCGGGTTCAAGTGATTGTCATGCCTCGGCCTCCTGAGTAGCTGGAATTACAGGCTTTTGCCATCACACGCTACTAATTTTTGTATTTTTAGTAGAGACGAGATTTCACCATGTTGGCCAGGCCAATTTTGTAAGATGACTAGCTTCGAGCATTTAGAAAGATATTCACAGAAAGAATATTTTTCTCCTGTTCCTGTTTTCTCCTGTTCTTTCCCCACCCCAATGCCCAACAGTTGCTGTCTCTCAAATCACCCGATTTCTTTCATGTCTTTTTTCATGTTTGAAATGATCATGTTTATTCATCTGTTTACTTCTTGATTTCCTATCTCCCCAGATAAGAAACTCCTTGGGGATAGAGAACCTTCTGTCTTATTAACATTTGAATTTCTAACATCTAGGTTGGAGAAAAAAAATAGTTGTGACTTCATATTTCTCCTTCTTCTGCACTATGTTCTCGTTTTAATTTCAAATATGAAGTGAAGATGGACATTGTAACTGAAGCGTACTGATTTAGATATAGGCATCTTATGTTTAAACCATCAGGTAAGATGCCTAGAGTACTTGTGGATTCTTCAAAGCATTTCTCAGTTGTCCTTGTTTACAAATTGCTACCTTTGAAGGGAAACTGAGCTAAAGCATTGCTTAACATTTTTAAGCTCCTAGCACAGCAATTTCATATTCTCACATTGAAATGAAAGATGCTTTAAAAAATCTCTTTAAAAGGTGATTAGATAATGCTAAATACGCTTTAGAATTGTCAACATATTTCTAAGGTTTTTTATACCTCTATAGACAAAGGATGATGGCACTTTTTTGTTGTTCCTTTGCTACTTATTCAGTCATTCAACCAATATAAATGTCTTGCATGTTGTAGACATAAGACATACATCTTGCCCTTGTTAAGCTCAGATTCCAGAAGAAAGTTTATTCATAGCATGGGAAATGCCACGATAGAACCATATACAAGTTACTCTGGAAAGCCAGCAAACAGATGGGACTGAATGAGGCTGGGAAAGAAGAAAAGCACCACCATAGAACAGGTAATGTTGAAGCTGAGGCACAGAGAAGATTCATATACTCATCAGAAGAAAATGTGAGTGAAGAGTAGTTCTGACTGACAGAACTTGAGAAGACAAAAAGGTGATAAAGGAAAGTCAGCAGTTCTACCAATCATGTTAAATACCGAGAATTAATAGGCTGATAGACATGAGACAAGTCAGTAAATCTCCAAACAAAGATTAATGCCTACTAATTGAATAACTCTGGCCTAAGTGCTGGGCATGGGGAGAAGGTCTTGCCTAAACAGTTCTTGTCTTCTGGTCTATATTCTAATTGCTGATAGAAGACATAAATACTTTACTTGCAAGCAATGGTACAAGGCAATAATACACAGTGCAGTGTTGAGGAAAATGAGGACTTTATTGATTAGACCAGTTGGCTTCCAACCTCTTCATTACTCATTTCTACTTGTAGAAAGTGTTTGAGTATGCATGCCTCTCTATATATATTTATTTCCTTAGAAACAATGCATATATACTATTGTCTAGATACATTAAAATCAGTGAAGATTACTTTTTCCTTGTAGGTAAAAATAAGTATAAATAGAAAACCTAATACTTTTTCCATACCTTACTGGATCACCTTGTGTAATTCTTAGGGTGCACACACCTGCATAAAAAATGACTAGCTGTGAGCATTTTGCAAGGTATTCACAGAAAGAATATTTTTTCTCCTGTTCACAGCATGGCCTAGATTTGTTCCAGAAATGAGTGGCACTTTTAAGCAAGGATGAAAATGGGAGCAAAGTGTGTTCTAGAAACTGAACGAAGAAAATGCTTCCTAGACCTTTGATTAAAGGAGGACATTATATCAAGCTTAGTAAATCTAGATCAGGATTTCTCAAGTGTGATCTGTGGACCACTGGCATCAGAATGACTTGGGGAGATTTTAATGTAAACTGACTCCTGGGTCCCACCCAAGGCTCACTGAAGCAGAATATCTGGAAAAGGAGACAGGGAAACTGTAATAAGCTGAGTCTTTTTATCACTAAAGTTTAAAAACAAGCAATCTAAAAAATGGAGACTTCAAATGGTCAAACCAAAATTTTATGTATTTTATGAAAAGCTAAGGTGTCACAGAGATGACAGATATGTTAATACGGCTGGTTGCATTGGAGAATCCATTAGTCATAGACAATATAGAATTTATGAAAAATACTTACTTTCATTGTTTAGTTTTGCTAAGGAGAGGAAAATTTGCTATTTGGATCCTCACTCAAAGAATATTTTCTCTGAGAGTAGTGAATCCATTTACAATTAAGGTTATACTTCTTTTTTCTACAGACTATATGCCACATTATGCAGGAAAGTGGTTTTTGAGTCTTTGAGGACAACTTGCTCTCCAGGTAAATGAGTATAGACAAGAGTGATGCCCAATGAACAGTTCTGTGCAATAATTGTTAATATGGCTTAATCTTTAGTTGATGGCCCTTGTCACAGTTTTGGATGTTCTAGTTCAGTTATCTTATTCTTCTCTAAGACCAGTCATACAAGAGATAACTCAATTAGAACCAAAATTTCTGAATGATCCATTCTATCAGTGCATTTCATTACATATTGAAACTTCCACTCAAAGTTACAAACTAATATTTTACCATACATTAAAAAGAAACTGGATATTAGTTTATGCTGCTGTGCATGACACCATGACACAGTTCCAATTTGTATCCAAAAGCACCCTGATTGAATTGGAACACAAGAGCTTGTTTGTGGCTTAGAGGCCCCAGCTAAAGATATAGTTATTGAGTTTTAAAAAACTGAATGAGGGAATTGTTTTTAAAATCACATTTCTATTCCCTCCAAATGGAAACAATCTTCTTTTAAATTCTCATGACACTTTATGTATAACTCTCCTATAGTACATATTACTTTCCCACTGGTATCAATATACACACATCCCTGGAGAGAACTCTGTGATGATCCATGCTTTACAGGGGCAACATATGGCTTCATTCATCATCTCTGCTGAATAGTACCTTAAGAGACAAGTCTCAAAGGTAGCTATTTAATATTAAATGAGCTCTAAACACCTTCTCAAGACTCAGAGAGAGGCAATTCATACCTGCAAATATAGTACCTGCTTTTAGTTCTCATTTCTGACCCTCTAAGTTCTTATCATGGACCACAACTCTGTACCACCTAAGGCAAGGACCCAGTACCTTCCACATCACTCATTGTTTTAGGCCTTAATTGCAAACAACTAGTTAATATTTACTATGTTCATTTATATAGTTGAGGAAACTGATGCTTGTAGAATTTAAACAAGTTGCTCAGAGTCACACAACTTTAAACAGAAGGAGCCAATCTTTCAGACCAGATCTATTAGACCCAAGAGCCTAAGACAATGACTGTATTCCATCTGCCCTCCATTGTGGATTCTTGTCTATTTCTCCATTCCGGTCTCTGTCAAGTTCCTACATTTATATAACAAAAGCAAAATACATTTACAATATATTTATATATTTAAAAGATTTAACAATAGACCATAATGCTTGTTAAGAGAATATATTATTTATTAATTAAGCTATGCATTACCTTGGTTTATTCATATAAAGAGTGAAGAACTTTGGCTAAACTAATCAATCATGGAGAGACATTATGTTGTACCGCAGTGCCACAGTACTTGAGCATTTCAAGGGAATTTCTACGTAAAGTTCAAATATTTTTGGAAATAATTATAAGTATTATTTGTTAAGCATCAATTATATGTCCGGCATTGTACTATTTAGTTTCAGACATAATTAGACTCCAAAGAGACAGGGGCTAACAATGCCTATTTTAAATAAAAGAAAGCAAAGACCCAGGATAAAAGATGGTAGGTTTCTTGCCCCACGTAGCAGTTAGGAAGCAACTCTCAAATCTTTCTTCCTCCAAAGCCTTGTCCCTTCCATTAAACTACATTTCCTCATTCATATGTTCTCTGCTACCTTCCATCTAAATTCCTCCCTTTAAAAGGTGGAAAAAGATGCCATATCTGAACATTTATTACACATGAAGTCTCATAGCTCTCCTGTGCTCTCAACTTGCTATGTTGAAGAAGCTCAGTAAATCTTTTGTTTGCATCTACTTCCCTTTGACTAGGGCTGACATTTCTGAATTAGCTGGGCATCTAACACCTGAGTTAATCTAGTAATATTGTTCTACTCTATCTTTTTCTCTCTGACACATACTCCCAAATATTTATAATTCTGTGTTCCCCCATGAATGTGCAGCTACTTGTCTTTCTCTTGTTCTATTTTTAAAACTCATTTTTTCTGCTGATTCTTTCCTGATTGCATATCTTTATTTCACAAATATTGGCATTCTCCTCAGCACTAATACTGATGAAAACATACAGCACGAAACACATTGACAGCCTCCTTCCCATCACCTGGCCGGGAGAGGAGTCCACACAGCTTAAGCAAAATCCATTCTAGGGCTCAAGGAACACTGGCCACATAACAGCTTAATAATTCAAGCCCCTGGCAACCACACAACTAGAATGAGTTGTTATTTTCCCAAAGGGATTCAAATTATGCTTAACATGCATCACACAGGGAAGTATTTTACTGAATTCTCTCCTCTCTGACTGTGACCAAGAAAAAATAGAGGGGAAGAAAAGCTTGCTATTTTCGTGCTGGTGAAGGCTATATTTGGAGAGGAAGCTTGCGTTCTATTGGAGGCTAATTCTGGAGAAGATTACAGTGGAAATTAAGGATAACTAAGATGGAGGGCATTAAGGACATAAAATTTAAAATGTTATTTTCACCTATCAACAGCCACACCAGGAAGCACTAACACCAGCTATGTCACACTCCTTCAATGGCCTTTTGAAGATGCTATAGATTCTATATTAAAGACACAAGGCATTCACCAGTTTAAACATTCCCTTCCCTCATTTGGAAAACTGAAGTCTACTTTTTAAATATCATGCTTGCTTTGGAGAAAATGAAATATCCTGAGATGATAAATGAACAACAATTTACCACCTGAAGAAACAAGCCACACTGCCGCCAGAGCATTTTTCAGGAGAGGCGGAACATCCATTGATCATGCATATTTACTCCTGACATACCCAGACCACCTGTAAATCTCCTGGTCTGGACTGGAAAATAAAAAATGTTTGCCACACCGTTACACTTCTTCCAGATGAATGCTAACACTGTATGAACAGCACTTTACTTCGGAACAGATTTAACACTGAGGTTAACTGTTTTTTGTCTGTGAGAGGTGGAGGCAAGTGTTTTCTGTTCAGGACTTTATTGATGGAGAACTATGGGCCATGCAGGTATGATGGTGACTGTAGGAGTTTTTGAAATACGCGGTAGGTCCTTTTCCTCAATTAATAATAACACTTCTGAAATCAAAAGTGATATATATTCATTGCAGAAAGCTAGAAAATTTAGACAAGTGAAAAAAGAAAAGAAAAAAAATAAGACCAAAATCCACCTATGATTCCAACACATAGAGGAAATTACGTGACACTTTGATATATATCCTTCCAGGAAATTTTTCTATGCACAAATTCTATATTTTTCCCCAAATAAATATTAAACATATGATTGGTAAACAATATTTTAATGTAAATGTGTATCATGAATATACATCACATAATTAAATATGCATATTATTTTATTCATTAATTTCAATGTATGTATAGTATTTAATAAATATTTTAATATAATTTCTTCTTTTTAAAAATTTTAAGATTGGGGTACATGTGCAGGTTTGTTATATAGGTAAACTTGTGTCATGGGAGTTTGTTATACAGATTATTTCATCACCCCAGTACTAAGCCTAGTACCCAATAGTTATGTTTTCTACTGTTTTCCTTCCTCTCATCCTCCACCCTCATGTAGGCCCCCATGTTTGTTTTTCCCTTCTATGCGTCAATGTATTCTCATCACTTAGCTCCCATTTATAAGTAAGAACACGCAATATTGGGTTTTCTGTTTCTGCATTAGTTTGCTAAGAATTATGGCCTCTACCTCCATCCATGTTCTTGCAAAGGAAATGATCTTGTTCTTTTTTATGGCTGCATAGTATTCCATGGTGTATATGTACCACAGTTTCTTATCCAATCTACCACTGATGGGCATTTAGGTTGATTGCGTGTCTTTGCTACTGTGAATAGTGCTGCAATGAACATACATGTGTATGTGTCTTTATGATAGAACCATTTATATTCCTTTGGGTATGTACCCACTAATGAAATTGCTGTGTTGAATGGTAGTTCTGTTTTCAGTTCTTTGAGGAACTGCCGCACTGCTTTCCACAATGGTTGAAACAATTTACACCCCCACCAACCATTAACAGAGTATAAGCATTCCCTTTTCTTCACAACCTCTCCAGCATCTGTTATTTTTTGACTTTTTGATAGTAGCCACTCTGACTGGTGTGAGATGGTATCTCATTGTGATTTTGATTGGCATTTCACTAATAATCAGTGATGTTGAGCTTTTTTTCATATGCTTGTTGACTACATGTATGTCTTTTTTTGAAAAGTGTCTGTTCATGTCTTTTGCCCACTTTCTAATGGAGCTTGTTGTTTTGTTTTGTTTGGTAAATTTCTTTAAGTTCCTGAGAGATGCTGGATATTAGACATTTGTCAGATGCATAGTTTGCAAAAATTTTCTCCCATTCTGTAGGTTATCTGTTTACTCTGTTGATAGTTTCTTTTGCTGTACATAAGCTCTTTAACTAGATCCCATTTGTCAATTTTTGCTTTTGTTGCAATTTCTTTTGAATGTTTTCATCATGAAATCTTTGCCAGTTTCTATGTCCAGAATGGTATTGCCTAGGTTGTCTTCCAGGGTTTTTATAGTTTTGGGTTTTACATTTAAGTCTTTCATCCATCTTCAGTTGATTTTTGCATGTGGTGTAAGTAAGGGGTCCAGTTTCAATCTTCTGCATATGGCTAGTCAGTTATCCCAGCACCATTTGCTGAATAGGGAGTTCTTTCCTCATTGCTTGTTTTGGTCAGCTTTGTTCAAGATCAGATGTTTGTAAGCATGCAGCCTTATTTCTGAGCTCGTTATTCTGTTCCATTGGTCTATGCATCTGTTTTTGTATGAGTACCTTGCTGTTTTGGTTAGTGTAGCTCTGAAGTATAGTTTGAAGTCACATAGCAAGATGCCTTCAGGTTTGTTCTTTTTGGTTAGGACTGCTTTGGCTAATTTGGGCTCTTTTTTGGTTTCATACGGGTTTTAAAATCGTTTTTTCTAGTTAGGCAAAGAATGTCATTGGTAGTTCAATAGGAATAGCATTGAGCCTGCACATTGCTTTGGGAGTATGGATATTTTAATATTTATTCTTCCTATCCATGAGCATGGGATATTTTTCCATTTGTTTATGTTATCTCTGATTTCTTTGAGCAATGTTTCATAGTTCTCATTATAGTTCTCATTTCATACTTCTATCACCTCTCTGGTTAGCTGTATTCCTAGGTATTTTACTCTTTTTGTGGCAATTGTGAATGGGATTGCGTTCCTGAGGTAGCTGTCAGCTTGATTGTTGTTGTTGTATAGAAATGCTAATGATTTTTGCACATTGATTTTGTATGCTGAGATGTTGCTGAAGTTAGTTATCAGCTTCAGGAGCTTTTGGGCTAAGACTATGGAGTTTTCTAGATATAGGATTATGCCATCTGCAAACAGAGATAATTTGACTTCCTCTCTTCCTATTTGGATGCTATTTATTTCTTTCTCTTGTCTGATTGCTCTGGTCAGGACTTTCAATAATATGTATGTTGAATAGGAGTGGTGACAGAGAGCATCCTTGTCTTGTGCTCGTTTTCAAGAGGAATGCTTCCAGATTTTGCCCACTCTGTACGATGCTAGCTACGGGTTTGTCATAGGTAGTTCTTATTATTTTGAGGTATGTTTCTTTAATACTTAGTTTATTGAGAGTTTTTAATGCAAGAGGTGTTGAATTTTATCGAAAGCGTTTTCTGCATCTATTGAGATAATCATGTGTTTTTTTTTCTCTTGTTCTGTTTATGTGACAAATCACATGTATTGATTTGTATATGTTAGACTGACCTTGCATCCCTACTTGATTGTGGTGGATAAGCTTTTCGATGTGCTGCTGTATTCAGTTTGTCAGTATTTTGTTGAGGATTTTTGCATTGATGTTCATCAAAGATATTGGCCTGAAGTTTTCTTTTTTGTGTCTCTGCCAGGTTTCAGTAGCAGGATGATGCTGGCCACAGAATGAGTCAGGAAAGAATCCCTCCTTTTTAATTTTTTGGAATAGTTTCAGTAGGAATGGAACCCACTCTTTTCGTATATCTAGTGGAATTCAGCTGTGAATCTGTCTGGTCATGGGCTTTTTTTGGTTGGTAGGCTATTTGTTAGTGATTCAATTTTGGAGCTCCTTATTGGTCTGTTCAGGGATACCCTTTCTTCCTGGTTCAGTCTTGGGATTGTGTATGTGTCCGGGAATTTATCCATTTCTTCTAGATTTTCCAGTTTGCGTGCACAGAGGTGTTCATAATATTCCCTGATGGTTATTTGTATTTCTGTGGGCTCAGTGGTAATACCCTTTTTGTCATTTATAATTGTGTTTATTTAGATCTTCTCTTTTTTCTTTTTTTATTTTATTTTATTATTTATTTATTTATTTTTTGAGACGGAGTCTTGCTCTGTTGCCCAGGCTGCAGTGCAGTGGCACGATCTCGGCTCACTGCAAGCTCCGCCTCCCCGGTTCACGCCATTCTCCTGCCTCAGCCTCCCAAGTAGCTGGGACTACAGGCACCAGCCACCATGCCTGGCTAATTTTTTTCATTTTTAGTAGAGACGGGGTTTCACCGTGTTAGCCAGGATGGTCTCGATCTCCTGACCTTGTGATCCGCCTGCCTCAGCCTCCCAAAGTGCTGGAATTACAGGCTTGAGCCACCCTGCCTGGCCTTCTTTTTCTATTAGATCCCATTTGCTAGCAGTCTATTTATAAATATATATATATATATATATATATATATATATATATATATATATATTTTTTTTTTTTTTTTTTTTTTTTTTTTTTCCAAAAACCAACTCCTGGATTTGTTGATCTTTTGAGTGTTTTTTTTTTGTGTCTCAGTCACCTTCAGTTCAGCTCTGATTTGGGATATTTTTTGTCTTCTGCCAGCTTTGGAATTGGTTTGCTCTTGGTTTCTCTAGTTCTTTTAGTTGTGATGTTAGGTTGGTAAATTGAGATCTTCTTAACTTTTTCATGTGGCATTTACTGTTATAAATTAACACTGCCTTATCTGTGTCCTAGAGATTCTGGTACATTGTATTTTTGTTTTCATTAGTTTCAAAGAACTTGATTTCTGCCTTAATTTCATTACTTACCTAGAATAATACCCTGGCTGAACATTTTTTTCTTTCATTTTGACTTTGGAGAATCTGACAATCACGTGTCTTGGGGTGATCTTCTTGTGCAGAATCTTGCAGGGGTTCCCTGTATTTCCTGAATTTGACTGTTGGTCTCATCTAGCAAGATGTTGGGAAATTTTCATGGATGATATCCTGAAATATGTTTTCCAAGTTGTTTGCTTTCTTTCTCTTTCTTTCAAGGATGCCAATGATTTGAAGATTTGGCCTCTTTACATAATCCCATATTTTTCAGAGGCTTTATTTATTCCTTTTTATTTTTTTTTCTTTATTTTTGTCTGACTGTTTTGTTTCAGGGAACCAGTCTTCAAGTTCCAAGATTCTTTCCTCAGCTTGGTCTATTCTGCTGTTAATACTTGCAATTGCATTGTGAAATTATTGTAGTGTGTTTTTCAGCTCTGCCATGTCAGTTAGGTTCTGTTTTATACTGGCTATTTTGTCTGTCAGGGCCTGTATCATTTTACTGTGATTATTAGTTTCCTTAGAATGGGTTTTGCCATTCTACTGAATCTCAGTGATCTTTGTTCCTATCCGTAGTCTGAATTCTATTTCTGTCATTTCAGCCAGCTCAGCCTGGTTAAGAATCCTGGTTGGAGAACTAGTGTGTTTGTCTGGAGGATGTAGACTCTGGCCATTTGAGTTGCCTGAGTTCTTGTATTGGTGCTTTCTCATCTCAGAATGTGGGTGTGTTCCTTTAACTGCAGTATAGATTGAGTATAGTCAGTAGACTTCTTTTCTGGATGTTTTCACAGGGTGAAGCTTTGTTCATAGTCTTTATTTGTAGCTGACTTCTTGTCTTCTGCTTCACAGGGCAGTATGTTAGTGAGGTATTTTTGGTGTTGAAGCTTTGGGGTGTGATCCAGTAGGTGGCACTTAGGTGCACAGGTCAGTTGATCAGCTCTTTCTTGGTCATGTGGCCTCCCTATATTTTCTCACATTTGCAGCCAGGGTGCCTCTCAATCCTCTGAAAGTGTGGGCTCCTCTCCTACTTGAGTGTTGGCTGTAGATCATGGCTTGGCACTCTTGGGCTGCCCACTGCACTCTGGAGCAATCTCAGGGTTTATATTTCCTCCTTAATTTGGAGGTAGCGGAGGAAGGAACCTTAGCAGTGATTGTGGCCAAGGGTCTTTTACTGGAGCTCTACCCCAGAGAGATGCAGGTCAGCAACTGCTCCGTGTAATCATCCCAGGACGTGGGGTCTGTGCTCTAGGCCCAAGCCAAGGGTTCCTTGTCTGGTGATGAGCAGAGGAGTGGGTGAGACTCATATAAGACAGACTGGCCTCCTCTCCTTGGGTCGACAGCAGGTTGTTGGAGGGTGGATAAGGCCCTTAGAGTCTTTGCTTCTTCATTAGTCTGAGGGTAGCAGATAGTACCACCGCAGAGGCAGTGCCAGATTGGCTTTCAGTTGCTTCTGGGGCCTCCAGTTCTGAGAAACGTGGAGCCACTATTACTGGGAGTGTTCAGCCAGTGGGGTAGGGTAGCTGCACTGCTGATGTGAGCTTTGAATTCTGCTTGTAGGGAAGCAGGAGGTTGCAGGCTCAATGGGAGGAGAGACTGTTCTCTTCATATGATGACTGTGGCATCCTGTAAGCTCGGGTGTAGCCCTCAGGTTCTTTGTTTCTTCCCCCAACTGAGGGCAGCAGGAATAGAACCACTGCTGCGACAGTGGCTGTGGGGCTGTCAGATGTCTCTGGGAGTCTCTCCCCAGGGAGACTCCAGGCTACTACGAGGGGTATGCTCAGCTGTGGGTGGGGGTAACTGTTCTGTGGTCATGAGCTGGGGGGCCAGCCTGGTGAGGAGTAGGGGGTGAGGATTCCAAGGGAAGAGAGGCTGGATTCCTCCTATGTGGCTGCAGTGTGCTGGAGGTGCCAGCATCCTGACTAGGCCCTTTGTTCCTTCCCTAGCCTGAGGGCTGTTAGGGCGTACCACCGCGACTGCAGTAGCAGAGGGGTTATGGGCTGACTCTGGGATTTCCTCCTGAGATAAATACTGAGCTGCCTGTGATTGAAGTGGTCAGGTGGAGGCAGGATGATTGTGCTGGAGTCCAAGGTCTGACTGCCTGCCCAGTGAGGAGAAGTGAGGACCCAGACCACTTCCCTGGTTGCAGTAGGCTCCCTGGCTCCGTGTTGCTCCTGAGTGGGTGGTTGTCCTACCTTGCTTTTCTCCATTCTCCCTGGGTCAAGTTGTTTCCTTGATGAATCCTAATACATGTACCTGGATGTTTCAGTTGAAGGTGCTGTATTTATTCACCCCCTTCTAATTCCGTGAAAGTGGCGCACACTAGCTGCTTCTAGTCAGCCATCTTGGCCAGCCTCTCTCTAATTTCTTATTGCAGGTTACTTTGTTTCCAGTTCATTATTAACAGTGCTATGATGAAGAATAAAATAATTTAATCTTTCAGTTTAAAAAAGATTTTTAGTGGAATTGTTTAAAGCAAATATTCAAAACACAATTTGAGGGCTACTTTATATAAAATGAAATTATTTGTTTGAAGTGGACACTGAAGTGGAGAGACTGTAAATGCTGTATGTATATATATCATATTTCCTTAATGATGGACACTTAGGTTGATTTCATATCTTGGCTATTGTGACTAGTGCTGCAATAAACATGAGAATGTAGATATCTCTTCAACATACTGATTTTGTTTCCTTTGGATATGTCCCCAGTCATAGGATTGTTAGATCATATGGTAGCTCTATTTTTTATTTTTGAGGAACCTCAATGTTGTTTTTTATAATGGCTTTAATAATTTACATTCCCATCAACAGTGTACAAGAGTTCACTTTTTAAATATTCTCTCCAATACTTGTTATCTTTTTTTTTTTATCATAGCCATTCTAAACAGTGTGAGGTGATATTTCATTGTGGTTTTACTTTGCATTTCCATGATGATTAGTGATGTTGATGTTTTTTTTTCATATACCTATTAGCCATTTGAATGTCTTATTTTGAGAAATATTTGCTCAAGTCCTCTGTCCATTTTTTAATTGGGTTATTTGTTTTCTTGCTATTGAGTTGTTTGAGTTCATTAAATATTTTAGACCACAATCCCTTATCAGATATATGGTTTGCAATCATTTTCTCTCATTTTGTAGGTTGTCTCTTCACTCTGTTAATTGTTTGCTGTGCAGAAACTTTTTAGTTTGTAATACAGCTTGTCTATTTTTGCTTTTATTGCCTGTGCTGTTGGAGTCATTTCCAAAAAATCATTGCCCAAAGCAATGTCATGGAGCTTTCCCCCATGTTTTCTCCTAGTAGATTTACACTTTCAAGTCTTACATTTAAGTCTTTAATCCATTTTGATTTTTGTGTATGGTGTGAGATAAAGGTCTAATTTTATTCTGCATGTGGATGTAAAGTTTTTTCAACATGATTTGCTGAGAAGAGTGTCCTTCTCCCATGTGCTCTTGGCATTTTTGTCAAAAATTAATTGACCATAAATGCATGGATTTATTTCTTGGCTGTCTATCTGTTTCACTGGTCTATGTATCTGCTTTTATGCTAGTACAATGCTGTTTTGATTACTATAGCTTTGTAATATATTTTGAAATAATCTATTGTGATGCCTCCAGCATTGTTAGCTAGAAAAAAAAATACAACACTTGAAAATACGTTTATCCAAGGAAGTGAAAGAGCTATACACCAAAAACTAGGACACTGATGAAAGAAATGGAAGAAAACACGAATAAATGGAAAGGTAGATCATGTTCATGGATTGGAAGAATTAATGTCAAAATGTCCAACTGCCCAAGCATTCTGCAGATTCAGTGAATCCCTATCAAAATTTCCATAACATTTTTTCACAGATACAGAAAAACAATACAAAATTTCATATGGAATCACAAAAGACACTAAATATCCAAAGAAATCTTGAGCCTAAAAGTGGTTTTCAACTTATAAACAAAATGTGTTTTTTATAATTTATAATTTTTTTATAGGTAATTTATAATTTTTCTCTTCTTTGGACAATGTGTTTTGTGTTTTAGGTTTGCACATGGTTATACAGTCTAGGTCATTCATCATTGACTACTCATTCCACACACATATTTTTGAGAGTATTCTATCTAGTGCTATCTCTGCTGAGAAAATGGTAGTAAAGTCTTCTAGAAAGATGAAAAGGAATATACCAAAGGGGAAGGCAGACATGAGATTACTGTTAGATGAGCACCCCCAACCCCATGCTCCACTCTCTGGCTGAGCCCTCCACTTTGACACTGGGTCCTGTCTACTCTTGCCTGCTCAAAACCATCACTTTAGTACCTCTCCCTTTTTACTTCACCATCATGACTGCTTCTCTATTGGGTCATATACATTGGCATATAAACATAGTTTTTGTACTTCCCGTCTTAAAAGAAACACTTTCTCTTTTAAACAGAAAGTTTAAAAGAGAAAAGAAACACTTTTCTCTTTTTTAAAAAAAGCGTCTTAAAAGAAACAAGATGCTACAAACAGTGATTGATCTAAAGTAAACCCTAAATTATTTTTAAGCATTATTGTGTTTTTCTATCCCTTTTCTTTAACTGTCTTCTCCTCCAGTACCTCTCTTTCAGCCCTGGACTTGCTCTGTCCAGCCCGCGTTTTATTCTGATCTGCCAGTGCATTCACTCCTCCAAGGAGAATAGCCTTCTCCACCCACCACCCTACAAATCCATTGCTAGGGAAAAGAGAACAGAAAATTTCTCTTCTTCCTTGTCAAAATAAATGAGATGTCTCTCTTAAAAGATGACAACTCAGGAAGATTATTAAATTATATCTAGTAAACTGCCTTCTATCCCCTACCTCTCCGAATCTGTCACAATGGCCAGTCCTCAACAGGCACTAAAAAATAATTTGGAGCGGATTGATTCCATAGCTGCTATCGGCTGCTACAGGGATTTTCACTTCTAATCAACCTCGAACTGCTTGGAACTGCATATTCCCCCTTCCAGCAGTTCATACGGGGAAGAATGGGAGTGAACAATCTTTCTTCTCCCTGTCAACTCTATTTCACTCTAAATCAGGGAATTGTATGCCTTCATGAACCTATTTCTGTCCCATCCCCAAGAGCAACAGAATCCATCACAGCTGCAGCCTAGAAGGGGAAGTGTCCTGAGTACAAACAGCTGCCTTCCCTGCTAGCACCAGGAGAAAAGCAGAGCAATTTATAGAGCTACACTTGGTCAGAGCAGAGATTTAGTAATTCCCTTGAGCCCAAGAGACCCTTTTTGCCTCCCTTTTTTCATCCCACAACGCTGTTTCTCTGATTCTTTAGCTCCACAGCAGTCTGAGGCACACTGGGTGATGCCTCTGCTACCCTAAGGGTTTTCTTTCTCCCCAGACTCTTGGGGTCAAAGATATCCTTTTGGGAATTCTTGACAATGACAAAAAACATCCGACAACTGAAAATCACTTTCTAGTTCTGACCTCTCATTCTTGAAGAAGGAAGAGTGGCATTATTTTTCTCCATACCTGACATCTCTGCTGGGAATACATTGTCCAGGATGTCTGAGCCCTCTTATTGCTTTCCTGTAGGGCGCCTTGGAATGAAGCAAGCCACTGGCAGTAAGACTGTCACATGCTAACCCTGTTCACCTCCCCGGTACCCCATTACTCCCAAGCCTGAACTCTCTGCCAGGTCATGTCATGCATGAGATCTGATTCCAGCCTGTTCTCTAATGGCATCAATGTCCCAAAGTCCTTGGTTGACTAACCAATGAATTAAGCATCTAGTATACCCAAACATGTCCTAGATACTGAGAATATGGAACAGACTTGATACTTGGGTTACTTTCTTTTGCTCTCAAGAAGCTTATTTTAAAAATTTTTATTATAAAATAATTCAAATAGTCAAAAAGTACAGCAATTATAACACTAAGGAGATATAAACATCAACATTTGCCAAGGTTTTGAAGACTTTACATTGGTAGAAAAGAAAATGTTATCAACAGAGTTGAGGACACCTCTGCCAACCTCTAAATTTCCCTGTCTCCCTCTTTCCTTTCTTCCTTCTTTCCTCCCTCCATTTTTTCCCCAAAGGTAACTACTAGCCTAGTTACCTAGTGGCCATGTATTCATAAAAAGTAGCATTTTTATTAAAAAAAAATACACTAAAATGGTATTATACTTGATATGTCCTCTTGGATGTTACATTTTCCATTCAAAATAATGTTTTTGACATTTATTCAAGTCAATACATGTAGAACCAATTCAATGTATTCTATCAGTTGAATGTTATTTTGTTATGTGAGTTTATCATAATTTATCTTTTTTGATTTTGATGATTATGTGTACTCACTTCAGGGTTTTTGTTATTATAGTTCTGCAGTGAGCATTCATGTATGTGTTTCCTTGCTTACGTGTGTGAGAATTTCTCTAGGGCAATGTTTTGCAACTTTATTTTGACAAGGATCCGCATGTAGACATTTTATATCATCATGACAAGTCCAGGTGCAAACACATATAAACACATACATAGTCATTCAACTGAAACAAACCCAAGATATATTCTCATATTATTCTATTCTATTCCTTTTCTGTTCTATTCTGTATGCTATTTCTTGTTATATTCTACTCTCTTCTACTCCTTGTTAAATTCAGGGACTGACATACTGAGTTGTCAGGATGTCAGTTGTCAACTGAACAATGAGTCAGGATCTAGGGTTTGAAAAACACTAACTTAATGTATAAATCCAGGAGCAGAATTGCTGTGTCTAAGAGTATGAGCATTTCAACTTCATTGTATGTTGCCAAGTTGCTCTCTTCATAGCAAGATGTACCCATTTTAGAGATATTAAAATATAAAATATGTGCATTTTATAATCTAGGTTATGCAATATTCTGGATACAAGTTTTTCGTTCATTGTGTGAATTTCTATTTTTAAAATTTGTCCTTTAACTTTCTTTATGTATATTTTATCATGTGGAAGTTTTTAATTTTGGAGTAGTCAAATGTGTAAAAATGTTTCATATAGCTAATTTAGGCTTTAAGATATTCCTACTTGATGTCATAAAAATAGTCTCCTACATCTCTTTCTGAAAATTCTGCAGTTTTGACTTTTGGCCACAGACTTTTAATCTATCTGGGGTTGGTATTTTGTTATTGTGTGAGATAGGTATTAATGGATATCCTCAAGTATCCAAATATTTTTTTGAGTGACCCATTCTTTCCACATTGGAGTTTTTTGTTTGTTTGTTTGTTTTAAAATTTGTTATTTCCATAGGTTATTGGGGAATCGGTGGTGTTTGGTTACATGAGTAAGTTATTTAGTAGTGATTTGTGAGATTTTGGTATACCCATCATCACACGAGGAGTATACACTGCACCCAGTTTGTAGTCTTTTACCCCTCACGCACTTCCCATTCTTTCCCCGAGTCCCCAAAGTCCATCGTGTCATTCTTATGCCCTTGCATCCTCATAGCTTAGCTCCCACTTATGAGGGAGAACATACAATGTTTGGTTTTCCATTCCTGAGTTACTTCACTTAGAATAATAGTCTCCAATCTCATCCAGGTTGCTGTGAATGCCATAAATTCATTCCTTTTTATGGCTGAGTAGTATTCCATCATATATAATATATATATATATGTATGTATGTGTGTGTGTGTGTGTGTGTGTGTGTGTGTATATATATATCTCTTACATATATATCACAGTTTCTTTATCCACTCGTTGACTGATGGACATTTGGGTTGGTTTCACAGTTTTGCAATTGTGAATCATGCTGCTATAAACATGCATGTGCAAGTGTGTTTTTCCTATAATGATTTCTTTTCCTCTGGGTAGATACCCGGTAGTGAGATTGCTAAATCAAATGGTACTTCTACTCTTAGTTCTTTAAAGAATCTCCACACTGTTTTTCATAGTGGTTGTACTGGTTTACATGCCCACCAGCAGTGTAGAAGTGTTCCCTGTTCACCGTATCCATGCCAATATTTACTATTTTTTGATTTTTTGATTATGGCCGTTCTTGCAGGAGTGAGGTAGTATTGCATTGTGGTTTTGATTCGCATTTCCCTGATCATTAGTGATATTGAGCATTTTTTATTTGTTTGTTGGCCCTGTGTATATCTTCTTTTGAGAATTGTCTATGCATGTATTTGGCCCACTTTTTGATGGGATTGTTTGTTTTTTTCTTGCTAACATGTTTGGGTTCGTTATAGATTCTGGATATTTGTCCTATGTTAGACGTATAGATTGTGAAGATTTTCTCCCACTCTGTGGGTTGTCTGTTTACCCTGCTGACTATTCCTTTTGTTCTGCAAAATCTCTTTAGTTTAATTAAGTCCCAGCTATTTATCTTTGTTTTTATTGCATTTACTTTTGGGTTCTTGGTCATGAAATCCTTGCCTAAGCCAATGTCTATAAGGGTTTTTCCAATGTTAACTTCTAGAATTTTTATAGCTTCAGGTCTTAAATTTAAGTCCTTAATCCATCTTGAGTTAGTTTTCGTATAAGATGAGTGATGAGAATCCAGTTTCATTCTCCTACATGTGGCTTGCCAATTATCCCAACACCATTTGTTGAATATGGTGTCCTTTCCTCACTGTATGTTTTTGTTTGCTTTGTTGAAGATCAGTTGGCTGTAAATATTTGGGTTTACTTCTGGGTTCTCTATTCTGTTCCATTGGTCTATGTGCCTATTTTTATACCAGTACCATGCTGTTTTGGTGATTATGGCCTTCTAATACAGTTTGAAATCAGGTAATGTGCTGTCTCTAGATTTGTTCTTTTTGCTTAGTCTTGCTTTGGCTATGTAGGCTCTTTTTTGGTTCCATATGAATTTTAGGATTGTTTTTACTAATTCTGTGGTGAATTATGGTGATATTTTGATGAGAATAGCATCGAATTTGTAGATTGCTTTTGGCAGTATGGTCATTTTCACAATATTGATTCTACTCATCCAAGAGAATGGGATGTGTTTCCACTTGTTTGTGTTGTCTGTGATTTCTTTCAGCAGTGTTTTGTAGTTTTCCTTGTAGAGGTCTTTCATCTCTTTGGTTGGGTATATTCCAAAGTTTTGTTTTTTGGGGGTATTTTGTTTGTTTGTTTTGTTTTTGCAGCTATTGTAAAACGTGTTGAGTTCTTGATTTGATTCTCAACTTGGTCACTGTTGGTATATAGAAGAGCCACTGATTTGTGTACATTAATTTTGTACCTGGAAACTTTGCTGAATTCTTTTATCAGTTCTAAGAGTTTTCTGGAGGAGTCTTTAGGGTTTTCTAGACAAACAATCATATCATCAGCAAACAGCAACAATTTGACTTTCTCTTTGCCAATTTGGATGCCTTTTATTTCTTTCTCTTGTCTGATTGCTCTGTCTAGAACTTCCAGTACTATGTTGAAGAGGAGTGGTAAGAGGGGGCATCCTTGTCTTGTTCCAGTCCTCAGAAGGAGTACTTTCAACTTTTCCTCATTCAGTATTATGTTGTCTGTGGGTGTGTCATAAATGGCTTTTATTACATTGAGGTATGTCCCTTGCATGCCAACTTTGCTGAGAGTTTTAATTATAAAGGGATGCTGGATTTTGTTGAATGATATTTCTGCATCTATTGAGATGATCATGTGATTTTTGTTTTTAGTTCTGTTTATGTGGCATATCACATTTATTGAGTTGCATATGTTAAACCATCCCTGCATCCCTTTTATGAAACCCACTTCATCATGGTGGATTATCTTTTTGATATGTGGTTGAATTTGGTTAGCTAGTATTTTGTTAAGGATTTTAGCATCTATATTCATCAGGGATATTGGTCTGTAGTTTTCTTTTTTGGCATGTCCTTTCCTGGTTTTGGTATTAGGATGATACTGGCTTCATAGAATGATTTAGGGAGGGTTCCCTCTTTCTCTATCTTGTGGAATAGTGTCAATAGGATTACTACCAATTCTTCTTTGTATGTCTGGTAGAATTCTGCTGTGAATCCATCTGTCTGGACTTCTTTTTGTTGGTAATTTTTAAATTACCATTTCAATGTTGTCGCTTGTTGTTGGTCTGTTCAGGGTATCTAATTCTTCTTGATTTAAGCTGGAGAGTTGTATCTTTCCAGGAATTTATCCAGCTCCTCTAGGTTTTCTAATTTATGCACATAAAGGTGTTCATAGTATCCTTGGATGATTTTTTGTATTTCTGTGGTGTCAGTTGTAATATCTCCTGTTTCATTTCTAATTGAGCATATTTGGATTTTCTCTCATCTTTTCCTGGTTAATCTTGCTAATGGTCTACCAATTTTATATATCTTTCCAAAGAACCAGCTTCTTGTTTCATTTACCTTTTGTATTTTTTGTTTCAATTTCATTTAATTCTGCTCATATCTTTCTTATTTCCTTTCTTCTGCTGGGTTTGGGTTTGGTTTGTTCTTGTTTTTTTACTTCCTTGAGGTGTGACCTTATATTGTCTGTGCTCTTTCAGACTTATTAATGTAGGTGTTTAGGGCTATGAACTTTCCTCTTAGCACTGCCTTTGCTGTATCACAGAGGTTTTGATAGGTTGTGTTACTATTGTCATTCAGTTAGAAGAATTTTTTGATTTCTATCTTGATTTCATTTTTGACCCAATGATCATTCAGGAGCAGGTTATTCAATTTCCATGTATTTGCATGGTTTTCAAGGTTCCTTTTGGAGTTAATTTCCAGTTTTATTCCACTGTGGTCTGAGAGAGTGCTTGACATAATTTCAATTTTCTTAAATTTATTGAGGCTCGTTTTGTGGCCTATCATATGGTCTATCTTGGAGAAAGTTTCACTTGCTGTTGGATAGAATGTATATTCTGTGGTTGTTGGGTGGAATGTTCTGTGTATATCTGTTAAGTACATTTGTTCCAGGGTATAGTTTAAATCCATTGGTTTTTTGTTGACTTTCTGTCTTGATGACTTGTCTAGTGCTGTTAGTGGAGTATTCAAGTCCTCCACTATTATTGTGTTGCTATCTCATTTTTTAGATCTATTAGTAATCATTTTATAAATCTGGGAGCTCCAGTGTTAGGTGCATATATGTTTAGGATTGTAATATTTTCCTGTTGGAGAAGGCCTTTTATCATTGTATAGTGTCCCTCTTTGTCTTTTTAAACTGCTATTTCTCTAAAGTTTGTTTTGTCTGATATAAGAATAGTGACTCCTGCTCACTTTTGGTGTCCATTTGCATGAATTGTCTTTTTCCACCCCTTTACCTTAAGTGAGTCCTTATGTTTTAGGTGAGTCTCTTGAAGGCAGCAGATAGTTGGTTGGTGAATTCTTACCCATTCTGCAATTCTGTATCTTTTAAGTGGCGCATTTAGACCATTTACATTCAATATTAGTATTGAGATGTGGGGTACCATTCCATTCATTTGTTGCTGTTTGTTGCCTGTATACCTTGGTTTTTTGCTTTTGTTTTTTTGAATGTATTTTTGTTTTATAGGTCCTGTGAGAGTTATGCTTTAAAGGGGTTCTGTTTTAATGTGTTTCCAGGATTTGTTTCAAGATTTAGAGCTCCTCTTAGCAGTTCTTGTAGTGGTGGCTTGGTAGTGGTGAATTCTCTCAGCATTTGTTTGCCTGAAAAAGACTGTATCTTTCCTTTATATATGAAGCTTAGTTTCACTGGATACAAAATCCTTGGTTGATAATTGTTTTGTTTGAGGATGCTGAAGATAGGGCCCAATCCTTTCTAGCTTGTAGGGTTTCCACTGAGAAATCTGCTGTTAATCCTATAGGTTTTCCTTTATAGGTTACCTGGTGCTTTTGCCTCACAGCTCTTAAGATTCTTTCTTTCATCTTAAGTTTAGTTAACTTGATGACAATGTGCATAGGGGATGATCTTTTTGCGATGCATTTCCCAAGTGTTCTTTGAGCTTCTTATATTTGAATGTCTAGATGTCTAGCAAGGCGGGGGATGTTTTCCTCGATTATTCCCCCAAATGTTTTCCAAATTTTTAGATTTCTCTTCTTCCTCAGGAACACCAATTATTCTTAGGTTTTGTCATTAAACATAATCCCAGACTTCTTGGGGGCTTTGTTCATATTTTCTTTTATTTTTTTTTGAGACAGAGTCTTGCTCTGTCACCCAGGCTGGAGTGCAGGGGTGTGATCTCGGCTCACTACAACCTCCACCTCCTGGGTTCAAGCGATTCTTCTGACTCAGCCTCCTGAGTAGCTGGGACTACAGCCATGCACCACCATGCCCAGCTAAATTTTGTATTTTTAATAGAGACAGGGTATTCACCATATTGGCCAGGCTGGTCTTGGACTCCTGACCTCATGATCCACGAATCTTGGCCTCCCAAAGTGCTCGGATTACAGGGGTGAGCCACCACGCCTGGCCTTTGTTCATATTTTCTTATTCTTTTTTCTTTGTCTTTGTTGGATTGGGTTAATTCAAAGACCTTGTCTTTGAGCTCTGAAGTTCTTTCTTCTGCTTGTTCAGTTCTATTGCTGAGACTTTCTGGAGCATTTTGTGTTTCTATAAATGTGTCCATTGTTTCCTGAAGTTTTGATTTTTTTTTAATTTATGCTATCTATTTCATTGAATATTTCTCCCTTCACTTATTGTATTATTGTTATTTTTTATTTCCTTAAATTGGGCTTCACCTTTCTCTGGTGCCTCCCTGATTAGCATAATAACTAGCCTCCTGAATTCTTTTTCAGGTAAATTAGAAATTTCTTCTTCGTTTGGATCCATTGCTGGTGAGCTAGTGTGATTGTTGGGGGGTGTTAAAGAACCTTGTTTTGTCATATTAACAGAGTTGATTTTCTGGTTCCTTCTCATTTGGGTAGGCTCCGTCAAAGGGAATATCTAGGGCTGGAGGCTGTTGATCAGATTCTTTTGTCTATGGGGTGTTCCCTTGATGTAGTACTCTCCCCTTTTTCCTCTTGATGTGGATTCTGGAGAGCTGAGCTGTAATGATTGTTATCTCTCTTCTAGATCTAGCCACCCAGCAAGTCTAACAGGCTCTGTGCTGGTACTGGGGACTGTCTGCACAGAGTCCTCTGATATGAACCGTCTGTGGGTCCTGCAGCCATGGATACAAGCGCCTGCTCTGGGGAAAGTGGCAGGGTGATGAAATGGACTCTTTGATGGACCCTAGCTTCAGTGGTTTAATGCCCTATTTTTGTGCTGGTTGGCCTCCTGCCAACACTTTCCAGACAGCATCAGCTCTGGTAGTATGGGGAGGAACAGCTGGTGTGGGGGCCCTGGAACTCCCAAGAGTATACGCTGTTTGTCTTCAGTTTCCAGGGTAGGTAGGGAAGGACCACTGGGTGGGGGCAGGGCTAGGCATGTCTGAGCTCAGACTCTCCTTGGATGGGTCTTGCTGTGGCTGCTGTGGGGGATGGGGGTGAGGTTCCCAGGTCAACAGCTATGTTCCTAGGAGGATTATGGCTGCCTCTACTGTGTAATGTAGGTCGTCAGGGAAGTGGGGGAAAGCCAGCAGTCACAGGTCTCACCCAGTTCCCACACAATCTAAAAGGCTGGTCTCATTCCCACTATGCCCCGACCAACAGCACCAAGACTGTTTCCAAGCAGTGGGTGAGCAGGGCTGAGAATGTGCCACAGGCTACCTGACTCCCAGCTGCAAAACCAAGTAGGGCTTTTATTCTTCCCCCTCCTGTGGAGTTTGTACACTGGATTCAAAGCCTCCCCCGAGTTCTGGCCAGGAGACTTCTCAATCGGTTTAAGTTATTACAAAGTTCAGCTGGAGGTTACCTTCTCCCTCTGGCCTTTTCCCAGTGCCTCTATCCACCGTCCCCAGGGATTCCAGTGAGGCAAGGCAGAAATGGCTTGCTAAGGGACCCTGAGAGCCAACAGGTCTTTTCCTGCTGCCTTCTTTACCCTGTATTTCACTCTGCTCTCTAAATTGACTGAGCTCCAGGTAAGATCAGAATCTTCTCCCTTAATCTAGACCTGCAGGTTCCCCAGTCGGGATGTATGTTTGGGGCAGATGATCTCCCTTTCCCACTTCCACAGTTTGGGCACTCATAGTATTTGGGGTGTCTTCAGGGTCCTACAGGAGCAATCCACTTCCTTCAGAGGATCTGTGGTTCCCTCAGTTTTCCTAATATATTCCTACAGTCGTTCTGGAGCAAAAGTTCATGAGGCAAGCCTCCACATGCTGCATGTTGTCCGAGTCAGAGCTGCAATCTAGTTCCGCCTCCTGTCCACCATCATCTCCATCCACATTAGAGTTTTAATACCATTTTTGTCCTGTATCAAGTACTCAAAATATGTGAGTTTGTTTCTTGGAATTCTTTTTTTTTTTTTTTCAGTTGCAGGGCTTATCCCTGCATAAGCATCACAGTGTTATTTACTAAAGCTTTATTTTAAAAATCTCCTATAGAATTGCATAGGTTTATCTTGATGACTTATTTTTCTCAAGTTTTTTTAGAATCAGCTTGTCTAATTCCATGAAAAAGTACGGTGAGAATTTGATGGGAATTACATGAATTTATAGATCACTTTAAAGAGAATTGTTATATTTTAACCATTTATTCTTTGAATCCATGGATGTAATGTATCTCCTTATGTATTTAACCTTCATTACAAATCTTAATAATATAGCTTGTACATATTGACATACTGAATGCCGTGGTATGAAGCACTGAGAAAAATACAACCTTATTTCTGTTAGTCTTAACAAAAATGCATAACATCAATCCACTCATAAGAAAACATCAGAAAAAATCCAAACTGAGGAAGATTCAACAGAATAACTGATCAACCCTGGCAAAAATGTCATGATCGTGGAAAGCAAGGTAACGCTGGGGAATGACTCCAAACTTCTAGAGGTAATTATGTCTAACAACGAAATGTCGTGTAAAATCTTCTATAGGAAACTAGAACAGGAAAAGGACATTAGGAGAAAACTTGTGAAGCTCTAAGATCTTTAGCTGATAGTATCGTACCAATGCTAATGTCCAGGTTTTAATAATCATACTCTGATCATATAAGAGGTTAACATTTGGGGAGGCTAGGTAAGGAATATAAAGAAACTCTCCATACTATTTTTCAACTTTTCTATAAGTTTAAAATTAGTTCAATATAAAAAATTAAAACACATAAGTTTGTAAATTGACATCGTTGTGTTAGTTGGGACTTCAACATTTCACTCACAGCATATGTTGTTTGCTGTTGGTTTTAGGTAGGTATTCTTCAGCTGTTTAAGGGGTTTCTGTCTTATTCATAGTTGGGTAAATGTGTGTGTAGGAGGAGGTGTTTAATCACCTCTAGAGGTTGAATTTAATCCAATATTTTTTCTATCTATACCAACTATATTTAAGTACAGTGTTATGTCTTTCCTTTTTAGTTTGCCAATGTGTTAAATTACTACCTTTTCTAATATTAAGTCACCTTGTAGTTCCAAAATAAACCCCCTTTGTCATATGTATTTTTAAGGTACATTGCTAGATTTGATGTACTAATGTTTAATGCATTGTTTTTATATCTATGTTCATCACATGAGATTGCTAATGAGTTTTCTTTACTATAATATTTATTGTTTTGCATGCCTACTCTTTTTTTTTCTGAGTTTCCTTTTATTTCTTAAATTATGGCTTTTCTATTGCTAGTGACGCATTCTCTTACCTTTTGTCTTTTTTACCCCCATTTTTCAATACTAGATCACTATGTAAATGTTAGTTGGTGTTATCTTCTCCAGGACTACCATAACGTTTTAAAGTACCCTTGCCTTCTGGCCTTTACTTTCACTTATGAGAAACTTTGCTGCAAGTCTAATTGCTATTCATTTACAGGCAATCTGTTCCTTTGCTCAAGTTGTTTTTTAAGATTCATTTTTTGTCTTTGGTGTTCTGCAATCTCCTTATAATGCATCTGGGATACTTAAGAACCAATCTGAGGATCATGACCTTTCTTAATTCTAGAAAATTATCAGGCATTATTTTTAAAAATATTGTGTCATCTACACTAATTCTCTTCTTGTTCTCTGCAATTATTTTGGATGTATATTGAATTTTTCTACACAGTCTTCCATGCCCCTTATACTGTCTTTAATATGTTTTTTATTCTCTTTATTTGTGCTGCTTTTCTGAGCACTTAGACCAGATTCATCTTCCAACATACTGATCTTTCTCTTTAGCTATGTCTAATCTATTGCTTAACCAATTTATTGTGTTAATTTTAATAAGTAAGTATGTTTTTTATTTCCACAATATCTACTTTCTCTTTTCCAAGTCCACATTACTGTGGCCGCATCTTTAATTTTATTTTCTATTTCTTCTTATATGTCTTAAACACTTCAATTACTATTTTACAGAGCTATTTTTATCATTGCAAACCTTTGGGATATTTTTTATTATTTCAAATGTTTGTTCTTTATTGTTGTACTTGTTCTTCCTTTTCAAGATAGGTCATTTTTCTGTATGCTTTGTATTTTTTTTATTGTGAGCTTCTCTTCAGGAGGGTGTGTGTGTTTGTGTGTATGTTTTAATTGGAGTCCCACGTGCCTTGGTTGGTGGAGATTTTTCTAGTGAGAGGTTTCATGTTTGCTTTTATGTGGTACTTTAGGCATTTTACTACTCTGGGACCAAATTTCATATTCACATCCTTGTTGTGGGTTAAATTGTGTCCTCTAAAATGATGTGTTCAATTCATAACCCCTAGAGCTAATGGATGTGACCTTATTTGGAAACAGAGTCTTTGCAGATGTAATCAAGTTAAGATAACATATTGGATTAGGGTGAGCCCTAAACCCAATGACTGGTGTCTTTATAAGACAAGGGAAGGGAGCTGTTAAAACAGAGGGAAAGAGAGAGACAGTGAAGAAGGCCATGTGACAATGGAGGTAGGAATTGGAGTGATGCCGCTCCAAGACAAGGATCACCAAGGATTGCCAGCCACCACCAGAAGCCAGGAGAGAGGCACAGGACAGTCTCCCTCGGGGCCTCTAGAAGGAACAAACCCTACCAACAACACTTTGATTTCAGACTTTTGGCTTCCAGCATTGTGGCAGAATAAATTGCTGTTGTTTTAAGATACCTAGTTTGTGGTGCTTTGTCATGACACTCTAGGAAACTAAGACAATCCTGGCTCGGTATTTCCTGTGAGGACATTAAAATTTTGTTTGTTTGTCTTTAGAGCTTTTTTCTGGGTTAGGTATCCCTTGGCATTGGCGTAGACACTCACTGCTTTGATTTTGAAATCCCACTTGAGGGTTTCCTTTTTTCCTAAGGCTGGCTTTTTACAGTATTATAATTTTGTTTTAAATATTTGATCCAACACAGATAACTGTATCTAAAAGGAAAGTTATCTGCGTTAATTCTATCCACTATATTTCTAGACCCTGAAATCTGATTCTCATTTATGGCCAAGGAAAGGAAATTACAATAGCCTGCTCTGTACAATAGGAAATTACAATAGCCTGCTCTGTACAGTAGCCATACCATGTGCTATGGGCACAAAAAGGCAGAGAGATGTGGAAAGTAGGAAGTGTGGCGGGATCCCAGTACCTTATCAAACTCTCCTAGGCCTTCAAGTATTTTCATATTTGAGAAAGCATAAGCTCCTTTGTGTAACCTGAGAGTCCCTGCCTACGTCCTGTCTCATGTCTCGCCACCCCCTCCTTTTCATAAACCATCACCCAGGCCAAGGAACATGCTTCCTTTCCTCGAATGGACTATTATTTCTTTCACTCTCTTGCCGCACATGTAAATTTCTTCTTCCCAGAACATTCCTTTTCCTTTCTGGCATCCAAATCCTACATGTTCTTTAGGCCTTCTCTGGATGAGAGAAGCCCCACCAGTTACTAAATAAACAGTGGGTGAGAGGAAGCAAGACAGAAAGCAGGATCCCAGAAAGGACATGATGTGGACCGACCTAAGATTTGGGGATGGAGAGGAATAGATTTACTTAAGTGGGAAGTCACTGAGTTCCTATTATTAAGCATGTGGGGGTTATCTAGTCAACAGGTATCTCGTATGTATTTTTGGCTTTATTTTTCTTACCAGATCAGAACTTCCTTAAGGTCAGTAACATTATGGAAAAACATTTTTATCCTACACAGGGCCTATCCCAGGACATTGCAATAAAGAAATAAATATTCGTTGACTGAGGGGATAAAAATATAAATTAATGAACATATATTCATTAAAAATATATTTTCCATATCTTCAAGTATAATATATATGGTCTGAGTCTCAATTTTAATAAGCCTCATTGTGGGTTTGTTTTGTTTTATATTTGGTGAGGGCTGGGATTTTGTGTTTTCTTGAGAATGGTTGGTGGAATTTATTTTATAATTCTGTGGTTATGTCTTCCGTTTTAATCTTTTATTTTTCTAGTGCTTTTGTGTCTTGATGTGAGTCCTCAGAGAAAGGGCCTTGCTCATTCTATGTACCACAGAGGGCTTAGCATATTTTTGGCACTCATTAAATGTTAACATCAACAAGAGGATCATGAAGAATGATTACACAAGAGGGAAGTAAACAGAAAGGCAAGAGTTGGCAAGCGTCAAATAGATACACCCACTTCTTCCCCCAAACTCATGATTATAAAAGGTATTTATTTTCTCAGCATCTTTAACACATTCACTTCTGGATACAAGTACAGAGCAGAACAGATTGCAAAACTCGTTTTTCTAAAGAATTGATCAGGAATTCAAATCTTTCTTTCACTGCAGCAGCTATTCCAAAAATTATAAAACTAGGTTTATTCTTTTGAAACTTCCAAGGTTAGCAGTATCCGTGTTGGCAGGAGTGGTACATACAGCTCCAGTTTCCCTTTTTCCCCAATAGTGAAAGGACTCCAGTGTGAAGGAAGCTCTTTGGTGCCAAAGGACTATGGCTCCTAACTCCTGTGTATAGCAAAACCAGGGAAATAGATTTTTTTTAAAAAAGCAAAATCCAGCTACCAAACACCTTGTCTCCATCAACAGTTCTGGCTGGATCAGCTGCTTTTTTATTCTAATTAAGTCTTTCCAAAAAAATTTATATGTCAGCAGAAGTGAGAGAAATAAAGGAAGCATTTTTACTTGGCAACAGTGAAACTCTGTTGGCCAAAAAATATGTGAATGAAGTAAGCTTTTAAGAGCTTACAGGTTCTTTATCAATATGAACCTAATAAATTAAAATTGGAAATACTTTCTGCCATCACCCCAACATCTCATCAATCACCAATGTACTTCATCTGCCTCGCTCCCTTCCCATCTCAGATACAGTAAAGGAAGACAGCTGGCAAGCTATGGAGGTTTAGTTAAAACAGGTCATATTATTAGTAAAGAAACAGGGGTCTTGCTACAGGAATTCTGAAGCACTAGCGTCAGGTTTACTTTTTAAATGTGCAAAAGGAAGAGGAATGTTTTAAAGAGAGAGAAAAAAACTTTGGAATCTTCAAAGTTGGCGTTTGTTGGTATCACAGCTAAGTGTTAGCACAACAGTCCCAAAGACATGGAAATGAGAAGAATGAATTAAATATTGTCCTCACATCTTCATCCTTCACTTGTAATGGCATATAGCACCACTCAGGTGGAAAACTAGATCTTCTCTGAGGATAAATATCAAAAACCTTTTACTAGGTAAAATTTGCACTACAGTTAAATCACAAAACTATTTTTCCCCCAGATACCTCCTTAGTCTACAATGTTATTAATGCATTTGAGTCAAGTGTAAATATAGTATAGACTGAGGCTTTGACTGTCTTCTTCCTTGTTTTTTAAAAAGGAAAAGAAGAATGAAAGGGTGTTTTCATTTGCATCATTTGGACATTAAGCACTAAAGCCTTCAACTCATGAAACTCAGAACATTATAAGAAATATTTTGCCCTAATCCTCACTGTTCCCCAGTGCTTTACACTGGCTTTGGAGCACTCTTTGAAGGTCTGTAGGCATTTGATTTATTCCTTCTTCCTTTTCCTTTTCCTAGATACCCTGTCCATGAAAACTCAGAGCAAGAAAAGAGGATAAAAGTGCTGAAAAATGGCCAGGGACATACTCACTAGAGGGGATCAGGAATGAGTTGTGTTCAGGCAATAGTAGAAGATCTCAGCAAGAACAATTGTGACACAGGCTATACTTAGTATTGGGGTTCCAAGCTCAGCAGTGGGGGCATAGCAGGACTGAGAGGAGATCTTCCTTGTGAACACAGAGCTTAGTCATAGGAATGGGCTGTGCAGAAGGATTCCCCCTCCTGGGAAAGTAGATGGCTTTTAATGAAAAGGGAACTGGATTACTCAGCGCCAGGGAGAGCTTTGCATGGGGTCATCCAGCAGTTGAATTCACATTCTGGTTATCGGTCAAAGAGCCCCTGGGATGAATTTGGGATCCTGTTGGTCAGCACCTGGCCCTTCAGATCCCAGGTTTGGGAATGTTGTGTAATCCTAAGCCCTACTAAATTTGGCACCTGGGCTGTTTAAATGTCTTACATGTGGTTCATCCATGCCTGGAGAAAGATCAAATCTTAAGAAAAGAAGAGCCATGGCAGGGCCATTTGGAATATAGGCTGGTAGAGGCCTAGAAAGGAGTTGGGGGCTGACACCAGCTTCCTTCCAGGAATTTATCAGGAACATCATTTTTCATGCTTAGGTAGCAAGTTTTCCTATTGCTTTTACTTATAAATCCATTTGCCTAAAGTCTTATCTAAAGGGATGGATTTATTATCTAAGATCTAATTACTTGTCCTTTGTATTCAAGTAAGTATTTTCTGTCATGTCATTTTATTTGTATATTAATTAAATGACACAGATAACTCAAAATAGAAGTCATACCCTATCTCTAAAGAAGATACATAATTTAATTTATTTTCTGTAAGAGAAAAAGAAATCTACAGAGTCAAGTGGGCTACAGGGTAACTTTCATTTGCACCTCCAAATCCACACTCTAACATGCTCTCTGCCCCAGGAGGCTGACCTATAAGAAACAGACAAAGGAATCCACTGACCACCACTTCCAGTTTGGTTCTACAATGGGAGGCACTAAGGGGAGATGAAAGAGCGGAGGGATGTGAGGTGGGGATTGCCAGGGCTTGGCCTTGTGCTTCTGCCAGAATCCCTACAATCTTTCAGATTGTTTTTTCCATATGGCTCTTGCTCCAAGTTCCTCTCTTTGTCCCTTCAGGCCTAGACATGGTAACAGAAACCCTTTTGCCTTCCTAAACCCTTCTATCTTTGTAAATTGATCTGTCCCAGATTTGGTTCCGAAGAAGCAGATTCCAAGATAGAGATTTGTGGGCATGAGGTTTATTAGGGAGTGCTCTCAGGATCCAAACCTGCAGGAAGGAAGGGGAGGGAGAAAAGCAGGGCAGACGAAGAGGCTGGGTAAGCCCAAAGTGACTGGGAGCCTGAAGCTGGGATGTACCTTCAGAGGTGGATGCACCTCTCTGTGGGATGCTTCACAGAGGCAAAGGGTAAGGCCTTTATAGTCCTGTGCTGACAAGTTGTTGGATGCAGGCTGCCCCTGGAAGAGAGCATGAAGTTGGGTAAGGTGACTGTCTTCAGCCTGTGGGGGACTAGGTCCTTCAGTCCTGATGGGAAATTTGAGATGTGCAGTTTCCATGACAGCTCAGCTCTTGTGCTTCATGGATCCACTTCTTTCTGCATGTTAAGGAGAAGCTCCTCTAGGATCACAGTTGGCTTCTGTTCCTGGGGAATCTTCCTGTTTTACTTTACAGTCTAGATTTCCTGTCTCTTTTTGGTACCTCTGCTGGTCTACTTGGCTGGTGGAATGACCTAGCTTCTCACTCTTGAGAAGTCCCATCATTATGCCTTTGTTAGGTGGAGACTGTTGCATTTATCCATCTATTATTAAAAAATGGGCAAGGGAATTCTAAGGGACACCCAGGCAAGTTATCTGGGGGCCTCTCTGTGGCCTTGTGTCAGCAGTCCCATCTCCTTCTGAAGAATGGGATTGATTAATGCTCATGGTACGGTGATTCCTCTTTTTGCTTGGTGATCTCTTGGCATGAGGAGCCTGATGCTCCCAAGTGGCAGCCTTAACCTCATGTTCAATTGAATGCTTGTTGTATTCCCTGATGGAAGCACATCTCCTTTGGGCACCAGGACCTCTAAACCCACAGAGCCTAGGCACAAGTTCCCTAAGGAGTCAATTGTATTGATGGTAAGTGAGGCTATTGCTGCTTCCACTCCTTAGCTCCCACATATTTTACCTCTTGGGGACACAGCATCATATAATGATTGTTTGTTTAGCATGTATATTACACCCAGGAGAATCTGATGATGACATTACCTTGCAAGGATGGGACACCATTCTTCTGGGTGTAATACACATGCTAAATAAACCTCCGATGACATTACCTTGCAATGGTGTGGCTCATCCACTATGCCTTCAACAGGCCTTTCCATCACTCTGTTAGTGTGGCAGCTTCTGGATGGTGCATGATCTGATGGGACTAGTAGAGCTTGTTCCACTTGGGTCAAGCTGGAGCTTGTCCACTCGTGCACCTCATTTCTAGTAAAGTGGGTCACTTGGTTTGATGGGATGTTATGTGAGATGCCATGTTGGTGGATCACTAACTCTCTAAGCCTTTAGATGCTGGTGCCAGCTGAGGCCCTGCAGGCAAGAACAGCAAATCCAACCCAGAAACATGAATTAATTCATACTAAAATGAATCAATGACCTTTCCAGGGTAGAAGATATTCAACTTCCCACCACATGGCTGGTTAGTCTCAAGGGCTAATACCATACCTGGGCAGGGATAAGGGTCATCCTTGGTTTCTGTTGCTGGAAGGTTGAATATTTTGTCAGCCTTGGTGGCTGGGTCAATGTTGTGGAGTGGGAGTGTGTATTGCTGGATCCATGCATAGCCCCCACTCCTGCTACCAGGGCTATGCCATTCATGTACCGTTGTTTGAACATTGACATCTAATGACAGAGGCTGGCCAAAGTCAACTGGCCACATATTCTCTTGTGTCTACTGGTGATTTAGTGGGATGTTCTATTGTAGTGGATGTTCCCTGGTGATCATTAACATGTAATAGAAGGATCTCCACACCTCCTTTCTGTTCCATTAATCCATTCACAGCTCTTTCACCCAGACCTGCTTCATCTTGATTTTCCAATCTCTCTTGATCAAATGGTTAAGCAATTTTCTTGTTCATGAATCCATACATATTCTCATCTGGTGATGATATTGGGACTAAGAGAGGAAGGGAGGCAATGAGGAAGTAAGAAGAGAGAAAAGTTGAAATATTGGTTAGTCATTTTACAAGAACACTTGAACAACCAGAAAGCTGTGGCAGGTAAGAATTGCATATTCCCATTTAGTTTCTACTAATGCCTCTGAAGACTCTAAAGGCAAAATATTTTGTTTCAAATCTGAAATATTTGGCAGGACAGTAATGCTGATATTTAAGTGACTTCAAACAGGAATTATTTGATACATTTATGGATCATCTTTTCTAAAATTTCTAGCAAATTAAAAACTGGAGGATAAGAAACAGCTTTCAGAATGAGGCAAGTAATTCTAAATAAATGTATATGAATTCAAGAAAAAAATAATGCTTCTCTGTGGCATCTCCAAGATAAATAATAAAATAATGGTTTTTTTTTTTTTTTTTTTGTAAAATACTAAAGCAGAGGAGGAGGAAGAAGGGGAGGTGCCCTGGGTATGTGCAAAACTTTCACTCATGCTAGGCACATCGAAACCATCCCCCTTCAGCTCACATTTTAGAGGAAATAGGATACAGGGAATTACCATATTCTTCCCAGGTCCAAACATTTTGAAAAACTTGGCATTTTCTCCACAGTGGTTGCCCTGACGTTTTTAGTCTTTTCCAGTACAAATCATAGCTTCACCCCATTATAAAGCAAACACTTTATATCTCCATTATATAAAGCTTTAATCCCCATTATAAAACAAAAACTCTATACAACGGAAATAAAACTTCAATGTCCTTTTGATCATTTATTACTTCACATTTTTAATAACTTTTGGTTGAATACTTCAGAGAATGCTAGGCTCTGAGTATATCTGGATGAGCAACACAACGTGTCTGAGTCCAAATATAATAACGTATCATATTTGTAATGACACGAGAAGTAAATGGGCTGATGGAAGCAAATATCAAGGACACTTGTTCCAGTCTGGTGGGAGTATAAGAATGAGGTCACAGAATTGACATTTAAACTGAGACCTGGAAAGTATTTAGGATAAAGATTAGATAAAACTGTTAGCCATGGTGGATAAAAGCCAGGGAAGAAATAGTTGCAGAACTCTAACATAGGTTCGGAGAGTCATCAAGAACAGGTAACAAAAGGTATAGAGACTATCCCAAGGCTAATGGGAAGTTACTGAAGGGCTTCAAGCACTTCTTCTTCCCTCCCTTCCTCTCTGCCTGCTTCTCTCCCTCATTCCCTTCATCCATTCTTTCTTTGTTTTTTTTTTTTTTTGCCTTTTTTAAAAAAGATGACACTGACTGCCCTATCAAAAATGGAAGAAGAGGGTAGATTCAATAATATTTTTTAAGATGGACTCAATAGATCTTGGCCACAAGAAATATTGAGTTAAGACGTAAGAATAAAGGATAAAACCCAGGTTTTTCAATCCATCTATGAGAAGATAGTGATCTCACTGACAAATCTGCAGCAGAGAAGGTAGAGAAGGTTCCCTCTCTGTTCACTTATCACAAATATATATATTTTTTATATGATGGACTAAGATAAGAACTCTTTTGTTTACGTTTGTATCCTCAGAACCTAGTCACAGATCTCATTTCAAAAAACTTGAATTGCCTTGGAGCTTGTGATGGATAATTTTATGTGTCAATTGACTGGGATTAAAGATGCCAAGATAGCTGGTAAGACACTATTTTTAAATGTATCTGTGAGGGCTGTTTCAGGGAGAGATTAGCATTTGAATCAGTATGCTGTGTAAAGAAGATCCACCTTAACCAATGTGGAAGGACATCATTCAATCTGTTCACGGCCCAGATAGAACAATAACAACAAGAAAAAAAAAATGGAGGGTGGGCTAGTTTGCACCCTCTCTCTCCTTGAGCAGGGAGATACTTGCATTACACCTTAATGATCACTAGAGAATATGCACTTCAAAAGAATATCCCCACTAAATCACCAATAGACACAGAAGAATAATTTGGCCGGTTGGCATTGACCAGCCTCTGTCATTAGATGCCAGTGTTCAAACAACAGTTCATGAATGGCATAGCCCTGGTAGTAGGAGTGGAGGCTGTGCATGGATTTAGCAATATTCACTCCCACTACTCAACAGTGACACAGGTACTGGTGCTGACAAATATTCTTTCTAGCAACAGAGGCCAGTGAGGACACTCATCCCCACTCAGGTATGGTATTAACCCTTGAGGCCAATCAGCCACATGGTGGAAAGCCGGCTACATTGAATATTTTCTACCCTGGAAAGGTCATTGATTCATTTTGGTGGGAAATGATTTGTGTTTCATGATTCATGTTTTACTCTTCTTCTTCTGAGACACGAGTATCTCGTTCTCAGGCCTTTGGATTTAGCCTGGGGATTACATCATCTGACCCCACCCCTTTAGACTCTGATCAGGACTTACACCATTGACTCCCCTGATTCTCAGGCTTTTAGACTCAAAATGAATTACATCACCACATTTCCTGGTTCTTTAGTTTGCAAATGGCAGATCACAGGGCTTCTTGGCCTCTATAATTGCATGAGCCAGTTCCCATGATAAACAAACAAATATATATCTCTCCATATATCTTATTGGTTCTGTTTCTCTGAGAACCCTGACTAATAAGTCCAATTTTCAAGTGATGGCAGGCAGTAATGGTTTTTCATGCACCAAATCCATTCAGTTGATAATTTATTTTCCCACGCAATACAAGTTTAGGTTAACCTAAAGGAAAAAAAAAACCAAAAAACCAAAAAAACACAAGAACCAAATAAACACTACACTGGATCCACACCAGCCCTATAAAACTAAATGACTTCCTTTAATTTTGATGTGCTCTGGGATTCAGTCCTGGATATTATTCTCCTAATTATCTACACTCATATCGATCTGATCCAATTCCATGGCTTTAAATACTATCTACACTTTGACAACTCCTAAATGCATGTATCCAACTCCAATTTCTCTGCTGAATCCCGGATTTATATATTCTCCCTAACCAGTATCTCTACATTGATGTTTGGTAGACATCTTAAACTTAGCATATGCAAAACTGAACTATCTTTTCCTGCTATTACAGAATACCTGAGACTGGGTTATTTACAATGAACAGAAATGTATTGGCTTACAGGTCTGCAGGCTGGGAAGTCCAAGACTGATGGGTTGGCATCTGGTGAGGGCTTTCTTGCTGCACCATCCCATTGCAGGAGGAAAAAGGGCAAAAGATGACCCATTCCTGAAAGCCTTTTTATCAAGGCATTAAATCCACCTCTTAAATATCTCACTTCTTCATACCATTACAATAGCAATTAAATTTCAACATGAATTTTAGAAGGGACATTCAAACCATAGCACCTACTCTATCTAAGTCTGCTCCATCTCTAGCCATCCACTTTCTTAGGACAAAAATTTCAACATCCCATATTCAGTCACCTCAAAACCTGTTGGCTCTGCCTTCAGAAAATATCCAGACTCTATTTCCCGCTACCTCTTGTGCTATCACCCTGGTCTGAGCCACCATCCTATCTCACTTGGATTCCTGAAATTGCTTTCCAATGAGTCTCCTCATTTTCCTCCTGCACCCTACAGTTCATGCTCAACAGAGCAATTCCTTTTGAAAACAGAAGTCATGTTAGTCACATCACTCATCTGTTTAAAACCCATCAATGATTTCTAACTCATTCAAAGTAGAAACTTAAGAGGTTCCATATGATCAGATATACAATTGGATACCTCCCTGACTACTTCAAGCCTTTGTTCAAACATGAATTTTTCAGTGAATCCTTCATTGACAATTCCATTTAAAATTGTCACTCCTCTTCCTCAGACACTTCAGATCAGAGGTCACCACTCCCCAACCCCCACCTTTGTTCTACAATTTGTTTTTTTTTGTAGCACTTATCCCCCACAAAAACGAACCCTGAGTTAGGGTTCTCAGAGAAACAGAACCAATAGGCTGTATTGAGACAAGAACTACATAATTCACTTGCACATTATGTTCATTGTGTATTGTCTTTCTTCTGTCACTAAAATATAAACTCCATGAGAGCAGGGATCTTTGTATGTTTTGTTTTTTGATATATTGTAAGAACTTCAAACAGTTCCGATAGATAATAGGTGTTCAAAAATGTCTGTTGAATGAAATCATGAATGCCTTCTTTATTTTAACGAGGCCCTGCGGCTAGTGGTATACTATAATACTGTTCACAAAAATTCAGTGTCTCCTCACCATCTAAAGAACATAGTCATCACCAAATGACTTTTTTTATCCAATAAAATGTAAGTGGGAAGAAATTTGTGTTATATGTGTTCAGAAGCTTTAAGGACCAGCATGCGATTTAGCACACTCTCTTTTCCCTACCCCTGTATTGTGGAAGCATGTGTGGAGGTGGGTCCTCCACTATCCTGAATTCCTGAGGGCCTGTGATGAGGAGAATCATCTTGCTAAACTATGATGGACATGTAGCTTAATGACAAATGAAATTTGATATTATGGTCTATCCTGACTAATATAGAATCAAATTCTGAGGTCTTCATCCTCAAGTTAAATATCATCAGGTGGTTGGAACTAATTGCATTTTATGAGCATTTATGTTTATCATGCTCTCCAATTAAAGTAGAATATCTGAAAGTCACAATTAGGCCTTTCAGATGCAATGTAGGAAAGAGAAGGCATTATATGGTTTCATTGTCTCTTGAAACATCAAGATATAGGGAGACTCCATGATGCTAGAGGAACTGCAGTGATGGTTGTCTTCTCAAGGTAGCATGCACACAGCAACTAAGGAAAAGGTGAATCGGATGGGAAAGAGGAGAGTCATAGTGTAAGTGAACCTTGCCTAGATGGGGATCCATCTGTCATCGGGTCAATTCAAGTCTCTTCTCAATGATACTTTTAACCTCTTTGTAGAGCATCATTCACCTGTCCATGTTTCCCACCATAGATATAAAAGAGGGACACTGAGTCTACAAAAAGACACAAACAGCTAGCGTCTTCATTTCTTTGAAGGCAATGTAGAGGTTCTTAAAGACCAGAAAAAGTTCAACTCAGTAAGCTCAGCCCCAGGGAAACCATTTGGATCCGGATGGCCGGAACTCCAGACCAATTGCCTCTAACTGTGGGCAACACTATCTAATTATCCTAATGATTGGTGCAAATGTTTTAATTTTTAATGCATGCTATGAGGTGAAAAATTCAGCAATCATGCAATATGATAAGTGGTTGAAAAATATAAATTGCCATGGAAGCCACAGGAGGGTCAACCCATCTATACTTCCTGGTCTCATTAAAAAATTAAAGATCCAGATTTCTGTCTGAATCCAGCCATAATGTAACCACAGGTTGCATCTTGGGAATCCACAGCCATAATGCTTTGGGAATTCTTGTCAAAACCATTGCTTAACTTTTTAACCCAAAATTCTTGATGATAGAATGTGACCAGTATTCTAATAAAAAAGTATTCCAGAAATTTAATTCAGTGTTTCTTTTCAGAGAGAAGAAACTGTCCAAGATTCAGAGGAGAGGGCCAGAGTCCAGAAATATTCTTTGAAGCCTATAACATTATCAGCAGCCATGCCCTTCCATTTCTGCCCATGGATGTCAGATGGACATTCACTGTGCCATCCAGCTGTTAGGGGAAGGCTGTAATCTTTCTGTTTGTAGCTAAGTAGCTAAGTTTCCACTTTTTTCCTCTGACCATTCTCATCCTTCCCCTTGCCACTTCTCCAAAGGTCCAGTAAATGCCCAGGGCCAGAGACATCGGAGTCATTGTGAGGAAGGGGAAAAGGATGCACACCCAAGTTAACTTCTCTGCTCACCTCAAGCTTGGCCTGAGAGATGCAGCTGGCACTGTTCCCTATTAAAGAGAAGCAAACCCCCAGTGGGCACAGGTTTCTGTCACACTCTTCTGACCAGGCATCTCTAATTGCTTAGTGTGGGTGAGAATGGGGAATCCCCAGAGCAGTATCCCAATAAGGCAGTGTCCCAACCATTCTCACATCATTGATCCAACATTTGTAAAATGTTATTGGATAATTGCAACATTACTAAGCTGCAAAGACTTTGGAGCACATGCTTCTGCCTCAAGGTTAAACAACAGGTTTGGGAAGGGTTATAGGTCAATAACCAATATGGTTTGGTTCTGTGTCTTCCCCCAAATCTCACCTCTAATTGTAATTCCCATGTGTCAAGGGAGGGACTTGGTGGTAGGTGATTGGATCATGGGGCAGTTTACCATGCTATTCTCATGATGGAATTCATAGTTTAATAAGTGTGAGGCTCTTCCACTTAACTCTTCTCATCACAGCCCCTCCCATCATAGGCCTGGAGGCCAAGGAGGCAAAAATGGTTACGTGGGCTGGGTCCAGGGCCCTGCTGCTCTGTGCAACCTCTGAACTTGGTGCCCTGTATCCCAGCCTCTCCAGCTCGAAGCATTGCTAACAGGGGCAAACATACAGTTCAAGTTGTTACTTCAGAGGGTGCAAGCCCCAAACCTTGATGGGTTCTACATGGTGTTGGGTCTGTGGATGTGCAGAAGACAAGAGTTGAACTTTGGGAGTCTCTGCCTAGATTTCAGAGGATGTATGGAAATGCCTGGATGTCCAGGCAGAATTCTGCTACAGGGGTGAAGCTGCCTAAGGCTATGGGAGCCCACCCCTTGCATCAGTGTGCCCAAGATGTGAGACGTGGAGTAAAAAGAGATTTTGGAGCTTTAAGATTTAATGAATGTCCCACTGGGTTTTGGACATGCGTAAGGCCTGTGGCCCCTTTGTTTTGGTCAATTTCTCCCACTTGGAACAGGAACATTTACCCAATGCCTGTACTCCTATTGTATCTTGGAAGTAACTAGCTTGTTTTTTATTTTACAGGCTCATAGGCAGAAGGGACTTGCCTTGTCTCAGATGAGACTTTGGACTTGGACTTCTGAGTTAATGCTGGAATGACTTAAACCTTTGGGGGACTGTTGGGAAAGCATAATTCGTATTGAAATGTGAAAAGGACATAAGATTTGGGAGAGGCCAGGAGTTGAATAATATGTCTTGGCTCTGTATCCCCACCCAAATCTCATCTCAAATTGTAACCCCCATGTGTCAAGAGAGGGAACTGGTGGGCAGGTGATTGCATCATGGGGGCAGTTTCCCCCATGCTCTTGTTGTAATAGAATTATCACACGATCTGGTTGTTTGATAAATGTGTGGCTCTTCCCCTTTGCTCTTCTCTGTCTCCTGTCATCTTGTGAAGAGGTGCCTGCTCCCCTGTCACCTTCAGCCATGATTGTAAGTTTTCTGAAGCCTCCCCAGCCATGCAGAACTATAAGTCAGTTAAACCTCCTTTCTTTATAAATTACTCAGTCTCAGAGAGCATGTTTATGGCAGTGTGAAGACAGGCTAATGCAATGACTCACCTATAATCCATGTAAGAAATTGAGCAAAGGGTACACCTGTATTTTAAGGGTAATATATGGTGGTTCCCAGGGGCTGTGAGCATGGAGAAATAAGTGACTTCCCTAAAACAAGGTAGAATTGGGGTGGGTCATCTTAGGACACACCATTTTTTTTCACCACAATCCTGGTTATGAAGTAATGTAACAACCTCAAATTAACTGGCACGTTCAATATCCCAATGGGGTTATTTTCTATAAGCCTCACTTCCAGCATCTGAAAACATACATTGTCTGGGGCATAGGGAAGGGCAGCAACATGTTTGCCTCTTGCTAGAGCCAGGGCTCACTGAGCATGGAGCATGGCCACACATCTCTGGACTCTAACCCCAGAGCTTATGCTAGATATATAAGCACACTGCTCAGGGAAACAAAAAAAGTGAAACGTAAGCTTTGTGTCTAAATCTGCCTGGGATTTAGACTATAAAGTAATCACTTCTAGAGCTACTTTTTTTGTTTTGTTTTTTGTTTTGTTATATTTTTTTGAGACATTTTTCTGTCATTAAGGCTGAAGTGTAGTGGTGCGATCTTGACATTGCAACCTCTGTCTCCCAAACTTAAGTGATTCTCGGGCCTCAGCCTCCTGAGAAGCTGGGATTACTGGCATGTACCACCACACCAGCTAATTTTTGTATTTTTAGTAGAAATGGGGTTTTGCCATGTTGGCCAGGCTGCTCTCTGAAAGATTCTCCCTGGGGCTTGAAAGCTTAAAGGGATGAGTAACTCCTCCCCTCTCAAGTCCAGTCCCAAAGCACAAGGCAACTTGAGCCAGCAGCATGCATCAGCAAGATAGCAGAAGCAGGAAGAGAGCCAGGTGGAAGACACCTACCCTGGCCGGAAGACACGTACCCCTGAAGAGCAAGAAAGAGGCCATCCGGGTACTACGTAGCAGTCATGTCAGACTAGGACACTTCCTGTTTCTAGGAGACCATAAAACCCTTGCCCCATCCTCATTTGATGCTGACGCCATTTTGGGCCTCAGCCTACCTGTACCCAGGTGCTCATTAAAACAGCATGTTGCTCCACATCACCTCATGTTGTCTGTTGGCATGCTTTCAGGGTTCGAACCAATACAATCTGGTGCTGAAATCCAGGAGGGGCTTACGTTTGCATTCCCCGTGGACCTACCCCTCCACCCCAGAGAGCAGGCCACAGCAGCCAAACAAAGGAAGCTCTTCAGCCTCCAGTCGCCTCTCTGTGCATGCACATCGGTCACTGATCTCACCTACTCGTAAATTTCCCAGGAGCCCAGTTAACAGGAGAATCTGCACAGCCTCTCTTGGTTTCTCCTGTCCAAAAATTCAACATTGGCCCAAGAAGGCTCCCGCATGTGCCAGGCACTCACTGATCATCTGGTCTTAGGGGGGTGCCTCTAAGCCATTTGATCCCGTTCCGGGAACGAAAAAGGCAGCAGTGACGATTGCTCCTTTTATCGTCTCCCTCTGGCCATCCAGGACGGTCTCATTTTTCCCTGTTCTCCCAAGCCTACCCTCCGTTATGGGAAACTCCCGGTCCTCCATTCCAAAAAAACAGCCCTCTAGGCTGCTTCATAAAAAACTTGCAAACCTTAGTCCTCAGGCAAAATATCCACACTAAGGGCCTTGTCTTTTTTGCAATTCTGTCTGGCCACAGTGGGTCCAAATGGGCCACAAATGGAACATTCAACTTTACAATTTTAACTGACTTAAGCAATTATTGCCGATGAATGGAGAAATGGGGAGAAATTCCTTATGTCCAGGCCTTTTTGCCCTCGGATCACAACCCGACCTCTGCAATTCTTGCTCCCCTGTTCAAATCCTTCTCCTCCATTCTCTCCACCCTGATCACCTTTCTCCTCCCAACCCTACCTCTTTTTCCTCGTTAGATCCAGCAGACTGCTGTCCACCCCTCCCAGCCCCCACCTCTCCCTCTCAACTGTCTTCTTTACCCCCATAAGCCTCCTCTTTATTTTCTCAGCTGCGATCTTCTTAGCTGCCATCTTCCCAGCTGCCATCTTCCCAGTCATTTGTATCCACTTCTTTTCCTACACAGTCCCCTCCTCAGGACAATTTTAGTATTGCCTATACCCATTCTCCTCCCCCACCGCCCTCTCCTGAGGCTTGTAAACCCATCCCACCATTTTACGCCTCTATCTATCCTCCACTGCCTGTTAACTCAAACCCCCTTCTCCCTTCAAAGCCTCAGCAGGAACCACTTCCAGGTTCTTTCTTCTCTCCCACCCGTACTCACTCAGGCGCCATCTTCCGCCCATGCCCCAACCTTACTTCAGCGCCTGTGCTAGAGTGCCCCCTTCAGGAAGTAGCAGGAACTGAAAGTATTGTTAGAGTTCATGTTCCTTTCTCCCTCACTGATCTCTCTCAAATTAACAAAAGACTTGGTTCATTTCCAGAAGACCCTACCTCTTATATTAAGGAGTTTCAGTACCTTACCCAGTCTTATGAACTAACTTGGCATGACCTCTACATTGTCCTCTCTTCCACCCTCACCCCAGAAGATGGGGACCGTATCTGGGCCCTAACTCAGGTGCATGCTGATACAATTCATCACCAAGCTCCTGCCCAGCCTACTGGTGCAGAGGCAGTCCCTAACCAGGACCCTTACTGGGATTATCAAGACGGGGCCCCTGGATGCCACCATCGAGACCACATGATTATGTGTCTCCTTGCAGGACTCAAAAAGGGTGCCCGTAAAGCAGTGAACTATGAAAAACTTTCAGAAATCACCCAAGGTCCTGACAAAAACCCAGCCTTTTTCTCTCTCATTTAACTGAAGCCATGAGAAAGTATATCAACCTAGACCCAGCCAGCCCAGAAGGAACCAGTATCTTAAACCTGCAGTTTATCTCCCAATCCACCCTCAATATTCAGTGCAAGCTTCAGAAGCTTGAGGACGGTCCTCAAACCCCACAACGAGACCTTCTTAATTTAGCCTTCAAAGTCTTTAACAATCATGATGAGGAAAGTAAAAGGCAAAAACAGGCAGAGTTTCAAATGCTTGCCTCTGCCATCAGGGGCCCTGCAGGCCCACAGGGCTGCAGCTCCACACAGAAGCCTCCTAGCAATCCATCTCCTCCTGGTGCCTGTTTCAAGTGCGGCAATGAGGGCCACTGGTCCAGACAATGCCCAAACCCAGGTAAGCCCACCAGGCCATGCCCCCTCTGAGAAAGACCCCACTGGAAGTCAGACTGTGAGTGGCCCCTGCAAGGACTGCCCCCATCCCTTCCCAAGCTGGTCAAAACCTCCCAGTTGGATCTCATTGGCTTTGCCGCTGAAGACTGATGGTGCCCTGGAACAGAGGCACTGGCAACTACCATTGCTTCATCCGAGCCAAGGGGAACCCTGATGGTGGTAGTTAGGCCAGTATTTTTTTTTTAATTAATACCAGGGCAACCTACTGTGCTTTACTTAATTTTTCAGGACCCACTGAGTCCTCCCAGGTCTCTTTTGTAGGACTTGATGGACAAGTCTCCAAACCCTGAGCCAACCCTCCACTTTTCTTCTCCCTGCACACCTTTTCCTTCACTCACCCTTTCTTAGTCCTGCCTTCATGCCCAACTCTGCTCCTAGGCAGAGACATCCTTTCAAAACTCCACACTACTCTCCACTTCCACATTGCCATATACCCAATGCATCTACCCTGTCCCCTCCAGTACTTCTAACTTCCTTCTACTCCTCCAACCTTCCACCCTAAACCATGCAACTTTTCCTTATTCCCCATCTGTAGTTAACCCCACTGTTTAGGATACTTCACACCCTCAGTCGCAGAACACCACACCCCCATCTGCATTATCCTTAAAGAGCCCACGTAGTTCCTGTCACAGAAGCAGTATCCCATCCTCCAAGCAGCTCTCATGTGCCTAAAGCCTATCATTTCTTGCCTCCTTGCCAGTCACCTACTCTGCCCAACAAGCTCCCCTTTTAACACACCAGTTCTAACTGTTAAAAAGCCAGATGGAACTTACCGCTTAGTCCAGGACCTCAGGCTCATTAACCAAGCTGTACTCCCAGTATGTCCAGTAGTTCCTAATCCATATACTTTGCTTTCCACAATTCCCTTCAATACCACCCCTTTTTCTGTTCTAAACCTAAAGGATGCTTTTTTTTTCACAATTCCTTTACACCCTGATTCCCAAAACCTCTTTGCCTTTACTTAGGAAAACCCCGACACCCAACTTTCACGTCAGTTCACCTGGTGTGTACTACCTCAAGGTTTCAGAGACAGCCCCCACCTTTTTGGACAGATCCTTGCTCACAACCTCTGTACTTTATCCCTAAAACCGTCCACTGTCCCTCAATGTGTTAATGATCTGCTCCTGTGTAGCCCCTCTCCAAGAGACTGCAACGCCCATACTATCTCTCTCTTTTAAACTTTTTGGCAGAATGGGGTATTGGGTCTCCCCTAAGAAAGCACAAATATGCAACCCCTCAGTCACCTATCTAGGCCTAGCTCTTACCCCGTGAACCCAAGGGCTCACAACCAACCACATATCCCTCCTCCAGTCCCTCCTGTCTCCACAAACTAAGCAAGAAATTATCTCTTTTCTAGGACTAGTGGAATATTTTAGGCTCTGGGTTCCCTCCTTCACTCTACTTGCCAAACTGTTATACCAAGCTGCTAAAGGCCCTCTCCATGAATCTTCAAACCGTGCACAGCCTATTACCCAACCTTTCCGTCTACTCCAGAAGGCTCTCACCTCAGCTCCTGTCCTCACTCTCCCAGACCTCACCAAATTTTCTCCCTCTATACTGAGAAATGGCGTGGAATTTCACTAGGTGTCCTAACCCAGTCTAAGGGACCCACCCTCCAGGTTGTTGCCTACCTTTCTAAACAGCTTGAAGCCACAGTTCTCGGATGGCCTGCCTGCCTCTTAGCATTGGCGCATTGGCGGTAACTGCAGTCCTCACCCTTGAAAGCCTAAAACTATCTCTCTATGCCAACCTAACAGTTTATTCAACCCATAACATCAAAGACATGCTAGCTCACCTCAGTGTACTGTCTTATCTCTGCCCCACAGCTCCTCCAATTGTATGCTCTATTCATAGAAACTTCCCACATCACCATGCTAACCATCTCCCGTCTAAACCCGGCCACGTTCTGTCCCTGTCCTTTTTCTCTCCTCCTTACACCTCAGAAGAAAAGCAGGACTTCTGATCCCAAAACCTTCAAAAGCAAAGACCATGTTATGTCAAGGAAGGGTGCTTCGTTCTTCCTCACTCTCAAACAATCTGTCAACTAAAGCCTCCACAACTCTTTCCATGTCGGGTACAAACCTCTCTTGCAACTTCTCCGACCTATCCTCACTTGTCCTCACCTTTCCAGCCGTGTTTGAGAGATTACCCAGTCCTGCTCTATCTGCCACTCAGTATCACTCTAGAGTTCCCTCTGACTCCACCTTTTCCTAGCCACTAAGCCCAGGGCCAGGTACTGAGGCAAGATTGGCAAGTAGACTTCACTCACATGCCACCCGATAAACGGCTCCACTATCTTCTAGTCTTTGTCTGTACTTTCTCCGTGTGGGTAGAAGCGTTCCCAACAACTTCAGAAGGTGCAAATGTCATCACACAAACTCTCATCATGCATATAATTCCCCGTTTCAGACTCCCAACATCCATCCAGTCTGATAACGAGCCCACCTTCATCAGCCAAATTACCCAAGGTGTCTCTACATCCTTAGGTATAAAATGGGTTCTCTACACACCCTACAGGCCTCAATCTTCAGGTAAAGTTGAAAAAATTAACTCTGTCCTTAAAGCCCAACTCACCAAGCTGGCTCTAGAGACCCAGCTGTCTTGGACAAAAAAATCTCCCATTTCCCCTCATGAGACTCCACGCAACACCAAAAGAACCCTCTTTTTATAGTCCCTTTGAAATCTTGGGTGGCCGAACTTTTGTTTTAGGGCCTCCATCCTTACCAGACTCTGAGCCACTCATGAATTATCTCCACTTCTTAATCCAGACACAGTCTTTCATTCATGAAGCAGCAGATGAGGCCATGCCTCTCCTTGTCAACACCTCCTTGTCCTCTCAACGTAACTGTCTTGCAGGCACAGATGTGTTTATCTGCCAACCTGACCCTCACCAATAGCTACAACTGAAGTGGACAGGCCCCTACACTGTGATACTCAGCATGCCATCTGCAATGACAGTCCAAGGACTCCCCGACTGGGTCCATCGCACCAGGGTCAAGCTCACCCCCAAGGCTACTCCTTCCTCCAAAACATTAACGGCGGGCAACACCCTCAGAGTCCCTGTATATAATAACCTAAACAAAGAAAAATGATCCTTAAAGGTAGGAGGAAGCCAAAGATGGCAAGAGGACGAATGGCCTCCGCAACAGATCATTGAATATTATGGTCCTGCCACTTGCGCTGAGGATGGTTCATGGGGTTATTGCACTCCCATATATATGCTAAATAGAATAATTAGACTACAGGTGGTTCTACAGATAATCAGTAACCAAACGGCCTCAGCCCTGGAAATGCCCACACAACACCAAAATCAAATGCATGCAGCAATTTATCAAAACAGGCTAGCACTACCCTGCTTATTAGCAGAAGAAGGTGGGGTGTGTGGTAAGTTTAATATCTCTAACTGCTGTCTTAACATAGACGATAATGGAAAAGCAGTTCTAGAAATCGCTTCAAACATCAAAAAAGTAGCCCATGTACCAGTCCAAACCTAGAAGGGATGGGACCCAACAAATCTTCTAAGAAGGTGGTTCTCTAATTTAGGAGGATTTAAAACACTGGTAAGGACAGTAATCTTCATCACTGGGCTCCTCCTGTTTCTCCCCTTGTTATCCCACTGATAATAAAAGCCATTAAAATTCTTGTTGAAACTACAGTTAACTGTCAGACTATCCAGACAATGTTCCTGCTACAACGACACGATGGATACCAACCCGTCTCTCAAGAGTACCCCCAAAATTAAGTTTTTCTTTTTCCAAGATGCTCATGCCACCCCCTACGTCACGACTGAAGTAATTATTGAGAAAGTTGTCCCTTTTCCCTTTCTTCTATAACCAGTAGACAGGAATGGCAAGATTCTCCCCGGGGCCTGAAAGCTTAAAGGGATGAGTAACTCCTCCCTTCTCAGGCCCAGTTCCAAGGTGCAAGGCTACTTGAGCCAGCAGCGTGAGTCAGCAAGATAGCAGAAGCAGGAAGAGAGCCGCTGGGAAGACACCTACCCTGGATGGAAGACACGTACCCCTGAAGATCGAGAAAGAAGCCGTCTGGGTACTACGTAGCAGTCATGTCAGACTGAGACACTTCCTGTTTCCAGGGGACCGTAAAACCCCTGTCCTATCCTCATTTGGTGCTGATACCATTTTAGGCCTCAGCCTGTCTCTACCCAGGCACTCATTAAAACAGCCTCGTGTTGTCTGTTGGCGCGCTCTGGGGGTTCGAACCTATACAACAACCTTACAGTCTCAAACTCCCGGCTTCAAGTGATCTGTTGTCTTCACCTCCAAAAGTGCTGGGATTATAGGTATGTGCCACCGCACCCAACCTAGAGCTACTTTTGAATTCATCCAGCCTTATAATCACTTCAAGAGGTGTCTAGGGAGATCTCCCTTTACTCTTTTTCTTGCATTCATTTCTAGACTGTAGAACATTTTTCTCATATATATACAGTAGCTGATGGGGAATTTCTGAAACTTCAAGATACACTCTTCTCACACCATGTTTTTTATTTTAAAAGAACATACTTACTCAAGTGTTATTTATTAAAAATACTTTATTGAAATCTTCTATTTGCTTTGTACGACTTTGTACACGTTCTTTCAGGGAGAGAGTTCTCCAGTGTTCTCCAGTGCCCCTAAGAGACATATCTATGGGTAAATGTAGAAGAATCTGTGGTAACTGTCATGCTGCCTTGTTTGAGGGTCATCTGTAAGACAGGGTGCTGAGAGAACAGTACTACACATGCACACACACACCACACACACAAACACACACACAGGGTGATTTAAGGATAATACAGCCTTTTAGTATGTAATCCCACTTCTAAATTCAAAGCATATGGTTAAGTTCTGATTTTTAAACAATAGCCAATTTGTATGCTTGTTGTGAGCAAAACTGGTTTGACTTAACTTGACTTTTCCCGGCTGAAAACTTCTCAGTTGCTGCCATCAATGGAAAACAGATTAAGAGACAAATTTCAAATGAACGCTTGATGCCCTTTCTTGAAAGGAGGAAAACAGAAAGGGAATGCTCTGCTGGAGATGGTTTCTGTGAGGCTTGCTGTCAGCACCACAGTCCTTATCCCTCTGCATTTATTTCACTAGCACTGGAAATGTGCTGGTTTGTGCAAATATGATCAAGCCCACCCCATGACAGTTTCAGGGTCACATCATTTACTGGAACACATTTACAATTTTTTGCACATAAATTACCTACATGCCTTTAGATTAAATGCACCTTCCAAAAAAAAATTCCACATCATTATTGAATTGCAATTTCATACACTTAGCCTGAAATTTCCATTCTGTCAGAATCACTCATGTTCCCCACAGTTTCAAAAGACTAAAATCACTTTACTGTAACTATATTTTTTTCAATACTAGGCCAAGGATAAATGTGGTTACATTGATTTCTCACAAATGAACCTTAAACCACTGATTTGAAATGAGAAAACCACTGTTTGAAATCATTTTCAATCTGAGGTATGTTTAATTGGCTTTAAAGAAACTTTGCCAGCTTATTTGGAAAAACAAAAAACAAAACAAAAAAAACCCTCTTGATCTCACTCTTGTTTTCAATCCCCTAGAAGAAGCTTGACTGTGAAAGAACCTCTTTCTTCACTGTTTTCAGCTTTTTCACCCTCCTGAAAGCTACCAACTTCCTGTTGGGCTCCCTTCTGAGGTGCCCTATCAATTTTGGCCCAGGGTTGGTCATGTCTAATCCATAATTAGAATGGGCTGGCCACAGTGGCTCATCTCTGTAATCCCAGGACTTTGGGAGGCAGAGGTGTAAGGACCCCTTGAGTCCAGAGGTTTCAGACCTACCTGAGCAACATGGCAAAACCCTGTCTCTACAAAAAAATACAAAAGTTAGCTGGGCGTGGTGGGGTGCACCCGTGGTTCCAGTTGCTCCAGAGGCTGAGGTAGAAGGACCGCTTGAGCCTGGAAGGTCAAAGCTGAAGTGAGCCATTATTGTACCACTGCACTCCAGACTGGGCTACAGAGTGAGAACCTGTTTCAAAAAAAAAAAAATTATAAGAAAAGAAAAGTTTGAAGTATGGTCCCAACCTGAACTCAAGATTGGTGGTAATGCTGATTTTTCAGGTTCTGAGTGTGTTATTAACAGCAGATCTCTTCTTCTAACAGCCTTCAGGTTACGGCGTAATGATCAGATATTCATCACTCGGATATAACCAATATCGATCCACAAAAAGATGACTGCTTTAACCCACTCACAATCATCCTCTGCTCCAGGCCCTTTCTGTTGGACTCTCAGATCCATGCTCTTCAAGAGCACTGGGTGCCCCAAGGGACCTGCCTCCATGTCTACATCAAAGACTCCCTTGTCACCTGGCTTCTGTTGGTTCAGCCACAGGAGGCACTGGCAGGAAGTCAGGGTGAGAAAGAAGAGTAAGTTCAAGTCATGTTTGCATGATTCCATCACTGTGGGTCATGCCTACGGTGGCTTGAGTTTTTTCTTTTATTTCTTGTTTGTTTGTTAACTGAAGGCTGCAGCTACGGCCAGGCAAACCTCAGTAACAACTACTATATCTTCTTTAGTTAACTTTTCTCCTATCCCCTTTGCCCCTTAGCTCTAAGGTTGGTGAGATCATGCCAGGATGCTTCATAACATTTTGCTTTTTATTAATCCTACTAATTCCCTTATAAAACTAAATTTAATTGCCTCTTTGAGTGAACTGTGTCCAACTGTGACAAGCTCTGCTACGTTACCATAGCTTAAGGACCGTTCCTTTACTTATTATACCTTATCAGAATGTAGAAGAAAGGAGATCCCACTCAATGAAAACTAAACTAATTAGTCACTTACAGATAGAGAATATGAAAGGAATCCACTCAGGTATAAGAAGAAGGTAGGCCAACCATCTGGTATTTCATTTAACTGATCTGGGGTCCACCAGGCTAAGGGCTACAGTTCCTTTAATGCTACTTCCTAATTTTCTCTTAGCCCTAGGCATTGAGAATAAAGTGTGTTTGTCTGTCTGCATTAGCATTCCTTCTAAGAAGATTAAAAGATAAATTATTAATTTAAGGAGGGTGCACATCATTGAATTTGAAGTTACAAATTTGAACCAGTAGAACTGTTCTGAGTGACAAACTGATATATGCAGGGAATATTAAACACTTCAAGTTTTGCTTTGAAAGATGATCAAACAATGACAGAATAGGTCATAGGCAGATTGTTTCAATCTGATCTACAGATGAAAGCAAAGTGGAAGCAGGGGGCCAAAAATTAATATTGATGTTTCAGAATCAGAAAATAGGGGTTTAGGTTCCACTCTTAATGGTTATGTGACTTTGAGCAAATTAGTTTTAGAGACACATTAGAAGGTTGGTTTCTATGATACAAGGCTGCTGGCTTATATTCTGCTAGGGATTTTCCTCCCTTCCTTCAAAGACTCGTTTCTTAATCATTGGGTTCCTTACTCTACATCATAGCTACTAAAACACGTTTTGATCTCTGTAATTTAAATATTTACATAGATAATACATTTTTCATTATTTTTAGAATCGATTTTGGCTAAATTTCAAGTATTTAAATTATCTCTTGAATGAACAGGAATCATCTCCAAAATATAGCCCCAAACCCACCTAGGCATAATGACAAACATAAATTTATAAATTCAGCATTTCTTATTTTAAAGATACATAGACCCTAATACTTCAGTATTGATATTTAGTCTAATGTATCCTTTTCACCAGATAACATGTCCTCCAGTTTTTGGATTTCTGTTATTATATTTTCTTCACATGAATTTATTGAAAGGAACTTTTTAAGAGAAGGCTAAACCTAAACCCTCTTTGCTACTCATCCCCTTACTGTTTTTCAAACTTCTCCTTGATTTCTTCTACATTTCCTCATTGCACTCTGACAAAATTCTGAGAAGCTCTGCAATTCTTTGTAATGGCCTGGCTCAGGTCATTGGTTCCCTTCATTAATGACAGTTCATTCCAACTGTAGACCCTCAGTGGGGACTCTGGCAACCTGTCCCTGCCTACTGGCTCTTTTCTTGGTATTACTGATATGCTCCAGGAAAGATTTCAGGAATGACGTTTTCTATTTGATACTATTTCCATTCCCACTGAATTGAGATTTGTAGATCACATAGTAGAAAACTGTTGCTGGCTTGCTGAGGTAACACTGAAAATGTTTGTTTTATTTATTTTTAATATTGACATACAAGGTAGAGCTCATAAGTCAGCCAATTATTTTAATATGGGTATATTCATTTACAAACAAATAAATATGTAGAAATACATGTGCTAGTGACCAGTTTAAATAGCTCATGACATTTATCACTCAAGTAGTGTTTACAACTTACTCTGTAAGAACAACCCAGCGTGCACAGAGATCCTGTCACACGCAGGAATAGCAGGTCAAGAATCAAGAATGGTCACTCTTTGGTACTCAGCATGCCTCCTGAACACTTCTGCTTAGGTTTTCTGACATTGCCCTAACTCCGTGTAACCAAGACCAAATCCATTTTTCACAATACCATTTCTCTCTCCAATTTGCCTTATTCTCATAGAAATCTTCATTGTCCTCATTATCCAAGAGGTGTTGCCTCTTTCATCTTTCTACCTTTTATTCATATATCTAATCAATTACTGGTCCCTACATTCTTATTGATGAAAAGTTCTTCAAAATAGCTACCATATTATTGCTGATAAAGGCTACAATATAAGAAGACTGTTTCATTTTTAAGAGGCAATCAGCCAGTGTGCCATTCTGAAAACTGTCAAGAACAGCATTCCAGAATCTTTTAAAAATAAATATTAGCTGCCAGGATAATAATATGCATGTGACATATTGATAAAATAAAATAATTTAAAATGAATATTAAGGTTTTTTATCTCCTTATATATTGTGAAGAACTGTATTTTTGACCATGGCTTTTTTTAGGTCATTCTGCAACCTCACATCACTTCTTTCTGCTTCTTTGTGAGGTCAGCTCACTTTATGGTCCATACTACCGGGGACATATAGGAAAAGGGAATAAGGGGAGAAAGCATGGTTTTAATATTCATTGCTTTGTGGTTCTATGTAGCTAAACAGTAACTCTAACCTGTCATTACCCTTACCACCCCTGCCGCTAGAGTACTTGAAAAATGTCAGAGGATAAGTTAAACATGATTCCTTTGTACCTATGCAAGCCAACCCCTTATTACCCTCTTTTATAAAAAGTCTTATTCCAATTGTATCTATACCCCAAGTTTCATATCAATCAAAAGGAATTCTAGGAGGAAAATTTTCTCAAGCCTTTTATTAAATAAAAAATTACTGAAGAACCTCCTCATTGTCTCATAAATCTGTAATTAGAATAACTTCTCCACTGTCCCCAGCTCCTGAGTTCAGATTCTCCAAACTCCGTTCTTCATAATCATTTGCAACACATAATGCCTATGCCTTAGCCTCGGAAGTTCAACGCCTCCTGGTTGGTGGTTACGGCCCTGCATTACTGGGACTCACTCTACTTGTTTAAACCTGTTTCCATCACTTCCTGCCATATGCTTGTCAGCCAATCCCCCAATGTCCCTCTCCCCTAAAACAAAAACATATCTCTGCTTTTTAATTTTGCCTCTATTTGATTGTTCTCTCTCTCTACATGCTCTCCATTCTTTCCTTTTCCTGTTTAAATCCTTCTAGTCCTCAAGGATCATTCCTTCACAGTCCAGTGAAGAACTGAGATAGCCTTGTGTGCCTCATGCCTCGGCAGACCAACTTCCAATGACCAGCCAATCTCCTTCACTTCTTTTCATACTTCCCTGCACTCCTTCTGTCTCCTGCTTTTATTTTTTCTAATACTTCCTTGTACTCCTTGGTTGCTTATTGACAGCACCATGTGAGTTAGCACCTAACTTAGCACCCTTATATTGTTCCAGAATTAATAATGTATGTGTGCTAGTCTTCTCTCCTCAAGTAGACTGTAATCAGAGACTGTGAGAAAAATTATTTTTTAATGTATATCTACGTGTGAAACTAAACTTATTTTAACATATGTTGTGCATAAAACTACCTCTGGTCTTTTTAAAAAGATACTAAGTGATTAAATTATTCACCTCATAACAAACCTGAAGATTTGCAAGCCTCACATCATCAAAAAGGCACAGGGTGCATAAAACTGTCAGAATTTTGGAGAAGGGAGGTCACATACAAGAGCAAGAAGCTTAGAGCAGGGAGGGTGGTCCACAAAGAGAAACCATAACTAGAGTAACAGTTTTGATCTAGAAGGAGGATGTTCTAGGTTATTCCAGGAAGAGACAACAGACTACTTTGAAATAAAAGAAATAAGCAAAACAGTGAAATAGTAGATACTTGAACTCAAACCAATATTTGTAATTTTCATGGGGACTTTAATCATTTAGAACAGAAGATTGAAAAAATTAAAAGAAGATTGAATAGCCAGTGGCAAAGAGGGAATTAGGTCAAAGGTACATTACATTTCTTACAAAGAGACAATATATGGCAGGCCCAGCTTGGGGTGTGTGTGTGTGTGTTGTGGGTGAGGGGCCTGGAGGTGAAAGCCCAGCAGTGGGAAATGAAAAGAATTAAAGGTAGGGAGGCAGACAAGTACTAATAAGTGTAATGGCAGGTGAGAGGTAGCAGACAGGTTGGCTGAGAGGCAACTTGGAGAAGGTTTGGTGGCACATTCTAGGTACCTATTTATGTAAGTGGACATAGGCAAAACATAGTCTCTTGAGAGACTGGAAGGAGAAAGTGGGAATCTAGTTCCACCGAAATTCAAGTACAAGAATGAAAGCAGGTGTCTGCCTACTCTTTTCTGGAATACGAGGTCAGGTTTGGTGCTGTAACTGGAGGATTGATCACCAACCACTGGTTAAAGGCCCTTATCATGCCCAGACCAGGAGAAATGGTAAACCTTTTTAGTCTCCATAATCATGTGAGCCAACACTTGATTATGAAATGACTCAGTGTATAATAAATACTTTTTTCCCCAGGGTCAACTGTAGAGATACAGATACAGTTGACCCTTGAACCACCCGGGGGTTATAACGGGGTATCAATCCCTTGCACAGTTTAAAATCGGCATATAACTTCTGACTCCCCAAAAACTTAACTACTAATAGTGTACTGTTGACTGGAAGCCTTTCTAATAACATAAACAGTCAATTAACACATAAATAGAATAGAATTCATGAATGCCTAATTTTTCTTAATTTTAAAAATATTTCTGGGCTACATAGTTTATCTGTGAGTTTTTTCAATCTTTTGCAAACCTCAAAAAAATTCCAATATATTTATTTTTGAAAATCTACAGACCCATAAGCTTCAAACCCATGTTATTCAAGGATTAACTGTATATAACTAAATTGGTTCTGTTTCTCTGGAAACCCTGCCTAATACATCTTCTGTGCGTACTTTTCTTTTTAAAAGATAGCACCACTTGCCCTGGAGTTGTGGTCAGGGAAAGGGCAGGATTCAGAAGAAACATTATCTAACAGGCTTGGATTCAGCCCTCAATATTCTGGCAAAGTCACAGAGGCCATTCTTGATGCTATTTCTGAAACCAGCTCCTCTCTACAACCAGCTTGAGCACATGGCAGGTGCTCCATAAACAATTAATGGGGGTTAGACCATTCCATACGAATGTTAAAGAAGTTCTCATTTGCAAACTTTACTTGCAGGAGCCTGTTCACTGAATAAAAGATTTTTGCCTTGGTGGCAAGAATGTAAATGTCACCATTTTCTTTCAGGAGGTACACATTTCACTTTAAATCGGCATGTATTATTCATTTCACTTTAATTCTGTGGTGCCGACCCTGGAATTGCATATCCCTACACTGCTGCTGACTTCCAAGTGCCTTCTAGGAATAAGGGCCAGTCTGAAGCTTCAAATAACATAACGCCTCACATCTCTCTATTTCCCACTAATTACGTGAGGTCACTTCATAAGCCTGCCAGAAACCCAGCTCCCCACTGGCAGAAGAGATACATCTGCTAGCACAGCTCTGAGCGGAGAATATGTTTCATCCCTGAAAATATGTGCTTAAATATTTAATAAAAGCATAAACTTGAAGAACTTATGGCAGCTGTAGGGAGAGAAGCTGAATAGAAGGCAAAAACAATCTTCATTTGAGGAGATTAAAAGAGTTAAAGAAATGTGTATGGTATTATACAGCTTTATGGTAAACAAACACTCCAGGCAAAAATGAAGAAAAAAAGACACACAGAGTGCTTGCCCATGCAAAGAAGAAAACACAGTTTAGAATATTCTAGAAGTTCAAGTTTGAAGCAAAATCCAAGTTATGTCAGCACTAACCACTGTCTATATAGCCTTCCATACAAATCAGCCCTGCTCCTCAGGAAGACAGATGGCTCAGTATACAACACGTACATAACCACAACCTGAGCTGAGAGGGACCTGCCGCAAGCAAAGAAACAAGGCTTCCTCAGAGAAAAGATAAACTGTGCTCTTTTTAAAACCCACTGGAACTGCTGCTCCCCTTGGCAACCCAGGGTACAGCAGGGGGCATCGGCATCTTCCAACATACAGGCAACCAGCTGTACAACCTTGGCAGAGCAGCTGGTAACCACAGCCAGGCGGCTGTGTGTCATTACCTCAAGCCTCCAAACCCCAGGGTGGCTCCCCGGTCCCCTAGGCTGTCGCAGGCGTGGCAGGAGCTGCCTTCTGAAGGCTCAGGGTTCTGCATTCCTGCGCTGTCTTGGGGCAGGAGCATTAGTCAGCCTTCCTGAGCACAGACAGTACCAGACTTGCCCATCCGTGGCTTATAAATAAATGATCCAGGAAAGACACAGAAGGTCACTCCTGCCAGGTTAAAGGTAGCACTCACATTCTGTTTCCAGGAAAGTCCGAATGAAATAAGAGAACATTGAGAGGATCTGTGGATGCTCAAAGCCAGGCAAAATCTGTGGAAATCAAGAGCAGCTTAGAGGATTAACCTCAATCGCCACTTAAAGCAAGCATCTCATGAATAAGTCATTCACTTTTTTGGGATTCGTTGCGATCAGCTTGTCTTCTGCATACTTGAGATCTTGTTCAGTGAGAAAATCCGTGTTATGACTGGGGTTAAAGGGTTTATATTTTAAAGTGCAGTATTTTAGGAAATAGGACTGATCTGGGGTGAGGCAAAATAATGTCCTAAGCTATGTAAACCAAAAATAAAATTCTAAGGCCCCCAACCAACTGAACAGACCCTCTCATGGCCAAGGGGATCCCAAAGAGACCTGAAAAACTAGTTCAGGCCAAGACAGCAAGGGCGGTTGGATAGACACTCCTGCCTTGTTATGCCCTCCTCCCTTAGGAGTTTAGGCACAATTGACCAGTATTAATATAAAATAAAGATCATAGACTGACAAAACAGACACTTTGCAGCAATAAGATACAAAATTCCAACCTGACTCTGGTATAGCGTCACATGATAGATAGCAGTCCCTGAGGGAAATCAAAGTATTTTACTCCAAAATGCGTTTTTTGACATATTTTGAAATGGCTCTCCTTTCCCCTACTAGGTCTTTTCTGGAGAGTGTCACACCTTTTAAGGTCAGATAAAAGACATTTAAGATATTTACAATCTATTCTCTCTGAAGGTTGCTACCTGGAGGTTTCATCCACATGATAAGAAGCTTGGCTTCCATAACCCTCTTATCCTAGCTCAAGCATTTCTTTATGCTGACTTCAACTCTTCAGGTATAGCTTAACTCATTCAACCAATTGCCAGTCAGAAAATCTTTGAATCCACCTATGGAAGCCTCCCTGCAACAACCTCAATCCTGCTTTGGGCTGAACCAATGTATACCTTACATGTATTGATTTGTATCTTTGCCTGTAACTTCTGTCTCCCTAAAATGTATAAAACAAAGCTGTGCCCCGACCACGTTAGGCACATGTTCTCAGGGCCTCCTGAGGCTGTGTCATAGGCCATGGTCCTTGACTTTGTAAAATAAACCTCTAAATTAATTAAGTCCTGGCTCAGATACTTTTTGATTTATAGACAAATAAGAGACTATCGAATATTCCTTTTTCCAAAATAATTCCAAGGGCCAACCTACACAAATGACAGCAGACAGACCTTTGGACTTCATTTCTGCATTCTGAGCCTCCTGCTCCCCAGGTTCAGATTTTAGGCTTGCTATGTGAGTCTTATGATTTATGATTTGGTGATGTTCGCAGTTACATTAACGTTTATAGTTTGGATGGGAACCTACTCACCACACATAAGAATGTTTCTCCAAGAAACACTTTCCAAGTTCTCCACAAGTGACTTAATAAAATAAACTTTTAGAAAGCAATGTTTGTAAATTGGTAGCAGCTTATATCTAATATATTAGACCAGCTTATTTTCCATAATGAATTTTACATAGTATCAAACTAAATTTTCCCCCAAATTTCATACTCTACATTATCTATCACTCATTTATTTGCTAGTTTATTGGGTTCTTGCAAGATGTTATGGATTTAGACATGCATAAGACTTCCACCCAGCTTTTAAGGATTTTGTACTCTGAAAAATCAACAGCCGTACAACTAAGGAAGGGCGGGGATTAAAGGAAGAACAAGATGCTTCCTTCAGAAGGAGGATTCTGGGGAAGCATAGCAAGAAACCTTGAAGAGGAAGTGACTCCAGACTCCTATCTTGAAGGACGAGAATATTATATCCTATGGTCGGAATGTTTGTGTTCTTTTGAAATCCCTGTGTTAAAATTCTACCCCCTCAAGATGATGATATTAAAAGGTAGGGCCTTCAGAAGATGATTCAGACATGAAGATAGAGCCATTATGAATGTGATTAGTGCCTTTGTAAAAAGAGGCTGAGGGAGTTTATTTGCCTCTTTCATGAGGACACGGAGAGAAGTTGCAACCCAAAAGAGGACCCTCACCAGAATCCAACCATGCTGGCACCCTGATCTTGGGCTTCCCAGCCTCTAAAGCTGTGAGAAATACATTTCTGTTGTTTATAAGCCACCCGGTTAATGGTATTTTGTTACAGCAGCCACGGTTGACTGAAGACATTAAACTTCTTCTGAGGAACATCCTTGTACAATATTCTCTTATAGGGTGGGGCTTGAGTCTACTATTAATGCTTACCATTTAAAAAACATTTAAAAAAGTTACTAAGAGCTGCTATAATCTGAAAAAACCCTGGACAACACTATCTAGCTACCTCCCCTACAAGTCTCTTCCCATGCCACCATGTCCAGTGAACCATTTGATTTACTTTTTGAATTTGATTGGGATTTATCTTATTGGAGGTACCTAAGCAGAAAGAGTCCTATCAAATTTCTGGTTACTCTGAAAACAGTGGGCCCATGGCTTTAGAGGCATCTAGTGGTAACAAAACCTTGACATGTTTTGTGACAGATTTCCCACTTCCCTGTAATATCTATGTGTCTTCAGGGTTAACTGAGCTGCTATACCTCACAAAGAACAGTCAACAATGGAATTTAACATTTGTTGAATATTTAAATGCAATCATTAATTTAGGGAATATTTCAAATATCATATAGGCAATAGAATTTTGTCAGCAGGTACACTTATGGTCCATCAATATAATTTCAATTAGTGCTTCTCAACTGGCAGGCAAATGTGCAATGCTGTGCCATTAATGGGCCATAGGAGTACTTTCCTTGGCCCTTATAGCAGTCATGTGGGACCCTGAGTTCCTGGGCCAGTGGCAATGGCATCTTTATCCATTTGTCCAAATAGCATAAAATATTATCATTTTCTAAGTTTGCATGATTTGAAAAATGTTTGAGAAGCCTTAGTTTGTACTAGAAGTTCGTTAACGAGCCTGACCAATCTGTCTTTGACCTCTCATTGTGCTGGACATAGGGTAAGATGCAGACAAACCCCCATGACCCGAAAAGCTCTCAGAAACACTAAGCTGAGCTTTATGATCACTCATTCCAACCATATGCGAAGAGTGCTTCAAATTCTGTTTGATGATGATGACCGTGAAGTCTAGCCTTCACTCTGAGATTCATACTCATCTGGACAGAAGAGAAGTTGAATCAGCTGCAGTCTACTCTTTACTGTTCCATCTACCTCAAAACCGCCCCAGCTGGCTCCATCTCTAAAAGAAGCAATTGAAAAAGAAATCCTATTATAAGCAGACAACTTTAGTTTGTTTTGACTCATGAATAATCAAATAAAAGATTCTGAAAAATATATATCATATAAAGGGGTAGTGTTGATACAAACCTGAGGCCAATGTAGTGTCAAAACTCCTGCTTAGTAATCCAATGGGAAACTCAGTTGTCAAAATCCTCCCAGAAATGATAGTAAATGAGGGACAGTGAAGAAAGGCAGTGGTACTGTTCAGTGTAGACATGTGTTAGCGGTAATGATGGCTCTGTGGTAGCTTCTAGGGCCCTTTTTATAACAGAAAATAGAAGGCTCACTGAACTGTCCACCCAAAAGACTACACTGTTGGCATGTCATCACTGTCACCTCCCTCCCTCACACTGGAACTCTGGACAATTGGCATTCATTTTCTACAGAAGCCAAAGACATGAGGAACAATGGGACAGAGGGCACATGGAAACCACCTCATCTTAGCCATTTTATGCCAGTCTTTACCCCTATATGCTCTTCATTTCAGACTGAGGAGTTGCACTATCAGACAGATCAGAACCAGCAGTTCTCTTCTTCAGCTTGTTTGACAAGACCTGTTATGCCTTTGAAATGAGAGACCACTGACCCAGGATGCAAGAGTCATCTCAATGGGCCTACAACCAGGAAGACTGGCTCAGCAGCCTGACAGCACATTGCCTGGAGACACATGTGATGTTAACAACCAGATGAACCCATGTTTTCAAAAAGATAAGATTTGTGCATTATGAAGTCCCAGACCATTAGGGAGGATATTTTCTCAAGTCTTTAAAGGTAGCAACATAGAGGAATTTTTCTGAGGTTGAATCCTAGATAGTGCATGTTGTGAGATAACAGTTGACACTCAAAAGCAATTTCTCAGGAAGTGCTCATGATTATTTTTTCTAACACTCATGTACATGTTGGAACAGAATAGAAAGAAAAACTCTATGTTGGGTGGCCACAAGAGTGATACAAGACTCATGAGGCAAATCAAAGTTTTAAAAATAACGCTTTGCTTTACATTAATCCTGTTGATAATGCAATATAGAATGTATATATATATGATGTACTCAATCTACATATATATCATATATATGATATATGTGCACACATATATACTTGACATATATACACATTATATGTACATATATACATTGTGATGGTTAATTTTACGTGCCACATTTACTGGGCTAAGGAATGCCCATATAGTGGGTAAAACATTATTTCTAGGAACCCAGAAATAAATCCACATATTTATAGGCAACTTATTTTTGACAAAAGTGCCAAGAACATTCATTGGGAGAAGGACAGTCTCTTCAATAAATGGTACTGGGGAAACTAGAGATCCATATATAGGAGAATGAATCTAACCCCCATCTCTCACTATAAACAAAAATCAACTTAAAATGGATTAAGTGCTTAAATGTAAGACCTGAAACTATATGAAATTAACAGAAGAAAACACCAGGGAAATGATTCAGGACATTGTTCTGGGCAAAGATTATATGGAGAAGACCTCAATAGAACAGGCAACTAAAGCAAATATAGGCAAATGGGATGATATGAAACTAAAACCTTTTGCACAACAAAGGAAACAATCAACACAATGGAGAGACAACCATCAGAATGGGAGAAAATATTTGCAAACCCTTCATCTGATAAGAGATTAATAACCAGAATATGCATGGAACTCAAACAACTCACCAGCAAAAACAAACAAACAAACAAACAAACAAACAAATAATCCCAACAAAAAGTGAAGAAAGGACTTGGATAGACATTTCTCAAAAGAAGATATACAAATGGCCAGCAGGTGTATGAAAAAATGCTCAACACCATTCATCATCAGGGAAATGCAAATCACAACCACAGCAAGATGTCACCTCATCTCATTTAGAAAGACTATTATTAAAAAAGACAAAGGTAAATGTTGGCAAGGATGTGGAGAAAAGGGAATGCTTATACACTGTTAGTGCGAGTGTAAATTGGTGCAATCTTTATGGAAAATAGGAACTGGTTCCTCAAAGAACTAATAATAAAACTACTACATGATCCAGCAATCCCGCTATGGAGTATATATCCAAAGTGAAGGAAATCAGTATGTCAAAGACATATTTACACTCCCATGTTTATTGAAGTGTGTTCACAATAGCCAAGATATGGAATCAGCCTCAATGTCCATCAACAGATGAATGCAAAAAGAAAATGTGATATATACAAATACTATCCAGTCATAAAAAAAAACAAAATGCTGTCATTTATGACATCGTGGATGAACCTGGAAGACACTATGTTAAGTGAAATAAGCCAGGCACAGAAAGACAAATACTGCATGTTCTCACTCAGGTGGAATCTTAAAAAGCATCTCATAGAGAGTCGAAAAGTGGTTACTAGAGACTGGGAAGGATGTTGAAGTAGGAAGAGGATATCCAGAAGTTGCTTAATGGATACAAAATTACAGCTAGATAGGAAGAATAAGTTCGAGAGTTCTACAGTACTGTAGGATGACTACAATTAAAATAAATTTGTATATTTTCAAGTAGCAAGAAGAGCAGATTACAAATATGCCCAACACAATGAAATGATAAATGTTTGAGGTGATTGGACATGCTAATTACTCTGATTTGATCATTATATGTTGCATACATGTATTGAAATAGCACACTGTATCCCATAAATATGTACAACTATTTTGTGTCAATTTAAAATATTAATAAAAGCAAAAAACAAAAATCACTGGGTGTGTCTTGAAGGTGTTTCCAGAAGAGATTAGCATTTGAATCAGCAGAATGAGTAAAGAAGATTGCCCTTACCAATGCAGCTGGCCGTCATCTAATGCTTGAGGGCCTGAGCAGAACAAAAAGGCAGAGTATGGCAAATTCACTCTCTCTGTCTGAGCTAGGGCAAAAATCGCCTCCTGCCCTTGGACATTGGCTCCCCCAGTTCTCAAGCACTCAAACTCATATTGGGAGTTGCACCATCTGCATTCCCGGTTTTCAGGCCTTTGGACTCAGGCTAAAATTTCAGCACTGGCTTTCCTGATTCTCCAGCTTTGTGGATGGCAGATTATGGGACTTCTTAGCCTCCATAACTGTGTGAGCCAATTCCTTAAAATCTCTCTCTTTCATTCTCTCTCTCTCTCCTATTGGTCTGTTTCTCTGAAGAACCCTAATTAATACATCCATACATACGTATGTCTTACACACACAGATGTGTTTGTGGTCATTTCATCTACAAGAGGAATGGAGTCATAGGAATAAGCTCCTTCACTTCTGTACATACATACATACATACACACGTGTACGTATGTATAATACTATACTTATTCATATGTGGTTCATTCATCCCTAAAACATGAGAAGGGGCTTCTGGAAAGATAGCAAACTTAAAATAATGCAAAAAAAGAAAAAATAAATTAAATTACATCCATACCTCAAAGAAATGCTAAAATAGAAATTTACTCAAACCAGAGAAAAATTGTGTTAGTGAATTAGAAATGTGAGTTGTTATTTGACTTCTTGAAGACAAGAATTGATTTTAAATTAATTTGCATAGGGTACTAGACATTAGATACAAGGCTTGCCCAGACCATTTTTACATGTGAGGTTCTTGAGAACAAGCAGATAATTATGTTACATCAACTGGATGCTTAAAGTAGAAAAACTCAACAGCTCTGAATTATTCTCACCCAATTTGCACTAACCGTAGGGAGGCAGCATCATGTTGCAGAGAACAGAGCCTAAACTGGGGAATCTGAAAGACACGGATTTAAATTATGGCTTCATTATTTACTAGCTGGATATATTGTTTATTTTGAGGCTCAACTAATCTGTATAATTCACAGACAATTATCTCACAGTTTTTGTAAACAGAAGATAGTATTTGACATTCCTAACATATATTTTAAACACTCAGCAAATATTTATTCTTATTCTTTCACCCCTCAATTATGGTGATGCACTGATCTTTGTCCAAGTGTCCAAAATAGCATATGGAAAGTCCACAGAACAGCATTAACAGTATTAAGGAGTATACTAGATACTTTCACAATTATAGCGACTCTACTTAATACTTCCTTCAGTCTTGTATGACGTATCCCATTTTATAGATGAGTAAGACCAGACTCTGAAGGGCCATATTCAAGAGCTGGACCAGTGTAACCACAAAGCTCTTCTCCCATGCATCTAGTTGCCCTCACTCTCTGTCGAGGCAGCATTTGTTCTATCGGCGGGGGTGTCTGCTCTCTTAGGCAGGAGTATCACAATCCATGCTGTAAAGAGTCCTCCCAGGCTCTGCCCAGGCTAAGAATTCATGTAGGCATCCATGCAATAGATATTTATTTATTGAGCATTTCCTGTATGCCAGGCACTGTCACAAATACTGAAAACTGAATCCCCTGAAGATATTTAAATATACCAGTAGGTTGGGGCCTAAATCTTTAGTTTTCTCATTTCTACTGCTGTTTCCCCAGAGTATAATGATAACTTTGCTGATAACCATGTCCAAACATCACTGTATCCCATGTGACTCTAATGTCCCTGAGTCTTTGTGGATGCCATGTAAAAACAAAATGACTTATTTCATATACCCTTTTGAGAACTACAACTTAGACTGCAAAAAAGAGGTTACCCTTTTCTTTTTTTTATTATACTTTAAGTTCTAGGGTACATGTGAACAATGTGCAGGTTTGTTACATATGTGGACATGTGCCATGTTGGTGTGCTGCACCCATTAACTCGTCATTTACATTAGGTATATCACCTAATGCTATCCCTCCCCCCTCCCCCCACACAACTACAGGCCCCAGTGTGTGATGTTCCCCTTCCTGTGTCCATGTGTTCTCATTGTTCAATTCCTGCCTATGAGTGAGAACATGCGGTGTTTGGTTTTTTGTCCTTGCAATAGTTTGCTGAGAATGATGATTTCCAGCTTCATCCATGTCCCTACAAAGGACATGAACTCATCCTTTTTTATGGCTGCATAGTATTCCATGGTGTATATGTGCCACATTTTCTTAATCCAGTCTATCACTGATGGATATTTGGGTTGGTTCCAAGTCTTTGCTATTGTGAATAGTGTTGCAATAAACATACATGTGTATGTGTCTTTATAGCAGCATGCTTTATAATCCTTTGGGTATATACCCAGTAATGGGATGGCTGGGTCAAATGGTATTTCTAGTTCTAGATCCTTGAGGAATCACCACAGTGTCTTCCACAATGGTTGAACTAGTTTACACTCCCACCAACAGTGTAAAAGTGTTCCTATTTCTCCACATCCTCTCCAGCACCTGTTGTTTCCAGACTTTTTAATGATTGCCATTCTAACTGGTGTGAAATGGTATCTCATTGTGGTTTTGATATGCATTTCTCTGATGGCCAGTGATGATGAGCATTTTTTCATGTGTCTGTTGGCTGCATAAATGTCTTCTTTTGAGAAGTGTCTGTTCATATCCTTCACCCACTTTTTGATGGGGTTGTTTGTTTTTTTCTTGTAAATTTGTTTGAGTTCTTTGTAGATTCTGGATATTAGCCCTTTGTCAGATGAGTAGGTTGCGAAAATTTTCTCCCATATTGTAGGTTGCCTGTTCACTCTGATGGTAGTTTCTTTTGCTGTGCAGAAGCTCTTTAGTTTAATTAGATCCCATTTGTCAATTTTGGCTTTTGTTCCCATTGCATTTAGTGTTTTAAACATGAAGTCCTTGCCCATGAGTTTACCCTTTTCTACAGTCAGGTAAGTGCTGAGTGAAAATTGCTTGGATGATGGGCTTAATGTAAAGTGGTGAGTTCAATGTGTAAGTGTTTCTCATTGCTGCATGTGCACCATTTCATGCATGAAGAACATGAGAAATGAATGACATCAAACAGGAATAAAATACTGCAAAGTACCTTATTTTTCACTATCAAGCTGAAACACCAATAGTGTGGCAGAGAATTTCAGTAAGCAACTACCAGAGGGGCTCCTCATAACACAAAAAGTCAGCAGAAGTACCGCTCTTGGTATCTTCCTTTGGTATAAGAGTTATCAGTCAGGAGCACTTCTGACACTCTCTTGAAATTCCAAGCTGCTCTCAGAGACATGGGGGAGGGAGGTTCTTAGGATTATAATTTTAGAGTCAGCCAAAGCTACTTTGGGAAGCAGCTTCCAGTGTGAAGACTTTTTGGCCAAATAGAACATCCCAAACCTTTTCCACCTTCATAGGAATTGCAGCAGTACCCTAAAGTTCCAGGGTTTCTTATGGCTCATTCAAACCACACTACCTCAAAGCAGCACTCTTCTCTCTTGCTGATGGAAATGAGTTTTCTTGGTGGCTATTCAATCCTGATCAACACTTTGGGCATTGTGGGATAAACTTCTGCCCAGCAACCCAACATGCCCACCAACCTAGAAGTGTATATTGGGGAGCAGGAAGACCATGGGCAATGGAGAGAACCCCTACTATTCACTCAAAACATTCAGTGAGCAGGATTCTTTCATCTCAGGCTAGGAAGCATGCTTCATCAGTTATCTCATCATCCTTTTTACTTTATGATGCTTAAAGTATTGACCTCTTTGTTCCAAATTCTATTCCTGAAAGCTCTCCAACATGGTACATAATTTCTTCCATTTGTTGGGTGAGTGTGCATCACATAAACCCACATATGCAACTGTGGGAAATGAAGAGGAAAATGATGTCACAAAGCAAAGGAAATAAGGCTGCTGCAAACCACAAGTCAATACAGAAGCATCAGCTAACCATTTACAACCAATCATTAGTTTTTGTGTGCAGGTGGAACAGATAAGATATGGAAAAGATAGAGAGTTCTCTTCCTGTCTATGAATCAACTTACCTTGGTCAAGATTTCTTTTGGGAGGAAAAAGAATTTTTTTTAATGGGCAAGAACCTCTTTCTGTTTAATTTTCTTTAGGCAGTCTCTACGTGACTCTTCATAAAATCACAAATAATGTTTACCATTGCTCATACAGATGACAACACAAGCTTTCTCAAATACCTAAGAGTTATTCAGAAAGGTTTCTGATACAGTTGAAATGTGCCGTCTTAGTCTGTTCAGGCTGCCATACCAAAATACCATAGACTGGGTGGGTTTTAAACAACAGAAATTTATTTCTCACGGTACTGGAGGCTGCAAAGTCCAAGATCAAGGCCCCAGCAGATTTGGTGTCTGGTGAGAGCCTGCTTCCTCATAGACAGCTGTCTTCTCCCTCTATTCTCACAGGGAAGAGGGATCTCTCTGGGTTTTTGTTTTTGGTGTTTTTTTTTTGTTTTTTTGTTTTTTTGTTTTTTTTTTTTTGAGATGGAGTCTTGCTTTGTCACCCAGGCTGGAGTGCAGTGGCGTGATCTCAATTCACTACAACCTGCATTTCCCAGGTTCAAACGATTTTCCTATCTCAGCCTCCTGAGTAGCTGGGATTACAGGCATATGCCACCATGCTCGGTTAATTTTTGTATTTTCAGTAGAGACGGGGTTTCACCATGTTGGCCAGAGTGGTCTCAAACTCCTGACCGCAAGAGACCCACCCGCCTCATCCTCCCAAAGTGCTGGGCTTATAGGTGTGAGCCACCGGCCCGGCCTCTGAGGTCTCTTTTATAAGAACACTAACCTCATTTACGAGGGTTCCACCCCCATGATTAGATCTGCCCCATAATCTAATCACCTCCCAAAGGCCAGACGTCCTGATACCATAACCTTGGTGGGCATGAAGATTTTACCATATGAATTTGGGAAGGGGTACAAATATTCAGATTATAGCATGTGCTGTGCTGATTCTGCATTTGATGGATCTGTGGAGTTGATGAGGGGGAGTGGATGTGGAGTGAGAAGGACATGGGGCAGTGGCTCCTCGACACACATGCATACATGCACACACATGCACACTCACACTCCCATCAGCCCCCAGAGGTGTAGTCAGGAATCTTTCAGGGTCTTCTGAGCAGTCTCACACTTGGGACACCAACTAAAAAGTGTCTTGGTGGAAAAAGAGGAAGTCAGTGGGGTAACATTTTCCCGTGGACATACATGTCTTTCTCATTATGTCACTGTCACGGCCCTGAAACTTATCTTAGATGCTACCATTGCAGGCATTTTAATTTTTAATAATCTGTCGTATTTGGCAGCAGCAAGGATAACATGTTGACAAAGAAAGGACTGACTGCATAGTCTCTAATCAACTATTTGGATCACAAAGTAATTATGCAGAAATAAACCCCGGAATGGCCTGGCACAGTGGCTCAAGCCTGTAATCCCAGTACTTCAGGAGGCCGAGGTGGGTGGATCACCTGAGGTCAGGAGTTTGAGACCAGCCTGGCCAACATGGTGAAACCCCATCTCTACTAAAAATACAAAAAATTAGCCAGACGTGGTGGTGGGCACCTGTAACCCCACCTACTCAGGAGGTTGAGGCAGGAGAATCACTTGAACTGGGGAGGTGGAGGTTGCAGTGAGCCAAGATTTTACCATTGCACTCCAGCCTGGGCAACAAGAGCAAAACTCCATCTCCAAAAAAAAAAAAGAAAAGAAAAGATAAATAAATGAATAAATAAATAAACCCCAGGAAACTGGGGAACAACCTAGACGGCAAACACAGTAATGAGAGGTGGAGTGGAGAAACCTAAGGAAGCCACAGATGTACTGTTGAGCTGCCTTGGGTTTGGGGAATTGCAGCCTCCTGGGGGGATGCATAACTCGCTTTTCCTGAAAAACAGCTGGTAACTGCTGTCTCGCCTGCAGGTCGCTCTTGCTATTTTGCCAATCCAGGTATTTCTTTTGGATATTCAGGGGTCTTGCTAATATTTTATATCTGTCCTCTTCCCTTTGGTAATGCTCCCTGCTCTGATCTGATGGAAAACCCTCAGTGAAGATCTGCTCCTGAAGTTCATAGGTTCCTCACCCAGGTCCTCCATTCAAAAACTGGCCAAGGCTCCCAAGGCTTTCTAGGCTTATGGATATTCCTCAAAATTGACACAACACATGCAAAAATGTGCCTACAATGATCTCCTCTACAGGGAGCTCAAGACTTCATTTCTGTCAGGACATTTGGAGAATGGCGGGCTTGATTAAGAATGTGTACAGGGCCAGGTATGGTGGCTCACACCTGTAATCCCAGCACTTTGAGAAGACTAGGCAGGCAGATGGCTTGAGCCCAGGAGTTCAAGATCAGCCTTGGCAACATGGTGAAACCCCCCCTCTACAAAAGAATACAAAAAAGTAAGCCAGGTGTAGTGGCACATGCCTGTAGTCCCAGTTATTCGGGAGGCTGAGATAAAAGGATTGCTTGAGCCTGGGAGGTCGAGGAATCAGTGAGCCATGATTGGGCCACTGCACTCCAGCCTAGGTGACAGAGCAAGACCCTGCCTGAAAAAATAAAATAAAATAAAAGATAAAATAAAATAAAATAAAATAAAATAAAATAAAGAAGATACACAGAAGGGCACATGATGAGGGGACTTAGGAGTGGGTTCTGCAGTGGAAGTGCCCGTGCAACCTTGGATAAATTACTCAAGTCCTTTAAGCTTGGTTTCCTTATTCACAAAATAAGAATCAGAAAATCTATCCTCTTGGATTTCTATATCCTGGTAATTCTGCTTTTCTGGTGAAATACTGATCGATACAATTCCTTATGGGGAGTTGACTTCCCTCACTGAAGTGGGGGGCAGGGTGTCCATTTCCCATGACCCCTTAATTCTCAAACTCGAAGTGTCCTATTCCTTGAGCCATCCCTGGCCACAGGAGCAGAACCTCATGAAGGTGAGTCAGTCGGTCACCTCCCAGTCCCCAGCAGCAGTGATGGACTGAGGGCTGTGCACATTCGCTAAGTTGATCTAGTCAGGGGAATGTCCAGGTCTCTTACTAGATAACATGAGTAAGAGCACACATGGCTCTAGGAGTTCCCCGCAGCCATCTCACTAGCTTGGGTGAAGTTAGTCTGCAGACTGTTGACAACAAATATTTTTGTGTTGTAAAATACTTGAAGAGATTTATTCTGAGCCAAATATAAGTGACCATGTCCCATGACACAGGCCTCAGGAGGTCCTGAGAACATGTGGCCAAGGTGGTCTGGGTGCAGCTTGGTTTTAGGGAGGCATGAGACATCAATCAAATACATTTAAGAAATACATTGGTTTGGTCCAGAAAGGCCAAAGTGGGGGTGGAGCTTTCCAGCTTGTAAGTCGATTTTAAAAAGTGGGGAGTTTCCAGTTTATAGGTAGATTTAAATTTTTTCTGATTGACAATACGTTTATTTATCTAAAGATCTGGGATCAGTAGAAATGAGTGTCTGGGTTAAGATAAAGGATTGTGGAGACCAGAGTTCTTATCTGCAAAGGAAGCCTTCAGGTAGTAGGCTTCAGAAAGAATAAGTTGTAAAATGACTCTTATCACACTTGAATTCCATGTTGATATTAATGCCAGAGAGGTATAACGAGGCATGACCACCCCTACTTCCCATCATGGCCTGAGCTAGTCTTGCAGGTTAAATTTTAAGAGTGCCTTGGCTGAGGACGAAGTCCATTCAGATGGTTGGGGGAACTTAGAATTTTATTTTTGGTATACAGGACAAAGCAGACAGGAGGAGTAAGGCAGAACCAACAGCGGAGAAACACAGTTGCCGCTTTAATGATGGTGTGGGCCTCTGGAACCTGAATCCCCACTTGGCTTTCACTTTAAATGATCTCTTTCTTTAAGAAAAAAGGAGAAAAAAAAAAAAAAGGCCCAGCGCTGTGGCTCACACCTGTAATCCCAGCATTTTGGGAGGCCAAAGCAGGCTGATCACTTGAGGTCAGGAGTACGAGACAGCATGGCCAACCTGGCGCAACCCCGTCTCTACTAAAAATACAAAAATTAGCTGGGCATGGTGGCAGGCGCCTGTAGTCCCAGCTACTCAGGAGTCTGAGGCAGGAGCATCGCTTGAACCCTGGAGGTGGAGGCTCCAGTGAGCCGAGATCACACCACTGCACTCCAGCCTGGGCGACAGAGCAAGTCCCTGTCAAAAAAAAAAGGAAAAGGAAAAGAAAGTTGAATTTTCTGCAATAGGAAGCATTGCCAATGCGCTCATTCCCAGTGGGACTCAGTCCTCTGGGAGTAAACACATAGCTCAGTACCTGATGCTGTGATGGACCCAGGTCCTCACCAGAGACATCTGGTGTCCTTTTAGATGGGTTGGGAGGGGCCATGAAGGAAGGACAAAGATTCTACCAAAGAGGAAAAGATGTTCTGTCTTTTTTTTGAGAGTCCGGCTATGTCTACCATAACAGACCTGGAGGGCATCTTTCCCAGCTTTGTTGGGAGACCTTATAGGAGATAAAGTCTACGAATATACAAATTATAACAAAGACCTGAGATAAGGAAAAAGACACAATTGCCCATTTACATCCTCTGAGCATCTGCATCTGGTCCTATCTCAGATCCCACCTTTGCATCTTCAAAATTCCTAAGCAAAAGATTCTCATTTTTGCTTTAATTAGCTGGAGTTACGTTTCTATCAATTCCAACTTAAAGAGTTCTGATGAACGTGTATCCTTTTCCAGATGGCTTTGTTTAAATGCAAATATATCCCGTAAGATGACTAACATGAGTCCAGGGGTACAGGGACTTGATGACAGAGGTGGCGCAACTGTGCTCCCTGGGACAGCCTCTAGGCGGCGGCCAAATGCATGTGTCTGCAGGCCCCACCCCCACCCCATGCTAAGCAGCTCTACTTCTCTCTCTTCTGTTGTATGGACTGGGCTTCTGCATGAACAGCTGTTTGAAGAAAGGAGTCCACGGTTAAAAGTATTTGAAAACCACTGGCTTGTCAGATTTAACAGAAGAGAGCAGGGCAGGAAGGCAATGGGATGTAGAGAAGTCTTGTTTTCCAAGGCCTAGAAGAACTCTGCGAGAGAGGTCTGGAAAAGATCATGCAGTGCTAGAAATGAACACGAGAGGGCAGCCTAGAGACACTGGCAGCCTTGGCCCTAGTCCCAAAAAGGGAAATTTTCCTCTTTCCAGATGTGACCAACCCCTGGCTTAGACTGCCTGCCTCAGTCATGTTTTTCTTAATTTCATTATTAAGTATTAGTCCTCACTCCCTATCGTGACTGTCTGAATTCAACTATAGTGAGAACAGATACCAGAACATTTTCTGTTGCCGTTGCTGCTAGTCATTATGCCTCTTGGACATTTTGCATAATAGGTCAACTTTCCATGGATGTGTGTTTTGTTTGTTTGTTTGTTTTGTCCTATTTTTATGAAAATGATCATTGTGGAGAGAGACGGGTTATACCTCTGTACCTGTAAGTTGCTCTTTCCAATTTATCCACCAGACTCCGTGTGCTTGCTAAGCCCATCTCCCGCTAGGACCCGTATTAAACGATTAACCACCCTGGGTTTCCTAATAATGGGGAACACAAATTGATCTCTCAGCTGTTTTAACCTAAGATCCAAATACCCACGCTGACTCCAAGGTTTTTGACTTCCTATAAATCCAGGCAACTTTTTTTCCTGGATGTTCTCCACAGCCTTGGAAACTAGAATTCAGCTGGAATGGTTTCTACATAAGTGAATAAAAGTCTGTGAGGTGAACACTAAACTCCCAGTCACCTGGCTCTCCCTGTGTCACAAGGTCTTCTCGCAGAACAAACATTCCTGATCCAACTATTGACAGGAGTACAAGGCTCTCTTCGTTTCCCTTGGCTCCCCAAATCTCCATTAATCATTTCCTCACTGAGACCATTTGCTGAAATGCTCTGTAGCTTCAAAGTTGAATCTATTCTTGCTTCTTAATAGGCCATCTTATTATCTGGCTTTCTTTTCAAAAGCTCTTTATGTTCCTTCTTCTCAAAATCATTTGCACTTTGCCAAATGATACTATTTTGAATAACAGTAAGAGCATTCTAGAAGTAAATTGTGATCTAAAACTGGCTTCATCAAAATAAAACAGATTAAAAACTGTAAATGGGCCTAATTCAAAGGGACCTGAGCCAAGGAGGAGAGGCAAAAGTCAGCTAAACTTCTAGACTGAATTTAAGGAGGACCACCTGCTTCAGTATCACTTGGATTACTGGTTAAAAATGCAAAGTTCTGCACCCAATATCTAACTTTCTAAATCTCTAGCAGTCATCTAGACATGTGCATTTTAAACACCCTCTTCGGGGCAGTGATGCACATTGAAGTTTGAGAGCCTCTGCCCCATAAATAAAATAAACCTATTTTATTTATATGGCCTTTTTCTCAGCCGGATACATCTCCTCACCTTGGAGGCCAAAAACAAGACTTTGAACACTTGTTAGCCTAATACTGCTCCATGACCACAGACTGTGTCCTAGCTGTTCAGAAATCCTATTCAAAAGCCACAAGGGGGACCAAGCAAGAGGGTATGGATGATACATTAACTCAAATCCATCTCTACTATTGAAACGACCATGCCGGAAATATCCCTTCCTGATCATAAGGCACTGGTATCATGAGAAATATCACATCAGTGGATATGCAGGTCAGCATTGCACTATGTGTATAGGGGAGTCTAGAGAGCACCTCTTTCCATTCTTGTAGATTCCAACCAAATTATTCCTCCCTGTAAATTTCTCTGTTCCCAGCATCATTTCAATCTCTTCCCACATCATTATTTTATCCTTAGATACCTGATTTAGATTCATGTATCTATCACTAAATACAGTAGAGGTGCTCTTGAAGAAGTTTATGAAAAGATGGGTTTTTGTGCTTTGTTTTTTGGGAGGTTTTTACTTTCTTTGTATAAATCAAATCAAATTGTTGAATATGTCTTTGCTCATGATTCTATGAAATTTTGAGTTCATAAAGAAAATAAAATTTATCACCAGCAGATAACCTGCATAGCACACAGGACTTTGTTGAAGGGTATTTATTCAGTACAGCCCAGTGAGAGGACTCTTGGTCAGTGGAACTATAAATGCGTTATCCACAGGCAAGGCTATTCCTCTTTCAGTTGAAGGACTCTTTATGAGATCATCTGAATTCCTTTTTAAATTAAGCTCCATGCTCACCAAAGAAACATTCTGATTATGATCTTGCTCCTTACATAACTTAGCAACAGGGAGGAAATGCTGTGAGTTTGCCTCCTGCCTTCTGGAGAAACCTTTTATCTTCATTTCTAGCCAACCACATTATAGTCTTCCTTTGGTTCAGAAAATCTTCCATGGTTTCTTTAATAAAAGTAACATGTAACACTAAATAAAACTTACTTTTTCTGAGCTATGGCTTTAGTTCTCTTTTCTGAGAGTCTGCTTCTGACTCATCAATGGGTATGAATTAGAGTGGCAGAGGGAAAGAGCTAAAGACTGATCAAACCTCCAACCTTACATTTCCCTGAAATTCACAGAAGATGCATAATGAGCTATCACCTTACATATTTTTCACAACTGCTTTTACTCAGAAGTACCAAAATGCAAAGAACTCCTTCTTTCTTACAGGCTGCAGAGCCTCAGAGACCAAATAAACTGTGAGCATTTGAATGACAACTGAAACCTCTTGTGTGCATTTTTATTTATCTAACTCAAGATTTGCTAGAGTTCAAGCAACTATTTAAAGTTCAAAAACCTATGATTAATGTTTAAGTTGCTGATGAGATATTTTTCAGATCCTGATCATTGCTGAGCAATGGCATAACATTAAATGCTGGAGCAGCAAGATTTTACTTTCCAAAGGACTGAGCTTACAGAACATGAGAGGGAGGCAGGAAGAGGGAAAGGGTGGAGGAGTCTGAGGCAGCTGAATGATAAGCAAAGAACTCTTTTGTTCTTTTCACACTACGGAATCAAAGCCATTTCAGTTCACTTCCCACACCTGAGATGTTTGTCACTAAGCCATTTCCTTCTCTCTGAAGTGGGTTTAGACAGTCATTTTGCTGTTGTGAAATTCACATCCCTCTTTTCCCAAACCACATCCATGCCTTTCTCAGTTCACCCTCCCCAGAAACACCTACTCTCAGGCAGGATTGGCAGTTTGCAAGTTTAGAGTCTCATAGAAGAGATAGATGACAAATAAAGCTAGAAAAAAAAACTCTTTTCAAGGAAATTGTAAGACCTCTTGAAATACAAAACCTATTTTTCCAGGTTTCTGATTTTAGCCAGTATGAAGATCAATGGAAGCAAACTGCATTACAATAAATGTTGTCAGTCCCACTGATATTCCTTGAAACTGTATGTTCATGGAAGCCCACAGTCTGGCCTTGTTTCAGTGGGATGCTTACCTGAAGTTCACCTCACTACATTCCAGTTACTGAAGCACATGACAAGTTGTGACTTGTGCATAGTTTTCCCCTGAGTTTTGAAAAGTAGAAAGCTGTTATTTAGCTTTGTGGTTTGTTGGGGTTTAAATTTCTGTTGCTATTGCAGCTGTCTTAGCAGTGCAAATCCCAAAGCAAAGAATGATGTGAAAAATTTTGCTCATTTTGAAAGTGTTAGAGAATTTTTTTTAACTTTGACTCCTTGAATTCTCCAGGAAATGATGTCAATCAGTTTAAACAAACAGCACTTTCCACAGAGCTCCCAGGCAAAGTCACATGGTGTTCTGTGTGCTTGGAGCTCACCAGGTTGGTATTATGAGAGGGGACAAGTCAATTGGTAAGTTATAGCAAGGAGGAAAGTTTGAAAAACTTGGAGGATGGATGAGTTCCTGAGTGATTACCTAATTCATTCTCTTGACCACAAACAGTTCTATTGATGAACCTTTCCCAAGAGATGGCTTTCTATTGTGTTTTCAAAT